>NC_000003.12:173705574-174955574 GCF_000001405.40 Homo sapiens | reverse complement strand
CAGACAAGCATTGTTCTGCCAGTGTCTCTATTTGAGAGGTATCATCATTTGTGATAATCTTTAAGTAAATTCCTGATCCTTATTAGCTGATCATTAAGTAAATTCTTCTTAGATCCTAAAACCTTTCACTGCTTTCCAAAATTTAAGGAAAAACTTGAAGAGAATATCCAAACAGGTATTTGTTGTTTTAAAACACTGAGATGCCCTGAGGAACCCCAGAAAATCAGTCTGTGAAACTTCTCTGAACTTATTTTATTTTGCACTGAATGTGAAAGAAATTGTTTTTAAAATAACTATGGAAATTGGTAGAATCTCCTGATATGGTACACTTGCCAACTTTGAAAATGCGTCGTGAATTATATTTGTAGTTGTATTTCAAGAAAAGTTTATGTATAAGTAGAAGACGATGCCGTAACTGATGGCCTGTGGAGGCCGTAATTTTTCATTGTACCATTTTCATTACTTGGATAGCCATTTCAATCTTTCTTGGAGTAAGAGAAAATGTTTTCAATTACGTTTCCTAAAGGTAATGAATTTTACTCTGAATTACATTTTAGATTCATGAAGCATTTTTATAAGGAGACTTTAAAAAATAATATATTGTTGTTAACGGATGTAGAAATTTCAGAAATCTACACTAACCACAATTAAAACTGCAAATTAAGTGAATTATCCAGAAGATGCATGCCCTAGCTCTTAAGTTAGAGAAGCTTTAATTACATGTATGAATGTTTTATGAACTTCTCTTACAAGGTCTTTTAGCCAGCATAGGTTCCCCTGACAGAAGAATAACAGCAAACCTCTCAGGTCATCGAATGTTCCCATTCCCATTTGACTAGGCTACTCTCCATGTTCACATTATTTAACATTCTCTATCGTGTTGTTGGATCTGCATTTTAATGGTCCTTAAATTCCATTCAGAAGATTGTTTACTGAGTATACCAAATTATATCCCATTGCACCAAAAGAACAAAAATACCAGCAAATATGTCTCACTGTAAACACATACAATATACTCTTTTATCTAACTTTGGCCAAAGTGTTAGCATCCAAATGGCTCTACCTCCTCAACTATTTTATTCTTTTTCATAGGATATCCTGAGGTTTATTTCCCTGTATTATCTAAATGTATCTAAGTCTCACTGTCAGTCTACAAAATTGAGTTTTGTCAATCACAGTATAATGCACCCTCAATGCAGTACAGTTTTCATTTAATAACTTAATTTTTATGCAAATTTAACCTTTAATGGAGCTACAAACAGTTGCATTCAAGTTACATCTGCATAACATTTCTCAGATGGTTTAAATGTAAAAGGGGTGGAATTTTTTTAGAAATTAAAATACCCCAAACATTTGATGCCAGGCTCAGTAAAATTCTCCAGTGAGCTTATTGATTTGTTTTGTCAGTATTCAAGTTGCCTGATTAGGGCAGTGGGCTTGATCCCCTTCAGTGGATGTGCCAGAAGGAATATTGCAAATAGGGCCATCACTAATGGGGTCAAATCCCCAGGTAGAACATGCCAAAGTCGTATCTAAATAGACTCCAAGGAACGGTGGCATTAAAATGTACCTGGAAGTTTTTCTGTTAAACACATTATATTAGAGAGTAAAAGGCTTACTTATTTAGCTTCAAGTGCCTTAACTTCCCTGAAATCTAGCCACTGAGGACAGAGAACGGAGTGTATGTCATGTGTGTTTCTGTATGTGTTTGGTTTTAGATGAGAAAAAAAAACAATTAAAAAGTGATTAATTCCATGAGAAACAATAGAAATATGGAGTAGTCACGCACCTCCTTTCTTGCTGTTCTGGGAGTCATGTGGTAACCTGCTCCGGGGAAAAGCTTGCAACAGAGTGTGGCACACAGTAGGCACTTGATAAATGTTTCCTGAATTATATGAATGTCTAGTCAGCCACAGCCCAAGGGAATAGACACCGTGCATCAACTATCTGTGTATATATTCATGGCTGCATCCTCCCACTCTACCTACCCAGCCAAATTTATTGTTATTGTTTCATATTATACAAAGGAGGCAACAATGACTTCCATCAAAATATCTGTAAGGGGACACCATGAAAACACATCTTAAATATCCACCTCCTGAGATTTATTTGAACTCCATAAGAGCAGGGATTTTGTTTTGTTTACTGGTGTAGTCTAGTGCCTAGGACTATGCCTGACACGTAGTAGGTATTTAATAATGATTTACTGGAAGGAAGGGGAAAGAGGAGGGGAGGGGAGGGGAGGGGAGGGGAGGGGAGGGGAGGGGAGGGGAGGGGAGGCAAGAAAGATTGGGTCCTAAGTAACCTGGTTTTTGCTTCCTGAATAAAATGGTTTTAACCAGGAGCCCATGTAGCAAAGCAGTTGAGGTTATAAGTTCTGAAACAAGACCTCATTTTAAACTTGCCTTTTATGCTTATTAATCATATGACTTGGGCACATTTCTAGACCTTCCTGTGTCTCAATTTCTTCTTCTGTAAACCTGGGATTCTTATAATAATAGTAACTTCCCACAGGGTTGTTGTAAGGATTAAATGTGAAAATATATTTAGCAGCCCTCAAAGAATATTGCCTCCTACCATTATCCCATCACTAATTTCCCCTAAGGAGATAGCTCATTTCTAATATGATGTATAATCTACCATCCTCACTGGGACACTACTGAGAGTGAAAGAGGAGGGCACTAAAATGATCAAAAATATTCATTTGACCTACAAGTGTAAATGCAGGGACAGTACCCAGCAATCAGTGACATATGGTTGCCCTACTCATCATCCAAACCTAATGTCATGCAGGCTTCCTTATACCCAGATATAAATCCATCTTTAGTACAGACTGTTATCACTTTTAAAAGCAACACCATAGACTCCAATTTAGTACATTAATTTCCATGGGTTACAAACACAACCACGTCAGCAACCTCCTTACGTGTCTTCCCATTACCATGTTTCAGTCCAATATTCCCCTCTATTATCTGTGCCTGTCTGCCTTCCTCAATAGACTGAGGTCATGGTCCATTTTCTAGTAGTGTGTGGCTCAGAGTAAAAGCAATCACAATAGATGTGCCTACTGAACTCAATATTTAGGACCAAACACCCCTGGCTTTCTTCTTTATTCAATTATCTCTGAGGTTATAGGAAAATTGCTATCACAGGCAAATCCTGTCTAAAGTGGGGAAAATAAGCAATTGATTTGAGCTGCAGTCTGAGAATTATATAATTAGGCCAGAATGCTTAATGTTAAAAGAGTCACGAAGGGGAACAGAGATTCATCTGTGAGACAAATATGTATTGGATATTTACTAAGTGCTGAGTGCTGAAGATTAAAATATAAGACAACCTACTTTAAGTGTCATAGAGAAAATTAGTGCAATGTAATATGATAAGAACTATGTTAGAAAGATGAACAGATTACCATAGTGGTATCACAAATTAGGATCTGACGGGTCTGGAGATTTAGTTGTACCAAAGATGTAGTATGTAGCAAATAAAATTTTACAGAACAAGTGTTTGATCTTTGGCCTTGGAAATGAATAAGAGTTTGCCTAATGAATTAGACAGGGGAAGGCAACAGAGATAAGAGAAAAAGCATGTTCAGAGGCATAGAGTAACACAAAATTATCTTAGGTTTAGAAAACTGAAGAGCTTGGTATGCTTGGAATAAAGGGTTTGATATAGGGGAATAATAACAGACCAAGGCTATAAATCAATGTTGAATAATACAGGACATCACTAGTGGTTTTAAGGAAAGAGAAATTATGGCAGTAAGAACAGAGTGGGGGTAATAATAGAAAAATAACATTTAACCAGCAAGTATTTGTAAAATATTTTGAAGTATTTTGCTAGACATATTGCAGGAAGGATGATGCAACACAAAGTTATATTGATTACAACATTTAAAGTTGAAGGCGTCTATCGACAAGTAAAAAGAATATAAAAGCACTTAGGCACAACTTTTGTTTTATTACCTGAACTCTTTATATTAACTTTACCTAAACATATATTGCCTCACCATCTACTATCAATTAAAATTAAAAAGATTTAGAGAAAGAAGGGAAGGAGAACACAGATTAGGATCAGCATAAAATACCCTTTCAAGCATAACCTCTCTATACTTTGGAGATAATAAATTCACTCCGCCTATTTTCTCTTTTTTTGATCATTTTAGTTGAGTCGTATCTGTCAGCATATTTGTTCATAATGTGAGCTTGCAGGTTCTTTCTTACCATATCATTTAGAAGGCTGTCCCTAGTTTGCTGTTCTAATGGAAAAAGCTAACGATTTATTCTTGCCTCCTGAGAATTACATTCACGTCTCAACTTAACATGACTCATGAAGGTATTTTTGCTACATTTACATCCCAACTTAACATGACTCATGAAGGTATTATTCCAAATATGAAGTATGGAATACTTTCTAACTAAAATAGGGTTGTATAGGTCTTCATTGCAGGAAATGATGTAATTTGAAATTTTAAGCATTATTCTCTTTTTATGTAAAATTATTTTTCTTTATTACAGAAATAGAAATGTGAAAAATACAGATTGGCATGTTTGCTAATGACACCAGCACATCCTTCTGTCCTTTATCTTTTTCTCTGTCCTTCCATCCTTTATCTAAAGAGACAAGTAGAGAGGAAAAGAGATAAATAGCTAGATACATAGATGAATAAAGAGATAGATATAAACATACAAATGTTAATAGCTATTTGATTCAAATGAAATTAAATTACAAATTATTTTGTAAGCTCCTTAATTTTCAGTTTGACCATATTTCTATTTTATTATTTTTGTAAAATGCTACTTTTATGATGCTAAGTATGTCATATTACAAATATGAATTGTTTGACTAGCCTTTTATAGTGGCATGCTAAAATTGTTTCAAATTATTGACAATTAAAACAAAGTTGTGCACAACCTTACTATTTGGGGGAATAATTTTCTAGGATGACTATTTTAAAAAAAGGCTTTGAACTCTTCAAGAACACCATATATAGTTCAAAAACATTTCAAAAGTATCAAAGCCCAGATTTAAAAAGGATCCTAGCTTTTTTAGAAAAATAGTGCTCACTTGATTATCAACTCATTGTTTTTTGGCTATGACACAAAATCTACTGTGATGAATAGAATCATGTATATGTATGTTTTACACAGCAAAGTATAACAATGAAAATCAATGCATTGGTCAAATTAGTCAAACCAAGCATATTTCCAAGGATTTGTGGACAACCAAAATTTGTGATTCTCAAGATATACCAGGTATTATAAAACTTTTGGGAACTCTTCAGAGATGCAGATTCCCAAAATCTACTCCCTACTCTCAATTCATATTCAGTAGGTTTGTAGAGTCCTTGGTAAAACCAAGGACTCTACACTTTCATCAAGTATGTAAGATCTGGGGGCGACCAAAGTTTCTCTGTAAAGGGACAGATAGTAGATATTTTAAACTTTGGTATTCTCTGTCTCTTATTTTTATTTTGTTGTCATTGATTGTTTTTTGTACTCCTTTAAAAATAGGAAACCAATACTTAGCAAACCGGGTCATAAAAAACTGACCAGGCTGGATTTGATCTGCTGGCTGTAGTTTGCTTAGACCTGCCCTCAATGGTTCCAATGCAAATAGACAATGGATAACAATCTTGAGAACTGCTGCTCAAGACCAGTGCACAAAAAGGAGCACAGAGAATCTGGGAATGGATAGTTATCTCAATATGCTATTATTTGGCACATATTAGTATTACTCTTGCTCCACACTTCTTCTTCCGAATAGCAGTGAAGACATATTCTGTTGTTGAATGTTTAGCTACTGTAGCTAAGGGTAACTTTGTTTGTTTTCTTTGGCCATGTCCTAAAAGGACAGAACACTGATCATTTCTCTGCAGTGAATTGTAAGATTATACTAACATTCCTTTGTAAAGGGCATAGTGCAATGGTGTTCCGTGTTTATAGTATGGCTCATTTGTGATGTTGGTCCTGGTCCAAATTCTGAGGTTGCAGATGGAACTAAAGTCAATGTAGTGTGAAATATATTAAAAGCCAATAATAGCTGATTACTGAATTTGTTTTTTTTACACCAATATAAAAAATTATATTTTTCAATGATGGCTGCAACAATATCCCCCATTACACTGTGTGACTTTGACACTCTACCTACTAAGAGATGGTATCAGGGACAACCCTCCCCACCCCTTGGAACTGGGCAGGCTTGCAACCATGGCAGAAGTGATATTATGTGACTTTCGAGGCTAGGTCGTAACAGGTAAAATAGATTCCAATTGGCTTTCTGGGGACACTTGCACCTGAAACCCTACTGGGTGTTGTGAGAAAGCCCATTTGAAGGGCTATGGGTAAGAGCTATGGCCTGAATGTTTATGTTTCCCCCAAATTCCTATGCTGAAATAATCACCCCCAGGGTGATGGTAGTAGGAGGTAGGATCTTTGGGGAATGACTAGGTCAAGAGGGTGGGATCTTTGGGAGATGATTAGGTCAAGAGGGTAGAGAACTCATAAAAGGAATTTGTGTCTTTATAAAAGAAGCACCAGAGAGACCCCTTTCTCTTCTGCCATGTGAGGCTAGAGTGAGAAGACAACTGTGTATGAGGAAGTGGGCCTTCACCAGACATCAAATTCACCAGCACCTTGATCTTGGACTTCCCTGCCTCCAGAATTGGGAGAAATAAAATTTCTGTTGTTTATAAGTCACCCAGTCTATCATATTTTCTTATAGCAGCCTGAAAGAACTAAGACAGTAAGTGTTTCAACTGACAGTCCAGATGAGGACTCAGTCTAAAACCAGTATCAATGGACAAATACATCAGTGCAGACAGCCCTAGATGATTCCAGCCCCCAGTTTTTGAGTCACCACAGCCATCAAATCTTCCCAGAAGAGACCCCTGACATCATGGAAGAAAGAAAAGCCATCTTTATTGTTCTGTGTCCAAATTCCTGTCCCATAGAAGCCATGAAAGATAATAAAATGACTGTGTTGTGACACTCAGTTTTAGGAAGATTGGTTAAGTAGTAATAGTCACAATAAAGTACCAGACAAAAGTTATCTTTAGTGACATCTGATAAATTCAACATTCATAAAAAAATAAATTCTTGCCAGGCGTGGTGGCTCACGCCTGTAATCCCAGCACTTTGAGAGGCCGAGGCGGGTGGATCACCTGAGGTCAGGAGTTCAAGACCAGCCTGGCCAACATGGTGAAACCCCGTCTCTACTAAAATTACAAAAATTAGCCGGGTTTGGTGGCACACGCCTATAGTCCCAGCTACTAGGGAGGCTGAGGCAAGAGAACTGCTTCAACCCGGGAGGTGGAAGTTGCAGTGAGCGGAGATCAAGCCAATGCACTCCAGTCTGGGCGACAGAGCAAGACTCCATCTCAAAAATAAATAAATAAATAAATAAATAAATAAGTTCTATATGGGCCTCCATGAATATATTTATGTGTAAGAATGCCCTAATGACATTTCAGGAAACATTTTGTATTTTAAAGAATTAAATTTAGTTACGGGTTTAACTGGCAAAAATTAACAATATGTCAAGTTTCGTGTCAAAGGTGTTACATGTCTAATTAAATATAATTATATAAAATGTTAAAAATAGCAGTTCATAACTATATTTACATCTATGTAGGTATACAGCAAAATTAAATATTAGTTACTAAAATGGCAGCAAGTTTACCAAAATAAAATATATTTGTTATTAGAAAATAAAGCTCAGTGCAAGTCTTTGAAATAATAATTATAATAATTTAGACACCACTGACAACAGAATATGTACATACAGAAGAATGTGTGCACATATGTGTATGTGTGTGTATATGTGTCAGTATGTGTGTGTGTGTGTCTGTATATATATCACTATTCATGTGGATTTTTTTTTAAAACCTGTATACTAGAAGACCAAAGAAAAAAAATAAAAGATTTCTTAAAAGTTATCAGTGTTTTTTTTCCCAAGAATAATAAATTTATAAAGAAGAACTATTAGCATCATTCCTAAATTCCATTTTCACTGAGAGTCCCACATTCTTCTTATGTCTTGAAAAGAATAGTACTTTCCAGGGAATTTTTAAAAATTCAAATTACAATACTACCATTCCTAACCATGGTCAGCACTTAAGGAAGGAACTGTTAATCTTAGAAAAAGGTCATATTCAGATTATGCCTATAAATTTGATCAAAGTGAAACCATAAAACAGCAATCTTCAGCTCTGCTTTTCCAGGAAGGCTTATAAATTTTCCTTTGCAAGGGTTGGGATAACTGAACATGTAATCTTGTGCAAAAAAGAAAAAAACAAAAAACAAACAAACAAAAAAACCCACTCATGTTGCATTTGAAAGAAGACAATGCTGAGAGTTGCTTTTAACCTACAACCTGACCAGAATAACTATAATATAGAAAAATCAGTATCATGTGGCAGCAAAATTATACATTTGACCCTCCTAGAGATAAATGCACTATAGATAAGTTATGATGCTCTAACTGAGCACAACGCAATTAAGCACAGTTATATATCAAGGATTTTATATGGCTTTGAGCTGAGGTGAAGGGTTACTAAGTGACGGTTCTAGCTTCACAACTTTTGAATGTTTATTTTTGTTAGCAAGTAGCAGATTCCTTTATTAAGTCTGTGAGCTACAGTAGCAAAGCAACTGCCTAAGAAATATTCATGTGTTCAATATAAATGAATATAAAATAGAAATGTTCATATGTTCAATATAAATGAATATAAGAATTGCAAGAGAGTATGCAGAGTTTTCACTGTGTATTTAAACACGTTAGAACTGTCAGAGACCTAAGTATACTCCTAATTGATCTTCCTACTTCACATCTACCTTTCCACATTCTCTCTTTCTCCGTTCTTCCCTCCCTTTCTCTTTTCCTCCCTCCTTTCTTCATAATACACTTCCATCTTCCTTCACTCTTTATTATTTTGTGAAAACAGAATCACAAAAATGTTTCAACTATGTATAAATAAAAATGATTAATAAAAGAAAATACATTCAGAACTTACTTGATACTATAACATGCACTGTTCTAAGTGACTTTAAAAGTATTGCCTCATATAATTCTCAAAGTAATCCTATATGAGATAGGCGACATCATATTCCCTGTTTAACTAAAAGAAAACAGAATGACATAAACATTACACTTTGGCCAAAGTTATACAACTAGGAAAACAGGATTCAAGTCTAGGTAGCGTGACTCCAAAATCTGCCATCTTTACCATAGATTCTATTACTGAATTTTTGTGAAATACTTTATTTACACTAGACCAAACATACATTGGCCTAATGTAAATAAAGACCTAATGTATATTATATTTAACTAGTTTTTATAAAAAACGCATTCCATTGAGAAATATTAAGTAAAAGAAGTACCTAGGAGCTCAAATTCTTGATAGGCTTAGGAAACTTGGCAAGAATTGGAGAAATATATAGAGAAATAAACAAGAGGAATAGTCACAGAATTAGGTCACATTTTTTCTGTCTCATTCTGAATAATTTTTTTTTTTTTTTTTTTTTTTTTTTTGAGGCAGAGTCTCACTGTTGCGCAGGCTGGAGTACAGTGGCAGGATCTCAGCTCACTGCAACCTCCACCTCCTGGGTTCAAGTGATTCTCCTGCCTCAGCCTCCCAATCAGCTGGGACCGCAGGTGCATGCCACCACACCTGGCTAATATTTTGTATTTTTAGTAGAGACTGGTTTCACCGTGTTAGCCAGGATGGTCTTGATCTCCTGACTTCACGATCTGCCCGCCTCAGCCTCCCAGAGTGCTGGGATTACAGGCGTGAGCCACCTTGCCCAGCCCTTCTGAAGAATATTTTGAGAGTAAAAGGGAGTCTTCAAGGGACCTCTCCAATTCCATTCTTCTAAGTGATTTCTAGGCCACAAATTCTAGGAATTTTAATATAGGTTTCCCAATTACTTATAGAACCAAGCCACGTTCAAATGTCATTTATTCAATCTTGAAGTCTGGGATACAAGTGCTCAAAACGTTTGAGAATTCTATTAAAGAATATCTTTGGAAAACCTCAGGGAATCCAGGAAATTTGGGTAGCTCAAGCTTTTGCTTTCCAAAGGTGCTATAACTCATTTTGCTGTCAAATTTTTGCCCCAGGGATTCAAGATTAGAATTTTAAATGTAGGCCAAATCTCAGATAATAGGCAATGCAGTATCACAGAAGAGCAGAAAATATGCATCAACCAGGCCTGAGTGAAAATATTTGCTTCTCCAGTTATCATCCCTAGTGCAAAAGGGGCTTCATAAGCCTCAGTTTCTTTATCTGTCAAGTAGTGATACCAGTACTAACCTTGTACAATAGTTATAAGGATTAAATTTGATTATGTTTGAAAAAGTGCTTGGCTCAGAGCCTGGTACACGGTTTCTCATTAATTCTGGTATACCTCTTTTTCCACAAATGGAGAAATACAGACAACCATTTACACCTATTGTTTGTAAGCACTGCATGATCTTTTCAGATTATTGCTTTGTAGAAATCTAAAACCTAGATGGGGAGGGGGTAGCCAAGATGGCTGACTAGAAGCAGCTAGTGTGCTGCCTCTCACCCAGAAGAACTGAAGGGGCAAGTAAATACGGCACCTTCAACTGAAACATCCAGTACTCATCAAGGACTAATCAAGGAAACAACTCAACCCACAGAGAACAAAGAAACTTAAGGCAGGATGATGGCCCACTGGGGAGTGACATGGAGCCAGTGGAAACTCCCTGCCCAGGGAAGTGGTGACAGAATGTGTGACCCCTGGGAACCCATGCTTCTCTCATGGATATTTGCAACCCCCAGGTGAGGAGATCCCCTCGTGAGCCCACTCCACCAGGGTCTTCAGTCTGACACACAGAGCTATGTGGAGTCTTGGCAGAGCAGCCACTCAGGCACAGGCTAAGACCTGGGAGCCTTAGATACCTGAGCTTCCTAGGCTTCCTGGCAAAAGAATCTGCAACCATGACAAAACAGGGGGTTAGATCCTCATACCCCTAGGAAAGAAGCTGAATCCAGGATGCTAAGCAGTGACAGTCTGCAGGCCATACTTCCATGGCACCTCACAGGATAAGACTGGCTTGGAATTCCAGCTAGCCACTGGTAGCAGCATTGTACCTCCCTGAGACAGAGCTCCCGGGGGAGGGGTGGGCCAACATCTTTGCTATTTGGGCTACTTAGCCATTACAGCCTTTGGCTTTTGGAGAGTTCAAGCTGACCAGGGGCAGAAGGAATTCCCCAGCACAGCACAGCTGCTCTATGACAACACATCCAGGCTGCTTTTTAAAGTAGGTGCCTGATCCTGTTCCCTGTCACTGGGTGGGACCTCCTAATCGGGGTCTCTACCACCTCCTACAGGTGGGTTCAGGCTGACAACATGTTCATGCCTCCCTGGGATGAAGCTCCTAGAGGGAGGAGCAGGCCCTCATCTTTGCTGTTTCACAGCCTTCACTGGTGATACCTCCAGGTACTAGAAAATCCAAGGTGACTAGGGACTGGAGTGAGTGCCTAGCATACCGCAGCAGCCCTAAGGAAAAGTGGCCAGACTGTTAGGTGGGTGCCTGTTCCTACATCTCCTCACTGGACAGATCCCCCAGGCCTGGGCCTCCAGTTACCCCCTGCCAGAGCTATCGGGCCATTAGCAACTCAGCAACTCCCTGGGCAGAGCCTCCAGGGGCAACTGAAAGTCTCTCTGCCACTGCCTCTGCAGTGGAACTGACTTTGCTATTCTTGGACTACTGAAGGAGCAAAGACCCTAAATGCCTTACCACACCTCTAACAAGCTCCAGTCAACAAGTAGAAGAGGCCAGTCAATCTCCCATGGGTCCCACACACACCCTGCTGCTCATCACCAAATAGGGAACCCCTGGCTGGGGCCAATAACACAGACCTTCCATCTTGGGTTGATTGCACTGGATGATTGCTGACCTGCATCTCTTTGGGGTGGAGCCCCCAGAAGACAAGCAAAAACTCTTGGCCACAACTACTACTAGGGTCCCTTCGTCTGCTGCCACAAAGTTGGGGAAGGAACATAAACACTGAGATTGCCCCAGAGCTGCAGTGGACATCCCAGAAGTGCCAAGCCATGATTCACAGCCAGCATTCAAGAGGGAGAGGAACTCTCACTTTCAAGAGTATTGAGAGGGAACAGGTCTGCAACTGTGAGGAAACACAGGGGAGCCACACAACTGAGCAAGAGTCTACCAACTGACCAGTACACCTAAATGCCACCTACTGGAGCATACCCCAAAGCTTCAACCTCAAAATTACCTCACTAACATACCACCCTCTGAAACCAGAGACAAGAAAGCAGCTTCAAATAAAGACCCTGCACAAAGCCTCAGCCCAGAGAAAACACCAAACAAATAAGTCTACTGACTGTACTCCATCTACAATGCAATTAAGGGAAGACTCACATGCACAGATGAGAAAGAACTAATGCAAGAACTCCTGTAACTCAAATAACCTGAGTGTCCTATGTCTTCCAACTGACCACACCAATTTTGCAACAAGAGTTCATAAGCAGGCTAGCTGCCTGAAATGACAGAAATAGAATTTGGAATACGTATAGAAACAAAGATCATTGAGATTTAGGAGGACAGCAAAACCCAATCCAAAGAAACTCAGAATCACAATAAAGTGATGCAGGAACTGAAGGATGAAATAGCTGATATAAAAAAGAAGCTAATGGATCTGATAAAGCTTAATGACAAAATACAAGAATTTCACAATGCAATCACAAGTATTAGCAGAATAAACCAAGCTGAGGAAAGAATCTCAGAACTTGAAGACTGGCTCTCTGAAATAAGACAGACCAAAATTTAAGGAAAAAATAATAATAAAACGGAGCAAACAAAACCTCCAAGAAATATGGGATTATGTAAAGAGGCTAAATATATGAATAACTGGCATCCCTGAAAAGGAGGGGGAGAAAGCAAACAACTTGGAAAACATATTTCAGAATATCATTCATGAAAACGTCTCCAGCCTTGCTATAGAGCCCAACAGTCAGATTCAGGAAACACAGAAAACTCCTGCAAGAGTCTACACAAGAAGATCATCCCCAACACACATAATTGTCAGATTTTCCAAGGTTGAAATGAAAGAAAGAACGTTAAAGGCAGCTAGAGAGAAAGGGCAGGTTAGCTGCAAAGGGAAGCCTATAAGGCTAATAGTGGACCTCTCAGCTGAGACTCTACAAGCAAAAAGAGATTGGGGGCCTATATTCAGCATTCTTGAAGAAAAAAATATGCAACCAACAATTTCATATCCAGCCAAACTAAGCTTCCTAAGCAAAAGGAAAATAAGATCTTTTTTCAGGTAAGCAAATGTTGAGGGAGTTCAGTAATACCAGACCTGCCTTATAAAAGATCCTTAAAAAAGCAGTAAATATAGAAAGGAAGACTACTATCAGCAGTAAATATAGAAAGGAAAACTACTATCAGCATGTTTATACAAAAACTTGCATAAACACACAGACCATTGTCACTATAAAGCAACCCGAGAAGCCAACATAATAACCAGCTAACAACACCATGACAGACTCAAATCCACATATAACAATACTAATCCTGAATGTAAATGAGCTAAATGCTCCCAATTAAAAGGCACAGAGTGGTAACTGCATAAGAAAGCAAGCCCCAGTGGTATGCTGTCTTCAAGAGAGTCATCTCACACATGATGACACCCATAGGCTCAAAATAAAGGAATGGAGGAAAATCCACCATGCAAATGGAAAACAGAAAAAAGCAGAGGGTTGCAATCCTAATTTCAGACAAAATAGACTTCAAACCAACAAAAAATAAAAAAAAACATAAAGAAGTACATTATATAATAGTAAAGAGTCCAATTCAACAAGAAGACCTAACTATCCTAAATATATATGCACCCAACACAGGAGAACCCAGATACCTAAAACAAGTTCTTAGAGACATAAAAAGAGAAATAGACTCCCACAAAATAATGATAAGAAATTTTAACACTCCAATGACAGTATTAGAGAGATTGTCAAGGCAGAAAATTAACAAAGATATTCAGGACCCGAACTCACTATTGGACCAAATAGATCTAATAGACCTCTACCGGACTCTCCACCCCAAAACAACAGAATATATACTCTTCTCATCACCATACGGCACATAATCTAAAATCAGCCACATAATTTGATATAAAACAATCCACAGCAAATGTAAAAGAACTGCAATCATACCAAACACAGTCTCGGACCATAGTGCAAAAAAAAGAGAAGACTGAAAAACACATTGCTTAAAATCATGCAATTACATGAAAATCAAACAACATGTTCCTGAATGAGTTTTGGGTAAATAAAGTTAAGGCAGAAATCAAGAAGTTCTTTGATGCTAATGAGAACAAAGATACAATGCACCAGAATCTCTGGGATCCAGCTAAGACAGTGTTAAGGGGAAATTCATAGCATTAAATGCCCACATCAAAAAGTTAGAAAGATCTCAAATTAACAACCTAACATCAAAACTGGAAGAATTACAGAAGCAAAACAAACCAAACTCAAAGGTAGCAGAAGACAAGAAATGACCAAAATGAGAGCTGAACCGAAGGAAATTAAGACACAAAAAAATATCCAATAGATCAATGAATCCAGGAGTTGGTTTTTGAAAATATTAGTAAGACAGGCCGCTAGCTAGACCAATAAAGAAGAAAAGAAAGATCCAAATAAACACAATTAGAAATGAGAAAAGGAATGCTACCAGTGACCCCACAGAAATACAACCATCAGAAACTACTACAAACACCTCTATTCACACAAACTAGTCAACCTAGAAGATATGGATAAATTCCTGGACATAAGCAACCTCTCAAGACTGAACCAGGAAGAAATTAATTCCCTGATCAGACCGATAATGAGCTCCAAAATTGAATCAGTAATAAATAGCCTACCAACCAAAAAAATGCTCAGAACCTGATGGACTCACAGCTGAATTCTACTACAGGGACAAAGAAGAGCTGGTACCATTCCTACTGAAACCATTCCAAAAAAAAATTGAAGAGGAGGGACTCCTCTATAACTCAGTCTATGAGGCCAGCATCATCCTGATACCAAATACTGGCAGAGACAAAATGAAAAAAGAAAATTTCAGGCCAATATTCTGGATGAACACAGATGCAAAAATTCTTGACAAGATACTTGCATACCGAATCCAGCAGCACACAAAAGAGCTAATCCACCACAATTAAATGGGCTTCACCCCTGGGATGCAAGATTGGTTCTACATATGTACATCAATAAATGTGATTCATCACATAAACAGAACTGAAGACAAAAACCACATGATTATCTCAATGGATGCATAAAAGGCTTTTGAAAAAACTCAACACTCCTTCATGTTATAAACTCTCAATAAACTATATCGAAGGAACATGCCTCCAAGTAATAGGAGCCATCTATGACAAATGCACAGCCAATATTATATTAAATGGGCAAAAGCTGGAAGTATTCCCCATTCCTCTTGAAAACTGGTACAAGACAGGATGTCCTCTCTCACCACTTCTATTCAACATAGTATTAGGACTCCTAACCTGAGCAATCAGGCAAGAGTAAAAAATAAAGAACACCTAAGTAGGAAGAGAAGAAGTCAAGCTATTTCTATTTGCAGATTACATGATTCTACATCCAGAAACCCTCATAGTCTTGGGACAAAAGTTTCTTCAGCTGATAAACAGCTTCAGCAACATTTTAAGATACCAAATCAATGTACAAAAATCACTAGCATTGCTATATACCACAACAGCCACACCAAGAGTCAAATCAGAAAGTTAATCTCATTCACAATTGCCACAAAGAGAGTAAAATACCTAGAAATACAGCTAACCAGGGAAGTAAAAGATCTCTACAATAAGAATTATAAAACATTGCTCAAAGAAATTAGAGAAGACAAACAAATAAAAATAAATCCCATGCTCACGTATAGGAAGAATGACTATTATTAAAATGGCTGTATCACTCAAAGCAATTTACAGATTGAAAGCTATTTCTATCAAACTACCAATGACATTTTTCACAGGACTAGAAAAAAAAACTATTTTAAAATTCATATGGAACCAAAATATAGTCCAAATGCCAAGGTAATGTTACGTAAAAAGAAAAAACTGAAGGCATCATATTACCCTACTTCAAACTATACTTCAGGGCTACAGTAACCAAAGCAGCATGGCACTGGTATAAAAATAGGCACATGGACCAATGGAACAAAATAGGGAGTCCAGAAATAAGGCCACATACCTATGACCACCTGATCTTTGACAAAGCTGATAAAACCAAGCCATGGAAAAAAGACTCTTTATTCAACCAATAAATGGTGCTGGGATAACTGGCTAGCCATGTGCAGAAGATGAATCTGGACATCTTACACCATATACAAAAATCAACCCAAGATGGATTAAAGACTTAAAAGTAAAATCCCAAACTATAAAAACCCTGGAAGACAACCTAGGCAATACCATCCTGGATATAGGAATGGACATAGATTTCATGACAAGACACCAAAAGCAATGACAACAAAAGCAAAAATTGACGAGAAGGATCTAATTAAACTTAAGAGCTTCTGCACAGCAAAAGAGTACACAGACAACCTACAGAATGGGAGAAAATATCTGCTTACTCTGCACCTGACAAAGGTCTAATATCCAGCTTCTATAAGGAACTTAAACAAATTTACAAGAGAAAAACAAACAACCTCATTAAAAAGTAGACAAAGGATATGAACAGATACTTTGTAAAAGAAGACATGTATGTGATCAACAAGCATGTAAAAAAAAGCCCAATTTCACTAATCATTAGAGAAATGAAAATCAAAACCACAAAGAGATACCATCTCAAATCAGTCAGAATGGCTATTATTACAAAGACAACAAATAAGCTGGCAAGTTTTTGGAGAAAAGAGAACACTTATACACTGTTGGTGGGAGTATAAATTAGTTCAACCATTGTGGAAAACAGTATGGTGATTCCTCAAAGAGCTAAAAGCAGAACTACCATTCGACCCAGCAATCCCATTATTGGGTGTATACCCAGAGAAATATAAATCATTCTATCATACAGACACAGGCACACGAATGTTCATTGCAGCACTAGTCACAATAGTAAAGACATGGAATAAACTTAAATGCCTATCAATGACAAATTGAATAAAGAAAATGTGGTACATTTATACCATGCGATACGATGCAGCCATGAAAGGAAGGAGATCACGTCTTTTGCAGAAACATGGATAGAGCTGGAGGCTATTATCTTTAGCAAAATAATGCAGAAAAAGAAAACCAAGTAACACATGTTTTCACTTATACATGGGAGCTAAATGAAGAGAACTCATGAATACAAAGAATAAAGCAACAGACACTGGGGTCTAGTTGAGAGTGCAGGGTGGGAGGAAGGAGAGGAGCAGAAAAGGTAACTATTGCAAACTGAGTTTAAAAACTGGGTGATGAAATAATCAGTACAACGAAGCCCTGTGACGGGAGTTTACCTGTATAACAAACCTTCACATGTACCCCCCAACCTAGAATAAAAATGTAAAGCAAAAAAACTAGGGGATATGTTTCCACTTTTCACAATACATTACCATAAAGATTACCTTTAACAAATAGTGAACTTTGCAATTAAATGCTAAAGAAATATATATACTTTCTAGAAATATTTTTCTATTTTTGCAAAGAGGAGGGTATATCTATATAAAATAAATATTTGTCTATGGCACACAGATAAACTGAAAATTATAATACTCATATAAAAAGAAGCTAGTTTTGAATTTTACAAATATTGCCTATAATACTAGGTTAGCTTTGTTAAAGTAAATGACTCACATAAGCAAATGTTTTAAATCCAGCCTTCAGATAGAAATCATAAACCAGATGAGATCAGCAATAGTCACTAACTACTATCTTCTGGCAAGTTGCTTAGCAACCCTGGAAATGCAATTTTTTTTAGGCTCTTTATTCCAGCTAACAAATATTTATTGAATGCCTAGTACATGCATGTTTCTGAAAGATACAAATAGCTCCATGAAGAGAATATTATTTTTGTCATTTCCTTCTATAACAAAATTGGTTCTAAGCAGTTTCATAACTTTTTTACAGTCTAAGAGGACGGAAGTGAAAGAAATTGAGATTAAATCTTAGCCTGAGAGCTTCCAAAGACCTTTCTGGATTTCATTCTACTGTCTACTGAAAAGCCCTAAATCACTAACTTTGGAACCACACTTTACCTGTCTTACCCTGTTATGGTACTGTTTCATTGTTATCCTAATTGTAATTATCCAAGAGGAATAGGGACCCTAGCTTAGCTTTCTTCTGTATTTCCTAGAGCAATGCTACTCAATGAGTGTATTGTGGGATGCTAATTACCAGTGAAAGGTTCATTACTAATCCCTGGTGAGACTGGTACAGACATTAAAAGTGTTAAAATTCTTAGAGCAATTTGACAGGATCATTTTATCACTATTAGAGTTAATGATAAAATGTTTGGGCAGGTAGTTTATATGTTTTATTTTAAAAATCTGAATCTTATCTCTCTGGCTCTTTTTTAAAATGTTCAACTTTTGGAGTTATAGGTAAAGGACACTATACTGCACATATTTAAAATAAACAATTTGATCCATTTTGGCTTATGTGTGCTCCCACGAAATCGTCCCCATAATCAAGACAACAAATCTTTCCATTTCCCTCGCAAGTTTCCTTATGTCCCTCTGCAAACTCTCTTTCTCTCCAGCACCAAAGACAATAAATAGCAACCAGGTGTGACTGTATTCCAATAAAATTTATTTACAAGAACAGGCATCAGTATTGACATGGCCTGTCAGTACTGTCGGTTTGCTTACACTTGCTCTAGAGAGTCAGACTTTGGAAAGCACATTTAGGTGATTACAAACAAAAAGAGAAGCAAAAACTACTAGATTTTTTGTGCTATGATCTTGTGGGACCAGACTAAAGTATTACCAAAACAATCCTAATAATGGCTTATCTTCCATTTTGAGATGGGCCTTCACTACAGAACCTTTGGGTTTAATTTTATCAAGCGACCTTTAGTAATATAACATATAAGTAGCTTTTATTATGGCTGCTTGATTCTCAAAATCTTTTTATCTGCTTCAAAAATTAACTGTATTATGTACAGAAAACAATTCATGGACATTTTATAACAAAATATTCCATGTGTAGGAGTAGGCATCCAGGAATAGATCTAAACAGATTATTATTATTATATAAGAAATAATTCTTCTTCAAGGTACATGTAGAGTACAAAGTAAATAATACTTTAAATTCCCCTGAAATATAGAAAACACCTATTTTAAAACTAAAGTCATTTCCAAACTACTATCTCCTTGGAAATGGAAAGCATATATATAACAATGTCTTGTCTCTCCCAGGTCCCTAACAAATACTCTAAAATTGTGAACAGTGAACACTCACCCTTAGGTTTAATGGAAATTTCAGTTATTAAGTTATTAATTCCCTTTTCAACCATCAGAGCACTGTTTTCCCCACAACATAATTCATTAATTACAATAACATTCTGTCATGCAACATCGGCTTCTCTATATATCATTTTTGCAAAATGAATAATCAGTGTCCTGACATCATTATGGGAAAAGAAATATAGCAAATGCATAGCAGCAATAATGTGACAATTACCCAAAATATTCTATCTTTATTTTTTAAAGTTTGCTAGACTTATCACACTTTCTGTATCCCTATTAATCTTATAGTCTAGCAAAAAATATATGTTAGAAGAAATGATTATAAAACATGAGAGGCAAACAGAATGTCATCTCCTAACTTTTATTGCAATATTATTTACTATTAGCTAATCCGTAGCTCTGAAGAAATTTATTATACAAGGCATTCATTAGAGAACCTTAAAAGAACATAACATACCAAAAGTTTACAATTGTAAATGTTATATTTACTCTTTACTCAAAAGTTTTTAAGTCACAAGCTTAGTGTGTGTCTGTCTGTATGTGTATAAACCACAAAAGTTAAATTATTTCCAGTACTATTGCCCCTCCATCACTTCCACCACTACTAATTCAATTGCAAATTTTGAAATACAAGACTGATAAGGCAAAAGACGTATCAAATTATTCTATAAGTAATGTAAATAACCAGTATATCTCTAAGGTCTGTTTTGTTTTTTTCTTTTTAATTGGTCACAGCTTTCATCAAAGATACATGAACCAGGATTTTTTATTATGAACTGTATGTTCATTCTACATGAATGTGAGAAAATTTCATGCATCTGCCAATGGCTCTTAACATCTGCAAAGAACACCCAGGCAAACGCAAGATAGTTCCTCATTAATATTGTTTTAGAGCCACACATTGGAAGAACACTTGCTGAGTCAGAACATTACACATGAAAGTGAACATTTTTTTTTTTGCAGTTGATTTTCCAACATCTATATGAACAATCACATCAAATTAACTTTACAGAATGTTCTTTGAATTTGTGAGTCTTTTCAACTTTTGAAATGTCTGAAGTTGCATAAGCTAATACCCTAGAAATGGAAAAGTGAGACCTTAATCTTATGCTAGGCAGGACAGTTCATTTGCCATATTCATTTTTAAAAATACATTAGTATTTTTACAAAATGCATAGATTCTATGACTTTATGTGGGGAAGCTTTTTCACAAACCCTCTCGGTGCTCCACCCAAAAGGATGACATTCAAAAATTTCAAATGATTGAACGTATCCTATAATTCCTCTATCATAATATCCTTCAAACTTTATGTTTTATTACTTTTTAGTTGTCTTTCCCCAACATTGTGCATTCTTTGAGACAAGAATCATGTTTTGTTGTTGTTGTTGTTGTTTGAGCACTATTTTCTAGTGCCTAACACAATGCCTATCACATAGTTTTTTGTTGTTGTTGTTTATGTTTTGTTGTTTTGTTTTTATAGAGACGAGGTCTCAGCATGTTGCCCAGGCTGGTCTCAAACTCCCGAGCTAAAGCAATCCTCCCGCCTCTGCCTCCCAAAGTGCTGGGATTACAGACATGACCCACCGCGCTCGGCACATGGTTGATATTTCATAAATATTTTTGAATGACTAAACTTAATGTATCATGAAACAAAAAATAATATCTAAAGCTGTGTTGTTATTGTAATTCAATCAGAAACTGAAAACAGCTGTGAAATGGTCATTTACTTTAGATTCAGTTTCCCAAAAGTGAGATCTGAGGGTTGTCAGTACAAAGTCATCTGGGTTAATAGTTAAAAATGGATACTTCTTTGCTCATTTGACATGTAATCCGAGTCTCTTGGTTAAGAAATCATACATATTTTTAAAAAACAAATTCCCAAGAAATTCTGTTGGACAGTAAAGTGTGTGAAATCCTACTTTAGGTGCTAGAAATAGGAGAGAGGTTACTGTTGTTGTTGTCAGTAGTAGTAGTAGAAGAACTAAATAAATAACTGCTGAATAAATGGGGTGGATGAATCCTTCATTGTTCCAAACTTGTGTGTTGGACACAGCAAGTCATTTACAGATATTATTTAAATAAAATGTCTGAATTCCTATTTCATCCTTAATATGTATATTTATCATAATTTTTAGGATTAGGAAACTGAGATTCAGAACAGTTAAGAAATCTGCCTAAAGTCACATACCATAGAAGTGTAATGAGGTTAAGTATACGGCCAAGGTTATAAAACATTTTAAAAGCTAGTACCCAGTACCTTCTAGTTCCAAAGCCCAATGTTGTTCACTATGGTTCACAATGGGACCATATCTCTCAATTTAGTTTTACTTATAACTGAGAGCAAACATGTTTATAAAATTTGGGAGTTCCTTTTCCTTTAAAAACGAAAGATATCCTAGAGTGTAGAAAATATCTTTGAATAACATCAGTTATTCTAGCTCATACAGCAAAATGGTTACTTAGTTGGCAACACAATAGGCTTAGAATTTTAACTGAACTATTTTATTGGTTATTTATTTACTGCTAAATCTTAATTATACTGATGATTTTACCTGAAGAAAGAAACTTTTTGTGATGAAGCTTTGAAAAAGAACAACATAGTTGGTCTAAAACCTAGGAAAATTAACTAAGTGTCAGAACCTATAATGAGGCAACGTAATTCATCCTTTAAAAACTGATACAGTTTAATAACTGAATGTTCTCAAGGTCATATAAAGATTCCCAGAAGAAACTGGAAGACCCATTTGTAATCACAGCTCATGAAACACAGAGTAGCTCGAAGTAGAAGAAAAACATCTCAATAGTCAAGAATCTGAACAGGAAAATATGTCTACACTGTGGTAGGAAAAGGCTGACATTAAGACACAAAAGTTCCAAGCAATTCCCTCTTCAAGGAGAAGCTACTTTATTATTCAGTATAAATGCCCTTAATTAGAAGGGTAAAAAGGCAGCAAGGTTCAGCAGAGTCAACAGGCAGATAGTCTTTTCTATTACAATTTTTCTTTTTGAGATGGCCTTTCACTCTTGTTGCCCAGGCTGGAGTGCAATGGCACAATCTCGGTTCACTGCAACCTCCACCTCCTGGGTTCAAGTGACTCTCCTGCCTCAGCCTCCCAAGTAGCTGGGATTACAGGCATGTGCCACCACACCCAGCTAATTTTGCATTTTTAGTAGAGACGGGGTTTCTCCATGTTGGTCAGGCTGGTCTCCAACTTCTGACCTCAGGTGACCCGTCCGCCTCAGCCTCCCAAAGTGGTGGGATTATAGGTGTGAGCCACCGTGCCCAGACTCTATTACAACTTTTTAAGCAATGCTTTCTCAATAACATATTACACTAAAGGTAATCTTGACCATATCACTATAAATCATAGTCACAAAACTAAATCTTGGGAATTTTAAGCAGTGTTAAAGTTTATACAAAGTTCACCATAAATGAAGAACTCTATATGGTATTTTTTTGCTGACAGACCATTGCAACGGAGCATCTAAGACACTCCAGGGTCCAGCAGGGCTTATTAATAAGAAGGAAGCTAAGGAAAGCCCAGCAATTCACCCATCAATATTGAACTAATATGCCCAATGACTCTTCATTTTAATATCATTAAATTGCAGGAGATCTGCTTGCTGTTTCATTCACCTGTGAACATATCTTTATGGAGCCAATTGTTCCTATACCCGGAAAGACATAGAGAAATTAAGACAGATGAATAAACAAAGTTAACAAGCTAATATTTGGAAGTATGGAAAATTAGTCCAGGCTTTCTTTGCTGTTGTTGATGTCTTGATTTTATATAATGTCACTATGCTTATTATCAGAGTGAGAACATATAATACAGCTTGAGCAGTTTCTTTGTTTTGATGATCTGATGGTGCCTGGTTAATGATATGCTGTTAGAGATATCCTAGCTGGTAATGCAGCAACTCCTGGGGAGAAAGCAATGAAATGCTCTACTCTGCAGTTATGGTGAAAGAAACACTGCAAGCCGCACCACATGCCTCCATCAGGGGTCAACATTATGACAATAACTTCATGTCTTTAGAGTGTCCAATAAATCTTGAAACTTGACATTGGTGAACATTTTAAAAATCTCAACACAAAATTCTGCCATCACTGGATTGATTTCAACTATTAAAAACACATAAAAATTGTTGAAGTTATTTGAATCTACTCAATCATTTCCACATGAGAAAAGATATCTAAAACTCATGAATTATAAATTTCAAGGTGAAAACAGATACCAAGCCATCATGCAATAGAAGTTATCTGATCTCAGAAGCTCACAATTTGTTTAGGTCTCAATTCCTCACACCATAGGATCTAGTCAACCTGGTTTTCATACCTCTTTTTTCACCAAATGCTTGCAACGATCTTTTAATCAGCAATCTCATGTCATCCCAGACACTTTTTAAATATCCATGTCCATGTCCATGTCTTTGTTCTTACAACCCAGCAAACTTGGATCTTATCTACCCTTGAAGAGATAGTTAACATTCTAGTAGTGCCATAGGGATGTCTCATAATTTGTTTCTTCCTTCTGAATTCTGAGAATAAACCATTCTTCATATTCTCTGCTTGACTAAACCAAATGAATATGTTTAATGACAGTAAAGACTAAAGGACCATCACCATAGTACTAATAACTATTTGAAGTGTTTTACATAATTAAACTCATTTAATCTTTATAATAATTCTACGATATGGCACTTTTAGTATCGTTCCCATCTTATGTTTGGAAAAGTGAGACAGAGCAGTTATGTGATTTCCTCTGGGTCACATAGTTCCCAAGTGGTCACAACCAGAAACTGAAATCCAAACCAGGTACCTGGCTCCAGAACCCATGATCTTAACCCCTATTCTTTATTGTACTTTACATTATTTTACATGAATATATAATTTCACCAAATTGATATTATCCCCTAAACTGATATTATTGGTTGGTCATTACATGGTTTTAGGTGGTACACAGGCATGGCTTTATAGTCAATAAATGTATTTTGATCGATTCAGCCCCGAAATACTTGTTTAGTAGAAGAAATATAGTTCATTAGTATAAAACCTATGTCCTCTTCAAAGTGTGAGGAAAGAACTACCTCTCATCAAGAACCTGATAGTATGTCTGGTATTTTATTAGGTAAAAAGTGATTCTACTTAGTTCAATCATAATATGGGATATATACAAATAGCATTTAAAATGTTCATCTTGGCCGGGCGTGGTGGCTCATGCCTGTAATCCCAGCACTTTGGGAGGCCGAGGTGGGCGGATCACAAGGTCAGAAGAAGGAGACCATCCCGGCTAACACGATGAAACCCCGTCTCTAATAAAAATACAAAAAAATTAGCCAGGAATGGTGGCGGGTGCCTGTAGTCCCAGCTATTTGGGAGGCTGAGGCAGGAGAATGGTGAGAACCTGGGAGGCAGAGCTTGCAGTGAGCCGAGATCGCGCCACTGGACTCCAGCCTGGGTCACAGAGTGAGACTCTGTCTCAAAAAAAAAAAAAAAAAAAAAAAAAGTTCATCTTATTTAAAGGACTTGCAAATAATTGTTATTTTGGTATATAATATAACATTATACTTTTCCAAAGCTATTCATTCATGCTGTATTTTTATTTTTCCACCTGGGTTAAAGGGCTTTGTTTAAGGCTATCTTTAAGGTACACAACAATAAGTTTTGATTAATATTCAAGTAATATAAACAATAAAAATAACAATAACCACTCTACCTTTAGTGGAAAGGATTACTCAAAATAGCTCTAAGTTAGTTAAAGTCCATACATGTAGCGCAAGTAAAGCTAAACTAAGTGTATATTACAGAAATAAAAACATTTTTTTAAAAAAATCACAGGGAATAATATATATAAAAAATAAACCCACTAAATCTATTTTTCCTGTGGTTTTAAAAACTGCCCAAACTGACCTTGCCCATGAACTTCCAAATTCTAATACTTTTTAAATTGAACACTACAGATAATGTTAGTCAGTTTCTTTTTACATTATAAATTTACATGAGCCTTCCCTCAATTATGTCCTTGCTGGATACTACATGCATACTTTTCTCATAAGTCTATGGTCTACACAAAGTACACTAAGAGAGAAACTAAGGTGGCTTTGATTGGAGTAAAGATAGAACAGGGGAAATAAAAGTTAAAAGAGTTCATTATTATTGAGTACATACTATATGCTAGAGGTAATCCTTACTTCCTTACATACACTATGTCATTTATTCTTTACAAAAATCTTATGAGGTAGGTACTATTTTACAGGAAAGGCTAAGAAATCTTATAGAAATGTTAATTAAGTTGGCTAAAGTTACAGAACTAGGAAGCAAACAGGGAGAAGAGTCCAACTTTGATTGGCCTGCTCATTTTCATGTATAAAAGTATTTTGTAAAACAAGAAAAAAAGTAAGATCAAGGACAATAATTCCACTCCTATACATAGTCCAACGGTGTAAACTGAAGCAGTTATGAAAGGGACCCTTAAATCTATGTGCACAACATTATTTTCTCAATCAAACAGATAGCAAAAATAAAATAAATTTTCATAATAATATGTATCATAGCATATAATTATAGTATTGTATATGTACACATACATACTTACATACATTAATATATATAATGCTCTAAAAGATGATTCTAAGGCCATACAATTCTTTCATCACAATTCTATAAGCATAATTCTACCATTTTTAGAGGAGGAGAATAAGGAAGGTAGAATAAGGAAAAAGAAGAAAACATCAGAGCACTTTTACTGGCTGTGTCATTCATCATTATTTCCTCAGATACAGCAGTGAGAATCATTCTTTAAAAAAATCAGACATTTCACTTTCCTCACTGCAATCCTTCAGTGATTTCCCATTACACTTAGAATAAAATCTAAACTCCTTAATGTGGCCCACCACAAACACAGAGCCCCGCTCTCCTCTGCTCCACGTATTCCTATACACTGCCCTCTTTCCAGCCTTAGTGCTTTGGCATAAACTGTGCCCCTCCTTGGAATGCTGTGACGCTGACTACTCATCACTGGCTCCTTTATTTTTTCAGTCAATTTCAGCTCAAATGTCATCTCCTAAGAGATGCATATCTCCCATATAACAGCTTATAAAATCAAAATTAAATATCTAATTAACTATTTCTTATTAGTTTTCTTCCTTTCCACCTGGCCATATAGAGCTTAATTATAAGTTCTATATGGGCAAGTGACTCTAAGAGTTTCATTTTCCACTGTACATGTGAAATAATCAATGAGTCAAACATGAATAAAAGTCCATCCAAAGACAATGATATATGGATTTAAGCATTATTCCAAACTATTGCATTCACCAATGAAATACACACTTTTCCCACAACTACCTATTCCTCCTTTTTGTTATAATTACAATTTTATAGTAAGCTATGAATACTGTAATTTAACTATACTTTATAATGTGATGACCTAAATATTAAAATTGGCTGTGAGAGAATTATCATCAGTTTGCTTGGCAATTTCTGTTGCGAATAACTGATTCTGAAAATAAAGTTGTATATCACTTGTAAAGAAGTCAAAT
The DNA here is from genome assembly GCF_000001405.40 of Homo sapiens. Classification (NCBI taxonomy): domain Eukaryota; kingdom Metazoa; phylum Chordata; class Mammalia; order Primates; family Hominidae; genus Homo; species Homo sapiens. Next base: position 174,928,579 of record NC_000003.12, on the reverse strand, counting down.
TTCTTTAATTATGATTACATTGTTACAAATATCACATAAGGGCAATGCGCGGTGGCTCACGCCTGTAATACCAGCACTTTGGGAGGCCGAGGCGGGTGAATCCAGAGGTCAGGTGTTCGAGACTAGCCTGGCCAACATGGTGAAATCCCGTCTCTACTAAAAATGCAAAAAAATTAGCTGGGCATAGTGGTAGGTGCCTGTAATCCCAGGTACTCGAGAGGATGAGGCAGAAGAATCGCTTGAACTCTGGAGGCAGAGGTTGCAGTGAGCCGAGATCGCATTGCATTCCAGCCTGGGTGAGAAGAGCAAAATTCTGTCTCCATAAATAAATAAATAACAGATGTCACATAAGGGTGACATCAAAATTTTACAATATCCCTAACATCTGTGCTATAGTTTTCACATTGTTAAATGTACATGGTGAACTGAATGAATTCAAGCATCAATCAGTTCCTTACATTTTGTCATTCAGTTTTTAAATTTGTATTTCCTGACTTTTTTCTCTTTATTTGCATTTACATTCACTTTTTCCTATAAATATACATAAAGAAAAATACATAAAAATAAGAAGGTGGCTATAGTTATCTGTCTTTAATTTTTAGACTATTTCTACCTGTGTGCTCACTATGAAAAGCATGTAGATCTCTTCAAAAAAACAGCTCCTGGATTCATTGATTTTTTGAAGGGTTTTTTGTGTCTCTATCTCCTTTAGTTATGCTCTGATCTTAGTTATTTCCTGCCTTCTGCTAGCTTTTGAATGTGTTTGCTCTTGCTTCTCTAGTTCTTTCAATTGCGATGTTAGGGTGTCAATTTTAGATCTTTCCTGCTTTCTCTTGTGGCCATTTAGTGCTATAAATTTCCCTCTACACACTGCTTTAAATGTGTCCCAGAGATTCTCGTATGTTGTGTCTTTGTTCTCATTGGTTTCAAAGAACATCTTTATTTCTGCCTTCATTTCGTTATGTACCCAGTAGTCATTCAGGAGCAGGTTGTTCAGTTTCCATGTAGTTGAGTAGTTTTGAGTAAGTTTCTTAAACCTGAGTTCTAGTTTGATTGTGCTGTGATGTGAGAGACAGTTTGTTATAATTTCTGTACTTTTACATTTGCTGAGGAGTGCTTTACTTCCAACTATGTGGTCAGTTTTGGAATAAGTGTGATGTGGTGCTGAGAAGAATGTATATTCTGTTGATTTGAGGTGGAGAGTTCTGTAGATGTCTATTAGGTCTGCTTGGTGCAGAGCTGAGTTCAATTTCTGGATATCCTTATTAACTTTCTGTCCCGTTGATCTGTCTAATGTTGACAGTGGGGTGTTAAATTCTCCCATTATTATTGTGTGGGAGTCTAAGTCTCGTTGTAGGTCTCTAAGGACTTGCTTTATGAATCTGGGTGCTCCTGTATTGGGTGCATATATAATTACGATAGTTAGCTCTTCTTGTTGAATTGATCCCTTTACCATTATGTAATGGCCTTCTGTCTCTTTTGATTTTTGTTGGTTTAAAGTCTGTTTTATCAGAGACCAGGATTGCAACCCCTGCCTTTTTTTTTTTTTTCTTCATTTGCTTGGTAGATCTTCTTCCATCCCTTTATTTTGAGCCTATGTATGTCTCTGCATGTGAGATGGGTCTCCTGAATACAGCACACTGGTGAGTCTTGACTCTTTATCCAATTTGCCAGTCTGTGTCTTTTAATTGCAGCATTTAGCCCATTTACATTTAAGGTTCATATTGTTATGTGTGAATTTGATCCTGTCATTATGATGTTAGCTGGTTATTTTGCTCATTAGTTGATGCAGTTTCTTCCTAGCATCGATGATCTTTACAATTTATCATGTTTTTGCAGGAGCTGGAACCAGTTGTTCCTTTCCATGTTTAGTACTTCTTTCAGGAGCTCTTTTAGGGCAGGCCTGGTGGTGACAAAATCTCTCAGCATTTGCTTGTCTGTAAAGTATTTTATTTCTCCTTCACTTATGAAGCTTAGTTTGGCTGGATATGAAATTCTGGGTTGAAAATTCTTTTCTTTAAGAATGTTGAATATTGGCCCCCACTCTCTTCTGGCTTGTAGAGTTTCTACCGAGAGATCTACTGTTAGTCTGATGGGCTTCTCTTTGTGGGTAACCCGACCTTTCTCTCTGGCTGCCCTTAACATTTTTCCTTCATTTCAACTTTGGTGAATCTGATAATTATGTGTCTTGGAGTTGCTCTTCTCGAGGAGTATCTTTGTGGCGTTCTCTGTATTTCCTGAATCTGAATGTTGGCCTGCCTTGCTAGATTGGGGAAGTTCTCCTGGATAATACCCTGCAGTGTTTTCCAACTTGGTTCCATTCTCCCTGTCACTTTCAGGTACACCAATCAGATGTAGATTTGGTCTTTTCACATAGTCCCATATTTCCTGGAGGCTTTGTTCATTTCTTTTTACTCTTTTTTTCTCTAAACTTCTCTTCTCGCTTCATTTCATTCATTTGATCTTCAAACACTGATACCCTTTCTTCCACTTGATTGAATCGGCTACCGAAGCTTGTGCATTCCTCACATAGTTCTCGTGCCATGGTTTTCAGCTCTATCAAGTCATTTAAGGACTTCTCTACACTGGTTATTCTAGTTAGCCATTTGTCTAATCTTTTTTCAAGGTTTTTAGCTTCTTTGTGATTGGTTCGAACTTTCTTCTTTAGCTCAGAGTAGTTTGATCATCTGAAGACTTCTTCTCTCAACTCGTCAAAGTCATTCTCCATCCAGCTTTGTTCTGTTGCTGGCAAAGAGAATAAAATACCTAGGAATCCAACTTACAAGAGATGTGAAGGACCTCTTCAAGGAGAACTACAAACCACAGCTCAATGAAATAAAAGACGACACAAACAAATGGAAGAACATTCCATGTTCATGGATAGGAAGAATCAGTATCATGAAAATGGCCATACTGCCCAAGGTAATTTATAGATTCAATGCTGCCATCCCCATCAAGCTACCAATGACTTTCTTCACAGAATTGGAAAAAACTACTTTAAAGTTCATATGGAACCAAAAAAGAGCCCGCATAGCCAAAACAATTCTAAGCCGAAAGAACAAAGCTGGAGGCATCACACTACCTGACTTCAAACTATACTACAAGGCTACAGTAACCAAAACAGCATGGTACTGGTACCAAAACAGAGATATAGACCAGTAGAACAGAACAGAGCCCTCAGAAATAATACCACACATCTACAACCATCTGATCTTTGAAAAACCTGACAAAAACAAGAAATGGGGAAAGGATTCCCTTTTTAATAAATGGTGCTGGGAAAACTGGCTAGCCATATGTAGAAAGCTGAAACTGGATCCCTTCCTTACACCTTATACAAAAATTAATTCAAGATGGATTAAAGATTTAAATGTTAGACCTAAAACCATAAAAACCCTAGAAGAAAACCTAGGCAACACCATTCATAACATAGGCATGGGCAAGGACTTCATGTCTAAAACACCAAGAGCAATGGCAACAAAAGCCAAAATTGACAAATGGGATCTAATTAAACGAAAGAGCTTACACACAGCAAAAGAAACTACCATCAGAGTGAGCAGGCAACCTACAGAATGGGAGAAAATTTTTGCAATCTACTCATCTGACAAAGGGCTAATATCCAGAATCTACAAAGAACTTAAACAAATTTACAAGAAAAAAACAAACAACCCCATCAAAAACTGGGCAAAGGATATGAACAGACACTTCTCAAAAGAAGGCATTTGTGCAGCCAACAGACCAACAGACTCTTGAAAAAATGCTCATCATCACTGGCCATCAGAGAAATGCAAAGCAAAACCACAATGAGATACCATCTCACACCAATTAGAATGGTGATCATTACAAAGTCAGGAAACAACAGGTGCTGGAGAGGATGTGGACAAATAGGAACACTTCTACAATGTTGGTGGGACTGTAAACTGGTTCAACCATTGTGGAAGACAGTGTGGCGATTCCTCAAGGATCTAGAACTGGAAATACCATTTGACCCAGTCATCCCACAACTGGGTATATACCCAAAGGATTATAAATCATACTGCTATAAAGACACATGCACATGTATGTTTATTGCGGCACTATTCACAATAGCAAAGACTTGGAACCAACCCAAATGTCCGTCAATGATAGACTGGATTAAGAAAATGTGGCACATATACACCATGGAATACTATGCAGCCATAAAAAAGGATGAGTTCGTGTCCTTTGTAGGGACATGTATGAAGCTGGAAACCATCATTCTCAGCAAACTATCACAGGGACAAAAAACCAAACACCACATGTTCTCACTCATAGGTGGGAATTGAACAATGAGAACAGTTGGACACAGGAAGGGGGACATCACGCACCGGGGCCTGTTGTGGGGTGGGGGGAGGGGGGAGGGATAGCATTAGGAGACATACCTAATGTAAATGACGAGTTAATGGGTGCAGCACACCAACATGGTACACGTATACATATGTAATAAACTTGCATGTTGTGTACATGTACCCTAGAACTTAAAATAAAAAAAGAAAAGCATGTAACAGCATATAACATTCCTGAACAAGTAAGATACCATTATGTGTTTTTCTCCTTCTTTTAAAAACCTAGTCAGTCCTATGCCTCAATTCCATGAACAGCTGCTGAGATTTATGAATGCCATTACAGCATGTGTTCTTTTAATAATGACTCTGCCAGGGGACAAGGCATGGTTTTTTGAACTGATGAACTACCCAAAAAATATCACAAATTGAGGTTCTGTATTCTACCTCTACAGTGCCATACCAGCAAAACCTCAGAAGATACTGTCAAAAGTACCAAGGTATTTGAATTTTTTTCTATTCCTCTATACCTATCCAGACTACAATAAAGGAAAAATAGAAACACCACTTTAAATAATGTTCTCTCTTTACCTGAGAACAGGATATTGAAAAATGGTGGCATCTAGATGTGTGGTAAGAAAACTACATGAAGAATAAAACAGTGAAATGTTTTAGAAAATTATTTTACTTGTTCTAAAAAATCAAAGATACTATGCAAATCCTGCTTCTCCTCAAACTTTTGCTCACTAATTTAAAAATCCATCAGTGGATAAAATTCATTACTATTTTGTTTGCCTAATAATAATTTTTCTATTTCTCTCTTTTCTTCTACTTTTATTAATTGGAATTCTACTGTATAAGAATACTGTCCCTTCTCCATATTGAATAATATTTAGTTATTGATTAAATAATATTATTGGTTTCTTATTTATTGCACTATGTACTCATGGATATGTACTTAATTCTATGGGTTAAAATCTGTAATGATCATTTATTTTGTTGTTCTAGTTATTTCAACTTCAGCCCTCAGGAGCTACTAACTACACTTTATAATTTCATGAGCTTAAGATGAAAAATTGGCTATTGGTTTCTGTGTTTTTTCCATAAGCCCCCATCTTTTTCTGATACTTCCTTAAATTCTATTACCACAAGACATTTCAGGCTCATCTTGTATTTACCCTGTCCCTTCTGGAATCAACCACTTTCCCAAGGAGTCCTTGCCTTGTTCCTTTTTTTGTAGAATGACATTTAGAAACTCCAACTTCAGGTTTGCATAATCTCAAAGTATCTCCCCAAAGATACTTTCTAATGAACAAGGGAAAGATAAGAACTTTAAAATGGAGAATCGTTGAAGACTTCTGCTTCACCAAGTGATCAGGTTAATACCACCAGCAAAAAGACATACTGATAAGTCTTGATAATAACATCAGCAATAAGAAATACTAATATGTCTTGATATCATATTCATATAATGGACTAACCACAAAGCATCATTTTAGTAGTGTTGTTGTGGAAAAATACACCATTTCATTTCAATAGTGAGAAAAATTCAACAAACCCAAATTGAGGGGTTTTCTACAAAATAACTGATCTGTACTCTTCAAAAGTGTCAAATTCCTTACAGACAAGGAAAGACTGAGCAAGTTTTACAAACTGGAGAGATGAAAGAGAAATAATATCTAAAGGCAATGTGGGCTCCTGGATAGGATCCTGGAACAGAAAATCAGCATTAGGAGAAAAACTGATGAAATTCAAATTAGAGCTGTGGTTTAGGTAATAGTGCTGTCCTACAGTTAATTTCCAGGTCTTGAAGATTTCCCTGTGGCTATTTATGTTGTTAATATTACAGGAAGCAGATTGAGTGATATATGAAACTTGTGTCTTATTTTTGCAACTTTTAAGCAAGTCTAAAATTAGTTCAAAATAAAAAGCTTTTAAAAAAATCATAGACAATTTTTTTTTTTTTTTTTTTAAGATAAGGTCTCACTCTGTCACCCAGGCTAGAGTGCAGTGGCATGATCACAGCTCAATACCCCCTTGAACTTCTGGGTTCAAGTAATCCTCTCACCTCAGACTCCCAAGAACGTAGGACTACAGGTGTACAACATCATGCCAGACTAATTTTTTATTTTATTTTTTGTAAAGATGGGGTTTCATTCTTTTGGCCAACCTGGTCTCAAACACCTGGACTTAAGCAATCCTCCTGCCTTGGCCTCCAAACTGCTGGGATTAAGGCATGAGCCAAAATAGTTTATATTATTAATAACATAAAACCTTATACTTTGTCTCATACATATGTTTTTTTCATGACAAAACAAAAGAACAGGTACTAATAAATAAATGGCACAACTGAGAGCTCCAATCTATGTGCAAACATTCTGGGTAAAAGTATTTTCCTGCCAAATGGATTTTGCACCTTTAAAATACTAAGAAGATTTTTTTCTTTTCTTTTTCTTTTTCTTTTTTTTTTTTTTTTTGAGACGGAGTCTTGCTCTGTTGCCCAGGCCAGAGTGCAACGGCACAATCTCGGCTTACTGCAAGCTCTGCCTCCCAGATTCAAGCCATTCTCCTGCCTCAGCCTCTCAAGTAGCTGGGACTACAGCCACCCGCCACCACGCCCAGCTAATTCTGTTTTTGTATTTTTAGTAGCAATGGGGTTTCACCATGTTAGCCAGGATGGTCTCGATCTCCTGACTTGGTGATCCGCCTGCCTCGGCCTGCCAAAGTGCTGGGATTACAGGTGTGAGCCACCGCGCCAGGCCCTTAGAAGTTATTTTCTAAGTGAAATATTTTACATTAATTCTTATAATAAATTTCTGTCACATTTGAATATTTTTATACTTGTCTGGTTACTTTAAATGCTTTTAGAAGTAGAATTTGCAAAAGATTACATAATCATATAAAGGCCACGTAAAATAAAAAATAACAAAAAAATTGTATTTAAGTGATTTAGTTGTAAATTTCTATTAAGTAACTTTATTGAGCACATATTTTCAGCAAAATATTGTCTAGATATACAAGCATACCTCATTTTATTGAACTTCACTTTTTGCATTTTGCAAAACACATTGTGTTTTTTAGAAATTGAAGTTTTGTAGAAACCTCGCATCAAGCAATTCTATCAGTGCCATTTTTTTCCAATAGCATGTGCTCATTTCATAACTCTGTTTCACATTTTGGTAATTCTCACAATATTTTTAGTTTCTTCATTATTATTATATCTGTTATTGTGATCTGTAATCAGTGATCTTTGATGTTACTATTGTAATTATTTGGGACACCATGGACCATGACCATGTGAGATGGCAAACTTAATAGACAAATGCTGACCGTGTTCTGAGAGTTCTACCAATCAGCCGCTCTTCTGTTTCTCTCTCTCTCCTCAGGCCTCCTTCTCAGACACACAACTATACTGAAATTAGGACAATTAATTACATGGCTTCTACATGTTAAAGTGAAAAGAAGAGTAACATATATCTTACTTTTAAATCAAAAGCTACAGATGATTAAACTTAGTGAGGAAAGCATGTTGAAAGTCAAGGTAAGCCAAAACCCAGGCCTCTTGCACCAGTTAGCTAAGATGGGAATGCAAAGAAAAAGTTCATAAAAGAAATTAAAAGTGCCATTCCGTCGAATATAGGAATGATAGCAAAGCAAAACCACCGTATTGCTGACATGGAGAAAGTTTTAGTGGTATGAATGGAAGGATAAAGCAGCCACAGCATTCCCTTAGTCCAAATCCTAATTAAGAGCAAGATCTCAAAACTCTTCGGTTCTATGAAGGCTGAGACAGGTGAGGAAGATACAGAAGAAAAGCTGGAAGCTAGTAGAGGTTAGCTCATGAGATTTAACAAAAGAAACCATCGCTATAACATAGAAGTACAGGGTGAAGCAGCAAATGCTGATGTAGAAGCTGCAGTAAGTTATCCAGAATATCTACCTACAATAATTGATGAAGATGGCTACTCTAAACAGATTGTCAATGGAGACAAAACAGTCTTATGTTGGAAGAAGATGACATCTAGGACTTTCACAGCTAGAGAGGAGGAGTCGATGCCTGACTTCAAGGCTTGAAGAGACAGTCTGACTCTTCTGTTAGGAGCTAATGCAGCTTGTCACTTTAAGTTGAAGGCAAAGCTTATTTGCTATTCAAAAAATTCTAGGGCCCTTATGAATACTGCAAATTGAGTCTATATGTACTCTATAAAATGGAACATCAAGGCCTGAATGATAGCATACATGTTTATAGCATGGTCTACTGAATATTTCAAGCCCACTGTCGAGACCTATTGCTCAGAAAAAACTATTTATTTCAATGTATCACTGCTCATTGACGATGCATCTGGTCACCCCAAGAGGTGGAGTGGAGGTGTACAAGGAGATTAATATTGTTTCTATGGCTGCTAACACATAAGTTCTGCAGCATATGGATCAAGGAGTAATTTTGACTCCCAAGTTTTATTATTAAAGGAACACATTTCATAAAGCTGTAGCTGCCAGAGAGGGATTCCTCTGATAGATCTGGAAGAAGTAAATTGAAAACCTTTTGGAAATAATTTATCATTCTATACGCCATTAATAATATTCATGACTTACGGGAGGAGGTTAAAATATCAACATCAATTGGAGTTTGAAAGAAATTGATTCCAACCCTCATGGATGAGTTTGAGAGGTTGAGGACTTCAGTGGAGGAGATAACTTCAGATGTGGTGGAAGCAGCAAGAAAACTAAAATTAGAAATGGGGACTGAAGAGATGACTGAATTGCTCAAATCTTATGAATATACTTGAACGGATGAGAAGTTGTTATTTATGGATGAGCAAAGACAGTGGTTTCTTGAGATGGCATGTGCTCCTGGTGAAGTAAGTGAACATTGCTGAAATGACAACAAAAGATTTAGAATATTACATAAACTTAATTTATAAAGCAGTAGCAAGATTTCAGAAGATTAACTCCAATTTTGAAAGACGTTCTACTGTGGGTAAAATGCTATTCAATAGCATTGCATTTTACAGAGAAATATTTTGTAAAAGGAAGTCAATGAATGTGGCAATCTTTATTGTTTTAAGAAATTGCCACAAGCAGCCCAACCTTCAGCAATCACCACCACGATCAGTCAGAAGCCATCAACGCCAAGGCCAGATCCCCCATCTGCAAAAATATTACAACTTGCTGAAGTTGTAATACTGCTAGGATTTTTTAGCAATAAAATATTTTTAAATTAAAATATGTACATTTTAGACACAATGATATTGTACCCTAATAGGCTGTAGTAGATTGTAATCATAACATTTATATGCACCGAGAAACCAAAAATTTCATGACTTGCTTTATTGTAATATTTGCTTTATTCTAGTGGTCCCGATCTGAACATCAATATTAAATTGCCAGATAGGGTCTGTGGTGTATTATAAAAGTGGCCATAATTCTTTATTCTTTCTTTGATCCAAACACTTTGCAATGCAACTCATGGTTACTCTCATCAAGTGGTAGAGTTTATTTCATACTCCCTGCATCTGGACTGGTTTTGTGACTTCTGTGACCAAAAGGACACAAACAGAATCATTAGTGTGCTAGTTCTGAAACGACTTTTGTGCTTCTTTTCACTCTTATGGGCCCCCCTTCTTGGCCATGGGAGCAACCCTGAGGTAACCTGTTCAGTGGAAGAGAGCTCAATTGTCCCAGCTGAGGCCATCTTAAAGTAAACCTCAGCCAATCAACCGCCAGATCCTTGATCAGCGCAATCACCTAGATGATCCACAAAACTGAGTACAGATGCACAAGTGAGCTTAGCTGAGCTGCAGGCTAGTGAGCAGTAATAAATCCTTACCATTTTAAGTCAGTGAGTTTTGAGGTGGTTTCTCATACAATAGCTAATACAGGGATTCGGTTTTTTTCCATTTTTTACAGAAAAAGTTAGAGTCTTCAAGTTTGCACCAAGAGTAAGCAGAGGGGCTAATATCCCACTGATACACTGACTCCAAAATATATTTTTTTATAGTATGCACTACTGTTTTCCAAAATCTAGTGTGTTATTTTGTTTCTGTAGGCATACTAAATAACCTCCCTAAACTCAACTTATAAAATTATTAGATGCAATTACAAGTGAATATTCTGAATAAGTACTGATATGTTTTCATAATCAGCCCAAAAGCATCCTCATCATATACTACTTTTCTAAGATGGAATCAAATATGCTACATAGTAAAAATTATTAAGTATTGCAGTGGATGTTTCTAAACATGTCTTATATTTTTAAAAAGAACATTTTATTTTCATCATAAATATTTAATATGAATCGTATACTATAATACACTTCTACAAACATTCTTGAAAATCTTTAACACTATTTTCAGTTTTAAAATATACAAAGTAAATTATCAGTCAAGCTTAGAAAATTATGACGAAAATTAGAAAATTGTGATGAAAATGATCTTTATTTCAACAGTCTGACATGCACAAATATCTGTGGGGCCAGGTTGAAGTTAATGATTTTCTCTCTTTTTAATTCCCTAAAATTGGTGGCTCAAAAAAGACAAAAAAAAAAATAACAAATAGATCTAAAACAAATGAAAGTGAGACTAAAATTCAATTTTAACTAAACCATAAAGGTTTCAAATAATTCATCTCATTTGACCTAGAAAAGACTTTCCAGGTAATTAATAAACAACTTGAAATGGGCAAGATAATAGTGTGTCTCTAACCAAGGTTCTTTTGTGCTACAGGTATTCAAGTAAATAATAGTATTCAGCAGATTCTGAAATGAAATCCAGAGGATATTTTCTGGACCACATGTTACTACAATTAAGGAATATCATAAACAAAATAAAAGCTAAAGTTACACTACATTTATACTCAGTTTCAGGTCTTTGTTCAATGTCATTCAATTAAAGTCGTGACCAAGCATTCTGAATGTACATTTTTGCCATAAAATGTATAATGCATTTTAAGCACAGTAATCACAATGCAAATGTGCTGTCTTTGAATTGTTTCATCAACAGGTTCTTGAACAAATTCATGATCAGTTAAGAATTGGAAATGAAGGATCATTGTAGTAACTTTTTTTTCAATTGACTATGGGAAAATTCAGTTAAACCATTTGTGTTTACAAATCTTCTTTGCTCCTACTATAGACTGTTATTAATTTACACTTTAAAATCGGAATTGCTGAAACAAAGTTAAATCAAATTCTTAATTTTAAAAGAGCTCTCAGCATCTAACAAATAAAGTTTCCAATGAGAATTACAGTCTGAAACGCTTTACCACCAGGTGTACCAAGGATGATGAACAGGCAGAAATAGTGCTAAAAACATAATGTATGAAATCTAGTAGAGATAATGACACTAGATGCTATATATTAATCACTCTGAAAATATTTTGCACTTTAAATCTCTTTTTTAAGTAATTTAATTTTTTATTTCAATAGTTTTTGGGGTACAAGTAGTTTCTGGTTACATGGATAAGTTTTTTAGTGGTGATTTCAGAGATTTTAGTACACCCATCACTTGAGCAGTATACACTATACACAGTGTGTAGTCTTTTATCCCCCACCCTTTTCCCAGTCTCCTCATCAAGTCCCCAAAGTCCATTATATCACTCTTATGCCTCTGTGTCCTCATAGCTTAGCTCCCACTTATATGTGAGGACATATAATATTTGGTTTTCCATTCCTGGGTTACTTCACTTAGAATAATGGCCTCTAGCTCCATCCAAGTTGCTGAAAAAGACATTATTTCATTTCTTTTGATGTTTGATAGTATTCCATGGTGTATATATGCTACATTTTCCATATCCACTCATTGGTCAATGAGCATTTAGATTGGTTCCCTATCTTTGCAATTGTGAATTGTGCTGCTATAAACATGTGTGTGCATGTGTCTTTTTCATATAGTGACTTATTTTCCTTTGGGTAGATACCCAGGAGTGAGATTACTGGACTGAATGGTAGTTCTACTTTTAGTTCCTATTAAGGAATTTCCATACTGTTTTCCACAGTGGTTGTACTAATTTACATTCCCACCACAGTATTAATGTGTTCCCTTTTCACCACATCCACACCAACATCTGTTGTTTTTGACTTTTTAATTATGGCCGTTCTTGCAGGAGTAAGGTGGTATCTCATCATGGTTTTAATTTGTATTTCCATGATTAGCGATGTTGAGCATTTTTTTATGTTTGTTGGCTGTTTGTATACCTTCTTTTAAGAAAGGTATATTCATGTCCTTTGCCCATATTTTTCATGGGATTACTTTCTTGCTGATTTGTTTCAGTCCCTTGTAGATTCTGGACACTAGTCTTTTATCAGATGCATAGTTTGTGAATATTTCCTTCCAACACGTGGGTTGCCTGTTTACTCTGCTGATTATTTCTTTTGCTGTGCAGAAGCTTTTTAGTTTGGTTAGGTCCCATTTATCTAATTTTGTTTTTGTTGCATTTGCTTTTGTAGTCTTAGCCATGAATTATTTACCTAAGCCAATGTCCAGAAGAGTTTTCCTGCACTTTTTCAAATGAAATATAATGAATAGTATTTAATATACAATTTAACCACAAGGCTGTAAGATTGATTGGGTGAAAATTAGCTTACGCTTTTTTTCCTAAAATTATTAAAGTATCATATGATAAAATTCAATTTTTAAATGTAAATAACTGACTTATTTTGTTTTCCTCTCAATTTCTCTAATAAATATAATAAATAAATCTGAATATAACATTTTTAAACAAAATACACCTTGAACCTCTAACATATCCATCAATAGAATGAGTCTTAGAACCAGAGAACATGGGCTCAAAACCTGTCTCTACCACTGATAATAGTTCTATGAAGTTGTCCTTACCATAAAGTTGGGAAAGCTGGGTCTAGAAAGATATCTAATGTTCCATTGTCAAACTCTGTTCATTGACAGGGAGGAGACAGCAACTTCAGTATGTCTAATTACAAAGCCTAGATCTTAACCACTAAGCCATGATGATTTAACATGGGTAATCTCAAACACTGTCAAAATGAGCTTTATCACTGAGATAACACAGAAGACAATATGACACCTCCTCTGCTGCCATCCCTCAAAATGCACCTCCCCACCCACACTCATATGAAATAATCTATCCAATTGACCATGAAAAATGTTTTCTAAGCTTTACAATTAAACCATTTGTGTTTAAAAATCTTTCTGTTGTAATAATTAGTGGGCAATTAGATACTAGTTTTCCAACATTGTATTATTTTCTAGAACTCTTAGAACCTGTCCAGAATAGAGACTTTGTAGAATTAAACTGTAGTATAACTTTTTAAATTTAAGTCTATCAAGTAAAATAAAAATCTGTGAAATCCCAGCCTTTTCATCAAAACTTGTACACTAAAGCATCCAAAAATGAAAAGATAATTCTAAGATTGTATTAGATGTACCTGATATTTTACCTTTCCTCCCTTATTGAGTTTGAAACCCCTGACACTCAGCTACAAAGACTCTGGTCATCAAATTTGTTTTGTCTCCAAACTCCTTTCTGACTGCAGATATTGATCTTCCAATAAATTAATCTTTAATAAAATTGCATTACAATGTCTTTTGAGGTTTATTATAATGAATTATATCTATATTTGAAAATTTTCCTTTCTAAATAAATGTCTGTGATTATTGAGAAAATGTACATTTATTTACTACCTGTTCTAACTGATAGATTATGTCTGATATTTGATATCCATTATTGCCTTTTATTCTTACCATGACAATAGCATTAGTCTAACTTTACTTATAGGAAAATGGGGCTCAAATAAGTAATTTACTCAAAGTCTAAAACTAGAGAAATTCAAACTTACAGATTCAGATCTATCGACTTCCCAAGTCCATACCCTCTGTACCCCATATGATACTAAATATTCATTATCTAATGTGATTTTTAGTTGCAATAAAATATAAAGCCAGGCCGGGCATGGTGGCTCACACCTGTAATCCTAGCACTTTGGGAGGCAGAGGTGGGTGGATCACCAGAGGTCAAAAGTTTGAGACCAGCCTGGCCAACATGGTGAAACCCTCTCTCCACTAAAAATACAAAAATTAGCCTGATGTGGTGGTGGGTGCCTGTAATCCCAACTACTCGGGAGGCTGAGGCAGGAGAATCACTTGAACACTGGAGGCAGAGGTTGCAGTGAGCCGAGATCACACCACCACACTCCAGCCTGGGTAACAGAGTGAGACTCCGTCTCTAATTAAAAAAAAAAAAGAAAAGAAAAGGAATATATATATATAAAACCAAAAAGGTGTACCTTGGAAATGAAATACATAATCTCCTGCTTATAGAGATTATAAAATTATATTTAAAACTAATTCTAGAATTTTGTTTTTCTTAGGCTGGGACTCATAAATCAACTCCTTCAGTTCTTCAAACCACCCCATTAGATAAGACTAACATTTTCTAATTATATTTTTATTGTATTGGGACATATTAAGAATAGTAATGATAATTTAAAATTTTCAATACACAAAATGATTTTTCATTAATTTGGTACCAAAAAATTAACTTGATCAGCAGATATAGAGAAAGAACAGAAAGGATAAAATATTTATTGAGTGCCCATTACAGCGCAATATAGTACTTCATTTGGTTTAATTTGCCAGCAATAACCAAATCGGTAAAATAATTATTTATCCCTTTTTTTCCAGAGGAGATTGCAAGTTTGAGAGCTGTAAACTGATTTGCCTGGTGACACCACTAATGAGTAGCCTGAGGTGGAGGCAACTGCCCCCAAAGCCCACTGCCACAACCTAGAGCCTCTATAGTAGTCCAGGTATCTTGTGAATGCATGTTACTCATTAATCAGACACTCAGGCACAAGACTGAGGCAGCAGCAACAAAAGACAAATTAACAGTAAACACGGTTTTTCCTTCACAGTGTAGTCAGAGTGAACCATCTGTCTTGAAGCCCTGTTTGCAAAGGAAAATAGTGAGGGATGAACCTGTGACACCTAAATAAGCCACTAGAATACTTGCAGGTGACAACACTGCCATGACAGCTGAGACATGTTTTCATTAAAGAAGGGTTTAGCAATTATGTAAACCCTTCAAACTTGTCTTACTAGTTGGTAAGACAAGTCGAAAATAATTTATAGGGAAAGTTCTACCAAAACTTTTTTCATACCAATAAGTCATAATACTATATTTTATCCAGTCTGTCATTAATTGTAATATGTATTGCAGGACACTTTAAAATGTGAAAATATGCCCAAAGGCAATTTTGAGGTACTGTCACTTGGAAGATTCATCTTTATTTCAGGGATATTAAAATGTGGAAATATGTGTATTTTAGAAACCATGAAATATAGATATCATCAATGTCTTTTAATGTAGAAATACATTAGGGCACTTTGAAAGCAAACATAATGACTAGTTTATCATGTTCAAATCATTAGTATCTAATTCCAAATATTTTCATAAATAATCCTGCCAGCAAAATGATGAGAGATTAATGATGCCACAATACAGGGAAGCCCCAGGGAATTATAGCAACAGGAAAATATCAATATATAATTCTAAATTTGTGCTGATCATGAAACAGACCATTGCCAACAATTAACCTTGTCTTATTTTATTCTATCTAGAAATTTTCCATCCTGTGCTTCATTCTTAGGAACATTGAAAGCCATTAAGTTGCATAAATTAATCAGGGGAAAAAGGCTGCGAAAGCTAGAAAAGGAGGGGTAAATATGACTTTATCCATGTACGTTAAATTGCTCAAGAAACAAATCAGATTGAAAACAGAAACACCTTTTAGCTGACCACATTTTGGTTACCTAGGATTCCAATGAAACATTTAGCTATTGCAGCCTTAGGGTGTCCATGTACTGACGATTTACAAACGTTTTCTTCCCCTAATTTGTTCTGCTATTCCTAAGGAGGGGGAGAAAAACAGTTACCTCAGCAACTGCAAGGTTACACTTTATGCTGAAGTTGCAGAGCTTTTTCAAAGAAAAAAAAAAATTTAAAACATGGATCCATGTTGACATTCCATCTTCCTTAGGTGATGACTTTAGTAGTCAGGTTGAGAACAGCATGCAAACACCTATATCTTGTTGCTGCCCCACCCCCAATGACAGCATTCTGCACTGATTGTCTTCATTTCTTTTTTTCTTTTATGGAAAATGAGAGAACTACCAATATCAAATATAGGTATAAAGAAATTGTCAGAGAGAGGCTACAGAGAGTATAGTTCATCACAGCCGACCTTCTTTATTTCTGTGAGAAGAGAAATTGGTGGACAATTGGCAACTGTTATAATGGGAAAATAAACATCCTGTCAACTGTCAGTGGTTAAAAGGTCAATTTCCAGCCCTAGTGGAAGACAGCTATAAGTCTGTCTGCGGGAGAATGGATATTTCAGTAAGTACTAAGTTAAAAACACATTTTAACAACTTAATTCCAAAATCGCTCTAAAGGCTGTGGTTCTTGCCGCTTACATACTTGAGGCTACATCGTAAAGGGCACTTGTCAGATGTTGGCATGTGACTTCAGCAATGTCTGAGATATTACCAGTTTAAAAAAGGAACTCAGGAACAAGGGAAACAGACAGGAATATAAGGTGTACTAGGGCTCCTTTCATTAAAAATGACTGAAACCCAAATTGAAGTAGCTTAGCAATAAAAATGAATGTAAACTCTTGTGACTTTTGGGCTTTCCCAAACTCCCAGCTCCTTCTCAATGCTGGGAGAAGTCTTGCTCTGCCTATATTGCCCCTCCCTAAACCCAGCTTGCAATTTGTAGCAGGCAGTGCACTGGGGCACTCTTACCAGTCACCTCTTTCATTATCCATCTTCTAGCAATCACTTCCATCCACTGCCTCATGCCAATGTCGAGTGCCATTGCTTCAAATGCTGTATACAGTTTTTACTTGTTTCTGGAAAGAGGGTAAATCCAGTCCTTGATATTTTAACCAAATGCACAAATATTTTTTCTTCCACATTTAATTCTACAAATATATTTGATTGACTGTCCTACCCTTATGAATCAGTCACTATGTCAAAATGAAGCGGACTATACAATTAGCAAGAACCTAGTCTCATATCCAAACCTGTGGACCTATGTGTTCTATTGCCAGTATCAGGGAGAAAGAGTAAAAGCATACTCCAGACCACCAAAACTAATAGCTATCAGAATCCACTTCAGAAAATACGTTCTTATCTTAAAAAAGGACTTTTGGGGGATGGCAATTCCATTGCACTGATTTGTGGTTTAGTGCATCAAGCATTCCTCAGGCACATTCGGTGTGCCAGGTAAGGTGGTGGCCCCTGAGAACCGTGAGATAAACAAGATGCAAGTGCAGCCTGGAAGCTCATATTCCAGAGTTTCCCTTTCGCCCTGCTTGTCAGTTTTGCGAAAGCATTCACAGCCCCTACCTCTTCTGTTCACCTCTCCCGTTCTAGGCAATAGTCATGGGATAGCTTTGGCCTAAAATGGTACATTATTAATTTGGGGCCCATATTTCAGATGTCACATTTTAAAGATGAAGAAACAAGGGAAGAGGAGGGTCAAGTCACATGTCACAGGTGAAGTGGCCATCAATTAACAAACTTGATATTGTTGAAGTGTTGAATATGACTAATATGGTGTGTACTGAGGCCCCTCACTCCCCACTGCTCGTCCCACTATTCCACAGAGCGTCATCCTGCCTGGACTGCAGGACTGGATATTAACTCCTACCTGCATATGTAAAATTAACTCCTACCTTTCCTGCTATTTTAAAACCAAATAAATTACCTCACCATTCACTAAATAAAACTCACTATTTTCTTATGTTTACTGCTTATTCCTCAGTTCCCACCCCCAAAGTCAAGGAGTACTATTCTCTTTTCCTTAGCTAACTCATCAGACCCACATTTAATAAACTGGAAAATTTTTTATTAAATAATGTTGAGTGGAAAAAAGGATAACAAATTTCTATGTAAAAAGTGATGCAGTTATTTTAAAATATATAGTTATACACACACACAAAGACTTTAAGTTAGCATGCCAAAATATTAGTAATTTTTGAAAAATCTGGATTGTTAATTTATGGGTAATGTTTACTTTACTCTTCACACTTTTTTGTTTCTAACCTTCTGACGATCTCTATGTGATATATATATATGTATATAAACTATTAAAATAAAGTTATTCTTAAAGCCAATCTCTAAAAAATCAACTACATTCTGATTAAAATCTCTGATGAACACAATTTAGATAAAATTATATTTTATTTGTGCTACAGTATTGCAGAAAGCATTGCAAATACAATACATTGCATATGTGATTCTTTATAATCTCTATTTGAATTATATGACACTTGAAGGCAGAAAATGTATATTTTAAAAAATATCTTCTAATACTTAACTTGTGTAGTTAAATATATTAACCAAATGTTACAAATGTTACAATTGTGCATTTCTTGCCTGGGAATCCTAAAGGAAATCGAAATAATAAAAACAGCTGACAATTATGACATTCATACTATGTGCTAGGTTCTGTTACAGATAGTTTTACAGCTTCTATCTCATTTAATCCTCAGAATAGTCCTTTTAGAGTTCGTTTTATACATGAAGAAACTCAAAAGTAGGAAGAGATCAAATTATCTAAAGTGCCATAGCTAGAACGTGACAGAGCCAGTATTTGAAACCAAGTAGGTAACCCCACAGTCTGTGCACTAACCCACCACACAATCCATATTTTGAATGTTTCAACAATATTAGAAATCTTGGAGTAGGGATAATGATATAAAGCAGGGATTTGTTAATACAGATTGTTTATCATGATTTCCTCATTACTAGTATCTACCTCAAAGGACTATTTTAACAGTTAAATATATGATCATGAGTTTGCACAAGTGTCTGGTGTGTATAGAGTGCTCTATAATTGTTTTTTGAGATGGAATTTTGCTCTTGTTGCCCAGGCTGGAGTGCAATGGCACTGTCTTGGCTCATGGCGACCTCTGTCTCCCGGGATTCAAGCAATTCTCCTGTCTCAGCCTTCCAAGTAGCTGGGATTACAGGCACCCGTCACCATGCCAGGATAATTTTTGTATTTTTAGTAGAGACGGTATATCACCATGTTGGCCAGGCTGGTCTTGAACTCCTGACCTCAGGTGAGGTGATCCGCCTGCCTGGGTCTCCCAAACTCCTGGGATTACAGGTGTGAGCCACCGTGCCTAGCCTATAAATTTAGCTAATACTGTTACATGCATATTTTAGCTACTGTGAATTCAGTTAAGATGAAATAGCTACACAACTAAGGAGATCTTTTTTTTTTTTTCTGAGTATGATAAACTAAGGACATGCCTTAAGTCTAAGAAAATCTGTTTACTGCAGGCTTTTCTGCACAAATTTTCCTTTATCATCAAGGTTGCTATAGCCATCCCTCTTTCGGATTCCTTTTCTTCTTTAAAATTAGAGGCTTTGCTTTACACTGTTATTTTTAAATGGCTGGATACCTGCCATAGATCTAATAATTGGTTGTAAAAATCCAGACAAACATCAATTTTTAATTCTTAATTTTTAATCTTGTTTGAAACAAACATGTAAACTAAAATAAAAACTTAATAAAGCCAGGTTCAAATCTTGCCTGTTTTAGTATATAAGTCAAATTTTTATTAAATTAACTTCAGATCCTATTAATTATGAAAGCAAGAGGTTATATTTCTAATGAATACTAAGATCTTATTAGAAATTCCTTCTCCATCACTTTGTTTTTCTCTTCATTAGATATACCCGCACAAATGACCTAAAATTCAACCCACTTTGAAAATAAATTTTCAAGGCTTAGTGAAAAAAGCCTAATTTCTGTAGCCACTGGCCTGTTTCTAGAGCCATCGTTGACTGATGGCTTATAAAGCCTTTTTATACAGCACTGACATTTTAAAGATACTGGCCAGTCTGAACTTTCCATCTGGCGTGCTTGATTTCCTTTGTCCCACTTTCCCATAGTGACTTATTCTGTCCTTGAGCTCTAAAACTACTTTGATTTAATTTAGGCCTGGGGGTGTGAAGACATGGTGAAATTTATTTAAACAAGAGACGATAGTAATGCCTCCAACAGTGCATAGTAATAGGAAAGCAAATAACTGACTTCCTGGCATTTATTTGTGTAATAACTTCACCACCAAGTGCAACCAGAGAGGTATTCCAGAACTTTCCATGCAATTACATAAAACTAGCAAGAGCTAGTCAGCACTTGTAAAATCAAGTGGGAGATAAAGGAAATTATTTTATCTCAGGCCAAAAAAAAAAAAAAAAAAAAAAACCAACTTCTCTCTTTCGAAAAGAGATAATTGATATAAATAAGAAATATGTTACTTAATGCTGGAAAGCAACTGATACTTTCTAAAGTACACATTATGTTGTTAAATCTTCATTCATAATAACACTGACATGAAATAGTTAATTCTGAGTCTTGCACCTAGTCAACTATTAAAGACCTGGCTCTTTAGGCAGGGAACTTTAGTGCCTCTGTCTTAATCTTCATTTTGTTTGTTCACTTAGAAATGAGCCAAACTCCCATCTATACACAATAGATCCACAATACAATCTGAATTATGTTACTAATGAACACCACCAATGTTTTGCTTTTGAACATTGGTAGTACAACAACTTTGTGATGTCATCATAGAAAAGGAAGACACTAGGGACTCGATAAAATGTTATTTAGTAGTAAGAAATAGTCACAGATAAGTTTACCTTTTAGGGACGTGGTTTTTCTCTAATCTCAATGTTTTTTGTAACATTCCTCTATAGTATACAGAGCCATGAGAAATTTGATAGCAGTTTTGAAATATTAGTACAAATGAACTATCCCATTTTGGAATTTATACATGAAAATGTTCAAGACCTGGGCTACATATCACCCATCTCTCAAAACACTTCTTAGCATCTTCAACCACCCAGTAAATTTATGATCAAGGAATCAAATGAGCACTGGAAAAGAGTCATCAGATCTCAGTTCAAGCAACAGCTCCATCTTGGGTAATTTGCTGTATCTTTTTTTTCTTCTTCTTTTTTTAGATCTAAGATTACTCATCCATAAAACAAAAGGGCTGATCTCCAGAATATTTAAGATACATTCCAGTGCTAGTATTCTGTGATGCAATGATTTTGATCTAAGTACTAGAAAGGTAATTCTGCTGAGAAAGAGTTTGATTAATTATCAGATCAAATATAAATGAGTTTGCAGTTTCAATTTGGATTAAATGACAAAGATGGTCTAGGGGAGGCCTGATTTACTAGGCACAAAGAGTTATGAGTTATCTGTGAAATTTTTTACTATTAATAACCATCTGATTTTTAAAAAGGATTTGAAGTAATTTAATATAAAACTCACCTGTGATAAATAAAATTATATAAGAAGAAAGATTAGTGATCACATAAGAAAAATTTTGATATGAGAATCTGAGGTGAGGTGATTAATGAAGCTCTTGGTTTCTGTATTGTTATCTATTGCTACATAACAAATTATTCTAAAACTTTACAACTTAAAACATCAAACAAGTTATTTCACATTTTCTGTTGGTTAGAAATTGGGGGTTGGTATAGCTGGGAGCTTCTGGATCAAGGTTTCTCATGAAGTTGCAGTTGGGGAATTGTTGGAAGCTGTGGTCTTATATGAAGCATGACTGAGTTTGATTCTGCTTCTAAGCCCACTCACATGCTTGTTGGCAAGATTCAGTTCTTTGCAGGCTATTGGAAACAGCATCTCAGTTCCTCACTAGCTGCTAACCAGAGGCTTTCTTCAAATCCTTGCCATGTAGGCCTATCCAGAGGGTACTTTACAACATACACTTGACTTCCCTTGGAACAAGTGAGAGAGATCACCCATGATGAAAGTCACAGTCTTTTCAAAACTTAATCTCAGAAGTGACATTCAATCAATCATTCTGTATTCTATTAGTCAGAGGCAAGTAGTAATCCAACTGATACTCAAGGCAGGGGTATTCCAAAGGGTATGTAACCAAGAAGCAGGGATATTAGAGGTTGCCTACCACAGTTCCATACTGTCGAAGCAAAAAGAGATGAAGATGCTGATTGCATGTTTCTTCTTACATTAAAAAGATTCATTATTTCAAGAAACCTTCTTGTTTCTTTTATAGTTCTAAAAGAATGTTTGATATGAATTGGCATGTAAAGATCATTGAGAAATATAATGTACAATGTCCTGAACAGTTTGTTTTGTACAATATACAGAAATGCACTTCATGGTTATATTGTAGTATTAAACTGTGAATGAGGTTAATGCTGATTTCTAGGTATTCAATATGATAAAGAATCGAGAAAAAAATGAAGAATTAATGTATCAGTGTTTTTCAAAACTTTAGCATGCTTAACATTACCTGTGTGTAAACAAAGATTAATATCCAGGTGCAACTCAGTTGTACTAAATCAAATCTTGAGTGATGGGCATAGATTTCTTACTTTATAATAAAACCCCAGATAATTTTGATGTCTCAGATCCAGAAAACACATTTCCTTAGATGGCCTCTCTCAGAAGTCGGTTGCCCCTTCTACATCAGATACCACAATAGAGATTTATCCTGTCTGTCTCAGGTATATTAATCAACTTCTTATACTCTCCCACAAAACAGTGTCAGTAAAATAAAAGATTAGAATGTGGCAGACTGAGATAAAATGTTTTGCTTTGTTAAATGGAAGAAATAAAAGAATGAAGCAAGAATTACAGAATTACATATTTGAGTTACATGTTTTTATTTTTAAAGTTTTACTTGCCCTAATGCTTATAGTTTCCTGTGTCTTATGAAAAAGACTTATCCACAAATACAGTTTAATGCATGCTGCCATTTTACCAAACTGATGCCAATTTAACTTTACGAATATGCTACTGAAAATACATGAATTGTGAAACTTATGATCAACTTTATAAAATTCTTAATTGTAACTATTTTAGAGGCGGGGATAGCCAGAAAAGTGACATCCCTCAACAAATTCTATTCCAAATTAAGCAATATATGATTGATTGCTTGTGCTGCAGCTCAGAACAATGAGCATTTAAATACTAAGTTAAATGATACAACACACGCATAATCATTGAATAGGTTTCGATCTTGTCAGCTATATATTAATAAATCATTAGAATGTGAAAAAATTAGATAGCTTTATGGTAAAGCCAGAATTAAATACAATGTAGCAAATTTGAAATACTGATCATTACGATTTATATTTTTAAATATATAAAAATTTTACCAGTGGACTACTTCTAAACTCTGTCATTCTAGAATAAGAAAACTGCTATAGAATTACTAATTATGTGACAGCTTTAAAAATAACAATACAGCAATCCCATAAGAAAGATCAAAAAAGTTTTAATGCTATGTTTATGACTTACACTGAATTTAGATTATTTAATACTGAAACTACCTCTATCCCACATAATGCAGAAAAAAAATGCTTAATAATTTAAAAGAAATTCACCAAATACACATGAAAACATACCGAGCATCAAAATTGGTGATGTAACTATTTCACAAGTTGAGTGAATTATTGCCTCAAGCTATAAAGAGTATGAGAACAACAAAATAAAATTAATGGTAGCTCCAGCTGTTAACATAAACAGAAGTAGGATGCTCTTTCATTTGTAAAAGGATATGAAACTTATGTTTTCTGGTCTCTAGCAGGGAAAGCATGCAAAATTTTCTCCCACTTAAGTATTTACAATCTATTACTTTTACTATTATTTGATTGTTAGTATGTTCTTGATGTTTTGGGCATTAGTAGACTTTCTGTGCAATTAGCAAAACAATTTAGAATTGCTAGTAATGTATAGGAACTTTTGATTACACAGGAAATGTGTTGATTTTGGTGTTTACTTGCTTCATAGACTATGCCAAATCGTAGAATGCCAAACTTTCAAGGCACTTTCCATCTGATAAATAAAGGTGATTTAACTACTTCATTGGCAGATATACAGAACGTATAAACATCTAATTCATCAGAACTCAGATTCTTAATAAGTTGGTAACATATCACACAATGTAACATTCTAACACTTTAACATTATCATAATTATTCAACACAAACCTTTACTGAGTCCAGATTTTGGCTCTTGGCAACACTAAGATGAGTAAGACACAGATTGGCCCCTTACTGATCCCAAATAAGGTGGATTGTATATGTTGCATTACTCTAGGAGACTGGTTTAAATTAGAGATGTTTAACTACATATATCCATATCTATATAACTATATATCTCTGTATATCTATAAGCTCAGAGATATAGATATATATCTAGAAACTCAAATAGATACAGATATAGATATAGATATAGATATAGAAATAGATATAGATATAGATATAGATATAGATATTCCTTTCTGGCCCTGCGAAGAATATCCTTTCCAGAGCCAGAAAGGATTTTAGGACACACACCAAAACATATTTATAAAAAAGTACATTTATAGGTGATGATGATGATGATAAAAATGACTGTGAAAAAGTTTTAATTTTCTTAATCAGTCACTACTTAATCTCATTACCTGAAAACTTCCCGTGCAAATATATTCAACAATATCCAGGGAACACTGCATCCTTCCAGCTAGTAGTGATTTTGGAATAATACCCATGATTTTTGTTTTTACCAGTGAATTGCATGCTTGTCAAAATCAATTGTATTTATTCTCAAAACATTCATATGCCAGTTAAATTTAATATTGTAATTATGTAACTTAATTTTTACAAATACTACTACTAAAAGATAGATACAAAGAAAAGGAGTTGTATCTATTAAGTCAAAACCTTTAGAATGACTCAGTAAAGACTAGTGAGTAAAAGGTGGGATTGACAAACACCATTGGTTCACTAACCTATCACCCATTTCCAGGCCCTTCTCCATTCCAAGCCTTCCTTATAAGGGCAGAGTAAGCTAAAACACTAGCAAATTAATAAATTTCTAAAATGTTAAGTGAGGTAATGTGCATACAAGCATTTTGAACACTTTAAAACACTACAGATTATTGCGTCTTCTTATTACTATAAAATCATTTCTGTTGGTGCCTATAAAAACAATTAAGTAGTATTTCTTGGCTAATATCTAATGTATTCAAATACTGGAACTTAGAAATGAAGATCTTAGCTCAACTCTTCAGTTTTACCATAAGTCTGGTCTAAATTCCTGCAGGGATGGCATAAAGGCATTTGCTTTTACATTCTATTAAAACAACAGTTACCTTATGAATATAGTGGCTATTTGGGGGGGAAAACTTGAGAAATTAGAAATAGCTTCTTATATTAAGAATACAACTGTCAACATATAATTTTGGCAAGTATCAGTTTTGCCCCAGGAGTATGATAAAGGTAAGACTATTTATTTATTCCTTTCACATGGTTCCTCAGCCTAAGCGCTCAATTTCTGTCCAATCTTCTTGTTTCTGGGAGAATATGTGCTAACCTCTTTCAAACATTTCCCAAGCATGTATTTCTCAGAAGCTCCATCTATATCTCAGATAATGCCTTTGGAAAAATTACCATCAGTGCCGCCCTCCTTGAGTATACTTTATCCATCAGCATACCAGAATAAAAATAATAACCTTGGAGTTGACCACAGTATTTCCAAGTCCAACTTGTTATTATTCAGTAACAAGTTTCAATAGATAAATAACTTTTGAGTTCATAATATCTCCTTGAAAATTCCAGATGTCTCTGCAGTATCTCCCTTAATATAGATATTTAACCTCTATTAATAGAACCTAGATAATGTTTACTTTTTTGGTTCTCATATTCTTTCATGTACAT
Source organism: Homo sapiens (assembly GCF_000001405.40). Taxonomy (NCBI): domain Eukaryota; kingdom Metazoa; phylum Chordata; class Mammalia; order Primates; family Hominidae; genus Homo; species Homo sapiens. Next base: position 174,902,529 of record NC_000003.12, on the reverse strand, counting down.
CTTTAATCACGCGATTGTCTTTTTGAGTTATTTTAGAGTCTGAATTCAAATGATTAGTTGCAACTTATTTTAGTTAAACCCCACCCCCCTTTCTTTTATGTAATAATTACATTAATAGTCACTACCGGGTGGAGAAGAGATTTACAATGAGCCAGAATCTGTTCTATAATAGGTACTTTACATACATTATTTCTAACCTGTTCTATAACACAAGGCAAGAGTTATCACCTGTTTTAGAAATTTATAAATAGAGGGTCAATGAGTTTAAGTATATGGTCAAAAAGACAGACATAGGTTATTGGATGTATCTGTTTTGCTATATAATATCAAAAGATATGATAAAGATGGGACAAAAGGGTTTAGCTATTTCTCTTAGACTTATGCTACACAAAGAGTGGTCCACAAACTAGCAGCATCAGCAACACCTGGGCGGTAGATCATGCCCTGCATCAGACCACCTCAATCAGGATCTGCATTTAAACGAGATTCCCACGTAAGTCGTGTATATATTATAGTTTTAGGGGCACTGTTTTAGAGACAAATTGCATCATTCTCTTCTCAGATAGCCACACCTTTTCCAAAATAGAGGATCATTTGAGAGAACATTTACAGTCTCTTGTTCTTCTGTAAGGAAGCTAATCCTGGGGCCATACATAAATCACAACATAAAGCCCATGCATATATGTGCAAAAATGTATTTTTCTCTTAGACTTGCCTGCATTCAAATTAGTGCTCATGATCATTGGCCCATTCCAGCAATTGTAGTTACAGATCTAAGTACACCAAATCACCCACTCACCATCCATAACCTCCAGTATTCTTTCTTTCTGACCTGACTGGAAATGGCATGTGGCAGCAAGTCCTTGGATTTTGCAGCTGGCTAGATAAAGGGCTGACTATTCAAGGTTTACTGAAAAAAAACTCAGCTTATCTTTACAAGAAGATCTTGAGGCCTAAAACTGGACTGAGAAAAGGTGATCCCATTTGGCTTCACATTAAAGCTATGTTTTCAAAGACATTTACCTGAAGCCCTGTATTTGATGAAAGATTACTAGAAGCCCAGCCCCTAATGAAGCTTACAATATCCTAAAGCCTACTTCATGTTAATCACCTTCGTATCTTTTGGTTAGGAGGGTATTAGGCCTCCTACCCACGTTCTTCCATTGCCCATAGAGACAGGGCTCATGTACTTCTCACAAGCTCCATCTATATCTCAGATAATCAATCACACAAATATTTTGGAAATGGTTGATAAATTCCCCATAGAATTATATCAGCTAAAACTACATTCCTTGATACATGTTAAAATTATTCCTTGCCACATCATTGGTAAGTCCAAACACCATCAACACTCTCTCAAACATATGTTAATGAATCACATTTTCACAACTGACACTTTTAACCCCTAGACATGTGACAAGCATGGAATCATAGATTTAAATAAATAAAATGGTCAAATTAGTTTAATTTTATCATACAGTTGGACACACTGATTCCAATTGAAAACATCCAAATATTCAAGTGTCTTTGTCTTCAACCCTCTGTCTACAAATTGATTATAGATTGATTTTTGCAAAATTATATTTTCAATGAGTAATTAAGTGATAAATTTAGGTTAAAGAGTCATGACAAAGTATAGGGGAAGGAACTCTAAAGAAGCTTACTGATATGTATTTTACTTTTACAATGGTTTTAGTGAACATTTTTCTGCTTTTAAAAAGGGCATATTTTTATCATTAAAAAAATACATGCATACAATGTTAATTTTTTTAAGTAGCCAGTTATTCTATCACAGATGTACTCTCTGTTAAAATTTAGTTATTTTTATGTTTTTTTTCTGAGGTTTGACTTATATGAGAACATAAGGTATAAAATGTTTAGATTATACTACAAATAATTTTATGGTATGTAAATAATGCTGTCTTTCATATAAAAGCTTATTTATGAATTAGAATTTTTTGTTAGGTTATCAGAAGTCTCTGATCAATATTGACATAGAATTTTAAGGATTTTTATCTATATTGCAAAACAGTCTTTCAAAATAATTGTATGAATTTACATTCACATAGAAACATGTACCTATTTCATTTATCCTAACTACCACCAGTGTACTCTATTGTTTTTATTTGCTAATTTGACAGGCAAACATGCTGTTTTATTTTTATTTAAGATTTTATTTGTTATTGATTAAAAGTATACTTAACCCCTTAATAAATCTGAATTTATTTTGGTAAAAGCATGAATTGAGATTGCATGTCTAGTATATCTACCCAATTTTGTGATTCTAACTTGTCCATTTTATCTATAATAAAAGCTAATTGTGATAGTTTATAAAATTCTAACGTTTTCACTATTCTTGTGCCAATTACCTAATATTTTAATTATTGGTGCTTTGTAAATGGTGTAATATCTCGTAGAACTGGTTCTCTCCTCAATATCTTTTCCCTTAGTTCTTTCTTTAATATTTGTGTTTTGTTTTATTTTTGTTTTGCCAAACTTCTAAACAAATATTGACTGAAATTTGGTTGAAATTAATATATAAAATAAGAGTTTTTTAAATTTTTATTTAAAGAACCTACACTTATCTTGCTAACAGTTATTTTGAAATTGTTAGCTTTTTTGTTGCTTTTTGGAATAGAACTTTTTTTTTTACTGTCAGGACTTTCAGAAATGTAGAAATGGTTGTAAATTTTGCATTTTGCTGATTTTATTGTTCTTTTCTGGCCGTGTAAGCATATGCCCTTGGAATTCATAGAAAAAAACACTGGAAATTCTTTCCCAGGAAAAATTATATTATATTGTGTTAGGCCATTCTTGCATTGCTATAAAGAAATATCCATGGCTGGGTAATGTATAAAGCAAAGAGGTGGAATTGGCTCACGGTTATGCAGGCTGTACAGGAATCACGATGCTAGTATCTGCTCAGCTTCTGGAGGGGCCCTCAGGAAACTTACATTATGGCAGAAGGCAAAGGGGAAGCAGACACATCACCTTGCCAGAGCAGAAGCAAGAGAGAGACTGTGGAGGTGCCACACACTTTTAAGCAAACAGATCTCAAGAGAACTTACTACCTGGAGGACACCACCAAGGGGAGGACTTTAAACCATTCATGAGACATTGGCCCCCATGATCCAATCACCCCTCACCAGGCCCCACCTATAACACTGGGGATTATGTTTCAACATGAGATTTGGGTGGGGCCAAATACTTAAACTGTATCATATGCAAATAATTATCTCTTATCCTTTCTCTTTCTATATATTACTCATTTCTCTTTCATGTCTTTCTTCTCTAATAAAAATTTTAAAAGATTTTTATTAATAGTGATAATAATAGCATAAAATTTAGTTAATAATAGCATCCTAGTTTAGTTCTTGCACTTTGTATGTAATGTCTTTGTAGTTTTAATGTTCGCTGAGGTTCTAGTTTGCATCTTTTTTGTAAACTGTTTTCACTTCATGATACTTCAGGAATATGTTTCCTTGCCAATAAAAAGTCTCCTTTTAAAAACTCCATAATTGTAAAATATAATATCTATACAGAAAAGTGCACAAAATAAACATGTTCGGCTGAATGATTAATGACAAGTGAACACCCATGCAACTACTACTCAAGTCAAGAAGTACAACATTGTCAGTACCAGGGAAGCCCATCCTCTGTGCTCTCTTAATCACTACTTCTTCCTCCACAAAGATACTTTCCTTGCTTTTCTTTTAGAATTTTACCATCCAGGATTTATTTCCAAAAAATACAGTTTAGTTTTATCTAATTATTGAAGGTCACATAAATGAAATTATATAATCTATGGCTCTATGAATACTTTAGTGACTGTCTTTTTTCATACATTATATAATTTTTTATTTTTATTTATTTCTTAAATTACTGTGAGTACATAGTAGATGTATAAATTTATGCAGTACCTGATATGTACTTAACACAAGCACGCAATTGGAAATAAGTACATCATGGAGAATAGCATGTCCATCTCCTCAAGCATTTATCCTTTGAGTTACAAACAATCGAATTATATTCTTCACATTATTTTAAAACATACCATTAAGTTATTATTGACTATAGTCACCCTGTTGTGCTATCAAATAGTCAGTCTTATTCATTCTATTTATTATTAATTTATTTATTATTACTTATCTATTATTATCGCATTATCTATCTACCCTCCTCCTAACCCCCCTCTACCCTTCCCAATCTCTGGTAACCAACCTTCTACTCTCTATATCATGAGTACAATTATTATGATTTTTAGGTCACACAAAGAAGTGAGAACATGTGATATTTGTCTTTCTGTACCTGGATTATTTCACTTAACATAATAATCTCCAATTCTGCCCATGTTATTGCAAATGATAAGATCTCATTCTTTTTTTCTTTTTTTTTTTTTTTTTTTTTTTTTTTTTTTGAGACGGAGTCTCGCTCTGTCACCCAGGCTGGAGTGCAGTGGCGGGATCTCGGCTCACTGCAAGCTCCGCCTCCCGGGTTCACGCCATTCTCCTGCCTCAGCCTCCCAAGTAGCTGGGACTACAGGCGCCCGCCACTACGCCCGGCTAATTTTTTGTATTTTTAGTAGAGACGGGGTTTCACCGTTTTAGCCGGGATGGTCTCGATCTCCTGACCTCGTGATCCGCCCGCCTCGGCCTCCCAAAGTGCTGGGATTACAGGCGTGAGCCACCGCGCCCGGCCGATCTCATTCTTTTTTTATGGCTGAATAGGACTCCACATTTTCTTTATCCAATCATCTGTTGATGGACACTTAGGTTGCTCCTAACTATTGTATGTAATGCTGTGACAATTATAGGAGTGCAGATATATCTTTCATACACTGATTTCCTTTATTTTGGGTATATACCCAGCAGTGAGACTGCCAGATCATACGGTAACTATATTTCTAGTTTTCTGAGGAACCTCCAAACTGTTCTCCATAGTGATTGTACTAATTTATATTCCCACCAACAATGTACAAGGGTTCCTGTTTCTCCACATCCTTGCCAGCATTTGTTATTGCCTGTCTTTTGGATATAATCCATTTTAACTGAGGTGAAATTATATCTCTAGTTTTGATTTTCACCTCTCTAATGATCAATGATGTTAGCACTTTTTTTTTTTTTACCAGTTTGCCATTTGTATGTTGTCTTTTGAAAAATATCTTTTCAAATATTTTGCCCACTTTTTGATAAGATTATTTTATTTTTTTCCTATAGAGTTGTTTGAGCTCCTTATATAATCTGGCTATTAATCCCTTGTCAGAGGGGTAATTTGTAAATATATTCTCCCATTCTATGGGTTGTCTCTTCACTTAGTTGACTGTATCATTTGCTGTGTAGAAGCTTTTTAACTTGACATGATTCAATTTGTCCATGTTTGCTTTGGTTGTCTGTGCTTCTGGGGTATTGCTCAAAAAGTCTTTCCCCAGACCAATATCCTGGAGAGTTCCACAATGTTTTCTTGTAGTAGTTTTCATAGTTTAAAGTCTTAGATTTAAGTCTTTAATCCACTTCAATTTTATTTTTGTATATGGTGAGACACAGTTTCATTTGTTTGCATATGGATATCCCAGTTTCTCAGCACCATTTATTGAAGAGACTGTCTTTACCCCAGTGCATGCTTTTGGAAACTTATCAAATATGAGTTCATTGTGGTTGTGTGGATTTGTTTCTAGGTTCTCTATTGTGTTCCATTGGTCTATGTGTCTGTTTTTATGCCAATTCCATGCTGCTTTGGTTACTATAGTTCTGTATCGTAATATGAAGTCAGGAATGTGACTCGTCCAGTTTCGTTATTTTTGCTTAAGAGAGCTTTGGCTATTCTGAGTCTTTTGTAGTTTCATATAAACCATATAAATTTTAGGATTGTTTTGTCTATTTCTGTGAAGAATGTCATTGGTATTTTGATAGGGATCACATTGAATCTGTAAAGTGCTTTGGTAGTATGGACACTTTAACAATATTGATTCTTCTAATCCATGGATAAGGAATACTTTTCCATTTTGTGGTGTCCTCTTCTATTTCCTTCATCAGTGTTTTATAATTTTAATCATAGAGATCCTTTAATTCTTTGGTTAATTCCTAGGTATTTACCTTTATGTGTGGCTATTGTAAATGGTATTACCTTTTTATTTCTTTTTAACATTGTTCATCATTGTGAACAAAATCAAAATGTATATTGATTTTTTATCCTGCAACTTGAATGAATTTTTTTTATCAGTTCTAATAATTTTCTTGTGGAGTCATTAGGTTTTTTCAAATATAAGATCATAGCATCAGCAAACAAGGATAATTTGACTTCTTCTTTTTCAGTGTGGATGTCCTTTAAATTTTTCTCTTGTCTGATTGTGCTAGCTAGGATTTCCAGTACTATGTAGAACCACAGTGGTGACAGGTGGTATTCTTGGCTTGTTCCGGTTTTAGTGGAAAGGTTTTCAGTTTTTTGTATACTAGCTGTGGGTCTGTCATATATGGCTTTTATTATGTTAAGGTATGTTTCTTCTATACCCAGTTTTTTAAGATTTTTTTTTATCATGTAACGATGTTAAATTTATCAAATGCTTTTTCAGCATCAATTGGAATAATCATATTTTTTTCTTCATTCTGTTGATATGATGTATCACAATGATTAATTTGCATATGTTGAACCATCCTTGCATCTCAGGGATAAATCCCACTTGATCATGATGAATGATCTTTCTAATGTGTTGCTGAATTCAGGTTGTATTTTCTTGAGGATTTTTTATTCAATATTTATCAGAGTTATTGGCCTGCAGTTGTTTGTTTGTTTGCTTTCGTTTTTTTGTTTTGATGTATTTGTCTGGTTTTGATATCAGGGTGATAATGGCCTCATACAATAAGTTTGGAAGTATTTCCTCCTCCTCTCTTCTTGAGTGTAGTTTGAGTAGGATTGGTGTTCGTTATTCTTCAAATATTTGGTAAAATTCAGCAGTGAAGCCATCAGGTCCCAGGCTTTTCTTTACTGGAAGAATTTGTATTATGGCTACCATCTCATTACTTGTTATGAGTCTGTTCAGGTTTGGGATTTCTTCCCAGTTCAATCTTGGTAGGTTGCATGTATCTAGTAATTTGTCAGTTTCTGCTAGATTTTCCAATTTATTGGCGTACAGCTGCTCATAGTAGCCACTAATGATCCTTTAAATTTCCACAGCATCAGTTGTAATGTCTCCTTTTTCATTTCTATTTTTACTTTTTTTAGATCTTCTCTCTGTTTTTCTTAATCTGGCTAAAATTTTGTCAATTTTTTTTTAAGTTTTCAAAAAACCAACTCTTTGTTTCATTGATCTTTTGTATTGTTTATTTCATTTTAATTCCATTTATATCTGCTCTGATCTTTATTATTTCTTTTCTTATACTAATTTTGGGTTTGGTTTGCTCTTCCTTTTCTAGTTCTTTAAGATGCACCAATACATTGTTTATTTAAAGTTTTTCCTCTTTTTTGATGTAGGCACTTAAAGCTATAAGCTTATCTCTGTGTACTGCTTTTGCTGTATACCATAGGTTTTGGTATGTTGTATTTTCATTATCATTTGTTTCAAGATATTTATCACTTTCCTTCTTGATTTCTTTATTGACCCACTGCTCCAGGAGCATATTGTTTAATTTCCCTGTATTTGTATAGATTCTGAAACTCCTCTTGTTATTTCTAGTTTCATTCTATATTTTTCAGAGAAGATGTTTGATATTATTTCAGGTTTTTGAATGTTTTAAGACTCTTGTGATCTAAAACATGGTCTGTTTTTGAGAATAATCCATGTGCTGAGAAAAAGAGTGTGTATTCTGCAGTTCTTGGATGAAATGTTCTGTAAATATCTATTAGATCTATGTTGTCTATACTGCAGATTACACCTGATGTTTCTTCACTGATTTTTTTTTTTTTTTTTTTTTTTTTTTTTTTTTTTTTTTTTTTTTTTTTGAGACGGAGTTTCACTCTTTTTGCCCAGGCTGGAGTGCAGTGGCATGATCTCGGCTCATTGCAACCTCCGCCTCCCAGGTCCAAGCGATCCTCGTGCCTCAGCCTCCCAAGTGTCTGGGACCACAGGTGTGCACCACCACGCCCAGTTAATTTTTTTTGTATTTTTAGCAGAGATGGGGTTTCTCCATGTTGGCCAGGCTGGTCTCAAACTCCTGACCTCAGGTGATCCACCCGTCTTGGCCTCCCAAAATGCTGGGATTACAGGCGTGAGCCATTGTGCCCGGCCTGATTTTCTATCTGGAAGATCTGTCCAGTGCCAGAAGTGGGGTGTTGAAATCTCTTGTTCTTATTGTAGAAGACCTATTTATCTGTACAGCTCTATTAATATTTACTTTATATATCTGGGTGCTCCCATATTGGGTGCATATATATATTTAAAATTGTTGTATCATCTTGCTGAATTAACCCCTTTAACATGATATAGTGACTTTTTTCCCTCTTCTTATAGTTTTTGTCTTAAAATCTAATTTCTCTAAGTACAGTGACTCCTGGTCTTTTTGGTTTCCATTGACAAGAAATATCTTTATTTTCAGTCTATATTTGTCTTCACAGGTAAAGTGTTTCTTGTAAGCAACCAATCAATGGGTCTTGTTTTTGTAAATCCATTTGGGCTGTCTACATTTTTGTATTGGAGAGTTTAGTCCATTTTCATTCAATGTTATTATTAATAAGTTAGGGCTTAGTCCTGCCATTTTGTGATTTGTTTTCTGGCTGTTTTGTGGTCTTCTCTTTCCTCTTTCATTCCTGTTTTCTTCTAGTAAAGATGATTTTCCCTGGTGATATAATTTAGTTTCCTGCTTTGTATTTTTTGTGTACTCATTCTATCTTTTTTATTTATTGGTTGAGGTTACCATGAGGCTTGCAAATACTATTTTATAACCCATTATTTTAACCTGATAACAATCTAACACTATTTGCATCAATAATCAATCAAATAAGCACAAAGGAAACTAAGAAAAACTCATGTTAATTACATGCAACACCCTTTTTAACTTTTTGTTTCTTCTATTTGCATCTTATTGTACTGACTATGTCTTGAAAAGTTGTTGTAGCTATTATTTTTGATTGGTTCCTCATTTAGTCTTTCTACTTAGAATTATAATAGTTTACACACCACAGCTACAGTGTTATCATAGTCCGTGTTTTGCTGCGTACTTACTATTACAAGTTTTGTACCTTCAGGTGATTATTTATTGCTCAATAATAACTTTTTGCGGGGGGGGGTTGAAGTACTCCCTTTGATATTTCTTGTAGGATGGGTCTGGTATTGATGAAATCCTTCTGCTTTTGTTTGGGAAAGTCTTCATTTCTCCTTCATGTTTAAAGGATATTATTGCCAGATATACTACTCTAGTTTAAAAGTTTTTGTCCTTCACCTCTTTAGATATGTCATGCCACTCTTCTGGCCTGTAAAGTTTCCACTGAAGAGTCTGCTGCCAGACATATTGGAGGTCCACTTTAAGTTATTGTTTCTCTTCTCTTGCTGCTTTTAGAATCCTTTCTTTATCCTTGACCTTTGAGAGTGTGATTATTAAATGTGTTGAGTTAGTCATATCTGGGTTAAATCTGCTTGGTTTTCTACAACTTTCTTGTATTTTTTTTTTTTTTTTTTTGAGTTGGAGTCTCACTCTCTAGCCCAAGCTGGAGTGCAGTGGTGTGATCTTGGCTCACTGCAACCTCCACCTCTCAGGTTCAAGTGAGTGTCACACCTCAGCCTCCCGAGTAGCTGGGACTACAGGCACATGCCACCACCTGGCTAATTTTTTGTATTTTAGTACAGATGGGGTTTCACCATGATGCCCAGGGTCGTCTCGAACTCCTGAGCTCAGGCAATCCACCCACCTCGACCTTCCTAAGTGCTGGGATTACAGGCGTGAGACACCGCATTGGAACTATAACTTTCTTGTAATTGGATATTGATATTTTTCTCTAAGTTTCAGAAGTTCTCTTATTCCTCTGAATAAATTTTCTATCCCTGTATCTTTCCATATATACTATTAAAGACCTTCAATAACTCTTAGATTTTTACCTTTTGAGGCTATTTTCTAGATCGTACAGATGTACTTTTTTTTGTCTTTTTTGTTTGTTTGTTTCCTCTGACAGTATATTTTCAAATACACTGGTTCAGAATTGCTGCTTCATTCTTTTTAATTATTTCAATATCTTCGTTTAATTTATCGGATAGAATTCTGAATTTCTTCTCTGTGTTGTCTTGAATGTCTTCAACTTTCCTCAACACAACTATTTTGAATTCTCTGTCTGAAAGGTCACATATCTCTGTTTCTCCAGGATTGGTCCTTGGTGCCTTATTTAGTAGATTTGGTGAGGTCATGTTTCATGGATGATGTTAATTCTAGTAGATGTTCTTCAGTGTCTGGATATTGAAGAGTTAGGTATTTATCGTAGTCTTTACCGCCTCATATTATTTGTAGCTGTTCTTCTTGGGAAAACTTTCTAGATATTTGAAAGAACTTGGGTGTTGTGAACTAAGCAGTTTCTGCTTTAGGGGGCACCCCAAGCCCAGGAATGCTGTGATTCATGCAGCGTTGTAGAGATACCTTGTTGTGGCTGAGCCAGTAACCAAGATGCAGGACAAAGTCCTCCCTACTCTTCCCTCTCTTCTCCTCAAGCAGAAGGAAGAAGTCTCTTTTGCAGCTTTGAGCTGTGCTGTCTGGGGTTAGGGAAGGGTTAATGCCAGCACTCTCTTGGCTGCCATACTTGGTGTCTCAGTATGTCATGTATTTCCCCGGTCCACTGCTTCTGGGTCAAGTTCAGCCCTGGGACTTGCCTAAGAGTTACAGTCCTTGTGGCAGAGACTGCCTTTCAAGTTTACTTAGAGACCAAGAGCACTTTGGACCTAAGTGGCAAGGATTGCCAGAACTCAAGTTCAGACCTGTGTGATCAGTGATTCCCCTCTGGCTAAGGCCCGGTTTTAATGTTCCCTCTGTAAGCGGTGTCAGCTGAGTTTGGTCTGGGTCTGCTTTCTGTGCCAACAGAACAGCACTGAGTTCAATGCCTCACAAATGTGTTCTCCCTCCTCCAGCACCCAGAGAGGCTCTCTGCACCATGCTGCTGCTGGGGGATGAGGGAGGGGTGGCATCAGTGACTCTGGACTGTTTTTTCTATATCTTCAGTTCTTCTTTCAGGGATACAAAGTTAAAACCAGGTACTGTGAGTGCTCACATGATTTGGGGTTCGTATAAGGTGTTTCTCTGTGTAGATAGTTGTTAACTTGGTATCCTTGTGGGTAAGGGATGATGATTGGTGGAGCTTTCTGTTTTGCCACCTTAGAGTGTATTCTAACATGCCAAAAATATTTTACTATTCTCAATTTTATTAAGAATGGTTACTAACATAAGCGAATGTTTCCCAACTAGTGAAATGTTGCGTTACTTATCTATTACTTAATAAAATGTATTATTACTGAAGACCTCCTTGCATTCCTGGTTAAGAGTATAATTTGTGATATGGAATTCATTTACAATATTTCTAGTTTCTATTTACTAGTATTTTTCTTAAGTAGTTAAGTATCTATATTTAGAAGAGATAGTTTCCTATCATAATAAAAAAATAATTTTCTTATTCATATATTATTATTTCCAAGAGACAGTAGCAATTAAGTAATGGCCAGAAAAAACTTTTTGAATATCTGAATTCCACAAGTGGTTGATTTTCACAAATAAAGAAATCAATATTTTTTATGATTTTCCTATCTTATATTTATTTAGTAATTATTGTTCACAGAATCAAGAAAAGCAGGAGTTTGACCACATACACCCTGTCAAATGATATATAAACAAACACTATCTGATATTATGCATATGTTAATGATTTGATGGAATATAAAGGTTCTCACACTTGTTTTTGGACTTTTCTTAGCTAATCCTTCTCAGGCAAGTTAGTTTTTGCCACACTGGGCAATTTGTAATTCCCTCAACCACTTCACCTTTCATATTTCTCTGTGCTTATTCATTCTACATCTTCATTATCAATTGTTCTGTCTGTATTTCTTATGTGGAAAAATACTTCTTTTTGCCTCTAAAAATCAACCTCAACAGTTAATTATTTAGCTTCCCCAATCAAAATATTTCTTTTATACAGCCATTTTATGCTACTATTATTTACATGTCTTTGATACTAGATTTTGAACTCATCCAGGATAAGAACAGTGTTCTATTTATTTTGCTATCTCCCAGAGAACTGTTCTCTGTATATAACAGGAGCTCATTAACTCCTACCACTCAATGAATGAATGGTATGAGATTCTCCATTTCAAATTTACCCTGTTCCTTATACTTCTCAATATATTGTAACTTCAACTAAATAATGTCAAATGCAGAAATTTCTTTTTCTTTATTACTATACATAATCTATTTCATTAAGATATTATGAGAGATTACTAGAAACGTCATCGTGATGGTTATAAACAATGTTCTAGAGTGATGGTACCGATATTATCTCAAGGACATTCATGGTCTCTAGCTCCCCTACAATTTGGAACCATGGCCTGAACTCATATGTAGCGTACTACAGCGAACTTCTCTACTTACTTCTTTTAAGAAACATTGAAGGGGAAAAATTCACACACTCACATCTGAGCTGCCAGTCCTCAGGGAAACTTGCTTTTTTATTTACCATAAACTGAAAAGAAACTTATTTCACAGTTGCTTTAGCATTAAGAAGACTGTCTGTTTACCCATTTGACAGAATTCTCATATAATCACATGAATGTTGATCTTAGTCAAATACAGGTATCAAGGAGGGAGAGAATCATAAGATCAGAAAAAGAATTAAAATAATCAATTGAATTTCTAGGAGGTCTCTTTTCTTCTTTCATGGAAAGGCAAGGCAATTTAGTCATGCCTTGTCAATTATTAGTGCCATTTTTTTTTTTAGTGCTTGGATTATACGATAAAATACTCTGTCATCTGGCTCTCAATGTTAAATCTGATTTTAGATTTTCCCTTTTCTTCACTGGAAGCAGAGAAGTGAGGATGGGGAATGAGAGATATAAGGGCACACACAGGGCAGACAGTGAAGCAGGGAAATAATAGCAATGGCGTCCAGCAGGAGAGGAAGCAGGGAACTAAAGGCAGGTGGTAGAATCACATGGCTACAAAAAGCCAGGTGTAAATCCCACATCCTTTTGTTTGTCTTTATTTAAAACCCTGAAGAAAAAGAAAAGAGAAGCAGTTAAAAGAGATTATAAAACAGCAAGGATTATAAACAATTTTATTGCCTAATAGACTAACAGCAGTTTAAAGTATGGTTGGGTCACCTAATGAAAACTCAAAGTAAAGGAAACATCATAAAGAATGTTAACATTTTAATATAAATACCTTGAATTTTCTAATGGTTTTTTGGTTTTGTATATGTTAGAAGACTGAGGGGCTTAGGCAAAGGGAAAATATATTTTGAAATTAAACAGAAGTTATCCACTACAATAAGGCACGAGTCACTGTAGAAATTATGAAACGTGTTTAAATAGTTATGTAGGGCCCTTGCAAGGTGCTACAGAATATATCAACTGCCTTCTCCAAAAGTTGTGCCTAATATATTATAGGAAACAATGACAAAGTTTTTTGAGATTCAAATCTGAACAAAGAGAATCAAATGGTTTTATTGTCACGCAACATTTTTAAACTGACAACACTGTAATAACTTGTGGTTTGCAGTTAACCAAGCAAATATTTTGACTCAATTTATATGTTTATGCCGATATGGTAAACACAATTCAAACAGCACCATAATAATACAGTATTTTGAAATCTGTTACCAACAAAACAAACCATATAATTACATATTTATGCTAGTTACTGCTAGACAATAGAACATAAGCACAGAATACAAATGCTCAGAGCGCAAGGTTGATAAGCTTGATAAAATAAATGCCCCGAATGATAGGAGTCACTACTTCAGATTCCTCGGATACCAGGCTCTCTCTTAGGGTCACGTTCTAACGTAAGCAAAGCCATCATTTTGTATGTGGAAATTAGAAATATGGGATGGAATAAAAACTATTGAAGAGCAACTTTAGAAGCAGCAGATGGAAAGTATTTGATCAACTTTGCGTGAAGTGAGCCTATTATTTCAGCTGAAGACTACTACATTCACCAATAACAGTAACCTATTTTTACAGTAGTAAGTGAGCATTTCCTGTCTTATATTGATCAAAATGGGAATCAACTCATGTCATTATTTCACTTTGTAGGCCTAATTACTTCTCTTTATACTTAGAATGTAATTCAAATTTGTAAGGCTGCAAAACCCTCTGTTGTATGGCCACTGCCTATTCTTCCACGACATCATTGCACAGCTCTCGTTTTTGTTGATAACATTCTAGACTCTGAATTTTTCTTTGTCAAAAAGTTTCAAGGTCTTGTCTCTTGCTGCAATTTTCTCTGCTAGGGATACTTTTTTCCCGTGATCCTCACATTGCTGGCTTATTTCATCATTTAGAAATCAGGTCAATATTATATCCTGTAAGACATCCACCCTGGCAATCGTATCCAAAGCGATCAGCTTTCCTTATACACTCCCTCTCTATCCCATGACCTCATTATTTTTTATAACTTTGATCATCAGCTGATATAATCTCATTTCTGTATTTTTATTTATTGTCTATCTTACTTTTGTTAAAATGCAAGCTCCATGACAACAGAAATATTATATGTATTTTTCATCACTATATCCACATGTAAAAAAAAAAAAAAGATGCTCAAGCAAAAATAATTTTTTTGAGACAGGGTATCGCTCTGTTGCCCAAGCTGGAGAACAGTATTGTGAAATGGCTCCCTGCAGCCTTGACCACTTGGGCTCAAATGATCTTCCTGCTTTAGCCTACTGAGTAGCTGAAACTACAGGTGTGCACCACCAAGCCCGACTAATTTTTTTAAGTTTTTTGTAGAGATGAGATCTTGCCATGTTGCCCAGGCTGGTCATGAACTCCTGGGCTCAAGCAATCCTCCCACCTCAGATTCCAAAATTGCTGGGTTTATGGATGTGAGCCACCATGACTGGCTGTCAGAAAATACTTAATAGATGAGTATGTCATAATTCACTTTTAAATTAAACTCAGAAAATGAATAACAAGGATAAATTTGAAGAATGTATATGGTGACCTACTAATAAACAGAACATATATAATTGATTAATACCATTAATAAAGAGATTAATAAACATATAATCTCTTTATATATCAATTATTATATATGTTCAAGAAGCAAGCAAGTATGTAGTTAAGTGATAATGACATTGATAAGGTTAACAAAGATCATCTAAATTACATTTAACTAATTAGACAATTTTAGTGTTCAGTGCTGTAGAGCAGGCAAAAAGGAAGATGCCTAAAACAAACTTCTAGACTTCAATGAGTGGCCATCTAGGACAGCAGCAAAATAATAGCAAAGGAAATCAGGCTGTAGAAGGCTAGGCAGATGGCAGGCAAGAAGATGGAAGCTCCTTATATAAGCTACAGCATCAGAGTTTTGGTACTAATTGAAGAGAGAGTTATAGCTTGATTATTAGAGTAGAAATACAGCTGAAAAATGTACCCACGTTTGTCTGTTGTTTATTTGATTGGAGGATTTACTTCTTTGCTTACTGTGAAGGGAAAAGAGAGTGAGTGGAGTACTTTTTAAAGACATGGCCAAAGGACCCAATAGAAATGAAATGATAATATAAAAGGAGAAGTAGGTAGACATGGCTCAGTGTCAGCTGGAACCCAATTAAGATTTACATTTAAAATATAGGGTTAAATTTCCACCACTCATTTTTGCTATTATCAACTTCACCTAATAGCATTCACCCTTTTTAAAGAGGCTTATAGATGCATGGGAGAAAAATGAATATCGCTTTGAAAAGTGTATTTGTATTTCAAATCATTAAAACAGAGTCTGGCACCAGGAGAATATAGCTATTCCAGTAAAAATGGTGATAAAATGAATCATTCTTAACTCTTCTTTCCTTGGTCATTATCAAATATTTAAAATATATAAGGACACCTCATGGCAAGTGTGATGGTTAATACTGAGTGTCAACTTGATTGGATTGAAGGATACAAAGTATTGTTCATGGGTGTGTCTGTGAGGGTGTTTCCAGAGGAGATTAACATATGAGTCAGTGGGCTGGGAAAGGCAGACCCACCCTTAATCTGGGTGGGCACAATCTAATCAGCTGCTAGCATGGCTAGAACATAAGCAGGCAGAAAAAATATAAAAAGAGAGACTGGCCTAGCCTCCCAGCCTACATCTTTCTCCTGTGCTGGATGCTTCCTGCCCTCAAACACTGGACTCCAAGTTCTTCAGTTTTAGAACTCCGACAGGCGGGGCATAGTGGCTCATGCCTGTAATCCCAGGACTTTGGGAGGCCAAGGTGGGTGGATCATGAGGTCAGGAGATCAAGACCATCCTGGCTAACATGGTGAAACCCCATCTCTACTAAAAATACAAAAAATTAGCTGGGCGTGGTGGCAGGTGCCTGTAGTCCCAGCTACTCAGGAGACTGAGGCAGGAGAATGGCGTGAACCCAGGAGGCGGAGCTTGCAGTGAGCCTAGATTGAGCCACTGCACTCCAGCCTGGGCAACAGTGGGAGACTCCATCTAAAAAAAAAAAAAAAAAAAAAAAAAAAAAAAAAAAAAAAAAAAAAAAAAAAAAAAACAAC
Organism: Homo sapiens; assembly: GCF_000001405.40. Lineage (NCBI taxonomy): Eukaryota > Metazoa > Chordata > Mammalia > Primates > Hominidae > Homo > Homo sapiens. The sequence continues at coordinate 174,885,872 of NC_000003.12, read as the reverse complement.
TCGGACTGGCTCTCCTTGCTCCTCAGCAGATGGCCTATTGTGGGAACTTGTGATTGTGTGAGTTAATACTTAATTTTTATGCTAGTTACTGCTAGACTATATTATATATTCCATTAGTTTTGTCCCTCTAGAGAACCCTGACTAATACAGATTTTGGTACCAGGGGTGCTTCTAGAGGAACAGAATATTAAGGATGGAGTTCTTTTGTAAGTTTTGGGGTTTCTGGAGTTGGCTGCTTAATATGATTAGACCCCAAAATGCAAAGAACTCTACTTCTAATAGTATGGAGTACACTGATACTCCTTGGCATAAACTGTTTAGAGAATTACACAAAATAATTGCATTTGACACTCTTGATTCATCATTCGTGGGAGGCAAGGAGTTTAGTGACTCTATACATAATACCTTTGACCATATGTGGAGAACCAAGGAACATAATGAAGCTGCTTGGTTGCCCCTAAGCTCAGTGGACAAAGTGATGAAAGAAAATGATGAACTCAGCGATTCTTCTCCCGGCTTCAGAAGCAGATACTGAGCCTCAAATCTGCTAAAATTGCCCTGAATGAGAGTCTTATCTCCTACAGACAAAGAGCTGAAATTGTGGAAAAACAGACACAAGATCTTATCATGCGAGTGGCCGACCTGCAATGAAAGGTGCATGCACAGCCTCACCAGGTGTCTACTGAGGGCATTGATTGGGAAAGAATGGGACCCTACAACTTGCAATTGGGATATGTGTGAGGACCCTAATGACAATGGGGACACTGAGGTTGTAAACTGTGATGAAACTTTTTTGCCAGAAGAAACAACTTCCCCATCCCCAGCAGAGGCAACATCCCCTCCCTGACTCATGCTGCCATCAGCCTTTCCACCTTTGACTGAGGAGATAAACACTGTGCTGCCTGAGACAACAGTGATGGCCTCCCCTGAGGCAGTTTCCAGGCAAGAAAATGTGGATTCTCCTCAGGAGCCACCCCCAACACTCCTGTTTACCTCTAGACCTATACTAAATTCCTGGCGGGCCCCTAGAGATGAGGTTGAGAGTGTCACCTCTGAGGAGGTGTGCTATACTCGAAAAGAACTGCTTGAGTTTTCTAATTCATATAAACAGAAATCTGGAGAACAGGCATGAGAGTGTATATTAAGGGTGTGGGATAATGGTTGAAGAAATACGGAGTTGGATTAGGCTGAATTGATGGATTCAGGCCCACTAAGTAGGGACTCTGCATTTAACGTTGCAGCTCCTAGACACTTATTCCAGATATGGATTTGCCTATCCTGCACACAATGCTTCTGCCAAGACTACCATCCGTGGACTCATAGAATGTCTTATCCACGATCATGGTATTCCACACAGCATTGCCTTTGACCAAGGCACCCACTTTACAGCTAAAGAAGTGTGACAATGGGCTCATGCTCATGGAATTCACTGGTGCTACCACATTCCCCATCATCCTGAAGCAGCTGGATTGATAGAATGGTGGAATGGCATTTTGAAGTCACAATTACAATCCCAACTAGGTGACAATACTTTTCAGGGCTGGGACACAAAGTTCTCCAGAAGGTCACATATGCTCTGAATCAGCGTCCAACATATGGTACTGTTTCTTTCATGGCCAGGGTTCATGGGTTCAAGAATCAAGGAGTGGCAGTGGAAGTGGCACCACTCATCATTACCCCTAGTGATCCACTAACATTTCTGCTTCCTGTTCCCATGACATTACATTCTGCTGTCCTAGAGGTCTTAGTTCCAGAGGGAGGAATGCCGCCACCAGGAGACACAATGATGATTCCATTGAATTGGAAGTTAACATTGCCACCTGGACTCTTCGGGCTCCTCCTACCCTTAAGTCAACAGGCTAAGAAGGGAGTTACAGTATTGGCTGGGGTGATTGGCCCAGACTCTCAAGATGAAATCAGCCTACTACTCCACAGTGGAGGTAAGGAAGAGTATGCATGGAATACAGGAGGCCCATTAGGGGGTCTCTTAGTATTACCATGCCCTATGTTTAAGGTCAATGGGAAATTACAACAGCCCAATCCAGACAGGACTACAAAAGACCCAGACCCTTCAGGAATGAAGGTTTGGATCACCCTACCAGGAGAAAAACCACAACCTGCTGAGGTGCTTGCTGAAGGCAAAGGGAATACAGAGTGGGTAGTAGAAGAATGTAGTCATCAATACCAGCTACAACCACGTGACCAGCTGCAGAAACGAGGGCTGTAATTGTCATGAGTATTCACTCCTTCTTTTGTTAAAAAACATGTTTGTGCATGTATACACTTGTACTAAGAAAATATCTTCATTTTATTTCCTTTCTCCATTATCATGTGACATAAGATTTATTGACTTCACATCAGCATTTAAGTATTGCTAGCTTTATGTAATAGTATTTGGGTTGGGGATCAGTGCATTTCCGCTTGTATGAAGGATAGTTGTGTCATGTTAGGCGTAATTATGACCTTCTTATTGTCTTTATTTGAAGATTATGAAGATTATGAATGATCTCAAGAGATGTGTATGGATTCAGGTTGACAAGCGGTGGACTTGTGATGGTTAATACTGAGTGCCAACTTGAGTGGACTGAACGATACAAAGCATTGCTCCTGGTGTGTTTCTGTGAGGGTGTAGCCAAAGGAGATTAACATTTGAGTCAGTAGGCTGGGAAAGGCAGACCCCCCCTTAATCTGGGTAGGCACAATCTAATCAGTGGCTAGCATGGCTAGAATATAAGCAGGCAAGAAAATGTGAAAAGATACACTGGTCTAGCCTCCAAGCCTACATCTTTCCCCCATGCTGGATGCTTCCTGCCCTTGAACATCGGACTCCAAGTTCTTCAGTTTTGGATCTCGGACTGGCTTTCCTTGCTCCTTAGCCTACAGACGGGCTATTGCGAAACCTTGTGATCATGTGAGTTAATGCTTAATAATCTGCCATATATATACATATATATACAAACATATATATACACATATATATACATATATACACATATACACATATACACATATGTATATATACACATATGCACATATACACACGTGTATATATACACATATGCACATATACACACGTGTATATATACACATATGTATATATACACGTGTGTATATATACACGTGTGTATATACACATAGATACACATATACACATATATGTGTAGATACACATGTATATACACGGATACACATATACACATATGTGTATATGCACATATGTGTATATGCACATATGTGTATATGCACATATATGCATATGCACATATATGTATGTGTATATACACATATGTGTATAAGCACATATGTATATATACACATATGTACATATGTGTGTATGCATATATGTGTATATGCACATATGTATATACACATATATGTATATGCACATATGTATGCATACACATATGTATATATGTATATATACACACATATATACACACACACACAACACACATACACAATATACATTATATTAGTTCCGTTCCTCTAGAGAACCCTAATATATCAAGTTAACTATTTTGTGTCCTTTTCTAATTGTTTCATGGCCATATTATTAGTCAAAAAAGAAAAATAAAAACCTCTTACCTCCCTATAATTAGTGACTAAAACCTATTTTTAAAGTTCTTCACATAGTTTTGCATTTTTATAAAGGAACTGCCACAGAGATACAAAGAGAACAAGTGGGTTGATTAGGAAAATCAGTGGTAAATTAGAAGGCTGGAAAATTCAAATATCTTACTTAACGTAAGTGGAATATCACATGTTCTGTAACACCTTAAATACAAGAAAGAAGTTTCTTTTCTGACTTATTCTCAAAAACTATTAAAGCTATACAAAACAGGGACCAAATCTTGTTCTTATGCCTAAAATCTATCACTGTAAAAGCATTTTAGATAAATACATATCATTAAATAATTTGATTATTCATTCACCAAAGGCCTTTCCCCAAATCTGAAACATCTGAAATAAAACATAACAGTAGATCTACAAGATATGTTAAACTGCATTTCTCCATATATCTCTCTTTGAAATTGCATTTCTCTCTTGTTCTCTGCACATACTTATCCGACCCAGATTTCTAGAGAATGTTCCTGAGGTGAGCAGCATAAGAAGATGCTCAAATATTTATTGAGTACCTACTATATGCCAGTGACTATTCTAGGAGCTTGGGATACATCCAGGAATAAAACAGGTAAATACTCAAACATGCTGCCCGCATGGAGTACAAGTTGGATAGACAAAGACAAACAATAAAAACAAGCATAATAAACAAGTAAATAATAAACCAACAAACATAAAGTCTTGAAAATTTTCCTCTAAGTTTTCTATCAACCAGTTTGGGAGCAAACACTGACCTGAACTAATATAAACCTACTTACATATTTTATTTATCCCAAATGCAAATAGCCATGTTTCACCACAGAAACGTGAGTAAATTTGATTATGGTATGATGCCCCAAGCCCTATTGAGGCTATTGTGTAATATGTTTTGTGTACCATATAATCTTCCTAAAACCTGAAAAATTTTAAAACACAAAATGTTCAAAATCCCAAAGATTTTGAGTAACTTATTGTAGAATTAATGTAAAAAGTAGAGTGGAGAAGGGAGATTGCAATCCTAAACAGACAGTCTGTTAATATAAATGAAATATCATATGTTCCATGCTAAGCTTAATGATATGGTTTGAATGGCAGCTCCTCAAAGGATATGTCCACCTGGAGCCTATGATTTTTGACCTTATTTGAAAACAGGGTCTTTACAGAAGTAATAAAGGATCTGACATGAGATTATCTTGGATTTAGTGTGGGTTCTGAATCCAGCAATAGGTATCCTTAAAAGAGAAGAACAGAAGGAGAGTTAAGACCCAGATAAAAAGACAGGAAGGTCATGTGAAGACAGTGGCAGATATTAGAGTTCTTCAGCTTCAAGCCAAGGAATTCCAAGGATTGCCATCAGCCACCAGAATCTAAGAGAAGGGGCATGATATAGATTCTTCCTCAGAGCCTCAATATGGATCTAACCCAATCAATACCTTGGTTTCAGATTTCTGCCCTTCAGAATTATGAGAAAATAAGCATCTATTGTTTTAAGGCCCTCAATTTGTAGAAATGTGTTACAGCAGCCTGAAGAAACGAATATATCTAATTAAGAAGTAATATTTGAGAAAAGACTTAAAGAAGGTGAAGGAGTAAAGCCAAAAGCAGACCTATGAGAAGGATAATCTAGGCGGAGGGAAGAGCTAGTTTAAAGCCCTAAAGTAGAAGCACCTCAGTCATGTTCTAAGATGGTCATTGAGTCTGTGTTGAGAGATGCAAGGGTAGAAGTAAGGTAACCCATCAGAAGACTAGTCAGATATTGCAAACAAGAAATGATGGCAATCAAGACCAGAGGGCGTTAGTGAAAGTGAAAAAAATAAATCAAAATCTGGATGTATCTGAAGACAGAGACATTGCATTTCCAAAGGGACTAAATGTAAAGAAGGGTATAATTTTACGGTTTTTGTTTTTGCTTGTTTTTACTTGAGTTTTTTGTTTTGTTTTGTTTTAGGCTGAGCAACTGGAAATGAGTTACTTCCAACTGAGATGTGCAATGCCAGAATAGGTTTGGGAGAGACTATCAGGAGTATAGCATAGTTTGAGATGTTTAATCATACCCAGGTAGATACGTTGAGTACATAATTGGCCATAGGACTCTAGGGTTTCAAGAATGGCCAGGACTGAAACTGAGAGTTGAGAATCATCGATATAGAGCTGATAGGTCACAAGGGAGGAATGGAAGCCAGAGAGGATCATGGGTTGAGCCCCGGGGCACTCCAATATTAAGAAAGCAGGTATAACAGGGTAAAACAGCAAAGGAGATTAACAAGGAGTGACTAATAAATTAGGGGCAAAGCAAGACAGCACAGTACCCGAAGACCAGGGATACAGGGAGGATGAAGTAACCAATACTGTCAAGTGTTGCTCATAGATCAAGCAGGAAGAAGATTGAGAATTTACTAATGAATTTGAGAACATGAAGGTAATTAGTGACGCTGATAAGAGAAGCTTTGGGTATAGTTGGAGCAAATGCTTGATGAAAATGGGCTTCAGATAAAATATGAGGGGAGAAATAAGAACAATTATTTAAAGGGGTTTTGCTACAAAGAAGAGTAAGAAAAATGGGACTGTAGTTTAGGAGATGAGTAGTGAGGCCAAAAAAAATTATGAATATCTCATTCACCTGAAGTTATAAATGTTGATTTTTAATTCTTTTGAAGCAAGTACTTACACAAAATATATTTTTCTATGTATTAAAATCTAATACATTGAAATCAAAACATCATATGAAAAGAAAATTAATTTACATTTCAAAATTATGAATGAGGCATTTACCTCCGTAGGAAAAAATCATAAAATTATTTTAAAACTGTATGTTTTGAGGCCATAATCAGAGACAATTAAGAATATGTATATTAAAGACAAAGTCATTGAACATAAAGGACCTAATTCTTTCTGCTTTTAACTTGGAGACAGTATTGTGCCAATCTACAATGAAGGGGATAAACTAGGAAATTTGGCTTTGGCAAAATTAAGAAGGAGTAAAATTAGGCTTCTTCTTCATCTTTGCAATTAAAACTGTCTGTGGTCTGTAGTCAAGGTGTTCCTTAATAAGTAGATTTATCTTACTTATTCTCCATGCCACATTAACTAAGATGAATAAACTAAATATATAACGACAGATATTTAGGTACGAAAAAAATACCTTGAAAGCTCTACTTCTGCACTGGAAGGCTAGTTAAGCTTGTATAACCTTGAAAAATACAATGTTGTTTTGGCTTGTCCTGTACTGGAAAAGCTATAAATTTTTTCTTCTGTAGGGCTACACAAAATAACGTTAGCTAAATATGCGTACTGAGATTGAAGAAAGACAGTAATACAGAATTTTATACAAGTATTCAAGGCCAATAAAGGCCTGCATGGCGTCGGCATATTGGGTCCTCTTCTTCACTATACACATTCTTTTTATTATTGTTTTGAATGACAAATAATCACATGGCCCCTTTTCAATTTAACAGGATTTTTTTATCTCACATGTCTTCTGAGGTATGAAAAAAAGTCAGATGTCAAATATGATGTCTTTAATGAACAGCAGAAGGGGTGGGGTCTATAGGAAACCAGAATTAACCTATCCTTGCTGCAGTGTACAGGGGCAAATAGAAAAGAGCGGCAGAACAGATATTGAGCTTACTGCCAACAAGAAAAAAATTCAAGAGGGATTTAGAATCATTTCATCTCCATAAATGGATTAAACAACAATCATAGACATTAGGTGCAGAGCAATATAAGAAATGTAATCCCAGGAAGCAAAACCTATAAATTAAGGTAGTTTTAAAAGCCAAATCCAAAACATGTAGGTTTTTGCAATGGTTTGGATTCTTCATAGCAACATAGTTGCTCACGCAGTTTTAAGTAGTTCTAGTTGGCTAGGCCATACATTTTGTCAGAAGACAATGATTCAACAGGTTGGCCAAATCCCACTGAGTAGACTCATTGAGGTAGAGAAAAAAATTGCTCAGAAAAAAATGGCATTAACTAATATATAGAAATCTTTCATCTGAGTTCTCAATTTGACAATCAATAACTTACTACACACTCAGTTTAAACGTTGTGTCTAATCATATAAATTTTTCTCAAAATACTTTATGAAATTTGCTTGTTTTCAAAGGTCTTGATAGATTGTGCCTATACATTTACCACATTATATATTTAGAGTTAATTGAAAAGCTATTTCAAAATCAGACACGATGTAACCAAATTTTAGAGGTCCATGTATATCACTGTTTTCTTTGTTAAGTTCATTTTCTGCCAAATATATACATAGAAAGCTAATATTTAAGTACACTCTGGTTTTGGAAGTGCCCTAATAAGCCACCATCTCTAACTACATGAGTCTCCACTATATCATCCCTAACCAGTTATTCCACTTATGCTGGGCTATAATTGTTTGTAAGGAATTTGCTATCTTATGATAGTGAGTTTCTATTTTTCTTATGGGGAAAAATCGTATCATCTTTAAACTATGCAAAAACCCTTCCGTACTTTCAGCTAAATAAAGTCGTTTGATTTCTAGCTGCTATCCATTGGTCTTACTGCTTCTCCCTTGCAATGCTATTTAACAATTCTTTAATCCATATTCTACATCACCTGTCTTCAAATACTTTAAGATAGCTATAGACACTTAACAGTTATAACTCTTAAACCTAAGGAAGCTGTATTTTTAATACTGAGTGGATAAAACTCAAATGAATCCTAAAAATCAAAGTTAAAAGTTAATGAAATTCCTGGAGCTAAGTGGTTATATTTAAAATGATGTTTTTCTTTGTTGTTGGATTTGGGGGTATGGCAGAGATGTGAGAGCCTTTTCTGAATGCCTGAAATAGGGAGAATTGAGAATGGAATGGAGATTGAAGTAATGTCTATCTATTTCATATGCTGATTTATGAAAGAAGGCCTCAATTAAAGATAACGGAAGGATCACTTTAATTAATCCCTAAGGATACACTGGCCAGCTTCATAAGTTTGTTAACCATCAGTACTGAATTACTGAGATCTCAAGTTTGGTGCATAGATATCTACATAGATGTAAAATATATGAAAATAAACCTAAAAGGTAAGCGTCTAAGTAGCTTCTTTGAATAGCACAACTTATGGACTGAATGTTTGTCTCCCCCCAAAATGCATATTTTGCAATTTTAAGCAGTTTCAGCTGGCTAAACTAAATGTGATGGTATTTAAGGTTGAGACCTTTTGGTGATAATTAGGTTTAAATAGTCTTGGGGTTGTGGCCCTCATAATGAGATTCATGTTTTATAAAAAAGAAGAAGAAAGCCCAGTGCTTTCTCTCCTGGCCATGTAAGAAAAATGCAAGAAGTTGGCCATCTGCAAGCCAGGAAGAGAGCCCTCACCAAATCTACATTTGCTAATGCCTTAATCTTGAATTTCCCAGCTTCCAGAATGGTGGAAAATAAATATCTATTGTTTAAACCATCTAATCTATGGTATTTTGTTTTAGCAGCCCAAGCCAACTAAGAACACAAGAAATATCCCTGCCACAAATTCCTCCTCTATGGGCTATCTCACAAAGATGGCTGTTGAAATTCAATATAACAGACAAGGATAATAAATCATTAACAAAGTCAAAAGAATCCATTTAGCTACAAAGATTCTCAGTCTGTGGAATTGCTGGTGGTACCTCGTAAATGAGGAAAAACTAAAGAGGAGGGTGGAATAGTATGAACTCATTACTTTAAATATTGACAGTTGTCATCCAGTAATATTTTTGAAGGACACAGAGCAGATGATATCACACAAAACTGTATCTCCTACCTATGCGTATAATTCTACCATTACAAATATTTTATAAACATTTACTGTGAACAATTTTGTTGGTTCATTTTATGCAGAAGTATTATAAGAAGGTTATGTGGTGGGAGGGACAGAGGGGAAAAGAGCTAGAGGATGGTTAGCCATGGAAGAAAGGAAATGTAGCAAACAAGTTGAAGAGTAAAAAACAAACAAAGAAAATATCAACAGCTTCATGGTTTTTTCAACGGGTCCTGTCTCTCTGTTTTGCTCTTACAGAGCCTTAGAATAAGAGTTCAGATCCTATTCGCTATCCTTTCCTAGCTTTACACATATAATAACAAAGAGAGAAGATTTTTATTGTATTTTGTGCAGAATGTATTATGCTGCTAAAGTCCAAGATTATTTGTGCTGTTAACATCTGATCACATAAAACGAATATACACTGTACATTATAGTAGATATGATGGAAATAAACCTGGTTAAAATACTGTTTTGTATAATTCTTGAAATATGCATTTTAGTTTTCCCTCAAAAAAAAAAACAAGGTTTCACTTTTATCTATCTTTTAAGTTGATTACTCATAATAGGAAATTTTTAAAAATTAAATTATTACTATAAGCATGATTGAGGTATTTTTCATTTCTCCTAAGCATTTATCACTCTCAGATTTGGCTTTAATGGTCCATGTAAAATGAAAAATAGGCAAATAACATTCCACCTTAATCGTTACCAGCAAGATATTACTTTAAGACTGCTTTTAAATGCTTATGAAAAAATGCCAAAAATTATTTTTTGTTACAATGTTATAAACACAGATTTTAGTTATTTTAGTCATAAATTAAGGGACACACATTTTTTTTCTTTCTTAGAAAATAAGATATATTTCTGTTTCTCTGGAGAAAAGCAAATATGTTTCAACAGGAATATATTAGGATGTAAAGTGAATTACACAATTTTAAATATAGAAAGAACTTTAGAAATCATTTTAATGCTGTTGAGATTACTGATTACTATCAAAATCTGACAAAACCTATGAACTCTGTCTCTTAAAAAAGGTACATAAACATAAAAATTCTTAATCTGGGGTCTGTCAACCAGTGGTTCATACTAGAAGTCCATATTCCTCCTGTATTTCTATGCAAATATATGTATGTGTGTACATAGTAAACAACTATTTTATTTACCCTCCAAAGTCTACTCTTTTCACTCCTGCTTTTTTATCATTTTTGAAAATAAATAAATAATGCAATGACATTTATATTGTTTATTTTCTTACATGTAAAATAAGTCAGAAATCCTAGAATTGGAGAGGTTGATAACATGAACTAAATGTGTTCGTTAAATTGGATGACTGAATTATATTGCATTTTTTTCGCCAATCGTGATTTTTTTTTTTTTTTTTTTTTTTTTTTTTTGAGACAGGGTCTCATTTTGTCACCCAGGCTGGAGTGCAGTGCTGCAATCACAGCTCACTTCAGCCTTGACCTCCTGGGCTCAAACAATCCTCCCACCTCAGCCCCCAAATAGCTGGGACTATGGGTGCATGCCACCACGTCCAGCTAATTTTTTTGTTTTTGTAAAGATAGGGTCTCACTATATTGCCAGGCTGGTCTCAACCTCCTTGGCTCAAGGGATCCTTCTTCCTCACCCTCCCAAAGTGCTAGGATTAGCGGTGTGAGCATCTATCATGAATTTTAACAAAGCAGACTCTCACTGTCCTGGCAGCTTAATGAGTTGTTCAGCAGTCAAATAATCACACTGTTCAAGACACATGTGTATTTCATCTACTCATAAAAATAGGACATTTGTAAAATATTTAAGTAGCAAAAAAAATATACCTTGAATTGCAATGTACTTCATTTATGTAAAGACTCCCAGTCAAGGTTATTTTTTCTTGAGTACTCACCTTCTCAATGATGCTTTTACACACGTATAGATTGCCCTCACACCCTAGAGCCCCAAGTATAATCTCTTGAGGCCAATACTTGCCATGACATGTCACTCACATAAAATGCCTGCAGTCACATCACACATGTTTTGTCAGCCCTTACATTCTTAATCACTTTGAGGTGCACCTGCTGCAATGCAACCTGTCAATTTGGCAGGAAACAGGAATAGGAAATCCCCATGCTGCCTTATTGTCCACTATGCAAGTATTTTAACTTGGCACATTAAGTATCAGTAGGGGAGACTGTAGTCAAGAAGCATTGATATTCTGTTCTCATATAGGAGTAAATTCATGATGAGAATTTGGAGCTTTCCACAAAAGCAGTTCACTGAAAATGTAGATAACTTCTATAACATGTGCACATGTACTCACGTGCCATCTGGTGAACAGGCACAAAGCCTTAACTATATCGTACTCATGTACCAAGATGAAGTAAAAACAGCATACTACCATCCACTCTGTTTAAAATTTTGATAGCCTTATAACCCCACTGTAATCAGTGGGCTGGAGGCTTGTATTATGCCAGCCCAGGAAAAACAGCACTCCAGTAACTTAATGTTTGTTGGGCAAATATCATTAACTAATGCTTAAAATTCTCCAAACACACTAGTCATGCCAGTATGCCTTTGTACAACTGGTTTCTTATTCTTGAAATACCCTTTTCATTTATTTGATGGCAGAATTCTTTATTCCTTGAGGAGGAAGCAGGTATCACCTACTCTGCTTAAATTTCCCTCTTTCAATATGTTTCCTTCCAAGCAGAATGGCATGCACGAATATTATAATGAAAAGCTATTAGTTTCTTTAGATGTTGTTGTGAGAATGAAGTGGGGTGACTTAAATATAATTCCCAGGATAAGTACCTGGCATATAATAGGCTTCCCAGATTTCATTTGACTCAAAATGTAAAATTCAAATCATGCCTAAATGCCATGACTGATGTATGTTCAAAAGCACTAAACTGGCAAAGGCATATTATTCCACATAACCCTAAATATATATGCTTGTATTTTTTATAAAAAGAAACAGCCAGGTGTGGTGGCTCATGTCTGTAATCCCAGGACTTTGGGAGGCCAAGGTGGGTGGATCGCAAGGTCGGGAGTTCAAGACCAGCCCGGCCAGAAGAGTGAAACCCCATCTCTATTAAGAATATAAAACATAGCTGGGCATAGTGATGTGCCCCTGTAGTCCCAGCTACTCAGGAGGCTGAGGCAGGAGAATCACTTGAACCCGGGAGGCGGAGGTTGCAGTGAGCCAAGATTGTGCCACTGCATTCCAGCCTGGGCGACAGAGCGAGACTCCGTCTAAAATAAATAAATAAATAAATAAATAAATAAATAAATAAATAAAGACATGTACACAGAGAGAGAGAGAGAGAGACAGACAGAGAGAGTGAGTTTTAGTTTAATTCATTACATAAAACTAAGTTAAATAGATTAATGCAAACCATTACATCTAGAGCCACTATTAGGGAATTACATACACGAAATGCTCAACAGATTCTTTAACCACTGGATTTAACTGCATTGTAGGTTAAGAAGAAACGGGTGGAGAAGAAATGGGTGAAAATTATATTCATTAGTTCTCACTGTGAGGAGGTTGGGGATGTCCATTTGCAAGAAAAGTCAATATAAACTCCCAGACAATGCTTTCAAAATAGCATCTTTAATGAATGACTGGAGTTATAAAGGCCACTGAGTTATCCAAACTCACAAACAAGGCATCACAGTATTAAAGAGAAACTACCATACCTTTAATTAGGTACTGAAAATTCAAGGAGCAATTTCAGAATGTTTATCAGAGAAACCTGAAGCTACATGAAATGTGTGTGTGTGTGTGTGTGTGTATGTGTGTGTGTAGATGAATACATTGGTTTTTCCTTTTTCACATTACAGTGTAATATTTCCCTTAGTAAGCTATGAGCGGCTATGATCCCTGTCTCCTTGAATTTAGCTTAGCTTCAGCAGTTACTAACACTATACCTGCTACATAATCATATTTCAATAAATATTTGTTGGATGAACAAAGGCATAATACAAAATTTAGCATGTTTAAATTTAAATATGAATCTACTTCAGTGAAATGCTTTAAATTTGAGTTCTCAACTTGCCAAAAATGGCAACTGAAGGAGCCTATCTCTATTCAAGTAAACCATCATTATATGAGTCAGACAGTTTGAATCCCGAATCCCGGCTCTGCCACCTAGTTTCTGCATAATCCTGAGTAAGTTACTTAACCTCAAGGAGCCTTCTGTAAAATGGAGAAATGAAGGGCCATTTTCATGTGGTGGACGTGACTCTTAAATATGGCCATATCTGTAAAGTGTTTGTAAGTAATGCCCATCCCCTAAAAATAGTTTACCAGTTAGTAGCTACTCTTATCATCATAATCAGCATCATAGATGTTAGAATATGCGCTTAATCTTAACAGCACGAGGTTTTCACCCATATTACTACTTCAAGTATGAAAATTTGTGAAATAATGGCTTCCAAAATGATAATCACAATGTTCACCGTTTCATATAAGCTTTGAAGAACCTTAAAGCCTGTAATTTCAAAAAAGATTTCCTGCTTCGGCTCCCATATTTCTATATTAAAATATTAAAGATCGTCAAGAGTAGCACTGGATAATGTTATCATTTTTCTTAAAACAAGGTATTTATTTATTTATTTATTTATTTTGAAACAGAGTCTGGTTCTGTCACCCCGGCTGGAGTACAGTGGCATGATCTCAGCTCAGTGCAACCTCCACCTCCCAGGTTCAAGCAATTCTCCTATCTCAGCCTCCCAAGTAGCTGGGACTACAGGCATGCACCACCACGCCCAGCTAACTGTTGTATTTTTAGTAGACACAGGGTTTTGCCATGTTGGCCAGGCTGGCCTTGAACTTCTGACCCGAGGTGATCCACCCACCTTGGCCTCCCAAAGTGTTGGGATTACAGCTGTGAGCCACTGTGCCCGGCCAAGTTAGTATATTTCTTAGCTCAGATGTATGTTTCTAGTGTTCAGCAGAAAGATGTATAGAGAAGATAATCTTTTGTCTCCTAACATTTAAGTTACACAAATTTAAAAAAATAATAATCCTTCATCCTTCATTTTTAGCCTATGTGGCAAACTTTCACTGGCTACGGAACAAGAAAGAAACAACTTTTCTGACGCCAGATGCTGAAGATCAATAGCTATTTCCCGAAGTTTATAGCATAATTAAAATGTGTAACAAGAATAATTTTCTCTTCATACCCTAAGGCTAAGCCTAGAATTATTGACTAAGTCAAAGTTATGTGGTGTATCATTTTTTATTATGTTTATGGATAATATAAAGGAGTTTATGGCTTTTACATGTAATTTGTTAAGTTAGAAACACTGAAGAGGAAATATCATTTGCATCAGCAAAGTATCAATTGTTTAAAAACCTCTTTAACATGTATTTTGTAAAGGTAAATCTATATTTCTTTATACTAGTTTTTGGTCACCTAAAACTTCAAACTGAAGGTTAATGGTCAAAACATTCTTGAATTTAGTAGAACCCATTTACTTTCAACTACTTGTTCAGAGCTTTATCACCTTCAATAAAAGTGTCAGGAATGTAGGTATGATGGAAATATCATAAGAGTGTGAGGGTAGGTAGGATAAGAGGAATCAAGATGCACCAAAACAGAAAGCACTATGTTGTACATGAAGTTATATGAATTTTTGTAAAATACAGTGTCTATAGAAAAGCAGATACATCAGCTATAAAAGGGACTGTGAATAAAATATTATTTTTTTAAGTAATAAAATTTAAGTCAGTAATTTTTGCATATGGACATAAATGGTAAATATTTAAAGTACTCTCCTGGAAAATTCTATTTTTTTAAAGTAGCTCTTTTAAAGTGGACACCTGCAAAATATAGTGGTCAAGAAACAATTGATTCAGATTTTCCTTGATTTAAATCCTAGCTCTGTCCCTTCGTGGCATTTACTAAATGGCTAATTGTGTTTTTTTTTTATTTTTTTGTTATTATTGATAATAATAACAAGATAATGACACAAACCCTAATGTCAATCACGGATTATCCAAATGTCTTCAAATATTTCCGTGGGTAAACATTGATACCAACCGTATTTTGCCTTCTTCAAATAGAGTCAAATGAAAGTAGGTCCTCATCATTTCAGTCTCATAGGTATACCACATTCATACTATATGGTCAGTGGTATATATGGATGCTTTCCTAATGTTACACAGAATATACCATTATCAAAATTTATGGGCAGTGGAGCATGGGTGTTCCATTGCTTTTCAAAGGGTGGATGGGTTGGTAATGAAATGTACTTTCTCTTCTAGTTCTGCTATAGTCCAGTGGCATACAATCTGAAGATAACTGGATGAAGTAGGATTTTGGGGGCGATATCACACAATGGAGAATAAATATTCCAGAATAACAATCTCTACCTAAAATGCAAACATGCTGATAACACGTACACACGCACACACGCTTACACACACACTCATACACACACACACCCACAAACTCACTCACATCTCTGTGAAACTGACTTCATAATTAGCCTTTTTTTTTTTTTTTTTTTTTTTGGCGGGTGGGGACGGAGTTTTGTCGCTCTTGTTGCCCAGGATGGGGTGCAATGGCGTGATCTCGGCCCACTGGAACCTCCGCCTCCCAGGTCCAAGTGATTCTCCTGCCTCAACCTCCCAAGTAGCTGGAATTACAGGCACGAGCCACCACGCCCAGCTAATTTTGTATTTTTAGTAGAATCTGGGTTTCACCATGTTGACCTAGGCTGGTCTCAAACTCCTGACCTCAGGTGACCCATACGTCTTGGCCTCCCAAAGTGCGTTTTATTTTTTTCCTAGTGCTTTCCCACATTCACTGACACTATCTCTTGCCTAACTTCACTGCAGCTGCGGCTAGCCGATCTTTTTATTTATGTTTCATGGATTCAACACTCCACACACAGCTCCATCTTGACTCTTAGCCAAATAAACTCACCCTTTGCTTCGAAGATCCAGCTGGGAAGAGCTCCATTACCGACTCTCTGTAATCCAGCGAATTTGTCATTACACTCACTCATATTTTTCCTTCCAGAAAGATAAATCTGCATTTCTGCTCTTTAAAGTTACTCTAGGAATCCAAGTCCTCATCTTCTTCAGACACACCCCTTCTATTTGAGCACTTTCATTCTTTCCTTCACTGAACTTCAGCTTCCATTTGTGAAAAGGGAAAAATTATATTTATCTCCTAGAACTGTTTTGGTGTAACTACCTCTTTTTTCCACTCTTCTTTCTCCCATTTCCAAAGTGTGGTCATTTCCCAGGGCTTTATGACAGAATTTCTACTGTTTTAAGCTTCTTAAAGTTATACTCTATAATTTCATCTTTTTTCACCTCATTCCCAGTGATTCTCCAGTTGTATTCTTTCTCATGTCTCACCTTAGTTCCAGGCTTGAGTCACCAAATCCTTGCTGTTTGACTATTTTGTCCTTTAATATTTCTCACTCATTTTAAATAGAAATTCCCAGCATGAATTCCTCTGAAAACTCCGTCATCTTTATCTTCTCTCTCTCCCATGGACTCATCTCAGTTTCTTTTATTTCTGCTCAGACTTTATACTCCATCATCATTATTCATGTCTTCTTCCTCTACCATCCATCTTTGTATAGTCTCACCTATTCACAATGTCATACACCATTTATGCCTTAATAACTCCTAAAGCTTTATTTCCATCCTATTTCTCTCTCTCCCAAGGTCTAGTCTCAATTTTTCAATTTAAGTCCTAGACATTTTCATCAAAATATACAATTACAGTTTAGAATAACTGTTTTAAAGCAGTCTCATTATATTTCTATTGCCTAAACGGTCCCCATCCTACATTCTCTAAATCAGTTAAGGATACTATTCCTGCTGTCATCCAAGCAAGAAATCAAGTTTTCACAGTCTCTTCATTTTTCCTCCTTCAGTACAAGCAAACACCAATTTAACCTCAAGTGTCTCCCAAATTCTTTTTTCGAATCCCACTATAATCACATGAATTCAGCGCATCATCACTATGATGATGGATAACAATAAGGATGAGGTTTAAAATTAAAATGATGGTGTTGATGATTGTGGGAACAGAAAAAACATTTATCAAGTGTAAACTATGTGCCATGGACTGCTCCAAGTGTTTGGCATATTTATGTTTTTAATTTTCACAATTACCCAGTAAGGGGCATATGCCTAATATATACAAATATAAATAAGCACATCACTAAATTTCCCAAAGAACTGAGAATTCATCAAAGGCAGCAGACATACCCTCCATATCTAAAACAATCATGTAAAATAAATTCTATTAAATGAATACATTAGTATTTCGATACCTCACTGTTATCACAAATGCAATTTATCCAAAGGTAAAAGCATTACATTTCTCCTTCTTCCAAAATAACCTATTTACCCCTCACAATGTATCTAGATGCAGTTACATTAGATGCACAGCCATCCGTCACACCTAGTACCTTAGCATTATGTCTGAAGCCTTTGAAATTAGCCTCCTGTTACCAATAAGAACCAACCCTTTGACTCTTTCATGAGCTTCTCTCCTTACATTCTGCTGCTCTAAGTTTCATTTGTTATTTGCCTTTTCATTCTTAGACTTTCTGAGAGCTCATCTAGGTAATCCAACGAGAGTCACTGTAACACAGAACTAGAGAAAATGAGGAGGAATAAATTCTCTAATTTTGAATAACAGTGCACTACTTCCAATCTCAGAATAAAGAGACTCTATGCCAACTATTATTATTCTTGAAAAAAGGTCTGTTTCAATTTGAGACAATTTTTATTTGCCAATGGTTCTTTTATTTAAAGCTTCTTGTTTTATTTTGTTTTGTACTGATCATGTTAAATGCTGCTACTTTATGCTCAACTAATTTTCATGTTAGAATAAATGTAAATTGCATATACACATAGGAATAAGACTGTGCATTTTATGCTTTTTTTCTGAGCATATTAAACTTGAGAAAACATAGTATATGTTAGCTATGGATCTACGCACTAGAAATGAAGCAATAAACAAGTCAGCTATGGCCTTTCATCTCAGGAAGAGAACATTTTATTGCAGTGAAATAGACAATAAACAAATATACCAAAAAAGGAAAATGGCTTATGGTGACATATTAAAAGAATTAAAAATCACACATTAAGACAGACTGGCTAGTTTAGTTTGTGAGGCTGGAGATGATATTTAATCTGATAACTGATTGACAAGAAGGAACATAATATAAGAAGTTCAGCAGAAACAACCAAAACATGTAAGTGTTAATAGCGGATCAGCTTGGTGTGTTTGTTGGAAGAAAGGAGAAGGCCAACACTGTGAGAGTCAAATAAGCTTAGTAAGTTTCTGCCTTAAATTAGTACCCAATTTACTAGTTCTTTCCCCTTTTTTATTTTTGTGATTATGAAGATAAACTATTTATTATCTAATCAATTTAGTTAAATATTTTACATAGACTCCTTTTCCAGAACATTCTATTACCTACATACCAACTTAATTGCAGATTATGTTACTAAACAACATAAGATATTTTGATAAATATGATTTAGTAATTAGTAAGTATTTTATAGAAATATAGACAATATTATGGGTTTTCTAATCTAGAAAAGAAAAAAAGATGCCCCAAAGAAATTTTTATAGGTCTAATTGTAAACTGGAAAAAATATAAAATATGATGCTAAAACTGATCAGAAATCAGAGTCAAGAATAAACACATTAATATTTTCTTAGTAATTTTTTTCTTTTTCTCCAAATTCCTATTTACCTACATATAAAATAACTTCTAGGCAACATCATTACTTCATTGCATCTGAAGGTTATAAAGTCGTTATTATCAATGCCCATATGCTCTTCCTTATTCTTATCTCTATTCTCCTCTTCCCCAGATCTGCCATAGTAACTGCACTGAACCCTTCATTAACCAAAATAAATGCAAAACACCTATATAAAATTCATTAGGAACTCTGGGACAGACAATTGAGTAAGCTTATAAGATATATATATAGAAGCCTAAATTTTAAAAGAATCTATTTTTATTCTGAAGTTTTAACAGTGTAAATATGTAAATCATGTAAATACATAGATCTTGTACAATCTATATTTTTAAATTATTCTTCTATTATTTTCCTTTCTATTTTCAGATTTACTATAGGTTTGAAATTTTTTCTGCAGAAATGTTTTTGTGACAAATATATGGCTGCATAGTGCAATAGCTTTAGGAGCTCAAAGGAAAATCATCTATGTCAATATTCTTATATGAGTTATATAATAGTATTTTCCTTCTCTCTATAACAATTTTAATTTTAATGCTCAGTGTTTTCTAATAAAGATGCTCTCTTCTAGTTAGGCCTGTCTCTTATCCTCTATAGAAATGATTTCAATTTCTATCATCATGTCTATCAAGAAATCCATGCATCTGTTGAATGACTGGTACATTTCTATATAATTTGAAGACCATAAATGTGAAAAACAATTTATTATTTTCTTTTGGCTGCTAGGAGGCTTGAAAGCAAATTTGTCACCTGCTTGACAGTTTTTCAGCATGTTCTGGCATATATTTTGTATACAAATTTTAACTGTTACATTGTCTTAATCTTATCTCTATTATGTTTATTTATTTATAGCCTATAGCAAAGTAGAGAATTTTGAAAAATCCTCTGTTTCCAAAGAGGGGGGAAATAAAGCAAGTAAATACATAGAAACAATTTCCATGCTTTCTCTC
The DNA here is from genome assembly GCF_000001405.40 of Homo sapiens. Lineage (NCBI taxonomy): Eukaryota > Metazoa > Chordata > Mammalia > Primates > Hominidae > Homo > Homo sapiens. The sequence goes on along the minus strand of NC_000003.12, from coordinate 174,865,829 downwards.
AGCTGTTCTTTTGACCAGTGAAGGCTTTTTTCCTTCTGGTCACTTATTCCAGTTTATCAAACTGCCAAGGAAATTTCAAATCATCTCTCTTCTATGAAACCCTCTATAAATTCCTAGATTCCTCTATAATTTCTTATTTACATCCCTGTGTTATAACAATACCAAGAATCAGCAAGAATGGAAGCAATGTCTACCTTTTGAGGCAGTGTATTTCTCCATCTCTGAAAGCTCCCTCGAAGAAATGTGGATGTGATGGAGAAATTTTCAAGATTTATCAATAGTTTAATGGAAGATAGGCTGGTCTACGATTGCATTAAAGGTCATAAATAAAGAGGAAGATAAAGTACAATAATCCTTCATTCCTCTCTTCTCATGACCTGTTTTCAAAGGAGCTTACTTTTGAGAGAACAAAGGAATCAAGAGATTGAATGGATTTCAGCAGTTTAATCAGATCTCAGAATGAATCTTTCACTGAAGTTTCAAGTCACACGGTAAAGTTGATTGTATGGTTTAACAAGCATACGTGCACACCTTTTGCATGTTCATTATAAACTGCATTAAATTTAGCAGTTGACTTTTCAAAGTATTTCTCTTTCGACTTTTTTAGTTGGTAGGATTTTATAACTTTATTATTTTTTTTTGGACACAATATACAACCTGCATTACACTAATCAGGGGTTTAAAGAGGCAGGTAAATTACTTTTCAATATAAATTACAGAAAGCATTTATGAAAGAGCCTCCCGAAGTGTTCGACTATGCAGATGGTTAAACATATCTGTCACCAGAGCAACAAAATAGCATTGTCAAATAAAACTATTGACACATACTTTTCCTGAAGAGTAATTAGAAGCTCAAGGGATCAACTGAAGCTCAATGCCCTTTTGTGTATTGTCATCCTAATAACATCTTCTTTGCAATCTTTGCAGTCACCTGTTATTTCTTCACTTATATATCAAGTCTAATACTTTCCAATAATAAATCAAATACATGTTTGGTTAATAGTCCTCCCCCAAAAAACTGTGATACAAAGAAGTTTGGCTTACTGTCCTACTCAATTAGCTAAATTTGTTTAAACTCCTTCCAAAATCCAGAGAATAGCATACAAAGTAATAATTACATTTATATACTTATAATCTTAAGATTATTACTGCATCTTTTGTTCAAAGAAAAATTCAAAAACAGATTCAAACTTTTAAATAGATGGAAAAGTTTTTATTGCATGATTAATAATAACGTATAAACAATCAAGTCATCCTGTAGTTATGTATCACCTTTTCTTCAAGAAGATTTTACAGTGACTTTAATTGAAATGTAAAATGTTTCCCTTTGAAACAATTTCAGTACCATAAAATATTATTTAAATCAAAGGGGATTAAACAAACTCCAGGAACAAACTCCATATTTCAAAGTGTTTGAGAATTGGCTTTTCCTCCAACAGCAGGTTTTAACTAAGTACCATGTCATTGACCACCTTTATCTCACGTTCTATTCAAGTACACTGCTTGCCATCTTATTTCTAATAAGGTAAAGATTCCACTTCCACTTAGAAAGACAAAGAAAAAATTAGCTCATAAGCTCAGTTAGTTGATTTCATTAACTATTTCTTAGGCTTTACTTCAGATTTTGTTTTCCTAATCTCTTTTGCCTGCTGCAAAGACCCTCTCTTGTACCTGGAAAATGTACCCAGTCCATCTTCACATGCACCTTTGCCTAACTCACTCATTTAGGTCAGACTCACCTTGGATTTCATGCCTTGACATTTTCAGCAACTTTCTTTGCTCCAAATTTGCTTGATTTTGTTTTGAGATTATGAGACTTTCCAGCAAAGATTCTGGAAATTTCAACTCCAAGATGTCCTGTTACCTCAATATCTAAATGTCAACTCTGAAATTCCTCAGGTCTTCAAGTGTTTGAACCTATCATGAAGGGCTAGTGAAAGCCTTCCTCATGGAACACAGGTCCAACAGGAGCTCCTTGCACTTCTGTTAATTGAAAATGCTATTAAAGTTCTGTAGGCTGGGAAGGAAGAGTCACATACTGGTTAGTCCTCTTTGTGGCATCACAAAGATTTCAAGGCACTCACAGTCATGGTTTCTGATGATGAATACAGAGATATTTTTCCCACCACAGAAAGTAAGCATGCACACCAAACCAGTATAACAGGTTGGAGTACAAAGTACTACTACCCTCAGGCTGCAACTTGGAAGCATAGACACTAAGGCTCCTCCTGCCTAGAGTTGTTTTTTTTTTCTTTTACTTATTTTAAATAGAATTAGTGCCATTTCTAAACAATGACTCTATTATGAAGAAACATTCCATACATGTGCCTATGAACTTACAAGCCAACTTCTCCTAGCTGTAATGAAAATTAACTAAATGTCTTACAAGCTAATGTAACTTTTGTTTAGTAAAGAGAAAACCCAAGCCTGGATGGACAGGTTCCATAATAAGCTCACTGAATACTCGACAATGCTTTCAAGACCATAAATATAGAAACTAAAAGACGTCAATATGGAAAACATTACTAAGACTGCTTTCTCCATTAGAAATAGGAAAGTAAATTACTCTAGAAAATAATGCACCAAATTCTTCCGTAAAACTGCAGCAAACGCAGTTTTGAGCAGCAGGTTAGAGACGTGGCCTCTGGCAATGGCTTCTGTGAAACCAAAAACAATTTTCCTAGCTTCATAGGATCTCTGTTACTCTACAAAGTAAAAACATTGGACTTGAGACTATCTTCTAGCTTGAAAATGTTAATTTTCTGAAGATTATTTTTTCCTAACTGTGATGGCAAAATTCTCCTTCAGTGGGTTGAAGAGTTATCTCCTGCTGGTTGCTATCTAGAGCTAGCTCTGCATTCCTCAGGATCCAGCCAACTCCTCTGTACTTGGAACATCTTCCCCCAGAGTTCTACTGTTTTGTAGCCTTCAGAGTAGGGATTTCCTAGAGCTAGAGAACTAAGAAGAACTGAAGTAGAAGGAGAGCTATTATTAGAAACGCTCAAAACATCCAGGCAGCTGGTAGGCAGCACGAGTGCCAAGTGTATTAAACAGCCCAGGGAGGCGTAACTTAAAGATTCCTCCTCTCACAAGATTGTCCCAGCATTAAACTCAGAAATACTTTTTATTCAATTATCTCAAGGGCCAATTAGTATATCATATTATTTACAAAGAGGAAGGTGCCCTTGAATATATTTCGACTAAAGATGAAAAGGAGAGAAAGAACATGTTAAAAGCTCATGGAAACTGGATTCCTGAGGTAGCAGGAGCTCAGCAGGTGAAGCACATAGCTGGATGCTGATAGATTCTTTCCCCATTTTCCAATTCTGACTAGGACCTACTCTGTTAATAAGAATCCTGGGAGAAGTAGGAAATGGACATCCTTCGAGGCAGAGAAGAGGTAAGAAGCCCTTATACGTTCAAGGATGGCCTCTGAAGAAACTTTAGCCTAAGGCATATTCCAGGTAGTTCCCTTCCAGGAAGGGAGCTGTCACCCTCCCATCTCCCAGCCATGTCCCTCCCTCTACTCCTGTTACAGACTGATGGAGTGATAGAGTGCCACTCAGTGGTGCAGGTGAGTTTGCAGGCATTATGCAAGAAAAATGATCCTTCCCTTCACAAATAACAATGCTTAGAAAGCACTTACCCCTATTCCTTATGCCATATTATTTGTACAATTTTATTCATATTTGCAACGTTTAGAAAAAAATTCTAGCATTCTCTCCTTACCTAGATAATTTATTTTATGAATCCTGAGGACATTATGAACCTTCATGTATGATAGCTTTACACAATTCTCCGCTGGGGTTACCTTGTCATTGGGACTAAAAGAGGAGATTCCTTTTTATGTTTGAAAAGCTAATTAAAATCTGTTCACACAGCTCAAGATAACCTTGGAATAACTTCACTTTTATTCAGGAAAAAAAAAAAATGGGTTCTCAATACTACCAGAAACACTAAATGTTAATGGCATATGGGCTCCACTAACCAGGGCACATGCAACTAACCCCCTGAGAGTATAATTGGGTCAGAGATGTACAGAAAAAGCACTGTGATGAATAATCATTGATAATATCTATGGCTAGCCTTTCAAATTGTAACTAGAGATCATTCAGTGAATCTAGAAAATCTAGATACATGGCCTTAGAAAATCATTATTCAAAGCACTTGATGGAGTTCCAATGATAATCTACATAATATATTATCCTCATAGTCAAAACACGTAAGTCATCCACATGTTTAATATACAAAACATATTATTTTAACATAGTTATTTCCACTAAAGAACATCCGTTTGTAAGTGGAGCTGACAATGAGTATTATTTGAAAGAACCTCAGAATTTTTTATAAATGTCATTAAGTCAAAGGTGAAATTGAACACTAGAAAATAACTTTTCATTCACTTTGGTCATTTTGAAACTCAATTTCAGATTTTGGACAGGGTATCACAGACAACAGAAAAATGTTAAGGCATTCCATTGCCTTTATAATGTAAAGAAATCCAGAAACGAAACCAACAACTGAACTACCATCGGTTCTTTTTAACCCTCACTTGATTAATAGGTGCTCTTAAGAATCTTGATGCAAATATAACTGGTAGGGAAGCACTTCAATACTCCAAGAAGATAGATCTGAAATATTTACAGACCTACCAAGGATACATTTAAACATGAATAAGATCAGAAGAGAATAAATATTTTATTGAAAAGTTTTCAGAGTATACAAACAAAAACTCCCTAGTATATAACTGATTTCACAAGTTTTACCCAACTACAAAAGGCTTAAAGATTAGGCACACTGTTCTTGAACTTAAAGCACACCATTCAAATTATTTACTATATCACTTGTGTTGAATTTTGTGCATGGTTTTCTGATTAATAATTCTGAAAATAATTGTAGTTTTATACATATATATGGATAGGGGAAAGGGAAGGCTATCCTTACACAGTGAAACATATGTATTACCAGAAACATAATATACATAAAAAGCACCAGAGAAAAAGAAAGAAACAACAACAAAATGTATACACAATCTGGGATTCAATTAAAAAAATATTACCCATGATCCTAACACAAAGAGGGATAATGAGTGAAATGGAAAGAGGCCTGGTTACTCCTTAGTTTATTTTGATCGCTGAATACAGACAGGTGATGCACCCACACAGCCTAGAATAGGCTATTTAGGTGGTTGCCAAACAGTAATAAACATTTAATGTAAAATCATTATCATATGCACAATTGGAACAAACTAGAGGCTTCCCATATACTTTCCAATGAAAAATATTAGAGACAAATAAGGAATATGTTATAATCTTGTACATAATACCATTTGTCCATAAGACACATAGAAATAAATGATTCTCATTATGCTAAATGAGCCTTTTACCTTACTGTTTTTCTTCAATAGAATTTATTACATGACTTTTGAAATTAATCTTTTAAATTAAAAATGCTTTATAGTAGCATTTTACACAGTATTTCAAGAAAGATTTTTAGGAAATATACAGAGATAAAAAAAGATACGGGGATTCTTAAGCAGGCTATGTAGAGAAAAGATTAAAGAAATGAAAGAAAAATATAATTTAACTATAAAATAGGTGATATATTTTTAGGATCATGCAGATCTATGTGATCTCATGGTATTCTAGAAGTCTATAACAAATATTGATTAGGCCCAATATCTACTTTCTTTTTCTTCTTTAAGAAATAACTTTTGTTACCCAAAAATGTGAAATGTGAGCGACCTTAAATTTGTTTCGGTGAACAAGCCTCTAACCAGAGATGCCTAGTCAAGCCAATGTCAACAAAGCCAGTCCTTTCAAAGGACAAAGGTATCTGATTAAGCAACACCTGTGAAATAAATCACAGCCTCCTAACTGATAGGCTCGCCCATGTTCCCCTGTTTTCTACCTTTTAAAAAGTGGTTATATTAATTACAGGGAAACTGAGCTGGTAAACTCCAGAGATGGCAAAACTTAATTACCAATAAACACTCCACAGGTAGAGACAAAAATCAAGGTTCTGTTAATGTTGGAAAAGGTCCAACATGAAAATGCACTGGAAGTTGGTTATACCATTTCTCCAACATTATACTGGGGATTAAGGATAAAGCTTTCCATACCCTCCACGGGTCCCCCAAATTTGTGATTCTGTGTTGCCTGAGTCTTTGTAAACAACTGAGAAAACATGCTTCCTCTGAATCAACAATCTCCACCTCTTTTCTCGCTCGCAGAAAACACCTTAAAAACAGGGCCAGGGCACCTGAACATGCATGCAGGGATGCGTGTGTGCATACACAGAAACACACAGACTTTGTAATCAACACTGCTTAAGTTTCTGATTGTGAAAAGTGAAAAGTTCATAGGCTGTTGGTACTTACCTTGCAAAGACGTGTTAGGTAAACTTGCTTCATTCTCTCCCATTTTATTATTTCTTTTTAAAGAGGGCCAAGCAGTTTCAAGTTGTGTCACTTACCCTGCAAGCTTTGTGACCTTCTGACTTTCTACTGTAGTATTGTAACAGTATACTACCTGCTTTCTTCTGTGAATAATTACCATTCTGCTTCCTGAGTTACCTGGGCTTGCAGGACCTGTTTTACTATGAAGTGAGATCATATCTTTTGATCCACTGTATGGCTATTAAAGTGTACTTCACAAAACATTGCTTTGTTTCAGTTTTGATATAAACTTTTAATTCTCTACTTTCACTTTAGTCCAGAAACATATTTATATTTTCCCCTAAAAGAGCATTGATATTACCAGTACACCAAGCTTCACAGAGTTTGGTTTCTTTGTTTTTGAGTGTTTCTAATCTACTTTTCCTACAGAAATCAAATTTAAAGTGTATTACACGACATTTATTTTTTAAACCATAGGGAAATAAGGAACAGCTCAGAGTCAGTTTTGTGCAGCAGTGTGAAGACAAGTTTTGGATTATCTCTAATACTTGCTGTGTGACTGTAAGCAAAGAATATAACTTCTTTGAGACTCAGTTTCCTAAACTATAAAATAGAATAATATCTAGTATGTATGAAGTATGTATGATTAGTACGAAGATTGAAAACACTAATGTATGGCTGTGCTAAACACTGTGAATAATGGACAATAAACAAAAAACAATTTCTAATTTTCCTCTTCCTTTTCCTTCTTCTTCCTTCTCTCCCTCTTGTTCTTCTGATGAGTGGAATGAATGCTGAACTGCAGCATTGATGTCCCAGATCATGTACTGACATCAGTTATGCAACTTATTAACTGAGAGACCTGAAAAAAACTGTTCAACCTAATCCTGAGTTGCCTCAAGGTCCTCATTTGTAAAAGGAGAGTCATGATATTTGCATTGCCTTTTGAATAGAAGCATGGTGAATATTAACTTAGATTAACTGTTGTGACTCAACAAAAATAATTCCCAGCAAACAAGAGCAACAAATTGGAGACGTATCTTTAAATATTCATTTGTATGTGAGAAAGCAAAGATATCACAGAATTAAGGCAATTTATTTAAGCTTTGTCCCCCATAAGGCACCTAGAATAAAAAACAATCTCCACTTTCTTCCCTCTAGAAATCCTTAACTTTGGCTGTAGTTAGACTAGTAAATAAATGAATATAAATATATATTCATATTCATATATATTAATATTTTACAAATTATATATTATATATTTAATATTGTAATAATTACATATTATTATATTCAAATATATAATATATAAAAACATTTTTATTAGTCTGCAGCTAATATATATATATAGGCTGTAGTTACACACATATATATGTATATGAAGCTCAAGCTCCTTTCTTTATAATCCATTGCTTTTTAATTTGAAAAAATCTATATATTATGTGTGCTAGCTTACTAATGTAAAAATTGACTATATAAGTTGTGTAAAGTACAGAAATGTCAAACAACAGTTTTTCTCAAAAGTATTAGAAATAAAGGCAAACATGACATTAAAAATTTCTGATTGCAATTGGGAGTTGTCTCTTTCATTTATTACCTCTCTAGGTCTCAGTTTCTTCTATGAGGGAGCTGGACCATTGAAAACCCATTCTCTCTTTATAATGCCAGGAGCCTCTGATTTAAAATCTGGGTTGTGGTTTGCTCCAGAATAGAATAACCCTTTGCCTATAGCAATTGCATACTGTAATATATATATATACACACCATGCTACATACTTTACCAACAGTAACTTGAAATTGAATGTTTGCCAATAAAACACTGTAATCATCACATTCTTACTTCACTTTAAAAGGACCAACACACATATCAATCCTCACTCATTATGACAAACTTGGAAATATATTTACAGACCTGCCCCAGGCACTGAAATTAGTCAATAACAGTTATAAAGCACCCATTATCTATGAGCTGAATTATAGCATGTGGTAAATTACGATGAAAGTGGAATAGAGAAGTCCTATTCTTAAACGATAACAAAAAATCCATACAAATATAAACACCAGAAAGGTCTTAAGTTCGTAAGTTCACAGAAAGTAACATAAATACTGATTGAGTAGAAAAGAATCAGTTGCAATACTAATAAAGTGCCATGTGCACACATATTTTCTTTCTCCTTCTGGGTCTTTGTGCATGCCTGGAAAATTTCTTCCAGGACGTTTTTTAACATACCTGGTGAGTTTTGCACATGCCTAAAAAACTTCTTCACCTCCCTTTTGCTGAATTCATATGCAGAAATTCTTGTTGAATTCAGTCTGAGTTCAGGTCCCTTCCTTGTGCTCCCAGACACCCCTTAACAATTCTAAACTTTTCATTTCACCATGGCTCTTGTCACATTATATTATAGGTACAGTAGGCCCCCTTAACCTCAGGAGAATACATTCCAAGACCCTTAGTGAATGCTTGAACCACATATAGTACCAAACCCAAATGACATCAATCGGAACACATTTGTGTTCATATCTTCCACCCACAAATTTAATGCCTTTTCCATCTTAACTAAGCAATTATCACACACCGTGGCTGTAACTTTTGCAGTCTGAGGTGTGACAGCTTAAACTAGCACAGATTTCTCTTTCCTTCTTCACAATTTTACAAATAGAAGGTATGTTCTTACAGTAGATCTTGGAAACCTCAATAAAATTTTCTTTCCTAATTAACTCAAAACTTTCATCTTTTCAATTAAAGAAATCACTTTACAGCTTTTCTCTGGCATATCTGAATTGCCAGCCTCATAACTTTTGCATTTTGGGACCATTATTAAGTAACATAAGAGTTGAAAACATGCACCAAATTACCATGAAAGTCCTTCTGATAACTGAGATGGATCCTAAGTGGCTAACAGGCACCTACAGTGTGAATAAACTGGACATACGGATGATTCACATCCTGGGCAGGACAGAATGAGATCTCATCAAGTCACTCAGAATGATGCACAATTTTACACTTATTGATTGTTTCTAAAATTTTCCATTCAATATTTTTGGACCACGATGATCATTGATAACAAATTGTGGAAAGGAAAAGTGTGGATTCAGGAAGACTACTGTACTTCTTAATTATTTCTCAGACTGGGCACAGGAGCTCACGACTGTAATCCCAGCACTTTGGGAGGCTGAGGCAGAAGGATCGCTTAAGCCCAAGAGTTCAAGACCACCCTGGTCAACATAGCATAATCCTGTGTGAACAAACAATACAAAAATTATCTGGGCATGATGGTGTGTGCCTGTAGTACACCTACTCAAGAGACTGAGATGAGAGGATTGCTTGAGTCCAGAAGTTTGAGGCTGCAGTAAGCTATGATCATACCACTGGACTCCAGCCTGAGTGACAGACTGAGAACCTGTCTCTCTCTCTTACTTCTCTCTCTCATATATATATATATATATATATACACACACACACACACATACACATATATTCATATCTATGTGTATATATATTCATATCTATGTGTATATATATTCATATCTATGTGTATATATATTCATATGTATGTATATATACATATATACACATATATACATATCTTTCATATATATGAGACATATACATGTGTGTGTGTGTGTGTGTGTGTGTGTGTGTGTGTGTGTGTGTGTATTTCTCTCCTGACACTCTGTTATGCCAAAGACACTTTAAAAGTAGTCATCAAGTTCCTGGCACCTAGCCCAGTTCCTAGCACACATTGAGCCTGCAATGAATTTTGTGAAAATGAATAAAATTACCATCATCAGAAAGGGTGAATAAAAGAGTCTCAAAGAAAACAAAGACATAGATTAGCAAAGAAGATGATAGAAAATTTTCAGTTGGGAAAAGTAACAAATTAAAGCTTAAAAGCGAAAAGTGATGAGGGAAAGTAGGGAGTTTTAACTGCAAGAGCAAAACATTAAGAGTTAGAAGGATATAAGAAATGATGGTAATTATGAGAATTTCCAAAATAAAAGTCAAAACCAGGATAAGAAATGAAAGAGAATAAGAAGTTAATACACCATAGTCATGCACTGAATAATGATGTTTCAATCAATGGTGGACTGAATAAACACAGGTGGTCTCAAAAGATTATAACGAAGCCAAAATTTTCCTATCGCCTAGGGATGTCATGGCTGTCATAATGTCATAGCTGTCATAACATCATAGCTGTCAAAATGTCTTGCATAAGACATTACTCACATGTTTTGTGTTGATGCTGATATAAAAATAGCTACTATGCTGCCACTCATGTAAAAGTATAGCATAGGCCGGGCACAGTGACTCACGCCTGTAATCCTAGCACTTTGGGAGGCCAAGGCGGGCGGATCACCTGAGGTCAGGAGTTCGAGACCAGCATGGCCAACATGGTGAAACACCATCTCTACTAAAACCTACAAAAATTAGCCAGGTGTGGTGGTGGGAGTCTGTAGTCCCAGCTACTTGGGAGGCTGAGGCAGGAGAATCACTTGAACCTGGGAGGCAGAGGTTGCAGTGAGCTGAGATCATGCCACTATACTTCAGCCTGGGCAACAAGGGGAAACTCCATCTCAAAAAAAAAAAAAAAAAAAAGAAAAAAAAGCAAAGCACATACAATTATGTAAAGTACGTAATATTTGATAATAAAAACAATGATACTGTGTTACGTATTCAATATATTATACTTTTGTTATTTTATTCTTTTAAAGTTTTTTGTCATTTTTATTCTTTAAAAATAATTTTATTCTTAATTATTATGGATACATAATGGTTGTACCTATGTATGTGGTAAAAGTGATATTTTGATACAACAAAATAATGTGTAATGGATATTAGCATAATTGGGATATCATTCACATCCAGTATTCATAATTTTTGTGTTAAAATCATTACAATTTCACTCTTAATGATTTTGAAATGTACAATAAATTACTGTTAACCATTGTCACCCTATTGTGCTACCAAACACTAGATCTTATTCCTTCTATCAAACTGTAGTTTTGTACCCATTAACCATCCCGTTTATCCCTTTCTCTCTACTAGGTTTCCCATCCACTAGTAATCTTCATTCTATTCTCTATCTCCACAAGTTCAAATTACGTTTTGTATGTCTCACATATGAGTGAGAACATGCAATATTTATCTTTCTGTGCCTGGCTTATTTCATTTAACATAATTGCCTCCAGTTCCATCCATGTACTGCAAAAGATATTATTTCATTCTTTTTATGGTTGAATAATACTCTTATTATGTATAAGTACTATATTTTATTTATTCATTCATCTGTTGATGGACACTTAGATTGATTCCATATCTTGACTATTGTGAATAGTGCTGCAATAAACACAGAAGTTCAAATACATCTTTGATATATTGATTTCCTTTCTTTTGAATATACACCCAGCAGTGAGATAGCTGGACCATGTGGTAGTTTTATTTTTGCTTTTTTGAGGAACTTCCATACTGTTTTCCATACTGACTATAATAATTTACATTCCCAATAATAGTTTATGAGGGTTACCCATTCTCCACATCCATACCAGCATCCATTATTGTCAGTCTCTTTAATAAAAGCTATTTTAACTGGGTTGAGAGGATATATCATTGTAGTTTTGATTTGCATATCTCTGATGATTAGTGATGATGAACATTTTTTCATATACCTATTGGCCATTTTTATATCTTCTTTTGCAAGATGTCTATTCAGATCTTTGGCCCATTTTAAAATCAGATTTTTTTTTATTGCTATTCAGTTGTTAGAGCTCTTTACATATTTTGATTATTAATCATCAGATGAATAGTTTCCAAATATTTTTTCTCATTCTGTGGGCTGTATCTTCAGTTTGTAGATTGTTTCCTTCACTCTGCAGAAGGTTTTTAATTTGGTGTGATCCCATTTGTCTACTTTTGCTTTGGTTGCCTCCGCTTTTGAGGTTTTAGTCATGAAAACTTTGCCCAGGCCCATTTCCTAGAGCATTTTCCAAAGTTTTCTTTTTGCAATTTCATGGTTTAAGGTCTTAGGTGTAAATCTATTTTTTTTTTTTTTTTTTTTGAGATTGAGTCTCGCTCTGTTGCCAGGCTGGAGTGCAGTGGCATGATCTCGGCTCACTGCAGCCTCTTCCTCCCAAGTTCAAGCAATTCTCCTGCCTCAGCCTCCTGAGTAGCTGGGACTACAGGTGCGAGCCACCACACCCGGCTAATTTTTTTTTTTTTTTTTTTTTTTTTTTGGTAGAGACGGGGTTTCACCATGTTGGCCAGGATGGTCTCGATTTCCTGACCTCGTGATCTGCCCACTTTGGCCTCCCACAGTGCTGGGATTACAGGCTTGAGCCACTGCACCCTGCCAGATGTAAGTCTTTAATCAATTTGGATTTGATTTTTGAACATGATGAGAGATATGAGTCTAGTTTAATTTTTATGCATGTAGATATCCAGTTTCCCCAGCATCATTCATTGAAGAGACTGTATTTTCCCCAATTCATGTTCTTGGCAACTTTGTCAAAAATCAGTTTGTGGTATATGTATGGATTTATCCCTGGGTTTTGTTTATTCTGCTCCATCATCTATGCATCCATTTTTATGACAGTACCATGCTGTTGCTGTAGCCTTATAGTATAATTTGAAGTAAGGTAATGTTATGACTCCAGCTTTGTTCTTTCTGATCAGGATAGCTTTGGCTATTCTGAGTCTTCTGTAGTTCTACATAAATTTTAGGATTGTTTTTTCCATTTCTCTGAAGAATTTCATTGGTATTTTCATACAGATTGCACTGAATCTGTAGATTGCTTTGGGTAGTATAGACATTTTAACCACATTTATTCTTCCATTCTATAAACATGGAGTATCTTTCCATGTTTTTGTGTCCTCTTCAATTTCTTTCATCAATGTTTTATAGTTTTTTATAGAGATATTTCACTTATTTGGTTAAGTTTATTCCAAAGTATTTAATTTTATCTATAGCTATGGTAAATGGGATTACTTTTTTGGTTTCTTTTTAGATAGTTTATTGTTGACATAGAAATGCCACTGAATTTGTATGTTAACTTCGTGTCCTGAAACTTTACTAAATTTGTTTATCAGTTCTAATTGTTTTTTTGGTGGAGTACTTAGGTTTTTCTAAATATAAGGCTATAACATCTGCAAGGAAGGATATTTTTAATTCCTTTCCAATTCGGATGCCTTTATTTCTTTCTCTTGTCTAATTGTTCTGGCAAGGACTTCCACTACTAAGTGAAATAAAAGTAGTGAAAGTGGGCATCATTCTCTTATTCTGGATCTTAGAAAAAAAGGCTTTCAGTTTTTCCCACTCAGCATAATACTAGCTGTGGTTCTGTTTTGTAAGGTAGTTATCAGGTTGGTTCCTTCTATACCCAGTTTTTTGAGAGTTTTTCTCATGAAGGTATGTTGAATTTTACCAAGTACTTTTTGGGTATCTATTGAAAGGATCATATAGATTTTCTCCTTCATTCTGTTAAAGTAATGTATCACAATGATTGATTTGCATATGTTGAACCATCGTTGCATCCCTGGGATGAATCCCACTTGTTCTTGATAAGTGATCTTTTTAATGTGTTGTTGAATTCAGTTTGCTAATATTTCATTGAAGATTTTGGAATCTATGATCATCAGAAATAGTAGCATGTACTTATCTGTTTTTTCTTTGCCTGGTTTTGCTATCAGGATAATACTAGCCTTGTAGAAAGAGTTTGAAATTATTCCCTCCTCCTAAATTTTCTGAAATAGTTTGAGTAGGATTCTCCAGTGAAGCAATTAGGTCCTTGGCTTTTCTTTGATAGGAGGCTTTTTATTACAGCTTTGATCCCATTATTTATTATTGGTCTGTTCCAGATATAAAGTTATTCATAGTTCAACACTGGTAGGTTGGACATGTCTAGGAATTTATCCATTTCTTCCAGGTTTTCCAATTTATTGGCATATAGTTACTCATAGTATAGTTGCTCAAAACAATCTTTTGAATTTCTTAGCTATCGGTTGTAATGTCTCCTTTTTCAACTCTGATTTTATTTATTTGGGTCTTCTCTCTGATTTTTTTTTTTTTTTTTTTTAGTCTGGCTGAAATTTTTTCACTTTTGTTTATCTTTCCCCCAAAAACCTTCTTTACTTGCTTTTGTGTTGTCTTTGTTTGTTTCAATCCCATTTACTTCTGCTCTGATATTTATTATTTATTTTCTTCTACTAAGATTGAGTTTGGTTGCCCTTGCATTTCTACTTCTTTAAGATGAATCATTAGGTTGTTTTTTGGAAGTTGTACTTTTGATGAAGGCATTTATTGTTCTAAGCTTCCCTCTCACTACTGTTTTTGCAGTGTCATATTGGTTTTGGTATGTTGCGTGTCCATTTTCATTTGTTTCTAGAATTGAAAAAACTTCCTTCTTAACTTCTCCAATGACCCAGTGGTCATTCAGGAGAATAATGTTTAACTTTCAAGTGTTTGTAGAGTTTCCAAAGTTTCTCTGGTTACAACTCTCTAGTTTTATTCCACTGTAGTCAGAAAAGATACTTGATATAATTTCAGTGTTTTTTTTTAAATTAAGACATCTTTAGTGGACTTATATATGGTCTATCATTGAGAATGTTCCATGTGCTTAGGAGAAGAATGTGCATTCTGCATTTGTTGGATAAAATATTCTGTAAATGTCTATTAGATTCACTTGATCTATAAATTAGGTTCCATGTTGATTTGTTGATTTCTTATCTGGGTGATATGTCCAGTGCTGAAAATGGTGTGTTGAAGTCCACAGCTATTATTGTATTGGGGTCTCTATCTTTAGTTCCAATAATGTTTGCTTTACATATCTGGGTACTCTAGCATTCAGAGCATGAATATTTACAATTGTTGAATCCTCCAGCTTAATTTACCTATTTATCATTATATGATATTTTCTTTGTCTCTTTTTACAGTTTTTGTCTTGAAATCTATTTTATCTAACATAAATACAGTCCTGCTCTTTTTTGGTTTCTATTAGCGTTGAATATATTTTCTATCCCTTCATTTTCAGTTTAGTGTGTCTTTATATGTGAGGTGAGTTTCTTGTTGGTAGCATTTAACTGGATCTTGTTTTTGTTTTTAATCTGAAAGGATACTTAATCTAAAAGCAGCAAAAGAGGCAAATAACATATAAAGGAGCTCTTATATGTCTGGCAGCAGACATCCCAGTGGAAATCTTACAGGATAGGCTAGAGTAGGATGAAATATTCAAAGTGCTGAAGGAAAAAAAAAATACTTCCAACCTAGAATATTATATCCACCACAATTATCCTTCGAACATGAGGGAGAAATACTTTCCCAGACAAACAAAAGCTGAGGTATTTTATAAACACCAGGCCTATGTTACAAAAAATGCTAAGGAAGTTCTTCACTCTGAAAGAAATGTATGTTAACAAGCAACAATAAATTACCTGAAGTTATAAAAACTCACTGGTAAAGGTAAGTGACAGAGAAATATAAAATCCTATAACACTTTAATTGTTGTGTGTAAAATACTTATATCTTTAGTAGGAAGATTAAAAGACAAACCAATCAAAAATAATAGGTACAACAATTTTTAAGAAATAGACAATCCAGCAAGACAAGACGTGGAGGTGGCAGACAATGATAATGATGATCCTAACCCTGCGTAGGCCTAGGCTAATGTATGTGTTTGCATCTTTTTTTTTTTTTTTTTTTTTTTTTGAGTCAGAGTCTCGCTCTGTCACCCAGGCTGGAGTGCAATGGCGCGATCTCAGCTCATTGCAACCTCCGCCTCCCAGATTCAAGCAATTCTCCTTCCTTAGCCTCCCAAGTGGCTGGGATTACAGGCACCCGCCACCATGTCCAGCTAATTTTTGTATTTTTAGTAGATACGGGGTTTCCCTGTGTTGGCAGGGCTGGTCTTGAACTCCTGATCTTGTGATCTGCCCGCCTCGGCCCCCCAAAGTGCTGGGATTACAGGCGTGAGTCACCGTGCCCAGTGCATCTTCATTTTTAGCAAAAAAAATTGAAAATTTTAAGAAAGCATTAAAAATAGAACAAAAGCATATAGAATAAGAATATACAAACAGGAAATATTTTTGTACAGCTGTACAATGTGTCTGTGTTTTAAGCTGAATGTTATTACAACAGAATCAATAAGAAAATAATAAAAAGTTTGTAAAGTATAAAAGATAGAGTCAATTAAGATTAACTTATTATTGATGAAAGAAAAATATGTTTTATAAATGTAGGCTTAAGTTTACAGTGTTTATAAAGTCCATAGTAGTTTACAGTAATGTCCTAGTTCTTTGCATTCACTCACCACACACTTACTGACTCACGCAGAACAACTTCCAACTCTGCAAGATCCATTCATGGTAAGGGCCCTACAGAGATGTACCATTTCTAATCTTTTATATCATATTTTTCTGTACCTTTTCCATGTTTAGATATGTTGAAATATACAAACACTTACCATCGTGTTCCAATTGCCTGCAATATTCAGTATAGTAATATGCTCTACAGGTTTACAGCCTAGGAGCAATAGGCTATACCATACAGACTAGATGTTCAGTAAGCTATACTGTAAAACCCAGGATTGCAGTAAGCTATAACCTCTATATTTTTATACTCTATAATGTTTGCTCTATGAAGTACACTCTATGGTGTTCACGCAACAACAAAAATCAGTTAAGATATGTTTCTCAGAATGTATCCCCATTATTAAGTGACGCATGACTGTAGTTTAAAACACACATTACAAAAACAAAAAGCACTGGTGAACCTCACTGAAGAACTTCACTGCAAAGCTGTGAAAATGAAACTGACATAATTATAAAAATTATCATGAAGATTTTCAGAAGCTTGAAAGGCTCACAGTCAGTGAGTCCTCTATATGCATTTTGAGCCATTTCTGTAAAAATTACTGAGCACATTTTTAAGAAACTTATATGGCACAACGGTAAACATTATATTCAACCACATCACCTATTCATGTTTCCAAAATCCCACTTCTAAGTGATTTCAAAAAGAAAGTTGGCAAAAGAGATTTCAAATACTATCATTTATCACTCGGTTGGAGAATATCACTTATAAACTACTCAAGGGGAAAAAACTAATTTTGCAGGTTCAACTTGTAAGGTCAGCTACTGAAGTGATTATTATTATTATTTAGTTCTGATTTTCAAAGGAAGACATTTGTGAAAATTTGAAAAAAATTATAAAGTGGTTTTCAAAGCATGAATGTTGGCATTACATGTCATAAAACATGGAAACCTTGGTATATAAAATGTTACAAATACATTGAATTACACAACTTTGGTACTTAATTGTTTTTAATAAATAGCATATCACAGCGAGAGCAAAATAACTTGATTGAAACCATAGATTTTAACCATGGATATCATGTAGAGAAAATAAAAAGGAGCAAAGAAGTAAAAAAAAAAAAAGAGAGAGAAAAGAGTTAGAATACTTAGATACACAATCATTGAAGACATTATTAGAGCAGAGATCAAAAATATGTGCTCCACAGAGACTGGATCCAGTATGTCAAAAATCCAAAGAGTTGAAGAGAAATTCTATGTTCAGCTACCTGGGTGGATCTTTGAAATTATAGTTCCAAGAAATAGATGGATGTGCTTTTTTTTTTTTTCAAATACATACTCTGATGGGCACTTATTGCATGCATTTTAGAGTAAAGCTAACCTAGTTCCCACCTAGTTCTACACCCGTTGTTTAAACTGTTTCAGTCTGTTTCATCATCCATAAAATGGTGCTAAGTAACAGTTTTTGAAGGAATCAAATGAGATAATATTAAAATTTCAACATACTGTCAGGCAAGTAATAAGATGGTTTAGTCTCTCACTATCTCACTATCACCCCAACAAAATTCCCCAATCCTGGCCAACCATCCAAAATCAGACAAATATGTTCAACTGTTGGGAACTAATGGCACATAAAATTTTCTGAGTTTAGCCTATTTTTTAAAAGTTTATTTCTTGATTATAATAAAGCCATCAATAGGATAAGAGTGATAAAGTTTGCAACATGATATTATGAGTTATATGGCATTAGAACCAGGCATTTTATAATATCATTTTATAGAGCAGATATTCCTCTTTAAATTTGGAACTTATGTTGGTTGGTTGTGGCCAAGAAATCCCAGGTTGGGGTTTTTTGATCATGCATGCTTAATACTTGTGAGTTCTCCAAGAAATAAGATATATAGGTAAACTAGGAAAGTAGGGGAAAGGTATACACATATAAGAAATATGGGTAGAGATAAATTAAACAAGATTCTTTTGTGCTTAGGTATACTGGCCCAACATATTGTATTTTCTCTCTTCTGGATCTCAGTGATACCATTAACCCAGCTGCTAGAGACAGAAACTTAGAATTTATCTTTGTTTCCACCAACACATTTTCCAGAGAGTCACCAGGTTTGATAAATTCTGTGTCCTAACTGTCATTGAACTCTATCGCCTAAACTTTCCATTTCCTCTAGGTGAGGCCATTTTCATCTCTTGCCTGGAGAACAATTCCCTAAATACAGTCTTTCTTCTCTCTCATCTATGGTCTTATATCTCCTATAGTGGTCTTCCTAAAACATAGCAATCATGCCAGTTCCATGCTCACATACGTTCAATGGCCCCACAGCCTGCCCAATAATGTCAACATGTTACCAGCAAAATTTTTTATCCTGCTGACTCCAAACCCTTCATTAACATTTAACTCATTTAACTCCTCTGTAAAGGCTTCTCTGATGTCCCCAAGTGTACTTAATATTAGAAATCTAAGAATATATCATACATACATAATCATATTTATTTTTCTATATGTTTGTTTTTTAAAAGTCAAAAAAACATTGAGGCCTACTCAGAACTTTGCACTGGGATTGACAAAAGTATCCTGTAGATACTACTAACTAAACTTTTAATTCTCTTATTACTTTTTTATTATGTGGCATACAAAATTTTAAGAAAATTGACATTGTTAGAGAACAAGGAAAATAACTGTTTCAGAGAGCTAGAGTGATGTCAGCAAGAGGCTAACTAGACTTATTTGGCTCTCATCCCCTGACAAAAAGGAAACAAAACAACAAATAAACAACTACAACTACTGTTTGACTGCAGTGACTGAGGAAGTATGTTATGAAGCAACACGGAAATGACAAAATACCTCTGGACCACAGAAACCTAGTATACCAACATAGAGAGGAGAGCAAAGCATTCTGCCTTGGCCACACTATCTCTCCTGCAGGGATCAGATTGGAGTCAAAGGGGACTTATTCTTGCAGCAAAAAGGTAATCTAGAGACCCTTGGTGGTCCCCATCACTGCCACAGATGTGAGTGGCACATTTTATTGCTACAGGAGGGTCCCCCAGTCCTCACAGGCCCCAAGCTCAGTGTGGAAAGTTGTTGGGAGTCCATGTGGATACATTGCTCCAGAGCAGAAACCCCCATCGTATGCTCTACTCTGACAACCTGAGCTGATACACCATGGTGCCATCTTGAAACTAGACCCACAGGTGCAACGCGTCCTGCCCTGGGAGCCAATGACCACCAACCTCGTCCATTCCTAAGACGCTACTGTCATTCCACTAAGTTAACATGCATGCCTGCAGTAGCAATTCCCCTACCTTCTGCAACCTAGGAAGGAATGACCAAGACCTTAATGGCTGAAACCATGAGGTACCCTATCCCCCAGAAAAACAGGTGGATCTGCACAACAGGGAACTCTCACCCAGAAAACTAGCCCACATGTTCCCACCCCTGGCTCAACAACCTGCTTAAAGGAGGCCTTGCCCCATCAAAATAAGCTCCCACTTAACTTCCTGGCCTGAACACACCCAGCCCTGGGCTGAAAACCTGCATGGAGGTGGCCTTGCTCCACTGGAGAGATTGTAAAGTTGTCAAGCTTTGCATGCACCTTTTCTCAGCATGACAGTCACCAGGGGAAATGGTCTTGCCCTACCAGAGAGAAACCTAGACAGCCAGCCAAGAGGTGCCCTGCCTTCCCTAGGAAAAAGCCCTCCTCAGCTGCCTAACTCTCATGTGCCCATCCTTGTCCTGACAGCAGGACTGAAGGTGGCCCCAGCCTACTGGAGAGAGCCAGTACAGCCACTCAGCCCATGCTGGCAGGAGAGCCAGCCCAGAGGTGGCCCACCTGAACATAGAAAATCCTGCACAGCTGCCAGGCTCTCATTTGCCTGCCAGCAACAAAACAGCCAGCCTGGAGGTGGTCCATCTTGCTGAAGAGAGTCCTGCACAGCCATTCAGTCAGCCCTTGGCCCAGTGCTTAGGTTTATTAACCCAGTGCTTAGGTATATTGACCCAACATATTGTATCTTCTCTCTTCTGGATCTCAGTGATACCATTAACCTAGTTGCTGTAAACAGAAATTTAGAATTTATCTTTGTTTCCACCATCACATTTTCCAAAAAGTCACTAGCCTGGAGGCAGCCCCACTCCCCCTGGCCCGAGGGCAGTCCCACTTCCCCACCTGCAGAGAGAGCTTTCTGCCTGACAATCAGCCTAAGGGAGGCTTCATACCCCTGCAGAGCCTGACATATAAAAAACCCTAAAGACTCCCCCAAAAAAAAAAAAAAAAAAAAAAAAAAACCATTAGAACTAATAAACAAGTTCATTAAAATTGCAGGATAAAAAATCAATGCACCAAAATCAGTAGCATTTATATATGCCAATAACAGACTATCTAAAAAAGAAATCAAGAAAATAAGCAAGGAAGTAAAAGATCTCTCCACTGAAAATTATAAAATATTTATTAAATAAATTGAAGAAAACACAAACAAGTGAAGACATATTCAATGTTTACGGATTGGAAGAATCAATATTGTTATAATGCCAATTGCAACCAAAGAGATCTACAGAATTGATGCAATTCCTATCAAAATACCAATGACATTTCACAGAAATAGAAAAATAAATCCAAAAATGTATATGGAACCACAAAGACCTCAAATAGCCAAAGCAATGCTAAACAGAAAAAGAACAAAGCTGGAGGTATCACACTCATTACCTAACTTCAAAATATACCACAAGGCTATAGTAACCTAAACATCATGGCACTAGCATAAAAATGGAACACATAAATCAATGAAATGAATGGAAGCCCCTGAAATAAATTCGCCTACCTATAGCCAACTGATTTTCAACACAGGTACCAATAGGGCAAATTGGGGAAAACCCAGTCTCTTCAATAAATGGTGCTAGAATATGACAAAAACCCTTCTTCCCACCATATACAAAAATAAACTAAAAATAGTTTACATACATACATGTAAGACCTGAAACTATGAAACTACTAGAAGGAAACATAGGTAAATGCTTTACAACATTGGGGCTGGGCAAAGATTTTTAAAATACGACCTCAAAAGCTCTGCAACAAACTCAAAAATAGGCAAATTGAATTTCATCAAACTGAAAAGCTTTTGCATAGCAAAGGAAATGAGTGAAGGGACAACCTGCAGAATGTGAGAAAATATTAGCAAACTTCCCATCTGACATAATGTTAATATTCATAATATATAAACACTTTAAACAACTCAAAAACAAAATAACCCAATTTTTTTTTAAATCAGCAAAAGACCTTAATAGTCACTTTTCAAAAGAAGGCATACAAATATCCAAAGGTAAATGAAAAAAAACTCAACATCGCTATTCATCAGGGAAATGCTAATCAAAACCTCAACAAGATAACACCTGACTCTAGTTAGAATGGCCATTACCAAAGACAAAAGTGTCAGACAGGATATGGAGAAAGGGAACACTTACACATTGTTGTTGGGATTACAGATTAATAGAGCACTATGAAAAACATTATAGAGGTTCCTCATTAAATTAAAAATAGAATTACCATATGTTCTTGCAATCTCATTACTGGGCATATATCCAAAGAAAGTGAAATTAGTATGTTGAAAAGATGTCTTAACTCCCATGTTTATTGCAGCTCTATTCACAATAGCCAAGACGTGGAATCAACTCACGTGTCAAACAATGGATGAATATTTAAAGAAAATGTGGTATATATCATCAGTGGAATGCTATTCAACCATAAAAAAGATGAGACACAGAAAGACAAATACTCCATGATCTCACTATTATGTGGAATCTAAAAAAAAAAAAGTTGCTATTATGGAAGCAGAGAGTAGAACACTGGTTAACAGAGACTGGGGAAGGGAGGGGAAGATGGGAAGAGATTGATCAGATAGTACAAGATTACTATTAGAAGAAATAAGTTCTGATGCTCTATTGTACAGTAGGGTGATGATGGTTAACAATATCGTATAATGTATTACAAAATAGATCAAAAAGAGGCTTTTGAATGGTCTTACTATACAGAAATGATAAATTCATGAAGCGATAGATATGCTAAATACCCTGATTTGATTGTCATATGTATCAATAAATCAAATTGAACCTCATAAATATATACAATTACAATTTACCAATTAAAATTTTTAAAAAAATTGAAAAGAAAGTAACTCAGTAGTAAAGAGTATCCATTAACAAGGAAACAAGATAAGCCATAATTGACGGCAAGGAAAATACTGTAATTTCAATGATATTTCCACTGCAGTTTTATTAAGTAAATAAGCCAAGGAGCTATATGAATTATTTGTTAAGACACGCACACACATACACACACACACACAAAAACAGGTGTGTAGGTAAGTTTTCATAATTAAGGTATAAATGATTCATATAATAATAACAGACATATAGAGGTACCAAGCCGGATGTCAAGTAGAAGTGAAACTAGTGAAACTACAAAGCATTGTAATTATCTGCTGTGAATAACACTATCCCAAATTCTGAAAGAAGTATGTAACAAAATCATTAAATACAATCTTGTAATTAGAGTGTGCATAGATGTATACTTTTATGAGATTCCCATGAAATCTTAAATGCCATAACATTTTGAGGTAATATCTCAGCTTCCTTCATGTAAGTCCACTGTAAGTTCCAGTAGCACAAAACTACTTTTCAGACACAAAAAGTCATATTTTCATAGTCTCCCAAAACGAGTGGGACATGATAGCCATGTAAGCAACACCTGAAGCAAAACATTAAAAAGTTTAAATGTGGCCAGGTGCAGTGGCTCACACCTATAATCTCAGCACTTTGGGAGGCCGAGGTGAGTGGATCACCTGAGGCCAGGAGTTCGAGACCAGCCTGACCAACATGGAGAAACCCTGTCTCTACTAAACATACAAAATTAGCCAGGCGTGGTGGTGCATGGCTGTAATCCCAGCTATTCAGGAAGCTGAGGGAGGAGAATCACTTGAACCCGGCAGGCAGAGTTTATGGTGAGCAGAGATCACGCCAATGCACTGCAGCCTGGGCAACAAGAGTGAAACTCTGTCTCAAAAAAAAAAAAAAAAGTTTAAATGTACATTTAACACGATCATGGAAATATAAAATGAAGAACAATTAAAAGCTTCACACACATTCACACACATACACAGATATATATGACTAATTACATATAACGATTAATTGTTTAACAAATTCGGCAAAAACCCCTCAAGAGGAATGCTAAGGAAGGCATGAAAGGAGAGAAATATGCATGCTAACTGCCTGATGCAAGCATAGAATGATGAATTTACCAATTTGGGAATTTAATGACACTTTAAAAATCTACAGATAAAACCCTAGAACACTAAAGTTTAAGAAGAACCCCAAGACAATAGGATGATTTCCATCATTTTTTAAAAATGCAATGAAAATGTTCAAATGGTATTATTGGCATAGAGAAAAATGTATTTCCTCAAAACATCTTGAAATAAAATGATCAACCCTGAAAAGAGAAGTGTCCTTTCCAGCCACAGAGTGATCTAACACAGCTCTAATAACATTTGCAAGTAGAACCTAGTCACTCATGCTGAGAGGTAAAATCTTTTCCAAGTTTTAGCTTCTTCATGGTAGCTTCGAAAAAGGAAAAAATAATGCCAACTGTGATGTAGGAAGTTGGCAAATACTAACTAAACGAAAACAACATTTAACAGCTGTTCATGGGATAACAGCTTTCTCTAACTCCTACTGGGAGCCAAATGTACTAAGGTGAAGCTGAGGTAAAAGGTGAGGTTTCTTGTTATCTTTAGGAACATTCTATTCTTTTCACTTAATATCTTAAAACATTAATAAGACATGAACATATCCAGAATAAGCACAGTAACTATTACAATAACTTATAATTAACACTAAGTGGTTTGGTTTCAATTCATGAAGTATGAAGAAAAGTAGGTTCCAACAACAAATTAACTGTAGAGAATCTGAGAAAAAGGATAGTTTATCATTTTGTCTCATTAGGTTTTCTTTGATTTGTTATTACTTTTTATTTTTCTTTCTTTTCTTTTTTCTCTTTCTTCCTTTTCTTCTTCTTCTTCTTTTTTTTTAATAAAGTCAAAGTGGCATAACATGCTTTCCTAAAAAATGAGTCCAGGAGAATTACTTTTGTTCAACATCATAATGGGCACTACTTTCTACTGTGAATGTTTTCTTTCTGAAAGCTCCACTTCTACTTTCCTGCTGACTACCTACCAGCTAGTATTGTTAAAGAAAAGATGAAGGATTAAAGTATCCAGCCTTCCCCCAAGCAGCTAGTTCTTAAAATAGACGTTTCTGTAAAGTGAATGGCTGCTGTCTTTCCTACGGTGGCCAGATTTACAAAATGAGAAAATAAAGAGAGAGAACAAATGAAGAAAGAGACATAAACATAGCTTCTCTGGATGGATTTTTCAAGATAAGAGGCTGAATGGGGAGATACCTATGAAATTTTAAAAAATCACAGGATGACACTGAAAAATATAGTGTCTGACTCCCTTGGGCAATGAGGAGCTCACAACATGTGAACAACTTTGAGAAAAAGTACATCTAAAAATAGAGGCAAAAATGCCTCTGCTAAACTTGACTTTAAATATTTATTCCATGTATCCTTCAAATCTTTTCTAAAATATTTTAGTCTCCCTATATTTTAATGTGTCAACTAATTTTTATTTCCTTAACATTTTAAAAACTATAGAGGGCAAACATGACCCTATCTTCCGACTCCTAGTGCACACCTTGAGAGCAGTTCCTAGTTGCTGGTGTTAGATATGCCGGATTCATAAGTGTTCAATAAATATTTGATAATAGAATAATGAAAAAATAACACAATTATATTTCCTCTTTCTCCTAAAACATTTGCAATAAAATCAAGAAAGGGCATAAGTGAGACTATATATATATACACACACACATATTTATATGTATCATACATCTCATATATAGATATATATATTAGATATATATATATCACAGTTTCTTTATCCACTCGTTGATTGATGGGCATTTGGGTTGGTTCCACATTTTTGTAATTACGAATTGTGCTGCTATATAAATGCATGTGCAAGTATCTTTTTCATATAATGACTTATTTTCCTCTGGGTAGATACCCAGTAGTGGGATTGCTGGATCAAATGGTAGTTCTACTTTTACTTCTTTAAGGAATCTCCACACTGTTTTCCATAGTAATTGTACTAGTTTACATTCCTACCATCACTGTAGAAGTGTTCCCTGTTCACCGCATCCATGCGAACAACTATTTTTTTTTATTATTTTTTTTTTATTATGGCCATTCGTTCAGGAGTAAGGTGGTATCACACTGTGGTTCTGATTTGCATTTCCTTGATAATTAGTGTATGTAGAGCATGTTTTTCATGTTTGATGGCCATTTCTATATCTTCTTTTGAGAATTGTCTATTCATGTCCTTAGCCCACTTTTTGATGGGATTATTTGTTTTTTTTCTTGCTGATTTTTTTGAGTTAGTTATAGATTCTGGATATTAGTTCTTTGTCAGATGTATAGATTGTGAAGGTTTTCTCTCACTCTGTGGGTTGTCTGGTTACTCTGCTGACTGTTCTTTTTGGCATGCAAAAGCTCTTTAGTTTAATTAAGTCCCAGCTATTTATCTTTGTTTTTATTGCATTTGCTTTTGGGTTCTTGGTCATGAAATCCTTCCCTAAGCCAATCTCTAGAAGGGTTTTTCCAATGATTTCTTCTAGAGTGTTTATAGTTTCAAGTCTTAGGTTTAAGTCCTTGATCCATCTTGAGTTGATTTTTGTATAAGGTAAGAGAACAGAATCCAGTTTCATTTTCCTACGTGTGGCTAGCCAATTATCCCAGTACCATTTGTTGAATAGGGTGCCCTTTGCCCACTTTATGTTTTTGTTTGCTTTGTCAAAGATCAGTTGGCTGTAAGTATTTGGGTTTATTTCTGGGTTATCTATGCTGTCCCTTTGTTGTATATGCCTATTTTTATAACAGTACCATTCTGTTTTGGTGACAATGGCCTTATAGTAGTTGGAAATCAGTTAATGTGATGCCTTCAGATTTCTTCTTTTTGCTTAGTCTTGCTTTGGCTATGCGGGCTCTCTTTTGGTTCCTTATGAACTTTGGGATTGCTTTTTCTAATTCTGTGAAGAATGGTGGGGGTGTTGATGGGCATAGCATTGAATTTGTAGATTGTATTTGGCAGTATGGTCATTTTCACAATAATGATTCTACCCATCCATGAGCTTGGGATGTGTTTCCATTTGCTTGTGTCGTCTATGATTTCTTTCAGCAGTGTTTTGTAGTATCCTTTGTAGAGGTTTTTCACCTCCTTGGTTAGGTATAGTCCTAAGTATTTTATTTTATTTTTTGCAGCTATTGTAAAATGTGTTGAGTTCTTGATTTGATTCTCCAATTGGTCGCTATTGGTGTATAGAAGAGTTACTGATTTATGAACATTAATTTTGTATCTGAAAACTTTGCTGAATTCTTTTATCAGTTCTTGGAGCTTTCCGGAGTAGTCTTTAGAGTTTTCTAGGTAAACAATCATATTATCAGCAGACAGCGACAGTTTGACTTCCTCTTTACTGATTTGGATGTCCTTTATTTCCTTCTCTTGTCTGATTGCTCTTGCTAGGACTTCCAGTACTATGCTGGAGAGGAGTGGTGAGAGACGGCATCCTTGCCTTGTTCGATTTCTCACAGGGAATGATTTCAACTTTTCCCCATTCAGTATTATGTTGGCCGTGGGTCTGTCATAGGTGGCTTCTATTACCTTGAGGTATGCCCCTTGTATGCCAATTTTGCTGAGAGTTTTAATCATAAAGTCATGCTGGATTTTGTCGAAGGATTTGTCTGCATCTATTGTGATGATGATGTGATTTTTGTTTTTAATTCTCTTTATGTGGTGTATCACATTTATTGACTTGCATATGTTAAACCATCCCTGCATCCCTGGTATGAAACCCACTTGATCACGGTGTATTATCTTTTTGATACGTTGTTGGATTCTGTTAGCTAGTATTTTGTTAAGGATTTTAGTGTCTGTGTTCATCAGAGATATTGGTCTGTAGTTTTTTTTTTTTCTTTTTTTTTTTTTTTCTTTTTTGGTTATGTCCTTTCCTGGTTTTGGTATTAGGGTGATACTGGCTTCATAGAATCAATTAGGGAGGTTTCTCTCTTTCTCTATCTTGTCAAATAGTGTCAACAGGATTGGCACCAATTCTTCTTTGACTGTCTGGTAGAATTCTGCTGTGAATCTGTCTGGTCCTGGACTTCTTTGTGTTGGTAATTTTTTGGTGGTATTTTGTTTTTGTGTTTGTTTTTTTTGAGACAGAGTCGCACTCTATCACCCAGGCTGCAGTGCAGTGGCATGATCTCAGCCCACCACAACCCCCGCCTCCCAGGTTCAAGCAATTCTCCTGCCTCAGCCTCCCGAGTAGCTGGGATTATAGGTGCGCACCACCACACCTGGCTAATTTCTGTATTTTTAGTAGAGATGGGGTTTCACCATGTTGGCCAGGCTGGTCTCAAACTCCTGACCTCAGGTGATCTGCCCGCTTTGGACTCCCAAAGTGCTGGGATTACAGGCGTGAGCCACTGTGGCCAACTGGTAATTATTTTTATTACCATTTCAATCTCATTGCTTGTTACTGGTCTATTCAGGGCACCTGATTCTTCCTAATTTAAGATAAAAAGGTTGTATCTTTCCAGAAATGTATCCATCTCCTTTAGGTATTCCAGTTTATGTGCATAAAGGTGTTCACAGTAGCCTTGAACGATCTTTTGTATTTCTGTGGTGTCAGTTGTAATCTCTACCGTTTCATTTCTAACTAAGCTTGTTTGAATTTTCTCTTCTCTTTTCTTGGTTAATCTTGCTAATGTCTATCAATTGTATTTATCTTTTCAAAGAACCAGCTTTTTCTTTCATTTCTCTTTTGTATTTTTTTTGTTTCAATTTCATTTAGTTCTGCTCTGATATTGGTTATTTCCTTTCTTCTGCTGGGTGTGGGTTTGGTTTGTTCTTGTTTCTCTAGTTCCTTAAGTGTGACCTTAGATTGTCTGTGTTCTTTCAGATTTTTTAATGTAGGCATTTAGGGCTATGAACGTTCCTCTTAGCACCACCTTTGCTGTATGCCAGAGATAGGTTGTGGCATATATCGTTTTATTTTTTTTCTATCTTATGTAATACATATTTGTTGAACCCAAGGTTGCAAAAAATATTTCCCTATTTTCTTCTAGATGTTTTATACTTTAAACTTTACCCAAGCTAAATTTTGTGTGTCAGAAGTGGTAAGGATTGAACTACTAAAAATGTGTTTATTTTGCCCTTTAAATAATTTTTAATTGTGGTAAAATATACATAACATAAAATTTACCCTCTTAAGCATTTTTTTTTTTTTTTTTTTTTTTTTGAGACGGAGTCTCGCTCTGTCACCCAGGCTGGAGTGCTGTGGCGCGATTTCGGCTCACTGCAAGCTCCGCCTCCCGGGTTCACACCATTCTTCTGCCTCGGTCTCCCGAGTAGCTGGGACCACAGGCACCCACCACCATGTCCAGCTAATTTTCTTTGTTGTTGTATTTTTAGTAGAGAAGGGGTTTCACCGTGTTAGCCAGGATGGTCTCAATCTCCTGACCTCATGATCCACCCGCCTCGGCCTCTTAAGCATTTTTAACTGCAGAGTTCAATATTATTAAGCACATTCACATTGTTGTGCAACCAATCTCCAGAACATTTTCATGTTGTGAAACTGAAACGCTATACCCATTAAACAGCTCACCATTTTTCCCTTCCCTCAGCCTACAGTAACGCCCTTCTACTCTCTATCTCTATAAATTTGACTAATCTAGGTACCTATGTAAGTGGAATCATACAGTGGCTATTTTTTGCGACTAGCTTATTTCACTTTGCGTAATGACTACAAGGTTCATCCCTGTTGCAGCATGTTTCAGAATTTTTCTTCCTTTTTAAGACTGAATGGTATTCCACTGTATACAACGTTTATCTATTCATCCATCAATAGACTTTTGGGTTGCTTCCACATTTTGCTATTGTGAATGATGCTCCTATGAACATGAGTGTACAAAGATCTCAAGGCCTCACTTTGACTTACTTTACGTATATAACCAGAAGTAAAACCTTTGGATCATATGGTCTGTTTAAATTTTGTTTAGGAACCACCATACCGTTTTCTGTAATGATAGCATCATTTAACATTTCCACCATTAGAACACAAGAGTTCCAATTGTTCTACATTTTAACCAATACTTGTTATTTGCTATTTTTCTGATATTAGCCATCCAATGGGTATGAATAATACCTCGTGGTTGTTTTGATTTGGATTTCCCTAATTATTAGGGATGTTGAGTATCTTTTCACATGCTTGTTGGTCATTTGTATATCTTCGTTAAAGAAGTGTCTATTCAACTTATTTGCACATTTAAAAAATCAGATTGTTTAGTTTTCTGTTTTTGAGTTGGAGAAGTTGTTTATATATTCTAGATATTAACCTCTGATCAGATATATGATTTACAAATATCTCCTCCTATTCTGTAGGTAGCCTTTTCACCCTGCTAATTGTATCCCTTGATACACAGAACTTTATAATTTTGATATAGTACAATTTATTTTTACTTGTATTGCTTGTATTCTTGGTGTCATATGCAAAAAATCATAGCTAAATCCAATGTCAGAAGGCATTTCCCTATGTTTTCTTCTAAGAGATTTATAGTTTTAGGTGATTATATTTAAGTCCTTGATCCATTTCAAGTTAACCGTTTTATATGGTATAAGGTAAGGGTCCAACTTCTTTTGCATGTGGATATCTAGTTTTCCCAGCAGCAATTGTTGAAACGGCTGTCTTTTCCCCATTAAATAGTAAGAACTTAATTTTATTTCTTTCCATGTGGATATCCAATAGTTCTAGCACTATTGTTTCCCCTAGTTATTTTTAAAGTCTTGACAAAAACAATTCACTATATATGTGTACATTTATTTCTGCGCTTTCTAATTTGTTCCATGGGTCCATATGCTTACAAATACCATGTTATTTTGATTATTCTAATTCTATAGTATGTATTAAAATTAGAAAGTGTAAGTTTCCAAATTTCTTTGCATTTTTAAATTTTTAAAAATTTCATATTTTGGACTATCCTAGAAATTTCACATTTACATACAAATTTTAGAATCAACTTGTCATTTTTTATTAAAAGAATTCTTTCATAGATTTTACAGTGATTAAATGAAATCTAAAGGTCAATTTAATAAAAATTAATAACTTCAAAATATTGTCTTCTAACCAATAAACATGGCTTATCTCTTCATTTATTTATATACTCAATTTCTCTCTGAAACATTTTATAAATTTCTATGAGTCATATATTTTTTCTTAAATTTGTCTTAAAGCATTCTATGACTGAATGATTTTGTAAATGGTGTTATTTTTATAATTTGTTTTTAATAGTATTTTACTAGTATATAAGATACAATTGACTTTTTATATATTAAACTTGAATCTTGTGACTTTGCTAAATTTGCTTATTAGTTCTAGTAGCTTTTTGTATATTTATTTGGACTTTCTACATATTGGAACATGACATTTGAAAATTACAAGTTTACATGCTTCTTTTCAAACTCTATTCCTTTAATTCATTTTTCTTCCTTTATTACAATGCTAGAATGTCCATTACAACGTTAGACAGAAATTGAGAGAGTAGACATTTTGTCCTATTCCCAATCTTGTGTAGAAAGCATTCAGTTTTTACCCTTAGGTATGATGTTTACTCTAGGTTTATGTAGGTGCCCATATTCAGAGTGAGAAAACAATCTTTTTCAATTTTGGTGTGATATTCAATATGATAAATGGGCATTAAATTTTGGCAAATCTCTTTTGCTCTTCTGTTTAGATAATTATATAGTTGTCCCCATTTACTCTCTCAATATACATTTTAAATTAAATTGATTTTCAAGTGTTAAATGAAACTTGCATTTGGGAATAAATCCTGCT
Source organism: Homo sapiens (assembly GCF_000001405.40). Lineage (NCBI taxonomy): Eukaryota > Metazoa > Chordata > Mammalia > Primates > Hominidae > Homo > Homo sapiens. The sequence goes on along the minus strand of NC_000003.12, from coordinate 174,834,116 downwards.
TTTAACATGTCACAGTTTGCTTCTTTTCAAACTCTATTCCTTTAATTCATTTTTCTTCCTTTATTACAATGCTAGAATGTCCATTACAACGTTAGACAGAAATTGAGAGAGTAGACATTTTGTCCTATTCCCAATCTTGCGTAGAAAGCATTCAGTTTTTACCCTTAGGTATGATGTTTACTCTAGGTTTATGTAGGTGCCCATATTCAGAGTGAGAAAACAATCTTTTTCAATTTTGGTGTGATATTCAATATGATAAATGGGCATTAAATTTTGGCAAATCTCTTTTGCTCTTCTGTTTAGATAATTATATAGTTGTCCCCATTTACTCTCTCAATATACATTTTAAATTAAATTGATTTTCAAGTGTTAAATGAAACTTGCATTTGGGAATAAATCCTGCTTTTAACATGTCACACCTTTTTCATATATAGCTGCATTGAATTTGATAGTATTTTGTTAATGATATGTATGTTCAGATTTATGATATACATAAAAGTATAGTTTTTTTCTGGAAGTTTTTTATTTGTCTAGTTTTATGTTTAATCAGGGCAAAACTGGCTTCATAATATACGTGGGCAAGTTTTTCCTCTTCCTTTATTTTCCAAGATTTGTGCAGAACTGATATTTCATCCTTAAATGTATGATACTATTTGCTAGTGAAGCCATCTAAGCCTGGAGCTTCCTTTCTGGAATGGTTTTTAACTACAAATTTGTTTTGCTTAACTGTAATAGGGCTGTTAAGTTTTTCTTTCTCTTTATGAGTCAGTATTGATAGTATGTGTCCTTCAGAAATTTGTTCACTTCATCTGAGATGTTCAATGAATTTACATAATAAAAAGCTGTTACTTTCCAGAGACCTAACAGACTAAGAAAATGACCTTGACATTTCTCATTTTTTATTAACCAAAGTTATCTCCTTCTTTTACAGATATGATCATTTAAAAGTACATACAGAAAAAAGTAGAACTTATATAACAAATGATTTTATTCTCAGAAACAGTATTAACTTTTAAAATTAAATAGACAGTATTTAAAAGTTAATACTATTTCTGAGAATGGAAGAAAGTGAAGGAAGTGGGGTAGAATGGGTAGATACAGAAGTAATACAGATGTAGAGAGATGTAGATGTAGAAACATAGTCATAGCTGTAGGTATGAATAGAAATATAAATGCTAATATACATTAGATTTTGAAACATGTTAAATTACACGACGACATCTTTTTTGTTGGACTTTAGAAGCAGGGAAATGTGGATTTAGTCCAGCCACTACTTGCTTTCAGTATGACCTTGAACAAATTAGTTCATTTCTCTAAGCTTCAATTCTTTCTTTAAAACAGAGGTAATATTGGCCAGGTGCAGTGGCTCACGCCTGTAATCCCAGCACTTTGGGAGGCTGAGGCGGGCGGATCACGACGTCAAGAGATCGAGACCATCTTGGCTAACACGGTGAAACCCTGTCTCTACTAAAAAATACAAAAACAAAATTAGCCGGATGTGGTGGCAGCCACCTGTAGTCTCAGCTACTCGGGAGGCTGAGGCAGGAGAATGGCGTGAACCTGGGAGGCAGAGCTTGCAGTGAGCTGAGATCGAGCCACTGCACTCCAGCCTGGATGACAGAGCCAGACTCCATCTCAAAAAAACAACAACACCACAGGGCAATCAAACTAGAACTCAGGATTAAGAATCTCACTCAAAACCGCTCAACTACATGGAAACTGAACATCCTGCTCCTGAATGACTACTGGGTACATAACGAAATGAAGGCAGAAATAAAGATGTTCTTTGAAACCAACGAGAACAAAGACAAAACATACCAGAATCTCTGGGACACATTCAAAGCAGTGTGTAGAGGGAAATTTATAGCACTAAATGCCCATAAGAGAAAGCAGGAAAGATCCAAAATTGACACCCTAACATCACAATTAAAACAACTAGAAAAGCAAGAGCAAACACATTCAAAAGTTAGCAGAAGGCAAGAAATAACTAAAATCAGAGCAGAACTGAAGGAAATAGAGACACAAAAAACCCTTCAAAAAATTAATGAACCCAGGAGCTGGTTTTTTGAAAGGATCAACAAAATTGATAGACCGCTAGCAAGACAAATAAAGAAAAAAAGAGAGAAGAATCAAATAGACGCAATAAAAAATGATAAAGGGGATATCACCACCGATCCCACAGAAATACAAACTACCATCAGAGAATACTACAAACACCTCTACGCAAATAAACTAGAAAATCTAGAAGAAATGGATAAATTCCTCGACACATACACTCTCCCAAGACTAAACCAGGAAGAAGTTGAATCTCTGAATAGACCAATAACAGGATCTGAAATTGTGGCAATAATCAATAGCTTACCAACCAAAAAGAGTACAGGACCAGATGGATTCACAGCCGAATTCTACCAGAGGTACAAGGAGGAACTGGTACCATTCCTTCTGAAACTATTCCAATCAATAGAAAACGAGGGAATCCTCCCTAACTCTTTTTATGAGACCAGCATCATTCTGATACCAAAGCCAGGCAGAGACACAACAAAAAAAGAGAATTTTAGACCAATATCCTTGATGAACATTGATGCAAAAATCCTCAATAAAATACTGGCAAAACGAATCCAGCAGCACATCAAAAAGCTTATCCACCATGATCAAGTGGGCTTCATCCCTGGGATGCAAGGCTGGTTCAATATATGCAAATCAATAAATGTAATCCAGCGTATAAACAGAACCAAAGACAAAAACCACATGATTTTCTCAATAGATGCAGAAAAGGCCTTTGACAAAATTCAACAACGCTTCATGCTAAAAACTCTCAATAAATTAGGTATTGATGGGACGTATTTCAAAATAATAAGAGCTATCTATGACAAACCCACAGCCAATATCATACTGAATGGGCAAAAGCTGGAAGCATTCCCTTTGAAAACTGGCACAAGACAAGGATGCCCTCTCTCACCACTCCTATTCAACATAGTGTTGGAAGTTCTGGCCAGGGCAGTTAGGCAGGAGAAGGAAATAAAGGGTATTCAATTAGGAAAAGAGGAAGTCAAATTGTCCCTGTTTGCAGATGACATGATTGTATATCTAGAAAACACCATTGTCTCAGCCCAAAATCTCCTTAAGCTGATAAGCAACTTCAGCAAAGTCTCAGGATACAAAATCAATGTACAAAAATCACAAGCATTCTTATACACCAACAACAGACAAACAGAGAGCCAAATCATGAGTGAACTCCCATTCACAATTGCTTCAAAGAGAATAAAATACCTAGGAGTCCAACTTACAAGGGATGTGAAGGACCTCTTCAAGGAGAACTACAAACTACTGCTCAAGGAAATAAAAGAGGATACAAACAAGTGGAAGAACATTCCATGCTCATGGGTAGGAAGAATCAATATCGTGAAAATGGCCATACTGCCCAAGGTAATTTACAGATTCAATGCCATCCCCATCAAGCTACCAATGCCTTTCTTCACAGAAAAAACTACTTTAAAGTTCATATGGAACCAAAAAAGAGCCCGCATCGCCAAGTCAATCCTAAGCCAAAAGAACAAAGCTGGAGGCATCACACTACCTGACTTCAAACTATACTACAAGGCTACAGTAACCAAAACAGCATGGTACTGGTACCAAAACAGAGATATAGATCAATGGAAAAGAACAGAGCCCTCAGAAATAACACCGCATATCTATAACTATCTGATCTTTGACAAACCTGAGAAAAACAAGCAATGAAGGATTCCCTGTTTAATAAATGGTGCTGGGAAAACTGGCTAGCCATATGTAGAAAGCTGAAACTGGATCCCTTCCTTACACCTTATACAAAAATCGATTCAAGATGGATTAAAGACTTAAACGTTAGACCTAAAACCATAAAAACCCTAGAAGAAAACCTAGGCATTACCATTCAGGACATAGGCATGGGCAAGGACTTCATGTCTAAAACACCAAAAGCAATGGCAACAAAAGACAAAATTGACAAATGGGATCTAATTAAACTAAAGAGCTTCTGCACAGCAAAAGAAACTACCATCAGAGTGAACAGGCAACCTACAAAATGGGAGAAAATTTTCACAACCTACTCATCTGACAAAGGGCTAATATCCAGAATCTACAATGAACTCAAACAAATTTACAAGAAAAAAACAAACAACCCCATCAAAAAGTGGGCAAAGGATATGAACAGACACTTCTCAAAAGAAGACATTTATGCAGCCAAAAAACACATGAAAAAATGCTCACCATCACTGGCCATCAGAGAAATGCAAATCAAAACCACAATGAGATACCATCTCACACCAGTTAGAATGGCGATCATTAAAAAGTCAGGAAACAACAGGTGCTGGAGAGGATGTGGAGAAATAGGAACACTTCTACACTGTTGGTGGGACTGTAAACTAGTTCAACCATTGTGGAAGTCAGTGTGGCGATTCCTCAGGGATCTAGAACTGGAAATACCATTTGACCCAGCCATCCCATTACTGGGTATATGCCCAAAGGACTATAAATCATGCTGCTATAAAGACACATGCACACGTATGTTTATTGCGGCATTATTCACAATAGCAAAGACTTGGAACCAACCCAAATGTCCAACAATGATAGACTGGATTAAGAAAATGTGGCACATATACACCATGGAATACTATGCAGCCATAAAAAATGATGAGTTCATGTCCTTTGTAGGGACATGGATGAAATTGGAAACCATCATTCTCAGTAAACTATCGCAAGAACAAAAAAACAAACACCGCATATTCTCACTCATAGGTGGGAATTGAACAATGAGATCAGATGGACACAGGAAGGGGAACATCACACTCTGGGGACTGTTGTGGGGTGGGGGGATGGGGGAGGGATAGCACTGGGAGATATACCTAATGCTAGATGACGAGTTAGTGGGTGCAGCGCACCAGCATGGCACATGTATACATATGTAACTAACCTGCACAATGTGTACATGTACCCTAAAACCTAAAGTATAATTAAAAACAACAACAACAACAACAACAACAAAAAAAAACAGATGTAATACCTGAACCTCTTTGTATGATTGAGATAATAGTTCAATATGTAACTCAGGGCCTGATCATAATAGGCTCTCAATAAAATTTGAGTATTTTAATGATTAACATTTTTCTTTTATTGTTACAAGCTTCACAAAATATTATAATACACAATTTTTGAAGTATTTCCCAAATCACAGTGATCCTCCCTTATCTATCAATGTAGAGCATTTTGTTCTACATCATATAGCTCATCCCACAGTTTAACTGATTGGACCCATATTATACATGTAGCTCCAACTAGGAAAGTCAGAGTTTTGCACCCTGGACTGTTGATTTGGGAGTGACACAAGAAAGGGTAGGTTTATAACATGTAAATTCAGGAGCGATGTGCATAACCATGTTTATCCAAGAGTTCAGGAACCAGAAAACAGCTATTCAAAGAAGACACACTAATGAAGCTCATTTGTAGGAATATACAGAGATAAGAAATGAAAAGTGAACTTAGTTTGGCTTACTCGTGTTTTTGTTTTGTTTTGTTTTAATTAGTTTCAGTCTTTCTGAAGGCATAGCCTTTATTCCATGATACAGCAACTTTAGTTTCACTCGTTCTGAAGGCCTAGCTTTACTCCATGATACAGCAACTGAATCAGAATATATACACTCTTTCTGCCTCAATTAATGTGAGAACAACACCTCTATGATGCCAAGCAATTAAATTTATAAGAAAAGAATTTGAAAGCCTGTTCTCTAACTCGCAGACACCTTCATAGGACCAATGATACTGATATTAATCAGGGCAAGTGTAAGAAAACATTTGGGGAAAGAAGTGAAGAGCAGCTTTCTTTGTAGAGAGCCACTGCTGTGCTATAAGACTAATCCATCTTTTGGGGGGAAGATTGAGAGAATCTTTGTTGTGTTGTGTTGTGTTGTGTTGTGTGTGGTTGGTTTCAGAGACAAGGTCTTTCTCTGTCACCAGACTGGAGAGCAGTCCATTCCTGGGCTCAAGCAATCCTTTGGCCTCAACCTCCCAAGTAGCTGGGGACTACAGGTATGAGCCACCATGCCTGGCTAATTTTTAACTTTTTGTAGAGACAGGATCTCGCTATGATACCCAGCCTTCTCTCAAACTCCTGGCCTCAAGCGATCCTCTTGCCTCAGCCTCCCAAAGTGCTGAGATTACAGGCATGAGCATAGCACCCAGTCAGGAAATGATAACTTTGAGTCCCATGCCTGGGAAGAGGGACTTCAAAGGGACCATATGAAAAGCTTTGGAATATAAAATATGTTTGCTACAATTGGATGGTAAAAAGGTAGGGTCTTTGTTCATGTCCAGTAAAGCTTAATCTCCAGTAAATCTATAAGGCTAGATTTTAAAGTATTTGTCGAGTGATGGTAGGCTGTATAACGACTCCTAAAATGTCCATATCCCAATACATTGAACCTGTTTGCTTATTATGTTATATGGCAAGAGATAAATAAAGTTGCATATGCAATTAAAGTTATTAATCAGGTGACACTGAGATGGAGAAATTACCTGGGATTATCCTAGTGGGCCCAAACTAATAACCTGAATCTAAGAGTACAAGATGAACAGACACCAAAAACGGTCAGAGAGAAGTGATGTGAAACAGACTTGCTCTGATGTTGTTTGTTTTGAAGATGGAGGGAGAGGCCACAAGCCAGTAAATGTGGGGAAAAGGCAAGAAAATACTCTCCCCTCCATGCTTTCAGGAAGAAACACAGTCCTGCCAACAACACCTAGACCTTAACGCACTGAGACCCATGTTGGAATTCTGACCCATAGAACTGTAAGACAGTAAGTTTGTTTTGCTTTAAGCCACCATGTTTGTGGTAATTTGTTACAGTACAAATACAAAACTAATATACCAGTACATACTAATTACGGAACTGAAATGATGTTTATGACTTAAAGTTACTGCAAGACTATTCTATTAGGTGAGAAAAAAAAGTGAGTGAGAAGAAAAGTCATGATATCTTCCAGGATTTTCATCCAACGAAGAGAAGATTGAACTCAAGAAGTTTAAAACGGGCAATAAAAAATAAACATATAAATTTTAGGCTATGAACATATCATGAATGATTCTTATTCAATCTGCTAGTTATAATAAGAGTGCTTTTATTAATTTCTTAATTAATTTAGGCTAAAGTTAGCTGGAATTGCTTTTGTTATTTATAACCAAAGAGTTTTAATTACTAGAATTATTAAGGATAATTATTCTAACAATAGGTAGAAGTGGCCTCAGGCAGGGGTATCTGAACACCATACTCCTAGAATGGAAATGCTATCTAGGACTTCTGACTCTAAGTGCAAAACAAAATGATTTATTTTTCTTTTCTAAACAAAAATAAACCATAAAACATGCTATAAGGACTATCTGATTTTATTCTTACAAAAACCCTAAGGAAGTCAGAACTATTTTATACACTGAGAAAACTGATATTGAAAAAAGTTAAGTAATTTTGCCAAGGTCCTAAGAGATGGAATGGGCATTCAAATCCAAGTATTTCTGGCACTGAAGGTCTATGTGCTATTCATTCATTCAGGAAATGTTTACTGATTACTTATTATGTACCAGACACTGTAGTAGCTAGCTTGCCAACATTTAATGAGGCCTCACTATGTGCCAAGTAATTTGAGTATATTAATCCATATAATCCCTGTTCTGTTACTATGCCCATTTTACAGATGATACACATGCAAAAAAAGGAAAAAGAAACTTGTCTGAGGTCTTGCAAATAACAGAGCCAAAATTCAAAACAAGCATTCTAGCTCTTAGTGATGTTTAACCATTTATCTCTACTGCCACCTGTCCTAGGTGCTGAATATACATAGTCTACATTCTCACAAGGTTACTTTCTAGTTGGAAAGACAGATTAGAACAAAGTAAACAATCAAATAAGTAAGTACTCATTGTAATAGGGTTTTGTAAGGAAAGAGCAGGATGTGACATAAAAGACTAAAGAGATGTCAAAAGATTTTGTTTTGTTTTGTCTTGGATTTTGTTTGATTGTTGTTGTTGTTGTTGTTGTCGTTGTTGTTGTTGTTGTTGTTGTTTGAGATGGAGTCTCGCTCTGTCTGCCCAGGCTGGAGTGCAGTGGCGCCATCTCGGCTCACTGCAAGCTCCGCCTCCAGGGTTCACGCCATTCTCCTGCCTCAGCCTCCTGAGTAGCTGGGACTACAGGTGCCCGCCACCACGCCCGCCTAATTTTTTGTGTTTTTAGTAGAGACGAGGTTTCACCGTGTTAGCCAGGATGGTCTCAATCTCCTGACCTCGTTATCTGCCCACCTCGGCCTCCCAAAGTGCTGGGATTACAGGTGTGAGCCACTGTGCCTGGCCCTTCAAAAGATGTTTAAGGACTCAACAATTAAACAGCGAAAATTTGAGGCGTCAGCCACAGGAATGTTTAAGGAATAGGGAAGAAGGCATACTGGGTGTGATGATTAATGTAATTCTGTGTGTCAACTTGATTGGGTTAAGGGATGCCCAGATAGCTGGCAAAACATTATTTCTAGGTATATGTGTGTGGGTATTTCTGGAACAGACTGGCATTTGTATCAGTACACTGAGTAAAGAAGATCCACCCTCACCAGTGGGGGCAGGAATCATACATTCCATCCAGGGCCTAGATAGAACAAAAAGGCAGAGAAAGGGCAAATTCTCTCCCTCTCCTTAGGCTGAGAGGTCCATCTTCTTAACTTGGACATGGGAGCTCCTACTTCTTGGGTCTTTGGACTCCAGGACTTACACCAGCACCCTGACTTCCCCCAAGTTATCAGGCCTTAGGCCTTGGACTGGGAATTACTCTATGTCTCCTCCGGCCCTCAGGCCTTAAGATGCAAACTGAATTATACTGCCAGCCTTCTTGAGTCTCCAGCTTGCAGGTAGTATATCATGAGACTTCTCAGCCTCCATCATGTGTGCCAATTCCTAAAATTATTCTCCTTTTATAAATATCTGTACATATCCTACTGGTTCTATTTTTCTGGAAAATAATACACTGGGCCACATGAGAGAAAGCCTAGAGATAAAAAAAGAAACTTGGTCCTTTCTTGAAACTGAAAAAGGGCAAGTGTGTCTAAATCAAAGCTGTAAAGTAGAATTAATCAATGAGAATTGCAGTGAACAGATTTAAATATTTGGCTTCTATTTCTCATTGCTTGAAATAAAATGTCTCCAAAAAATGTATAAAATTTATTAATTAACAGTCTTATTTTTTTGATGAGTTACATATGTCATAAAGTAAATCATTTCCAGTATCCTCCATTTATCTGTTCGTAGGAACAGTATGGCCATTTTGTCCCATAAGTGACCGAAGCACAGACATAATGAATGTCAGCTCTTCCAGTTGCAGAACCAAAGGCTACACAGCACAAATAATCGCTAGGTGGTTCACTTAATGAATTATCTCCTAATTGATTGATTTATCTAGTCAGTTTTAGCTTCTGGTTAATAAACTAAACTAACTTTATTATATTCATTGTTGGTTATAAGTCAAATCACTTATGTGGATGCATGATATATAAAATCTTGTAAATACCTATAGGTAGATGTGTATAACTCAAAAATTCACAAAGTAACCAGTCATATCCTCTGGTATATTTGGAATGTGATATATTTTGCATAGTTTAGAACTTGCTTTATTTGAATATATGCCAAAGTAGTGCTTAAATTCACAATCGAAATCAGAATATTCATCAGAAATATTGGGAAAGAAAATGAATTATCAGTCGCATTCTATTGTTAGCAAGGGCAATCATGTAAACATACACTTAGAGTGTCTTCTTTCTATAGATTATTACAAATAAAATAATTCCTTATATCTACTATTTAATAAATTAAAATGTTAAATTTTACATATGCACCTTTTTCCAGTTATAATTTTAATGTAACAGACATTACAAATGACACATAATTAAATAAAATTACACTCAGCTATGATCCTAATAAAGTGTAAGCAATAAATTAGTTTATGAAACTCAATTTCCCTTAGATAATACACATTTAAGTTAGCATGGTGATTACTGCTTTTTAACCTTAATTCCCAAGAATAATAGGAGGTGTTAAAAATGAAAGAACCAATCCATTTGGCTCATAGAAGATACTAAGAATTGAAAGATTTTAAAATAAAATATATAGATTTCAATTTTATTTTATACCTTCCTGGCCAACATAGTGAAATCTCGTATCTACTAAAAATACAAAAATTAGCTGGGCATGGTGGTGCATGCCTGTAGTCCCAGCTACTCGGGAGGCTGAGGCAGGAGAATAGCTTGAACCCGGGAGGCGGAGGTTGTGGTGAGCCAAGATTGTGCCACTGCACTCCAGCCTGGCTTCCTCTGAGATTAAAATAAAACCCAAAAAGCAGATTCCAAACTAATATTGCAAAAAGAATAACTTATGTTACAGAGAATATTAAGTTTTCTTTCCTTATAATAAAGAGGAGCAAGGGCATAAAAGAATGAAATTGTTCTTGTACCACTAAAGAGCATACTCTTGTTTAAAGATGATGTTGAAGTACAATTTCATTCTTCCAAAGTGATACATATAAAATCTGTTGACCAATGCATTCCTAGTTATTTAAAGTTTCTGTAACAATCTATATTTTAATTTATGTTGCTGTATATTTGGGTCCAGTGGTCTTTTGTAAATTTGCCCTCTAGGAATACTGCAGCCTCATGCTCCAGCAAGAAATATAAAGTATTTGCTTAACAAGAATGTAGATTGGCAAAAAATCCTCCATATGGAACATTTTAATTAGGATCTTGCAATGAGAAAACAACAAAGCTTTTTTTAAGGAAAAGAAGGAGCTGTATTTGTTCTGTCTTTACAAGAAAAAAAAAAGAAGAGGAAAGAAACAAGCAAACAAACAGACAACAACAACAACAACAAAAAGGAAAACTCCAAACACTTGGGACAAAGAACAAATCTGGTTTTAAATCATACCTACTTTGATGACAGTAAATTCTTCCAAAAGCACGTATCTACAAATATAGAAAGTGCTTTAATCTTTTATATGCATTTAACAGCTTTGACAGAGATTACATTCATAATGTATACCGAAATATTATATTCAAGTGAAAAGATATGGACAGAGGAATTCTGTGTGGTGTTCTTCAATCTTTATTTTCCCATTTGTTTATTTGTGAGAATGTGTCTTTCTATTGCAAATAGATAAAAAATATTAAGTGCTTTTGACAAGGAGAAACAAAAATTGAATTGCAAGCAAAAGGCTAAACAAAGTAAGAGTCTATATTATACATTTTCCAATCATTCAGGCCACCAATTCTCTCCCCAGATCCTCAGAGTTCCCATAGTTGCATTCTGGTTGAACATCTGTCTGAGTACAAATCATACCTTCCATACCTTTCTGCCTTTGGACAAATTTCCCTATACCCAAAATGCACCTACCTATAGCATAGGTGATATATCTATATATACATCATATATTACATATAAATCAAGACCCAGCTCAGCTCTTGGATCACTTTTCTGAGCTGATTTTCTCTAGCCTTCTCCCTTGTTCCCAAGTCCAGTTATCCATCTCTGGCTACGTGTTCCTGTAACAGTTACGCAGCTCATTTGTGGGCAGAAATTACCAATGTCTGTGCATGAGTCAGATCAACCCTGTTGATTTTTATATTTGGCCCAAAAGTGTTGTTTTCTTTTTAAACTGGTCCAATATTTTTATATGATTTCCCATAAAATTCCAGACTTCTAGCTTTTCTAGAGAAGAAAAAATATCTGGCATTTTTACATCATAAAAATATCTGAGAATGGACCAGCTCCTGTGCAATAAGCAGGGGCCGTCGGGTTTATCACCTTCCTTCTTATCTTCCCACTCAGGGTCTATCCGCTCTCATATAGTGTTATATTTGCTCGCTCACTCTCTCTCTCCCCCTCTCCCTCCGCCCTGTGTGTGTGTTTGTGTCACTGAGAACTATTTCTGTGTACCTAGTTTAACTCACCTCACTTATTTTTGTCAACCTAGCCTGTACATTATTTGACTTTGATATCCCTATGCTTCAGGAACATGAATATCGCAGATAATTTAAATATATACATCATTTATTACTACCATTATCTTTATTATCGCAGTGAATTTTAACGACTTCGTTTCCACAATTCAAACTCATTTTCAGTGCTTCTAAAAATACCTATTTTTCCTTACCAAACCCCTCCCTAGCTGTCCTTCTTCTGTTTAATGTGTTAAACATGTAATGACCAAAAAGAGACTGCCAGAAATAAAGCTAGTGATAATTCTCAATCTGGATAGTTAACCCATAAATAAATAAATTAGTTTAAACAATGTCTGATATTCTTATCTTCCTTCCAGATAATTGGCTCCCTGCCCAGGATTGAACACAGAAGGCTCTGAGAAGCACCAGAAGTTCTACCATAAGCTTCTGAAGTCAGCTGACAACCACTGAGTCCTCTGGGAAGTCAGAACTCTGTGTAATTGCCCAAATCTCCTCCAGGCCTAGCTAGACTTGACTTCAGTGACTAGTGGTTCATTTGCTCAATCTGTCTGATAGCTCACCAGGGGAAAACAGGCTTTTCATCACTTGTAAAATGAGAAACATCACATTTTAAAACAATATATATAATAAAACTCCTCTAGTCTCTTTGAATGTTAAAGAAGGGAGCAAGTGTTTCTGTTTAAATGCTAATAAATACAATAGCAAATGTTACCAGATCATCTACTATATGCCAAGTACAGAGCTAGGTGACTTACACATTTTTTTTTCATTATACCACTTGACCTCAAGCCCGGTATTGTCATCCGTATTAGTATAAATGAGGAGTTAAATATTAAACTAAAGGTGAAATATATTTCCTAATGTAATAGGCTTAATACCTAAAATTCCAGGAAACAAACCTATATAGGTCTGAAGCAAAGCATTGATTTTACTAAGCCATCCTGTTCCTTCTCCAAACTATTTAAGTCTGCTCATTCCCAGTCCCCATAGGGGAGTGGAGCCCTAACTAGTCAGCAAAAGGGCCACAAATCAGTGGTTGATAAATTTGGAAAGCACAGTCATACTGGAAAGCACTTGAGAATGTTGACCTGGGGAAGGGAAAACAAAAAACCTAATCTCTGTTTCTGAATATTGGAGAGTGAGTTCAGTTGTCTGGATACTCAAACTTTATGCAATTTCTGTGAACGAGGCTTTCTGTGAAAAATAACACAAAATTTCAAATGCAAAATTAGTTATGAAAATGAATAGGAACAAATGTTTTTTTTTAAAAAAACATATACCACATATTTCAAATAACAGAAAATAATATAATACTACTTTTATTAAATTAACTGACTGGTACACCATTATAGCACTCTTTTCCCTACATCTTGGCTGCATATTCTTAGATTTCTTCTTTAATTATCTTATGTCAATTATTTTGCAGTATTTTCTATAGAGAGAATTTTATCATGGTTGTCTAAAATTTGCTTTTCATTAATTATATATCACAAAAGTTTCTTTCAGTTTCACAACTCATTGTTGCAAATGCCATATACATTTTTAGGATTGTTAACAAATTAGTAAAACTCCCTATCAAGTTTCTTTTGTTTATGAGCTTTTATAGATATACTCACTGTTTATAGGACCACTACAATTGTATATACTATAAACATAGAAATTCTGATAAATTATATTTTTTGCAATTTCCATCAAAAATGAAAAAGTATATGTGGTGTGTTTATAATTGTATATGCTCCATTACCCTGCATATTCCTGAGAATAGAAAACATTGGTTAGAGACACTTCAACTTAATAATTTTACAAATCTAATGACTAGATAAATTTTGATCAACTAATTCTATTTCCATATACTAAAACATCTGCTAACCACCAAATTTTGCTGTGAGACTCTTAGGATGTATTCATATTTTGGTATGACCTGTAGCCTCACATCTATGTATTGTGGCAGAGTGAGCAGTAGTAATTTTCTAGAAGTGATTCCTACTTATCAAACTGAGTAAAAACAACTGTAAAATACATGAAAATTACTGAGAGCCACATTACAAACCCCACTAAACCCAAACTAAGTGCATTCCAAACTGAAGCTGCCTATAACTAGATCTACCCCCAGCCTCTCCAAAACCAACTAATATGAAGGGAAATGTAATGGAGAAATTGGATTAGGAAGGGAGAGTTGTCCTAATTGATCATGATCAAAATATCTTATTTTTTCAAATTTGAAAAAATTTCAGAACTATTATTATTATATGGAGCTTTGAAAATGGCTCATGAACACGAGTCTTGAAGCGTAAGCTTTATTAATTTCTCAGTATGTCCACCTCTGGTGGATGATTATTTTGTAGATGAGAGATAACTATTTTCTGTGCTTTTCTGTATAACATGAGGCTATATACCTTCATACAAAAATTATAGGAAAGAGTTTTCTGGTTCAGTTTTATAAAGAACTTGCAATCAAGAACAGGTGCCCAACAATATAATGGGCTGCATCAAAAAGCTATGAACTCCCATTACTAAAAGTAGTTGAACAGACCTATGACATCTGGTAAGGATGTGATTGTGTATGAGAAGTCAGACCTCGAGTCCGTGTATGAGAAGTCAGACCTCGAGTCCATGTATGACTCTTTTATACCTCTATGTTACATCGTATTTACTTTTAATATATTATTGCTTTTTTGCTGATTGTTTATAAAAATTTTAAATGAAAAAAAAGAAAGTAAATATAAAGAATAAATATATTAGCCACGCACAATGGCTCATGCTTGTAATCCCAGCACTTTGGGAGGCCCAGGAAGGCAGATTGCTTGACCTCAGGAGTTCAAAACCAGCCTGGGCAACATGGTGAAACCCTCTGTCTACAAAACATACAAAATTTAGCTGGGCATGGTGGCATGTGCCTTTGGTCCCAGCTACTTGGGAGACTAAGGCAAGAAGATCACTTGAGCCCTGAGCCTGGGAGGTGGAGGTTGCAATGAGTCGAGATTGTGCCACTGAGTGACAGAAGGAAATCCTGTCTCCAAAAAAAAAAAAAAAAAAAAAAAAAAAAGAATAAATGGTATAATAAAGAAATTCAAAATTTTATATCAAAGTGAATTATTTCTTCTTTTTAACTCAGTGGCACTTTTTTAAGAAAGAAACAAACAAAAATAGAAAAGAATCTTTTAAAAGTAAAATGAATGTTAAAAAGAAAATCAGAAGCAATGAAGCTGCTCAGTTTGAAGCAAGGGCTAAGAACCTGCCTAAGCCCCCACTCCCTCCCTTTCCCCCTGCAGTGAGCCACACAGACGTCAGAAATTTGGGATGCCATTAAACTTATTGCTAACCACATAGACTTGGTCTATCCCATAGACGAAGGCCTCCTCTTGAGTGTGCACTATCAATGGGAATTTCTGTATCTAAATCTTTTTACAGTCAATCTTAAAGCAAAGAGACTTTTGTGCAAGATCTCACCAGGGCTTCTTAGGGCGTGCAAATTCCAGGGTGTAGTATGTGACAGGTAGAGGAAGGAGAAAATAAGAAATCCAAGACAAAGGTGACACAGTTTCCTGGTATGTGTTTTACTTTATGTTAAGTATATGCAGTGTTATTTTTATATTCAAATAAATACAACAACAAATACAATGTAATACTTACAGATTTTTTTTAGATAAAATATATGATTTCAAAAATATTCCAGCTGGCCCTAAGACAGTTTCTCTTAGGAGCCCAGGCCCCAAACAGAGGTATGTTTCATTCATCTC
Organism: Homo sapiens; assembly: GCF_000001405.40. Taxonomy (NCBI): domain Eukaryota; kingdom Metazoa; phylum Chordata; class Mammalia; order Primates; family Hominidae; genus Homo; species Homo sapiens. The sequence goes on along the minus strand of NC_000003.12, from coordinate 174,818,364 downwards.
CGCAGTTAGGGGTATTTCAAGAAGAAGCTCTGCATTAAGTGAAGAGGTTTAGAATTTGGCTTATAAGCTAGAGACGTGGCACCTAATCTCTGCTCCAGGAATGTTTGACCATCTTAAAGTCAGAGGAAATGGCACCTGTCCCCCCTATTTGGCTGCAAAGATGAAAATCAATCAAAGTGATTTTTATTAAACAACTTCAGAATTCTTGGCATTTCGAAGGACACAACGGGGTAAAGATGCATAACAGAGTGCACAGCCTGTGTCCTTTTAACAGCCTGCAACCCGGTACTAACAACAGACACAAATCAATGACTAATCCAAAATGGGTTATCAGATGAAGAAAGCCCAGCGGGTTGCATTTTGAAGAACAAAATGCAATATGAATTTTCTGTGGGAAGTTCATAAAGTTACTATAGAAATATATGGGCTGTGTTTATTACTGACAGTGAGCATGTAGCTAATCACAATCTGAAAACGAACAAGCTTTCTGATAAAACTATTTTTTAAAGATAAACGTGTGAGCTAGAAAATTATACTGAAATGCTGATTGACAATGGACATAAACTGGCAAACTGAGGGTTTATAAGAAGCTACAAAGTATGCTTGTAAGATTAAAACCTTAAATGCATTAGTCTAAGGAGAGTGATAAAAATATTTTTAATCCTCTTTTGGAAAGCATTTGTTTTTAATGTTATTACCATGCACTCCCCCCAATTTTTATTTTAAAGAGCTTTTAAATTTTTTAAAAATTATTTATTTTTAAGGGACAGTGTCTCCCTCTGACAACTAGGCTGAAGTGCAGTGGTACAATCACAGCTCAGTGCCACCTGGAACTCCCGTGCTCAAGTGATCCCCCCACCTCAGCCTTTTAAGTAGCTAGGACTGTAAGTATGTGGCACCGTGCCTGTCTAATTGGTAAATTTTTTGTAGAGACATGGTGTCACTCTGTTGCCCAGGGTGGTCTTAAACTCTTGACTTCAAGCAATCCTCCCACGTGAGTCTCCCAAAGTGCTTTGATTACTGGCATGAGCCACTGTGCCCAGCCTAAAGAGCTTTTGATAAAAATCAAATTATCATACTTTCACATAAGTTGTCTCCAGGGATATTTTGCCAAGTACCCTAAAACAAAATAACCAACTCAGTATTTCAAAGACATTATTAAGATTGTGGGTTATTTTGTCATTTTATTTGATCCCTGTGGATTATCTAGTCACTCAATGTGTTGATTTTCCTTTTGAATGTCTGTTTGCCTTATCCAAACACTCACACACTTCCACCAAAGTAACCAAAGGAAATAAAAAAGAACTAAAGTCAAATTTAGCTGCTTTAAGTTCCTGCCTGTTGTAGAACACCCAGTGACTGAAGACATAGAATAAAGTAATACTACCAAATTTTGTATTATTAATGATGGTTTTCTCCCTTGGAATAGTCCAATATATGATTTACTACCAGATCAGTTAATACTACAAGGCCTGTGGCTCAGGCACACTAATGCACTCCTAATCATTGAGCTGGTTTTAGAAATCTCAGTGTTGCCTTGCAATGACCAATACTATAAAATGTAAGCAAGTAACTGTCAGGGCTAGGGGCTCAAGAAACTTGAATAAGACAAAAGCAAGAAGGACTTAATAAATAGTAGTTAAGAATATGAGTTTGGGAATCCAATATACCTGGATTAGAATTAACAATCTGCTGCTAGGTTTACCATGGCAGTGACCTGGGGTGAATCACTTAGTCTGTCTTAGCGACCTCATTGGTAATTCATATTTCAGATTATTGAAGTAATAATTTATATATATGTTACATAACATAATTTATATATATTAAAAATTATATATAATATAATATAAATAAATGTATAAAATAATGTATATATATGCGTGTATTTATTCAGAGATTATATAGTCTCTCCCTCTGTCTCTCATACTGAGATACACACACACACACACACGCACACACATACACACACACACACACATATATATATCTCAATTCCAGGGCTCCCAAGACAGCACAAATCCACATAAAATTCTTTGAGAGAGCATTATACATAGAAAGAGAGACTATATAGACTATCTGTTCTCTCTCTCTGTATATACAGAGAGAAGAAATAAAAGAGAGAGAAGGCAGAGGAGGAGGAGAAGGGGGAAAAAGGATACGATGAAGAAGAGGATAGGAGTAGAATGGAAAGAGAAGATATTTATATCATTGGGGTACATACGTGCTATACAATTTAAAGGAATATATAATCATAACCTATGGACATATATTTTGTCAATGAATGAAATAATTAATAGGACCAATGTTGTTGTTTTATGTAATTTAGGGATCCAAATGTCTGTTATGGGCTGAGTGCTGAATTGTGCATCCTTCAAAATTCATCTTGAATTCCTATCTCTAAGTACCTCCAAGTATGACTGTGTTTGGAGACAGCAAACAAATTAAAATGAGGTCACAAAGGTGTTTGTCATTTCCAAACACTCTGACACTTCTACCAAAGGAAACTTAAAAAAAAAAAAAAAAAAAAAAAAAAACTAAAGTCAAATTTAGCTGCTTTCAGTTTCTGCCTCTATTAAAATTCCCAGTGACAAAAGGGCATAGAATAAAATAATACCATCACATTTTGTATTTTTATAATGCTTTTCTCTTGGAATATTTCAATATATGATTTGCTGTCAGATCAGTTAATACTACAAGTCCTGTGGCTTAGACAAATATTTACATAAACCAATGTAACTGTTATCCTTATAAGAAAAATAAATTTAGGGATGGGTTGGGCATGATGGCAGGCTTCTGTAGTCCTAGCTACTCAAGAGGCTGAGGCAGCAGGATCACTTAAACACAGCAGTTCGAGGCTTCAGTGAGTGAGCTAAGATTGTGCCACTGCACTCCAGCCTGGGTGAGACAGCAAGACCCTATCTCTTAAGAAATGAAAAGAATAATAAATTTGGACACATACATGTACAGAAGGAAGATGATGTGAAGACACAGGGAGAAGATAACCATCCACAAGTCAAGGAGGGAGGCCTAGAGTACATTCCTCTCTCACAGTCCTCAGAAGGAACCAACCCTGCCAAAACCCTGATCTTAGAAATCTAACTCCAGCACTCCGAGAAAATATATTTCTGTTGTTTAAGCCACCCAGTCTGTGGTATACTTTGTTACAACAGCTCTGGCAAACTAATACATCATCAAAACTTCATCCTTGCTAAACAAATGACCACTTACTTCTACAGAGAAGTGAGCCCAAGGATGCTATAAAACTAGAACCAGGACCTTTAACATAGTTTGTTTCCCCACCAGCACATGAGCTAAAGAAAACTCAGTTTTGCATTAATTATATAAAACATTCAACATGTTATATAGAAATACGTGTTATAAAATGTCACAGAACAGGTCTGACATTGTTTTGGCCCGGGTAAGTATTGAAATGCGACCATTCATTTACCTACAGCATAAAAATTTTGAAATAACGTACCCACAGACTACTTCTGTGTGAGTAACATAGCTTGCAACCGAAGGGTCAGGATAAATTACTTGTGAAATATACCTCTAAGTAATCAAAAGAGTTGGCCTGCTATATGGAAGGCCATGTGGTTTATATGTAAACAAATTACCTTTTGGAAGATATCTGCCCAAAATAATAATTTTTGTTTCATGGCAGTTGATCTTAAATAATTAATTCTGATAGTAGTACTTAAATTTGATATTATTAATTATTCCATTAGTAGTACTACTTAAATTTGATATTAATTATTTCATGCCCTAAAGAGCACAAAATTACATTATTCCATACCTTAAAAATCACACACAAGGTACACACATAGTAGTACTTAAATTGGATATTATTAATTATTCCATGGCCTAAAGTGCACAAAATTATATTATTTCATATATAAAGATCACACGCAAGATACATATTTAAATTCTTCCCAGTCTTAAAATATTTAACTAAACAGGCCAGGCACAGTGGCTCACACCTGTAATCCCAGCACTTTGGGAGGCTGAGGCGGGCGGATCACGAGGTCAGGAGATTGAGACCATCCTGGCTAACAAGGTGAAACCCTGTCTCTACTAAAAATACAAAAATTAGCCAGGCGTGGCGGTAGGCACCTGTAGTCTCAGCTACTTGGGAGGCTGAGGCAGAAGAATGGTGTGAACCCGGGGGGTGGAGCTTGCAGTGAGCTAAGATTGCACCACTGCACTCCAGCCTGGGAAACAGAGCAAGACTCTGTCTCAAAAAAATAAATAAATAAAAATAAATAAATAAAAATAAAATATTTACCTAAACAGACAGTTGTCACACCTTCTCTGTGCTGACACCATTAGTATTTCTATTAAACTTCTATATGAAATACGTATCATTATAATGCAGTATAATGGAATGAAGATATGTATGTCTGTGGGGTGGAGTGCATATGTAATGACTTACATATATTAGACACTACCTATCTGTTAAAGAGCTATACTATACATGCATAAAAGTTTGAGATCTTAAATATTTATTATTTCTTATTTAAGTTTACATTTCAAAAACATAAGGGGAGCCAGGCACACTAATGTGTGTCTCTACTTAAGAGGTTGATTCAGGAGGATTGCTTGAGCCCAGGAGTTCAAGGTTGTAGTGCACTATGATCGTGCTTGTAAATAGTTACTGTACTTCAGCCTGGGCAACATAGCAAAACTTTGTCTATGAAAAAAATAAAACAAAAGAACAAAGAGTAATAACTATGGAAATATCAACAAGGATAAGTTCTGAGAAACTCTTCATTAGGTACTTTCATCTTTATGCGAACATCATAGACCGTACTTTCCTAGTTGGTATAGCTTACTAACTACCTAAACTACATGGTATAACCTACTGTTCCTAGGCTACAAACCTCTACAGCCTTTTATTAAAACTATACTGAATACATAGGCAATTGTAACACAATGACAAGTATTTGTGTGTCTAAACATAGAAAAGGTAGGGTAAAAATAGAGTATTAAAAAAGCTTGTCCAACCCATGGCCCAGGTCCACTTTAAACGTGGCCCAACACAAATTCATAAACTTTCTTAAAACATTATGAGATTTTTTGTGTTTTTTTTAGCTTATCAGCTATCATTAATGTTACTGTATTTTGTGTGTGACCCAAGACAATTCTTCTTCTTCCAATGTGGACCAGGGAAGCCAAAAGATTGAATACCACTGGAAAAGAAGAGAACAGTACACCTGTATAGGACACATAACATGAATGGGTCTTGCGGGACTGGAAGTTGTTCTGGTGAGTCAGTGAGTGAGCGGTGAGTGAAGAAAAAGGCCTAGGATATTACTGTATACTTTATAATATAAATACTGTACATTTGGGCTACACTAAATATATTTAAAATGTTTTTCTTTATTCAATAAAAAATTAGCTTATAACATTTTTAGTTTATAAACTTTTTAATGTCTTTACTTTTTTGATTCTTTTGTAAAAATACTTAGCTTAAAACATAAATATATTGTAGAGCTGTATGAAAATTTTTTTCTTTATATCTTTATTCTATAAGCCTATTTCTATTTTTAAAATTTTTAATTGCCTTTATTTACTCTTTAAACTTTTTGTTAAAAATGAAGACACAAATACACACATTAGCCTAGGCCTATACGAGATCAGCATCATCAGTATTACTGTCTTCCACCCATGCATCTTGTCTCACTGGAATGTCTTCAGGGGCAATAGCATGCATGGACCTGTTATCTCCTATGAAAACAATGCCTTCTTTTGGAATACCTCTTGAAGAACCTGCCTGAGGATGTTTTACAATTAACTTTGTTTTTTATTTTTTATAAGTAGAAGAAGTATACGCTACAATAAAAATAAAAAGTATAGTATATTAAATACATAAACCAGGAACATAGTTGTTTATTATCATTATCAAGTATTACGTACTATAAATAATTGTATGTAATATACTTTGGTATGACTAACAATGCAGTAAGTTTGTTTACACCAGCATCACCACTAGCACTTGTTGCACTGTGATGTTATGACAGCTAGGTGTTACTCACTTATAGGAAGTTTTCAGCTCCATTAAAATCTTATATGGGACTATTCTCATATACGTGGTCCCTCATTGACCAAAATGTCAGATTGTGTATCTAGGAGCAAGATCTATATAAATAGACTCATGAAATATGGTTCAGAACAATAAGCAATTTGTATTTGTCCATTCTCACGCTGCTATTAAAAAAAACACTGAGACTGTGTAATTTATAAAGAAAAGATGATTAATTGGCTCATGGTTCTGCAGGCTGTACACAAAGTAGGGCAGCATCTGCTTCTGGGGAGGCCTCAGAGAGCTTTTACTCATGGTGGAAGGCAAAGCAGGAGCAGGTATCTTACATGGCAGGAGCAAGACCAAGAGAGAAAGAGGGGGAGGTGCCACAAACTTAAAAAAGGCAGATTTCATAAGAACTCTATCACAAGAACAACAACAAATGGATGGTGCTAAAGCATTCATAAAGGATCCACCCCCCATGATCCAGTAATCTCACACCAGGCTCCACCTCCAACATTGGAGATTATAATTCAACATGAAGTTTGGGTGGGGACACAATTCCAAACCATACCATTCTGCACCTGGCCCCTCCTAAATCTCATGTCCTTCTCACATTGCAAAATACAATCATCCCTTCTTAACAGTCCCCAAAGTCTTAACTCATTCTAGCATTAACTCAAAAGTCCAAAGTCTCATCTGAGACGAGCCTAGTCCCTTCCACCTATGAGCTCATAAAATAAAAAACAATTTAGTTACTCCTAAGATACAACAGGGGTATAGGCATTGGGTAAATAATCCTGTTCCAAGAGGGAAAAATCAGCCACAAGTTAAGGGTTGCATGCCCCATGCAAGTGCAAACCCAGCAGGGTAGTCATTAAGTCTTAAAGTTCCAAAACAATCCCCTTTGACTCTATGTCTCACATCCAGGGCATACTGGTGCAAGGGGTGGACTCCCAAGGCCTTGGCTCTATCCCTGTGGCTTTACAGGGTGCAGCCACTACAGTTGCTCCTAAGGGCTGATGTTGAGTACCTGTGGCTTTTCCAGGTGCAAGGTGCCAGCTGTTGGTAGATCTACCATTCTGGGGTCTGGAGGACAGAGTGCCTCTTCTTACAGCTCCACTAGGCAATGCCCCAATGTGTGGGGGTTCCAACCCCATATTTCCCTTCTGTACTGGCCTAGTAGAGGGTCTCCATAAGGGCTCTGCCCCTGAAGCCAGTTTCTGCCTGGACATCCAGGCTTTTCCATACGTCCCCTGCAATCTAGGTGGAGGCTCCTAATTTTCAACTCTTGCACTCTGTGAACCACAGGCTTAACACCATGTGGGAGCCACAAGGCTTACAGCTTGCACCCTCTGAAACAGTCCAAGCTGTACCTGGGCTGGAGCTACAGCAGCCAGGATGCAGGGAGCAGTGGCCTAAGGCTGCACAGGGTGGCAGGGCCCTAGGTCTGGTCCATGATATTATTCTTTCCTCTTAGGCCTCCAGGCCTGTGATGGGGGGAGTAGCCATGAAGTTCTGTGAAATACCTTCGAGGTCTTCTCCCCATTTTCTTGAGTATCAGCACTTCCTTTCCTTTTAGTAATAGAAATTTCTGCAGCCTGCTTGAGTTGCCTCCCAATCTCCACCCGGAAAATGAGCTTTTCTTTTTTACCACATGGCCAGGCTGCAGGTTTTCTAAATGTTTATGCTCTGCTTCCCTTTTAAATATAAATTCTAGTTTTGGATCATTTTTTTTTTTTTTTGCTTACATATATATAGGCTGTTAGAAGCAGCCAAGCTACATCTTGAATGCTTTTCTGGTAGAAATTTCTTCCACCAAATGCCCTAAATGGTTGTTCTCAAGTTCAAAGTTCCACAGATCCCTAGGGCAGAGGCACTATCCAACCAAGCTCTTTGTCAATGTGTAACAGAAGTGACCTTTGCTCCACTTCTTAGTAAGTTCCTCATTTCCATCTGAGAACTCCTCAGCCTGGCCATCTCTGTTCATATCATTATCAGCATTTGGGTCATAATCAATCAACAAGTCTCTAGGGAGTTTCAAATTTTCCTGTATCTTCTTGTCTTCTGAGACCTCCAAACTCTTTCACCCTCTGTCCATTACCCAGCTCAAAAGTCGCTTCCACATTTACAGGTATTTTTACAGCAATGTCCCACTCTTAAGTACTAATTTTTCTGTGTTAGTCCATTCTTGCACTGTTATAAAGGAATACATGAGAATGGATCATTTATAAAGAAAAGAGGTTTAATTGGCTCACAGTTCTGTAGGCTGTACAGGAAGCATGGCAGCATCTGCTTCTGAGGAGGCCTCAGGGAGCTTTTACTCATGATGGAAGGCAAAGCAGGAGCAGGCATCTTCCACAGCAGGAGCAGGACCAAGAGAGGGGGGAGGTGCCACACACTTTGAAACAACCAGATCTCATGAGAACTCTATCATTATCATGAGAACAGCATCAAAAGGATGATGCTAAACCATTTGTGCAGGATTCATCCCCATAATCTGATCACCTCCCATGAGGCCCCACCTCCAACATTGGGATTGCAAGTGAACATGAAATTTGGGTAGGAATACAGATACAAATAATATCACAATTTTATAGTTAGTAGAGAAATTCAAGAAATGTCAACTATGTTAATGTTACTTAAATATCATCTATTTACCATCAAATAATTACTATGTAGTAAAAAAAAAGTCAGTCCATTTTTCAGTGTGTTTTTTTGAAGTTATATATGAGGCCACTTTCTTAAATATGATGCCATGAAAAAAATTTGTATAAACCAAGTTATTAGAAAGGCTTGCCCCCAAATTCTTAGCAGCTTTATAAGCATTTGGTCACTATAGAAAAGTCAGTGTTCAACAAAGCTTTTTACTGTGCTATTACAAAGTGAAATTGGTAAAATCCGAACATATTGATATGGAACATAGTGCCCTAGATTCTTGCCTATATTATCTTAGGCCATATCTGAATACTTTATACAAAAGTTTTATTGTCTACTTTTCTGTTAGTTTTACATAGCGTGGTTCCTTTCAGTAAAAGCTCCTGCTACGTTCTAACAACCACAAGAAAAATAGATCCAGTATACCTCCAAAGCATATGGAGCCTGCGTATATATCCCCAGTACTGTTTCTATATCTGACTGCATATTATGTTGCCTATTTTGGTTTTCTACCTGCTTCAGGTTTACAATAAAGGTTTCCCCAGTTTTCTTTTTCAATTGATTTCTACACAAAATTTATATTACTAATTTGGCTTTTCAGAATTTCTGGTACTAATTGGGTAAATGTGTAATTAAGACAAAACAAATAGGTTCCATAATTGAACATATACATGAGAAAAGATTTACAGAATTCTGTGGTTCTATAAATTATACTTTTAAATGTGATTTTTAAAAAATGATTTCATATCACTCAAGCTGAAGATTTCAAAGTCTGGATAGATTTCATAAACACAGATAGACACACACATACACATACACATACACATACACCAGGCACCACCAACACACACATGCATGTGCACACACAAACACACACACACATTTTTTTTAATTGAAAATATGGATAAATATAATTTTGGAAAGTTGCTTGTGAAAGGTTTATATAAAGCAAATTCTAGTTTTTTCATCATTTTCCATTAAACAATCCAAGACACTTTTCTCTCTAGGGGAAAATAATCCACCAAGTAAAAATGTATAATGATAAAGGTATTAAAATTAGTGGCCAGGTTCCTGGAAAGATGGGAATCTCAGCATGTTCAAACAGTTTATTATACTTATTTAAAAATAGCAGTTGCTGTATTGACTTTTTGGCAGCATTTTACCATGTCTATGATGCAATATATATTCAATGCTATATCTAGTTCACATATTTTCATAAAGAGGAATATTCTAAAATTCTTTAAATTGTACTTCAAAGTTCATGAGAAAATGTAGTCAACAGTTTTGCCTTCTTTTCCTGTTTGCTACATTTGACCATTTTCATCTGGGCATAACCCACTAGTGGAACTGAACACCCATATGACATTTTGTGCAGAAGTGTTTAATTGGATATAGGGAGGCCTTGTTTAAATATGTTTTTAGACTTCAATTTTTATATTGTGAAAAAGGAATTCATATTTTATTTATTATTTCCTAAGCATCAACTCTTCATAGTGAATTTGTTCATGGCAAATGATACCTGTATGTGGAAATTTTAATTTGTGTGTGATTTAATAGTTAAGAGACTTGAAATACCAAATTATTCATTTGCCATTGATAAATTTCCACAAGTCTGAAAACACTGCAGAATTTCAATATTTTTACGGATAATGTACCAATATACAAATTCAAAAGCCAAGTATCTTTAGCAAACAAAATATAACATTCTACACATGAAGGGATACCACATAGTAACTTAATTTGGGCTTTATATTAGAGACACATTCTACTACTGCCACTGCATATCTCTCTCTCTCACACACACACACACACACAATGAAAATAATAGTGATAAGCAAACTATTATTTTTAAGATTATAAAGGAATGTAACTCTCCTTCCTTTTTAGATTTATTTTAAATACAAGGTATCTTTACATGGATGTTTCAAATTACACTAATTACCTATATTCCAACTACAAAGAAAACAAAATGTAAGACCAATATTTTAAAATTACATTCCAAAGAAAACAAGGGAAAGAAATAAATATATTTATTATTCAACGCTGTTCTGCTCATTTCTAGTTCTAGTATTTCCACAATTTATATATACTTGCAAACTACAAATTCATGGAAGACGTGCTGAAGCTATTAGCATGGCAACATGTCAAATAAGCAAATTACAAAAGAAAAATGTGTACAAGGAAAAAGCAAAACAGAAAAAGAATAATTTAACAGAAATTAAAATTTGCATCCAGTGAATGCTATATCTGATAATATGGGGCAGCTATCATTCTTATACTTCCACTTGGACACGGCTAAGTGCATCGTATGAGCAAGAAGCAGAGCATTTTACTAACAAATGTAAGTCCTACCCAATAGAGTTATCGGTGTTTTTTTCACTTCACTGTGCAAGTTCTGTATACATTTTTGTTAACTACAAGCAGAAGCTGAAAATATCAAAGGCTGGCTATTATGATATTCATGAAGAAAAAAAAGTTGGGTGGTAAAAATGCTAATGTAAGAGACTGTTATTCAATTAAAGTAGCACATCATAAAGTGCTAGGATGTGAGCTAATAAAATTTCAAATCCTTTAAAAGCTGAAACCCTGCAATACACAAGCACATTTCTAGTAGGTACTTTTATTTATTTACATTCTAGATTTAAAACACTTAATCTCAATTTCAAGTTTTTTCACTTATTATCTTGTGACTGTATCAAGACACCTAATCACTTTTTGCTGGTTCCCTAATCTATAACTAAGGACAATGATGTTTCTCCTGCCTTGTTTACTAGATGGCTATAAGGACCTAATAATCTTATCTGATTATATTGTATCTGAGAAAATGCACTATAAACTATAATACAGAATGAAAGGACTACATAAATATGTCATAGTCAAATCAGTGAGAAGATATTTGGATATACATAGCTTGAAAAACACTAATGTCTTTCTGAAAATTCTGTCAATACACAACAACCTGAGAAAGTGTAGAAGTACAGAGGAAAGAACAGAGCTTTGGATTCAGACAATCCTAGTTTTGAATCACATTCCAGGTAATTATTATCTGTGCATCTGGACAAATCTCTGTTTTGCTGTCTGTAAAACAAAGGTAACTGTATTTTCCAAACAGAATTTGCAGGATTGTTTAAATCTTTACACTTCTAGGTTTCTCTTCAGGAAAGACTTGTTTCCTCAACTTCTGGGTGTCCTGTCATCAGACATCCTTCAGCTGTTAGGCTCTTCAGTGATTAGGCTCAAGAGCAGAGAACCACCTAGGCTGAGGTGATGCCTTGGGTCTCCCACATCCATTGACCGACTTACAAAGAAATAAAAAGACCTGGCCTTCTTGGCCCAACTGAGGACAACTCTCAAGTGCCATTCTAGCTCCAGATGTCCCTGTGGTGTTGGCTGAGGCAATAATTGGGACTGTAGAGGAGTTTGACTTTTCCCTTGGCTCACTTCTTCTTTTCCTCCCTTTCATAGGTATTGGGTCCTAAAGGCAGTTCTTAGCAAACATCCTATATGCTAAACTCCATGTTAAAATGGGCTTTGGGAGAAGCCCAACCAGGGACAAAAGATTAGTGATAATATAGAAAGGGCCTAATTACTAATTCATCATCCAAGAAGAAAGTGAACACTTGTATAGTCATCATCAAACAATTATTTTATACTATAAATTTCCATGACAGTTAGTAGTAGCTGCTGCTACGGAGGCAGAAAACACACTAGCACATAGTCAAGAACAAAGTTAGCTTAATCTCTTTAAAAATTATAGAATAATTCAGGCCTAATATAGATTAATAGAGAAATAGGGAAGCCTTGTAGATAATTTATGCTAAAATGTACTTACACATAAAATGCCTACATAAATGAAGCAGAATTTTTCTTCTATATTTATGATTTAACTCATATTTTCATCAGTTTTCAAATTGTGAGTGTAATCTAAGATGGCAAATTTTGATGAAATAATTCATTGGGTTCTCCAATATTCTCCTCCAGGCAGTAGTCTCTATTTTATTGCAAGTTGATTATGCTTTTGTAACAAAATTCCTAAGGAAAATTAGTGAGCAAAGATTTTCTTAAATACCACAATAGAGACTTCACAAAATAGAATCAAGCTAATCTATATTAATTCCTGAAATGTTAACATGACATCTTACTACTGAAACAAGAAAAGATTTTTAAGTATTAGCAGTTAATAAGATAGCATAAATAGTGCTAAAGGTGTATGTTTTATGCCAAGCTGTCCCAGGCAATACTGGGCATCAACCAGAAATTCATATTTCGATGTGCTACATTAAACAAAAAAAAGAACAAAAAACAGAAAAAAATAGTTGCTTCCTTAGAACAACGAAGTAATCCTAGGAGACATATTCTTCTTTTTATCGCCACTATCTAAGAGTAGAGGAGAGACAAAAAGGATGCAGATCTACTAAATACATGTCATTCTTTTAATCACATTTTGGCCAATCCCAGGTTTGTTAATAAGTAGGAAGCAACCACTTGGTTTTACCTTTTCTAAATATTCCAATTTTGACAGCATAAAAGATTCCCAGAGTAATTACTAGTAGAAGCAGCTAACATGGTTTGAGTTCCAATATGAGCCAGTGCTATGCTAAATAGTTACTTGGTTCATCTCATTTTAACCCTAGCAAATAATCTATGACAAGAAAACTCTGATTATTCCCATTTTAAAAGGAAAAAAAGGAAAAACAGAAGGATTAACTACTTGCTGAACTACTTGCCAAAATGGCACAGCAAGAATTTGAACCTCTCTTATTGATAATTAGACAATTTAAAATCTAAGGCAAATTAGATGAGTATAACATCTTGTTTAATTTTACTAATAAATATATTAATACAAATTACTCTTAGTATTAAATTTTCAAAACGTAAGTCCTTCAGGGTAGCAGGAATATTTTAGAATTCTTCAACCCTACTTTTTTACTGTATAGATTTTAGATTTATTCAAAATGTTCTGACAGTCACATATAAATTTCCATCTATTCCTTTCTTTAGTCTAAGTTAGGGTCCATGTCATAAGATTTCTGTAGGTATTGATGGAACATATCTCAAAATAGTAAGAGCTATTTATGACAAACCCACAGCCAGTATCAGACTGAATGGGCAAAAACTGGATGCATTCCCTTTGAAAACTGGCACAAGACAAGGATGCCCTCTCTCACCACTCCTATTCAACATAGCGTTGGAAGTTCTGGCTAGGGCAATCAAGCAAGAGAAAGAAATAATGGGTATTCAATTAGGAAAAGAGGAAGTCAAATTGTCTCTGTTTGCAGACGACATGATAGTATATTTAGAAAACCCCAATGTCTCAGCACAAAATCTCCTTAAGCTGATAAGCAACTTCAGCAAAGTCTCAGGATACAAAATCAATGTGCAAAAATCACAAGCATTCCTATACAACAATAGACAAACAGAGACCCAAATCATGAGTGAACTCCCATTCACAATTACTACAAAGATAATAAAATACCTAGGAATACAACTTACAAGGGATGTGAAGGACCTCCTCAAGGAGAACTACAAACCACTGCTCAACAAAATAAAAGAGGACACAAACAAATGGAAGAACATTCCATGCTCATGAATAGGAAGAATCAATATTGTGAAAATGGCCATACCACTCCAGGTAATTTATAGACTCAATGCTATCCCCATGAAGCTACCATTGACTTTCTTCACAGAATTAGAAAAAACTACTTTAAAGTTCATATGGAACCAAAAAAGAGCCCGCATAGCCACGACAATCCTAAGCAAAAGAACAAAGCTAGAGGCATCACGCTACCTGACTTCAAAATATACTACAAGGCTACAGTAAACAAAACAGCATGGTACTGGGACCAAAACAGATATATAGGCCAATGGAACAGAATAGAGACCTCAGAAATAACACCACACATCTACAGCCATCTGATCTTTGACAAACCTGACAAAAACAAGCAATGGGAAAAGGATTCCCTATTTAATAAATGGTGCCGGGAAAACTGGCTAGCCATATATAGAAAGCTGAAACTGGATTCCTTCCTTACACCTTATACAAAAATTAACTCAAGATGTATTAAAGACTTAAATGTAAGACCTAAGACCATAAAAACCCTAGAATAAAACCTAGGCAGTACCATTCAGAACATAGGCATCAGCAAAGACTTCATGACTAAAACACCAAAAGCAACAAAAGCCACAATTGACAAATGGGATGTAATTAAACTAAAGAGCTTCTGCACAGCAAAAGAAACTATCATCAGAGTGAACAGGCAACCTACAGAATGGGAGAAAATCTTTCCAATCTACCCATCTGGCAAAGGGCTAATACCTAGAATCTACAAAGAATGTAAACAAATTTACAAGAAAAAACAACCCCATCAAAAAGTGGGGCAAAGAATATGAACAGACATTTCTCAAAAGAAGACATTTATGCAGCCCACAGACACATGAAAAAATGTTCATCATCACTAGTCATTAGAGAAATGCAAATCAAAATCACAATGAGATACCATCTCATGTCAGTTAGAATGGCGATCATTAAAAAGTCAGGAAACAACAGATGCTGGAGAGGATGTGGAGAAATAGGAATGCTTTTACACTGTTGGTGGGAGCGTAAAGTAGTTCAACCATTGTGGAAGACAGTGTGGCAATTCAAGTATCTAGAACTAGAAATATCATTTGACCCAGCAATCCCATTACTAGGTATATACCCAAAGGATTACAAATCATGCTACTATAAAGACGCATGCACACATATGTTTATTGTGCACTATTCACAAGAGCAAAGACTTGGAACCAACCCAAATGTCCATCAATGATAGACTGGAATAAGAAAATGTGGCACATATACACCATGGAATACCATACAGGCATAAAAAAGGGTGAGTTTGTGTCCTTTGCAGAGACATAGATGAAGCTGGAAACCATCATTCTAAGCAAACTGTCACAAGGACAGAAAACAAAACACTGCATGTTCTCACTCATAGGTAGGAGTTGAACAACAGGAACACATAGACACAGGGCAAGGAACATCACACACCGGGGCCTGTCGGGAGGTGGTGGGCTGGGGAAGGGATAGCATAAGGAGAAATACTTAACGTCAATGACGAATTGATGGTCGCAGCAAACCAACATGGCACATGTATACCTATGTAACAAACTTGCACATTGTGCACATGTACCCTAGAACTTAAAGTATAATAATAAAATATTTCTGTAAAGCATTATATACAGAAGTCATGTATATCATATTTTATAGGCCACTTAAGAGATTTTGTAGGGTAATTTTGAATGATATGCAATTTTTACTTCCTCTCCTATATTTCTTAAGATTTAATTCTGTTTTATATCTTATTTTTTATTTATAGCATTTATCACAATCAGTACTTAGAAATTTATTTTTGTGCCATTTGTTTAATGTTTGTTGACAGGCTTTAGTGTAAACTTCATGAAATCAGAAATCATGCTGGTTTTGTTTACATTGTAACCTTGACACTTGGCATGGGTTTGTAAGAAATAGAGAAACAATAATTATTGTTTAATATAAATATTGTTTAATATATTGTTAGAAAAAAATATATTAATCTAATAAGTGTGGACATAGACTGACATTGAAAACTTGAAAGAAAAGTTTTTTAAAAGCATCTCATCTATCTTTGAAAATGCCAATTGTGGTATTTTTAAAATGTGGGTAAAAATATTCACAGATTAAATTATTCATTTGTATCAAAGGTATGAGTTTACAGAACCAATTTTAGCATTAATTTTGGAAACACAAATCACAATCCATTAGTAACATCAGAGATGTCACAGTAGAGTTAGATCTTTTCATGACCTCTTAAGCTATCATGATAAGAGACTCATTAAACACATGCTTTAAACATTAAATCAATTCAAAAAATGAATATATATATCATATTAAAATATTTTATAAAGCAAAATTATATAATCATATTAATAGACACAGAAAATGCATTTGACAAAATCCAGCATCCTTTCATGATAAAAACGCTCAAAATACCAGGAATAGAAGGAAACTTCCTCAAATTGATAAAGGGCATCTATGAATAAAATGGCTAATATCACCTATGAATAAAACAAGCTATTATCATACATAATGATAAACCAAATGCTTTTCTCCAAGATCAAGAGCAAGACAAGGATGTTCTATTAGTCTGTTTTCACACTGCTGATAAAGATATACCTGAGACTGGGCAATTTACAAAAGAAAGAAATTTAATGGACTTACAGTTCCACGTTGCTGGAGAAGTCTCACAATCATGGCTGAAGGCAAAGAAGAGCAAGTCACATCTTACATGGATGGCAGCAGGCAAAGAGAGAGCTTGTGCAGGGGAACTCCTCTTTATCAAACCATCAGATCTCATGAGACTTATTCACTGTCATGCAAATAGCACAAGAAAGACCTGCCCCCATGATTCAATTACCTCCCACTGGGTCCCTCCCACAACACATGGGAATTACAGAAGAGATTTGGGTGGGGACACAGTCAAACCATATAATTCTGCCCCAGCACCTCCCAAATCTCATGTCCTCGCATTCAAAACCAATCATGTCTTTCCTACAGTCCCTCCAAGTCTCAACTCATTTCAGCATTAACTCAAAATTCTGTAGTCCCAAGTCTCATCTGAGACAAGACAAGTCCTTTCCACCTATGACTCTGTAAAATCAAAAGCAAGTTAGTTACTTCCTAGATCCAATGGGGGTACAGGAATTGGGTAAATACAGCTGTTCCAAATGGGAGAAACTGGCCAAAACAAAGGGGCTACAAGCCCCATGCAAGTCCATAATCCAGCAGGGTAGTCAAATCTTAAAGCTCCAAAATGATCTCCTTTGACTCCATGTCTCTCATCCAGGTCATGCTGATGCAAGAAGTGGCTTCCCATGGTCTTGGGCAGCTCTGCTCCTGTGGCTTTGCAGGGTATAGCTCCCCTCCTGGCTGCTTTCATGGGCTGGTGTTTAGCATATGCAGCTTTTCCAGGTGCACAGTGCAAGATGTTGGTGGATCTAGCATTCCAGGGTCTGGAAGACAGTGGCCCTCTTCTCACAGCTCTACTAGGCGGTGCCCCAGTAGGGACTCTGTTGGGGGGGAGGGGCTCCAAACCCACATCTCCCTTCTGCATTGCCCTAGCAGAGGTTCTCCATGAGGGCCCCACCTCTATACCAAACTTTTGCCTGGGCATCCAAGCATTACCATACATGTTCTGAAATCTAGGTGGAGGTTCCCAAACCCCAATTCGTGACTTCTGTGCACCTGCAGGCTCAACACCACATGGAAGCTGCCAAGGCTTGGTGCTTCCACCCTATAAAGCAACAGCATGAGCTTTATATGATGGCTAGAGTGGCTGGCCGGGTACCAAGTCCCTAGACTGCATACAGCACAGAAACTCTGGGCCCAGCCCACGAAACCATTTTTTTTCTTCCAGGTCTCAGGACCTGTGATGCCCTGGTGATATTTTCTCCATCGTCTTGGTGATTAACATTCAGCTCCTCGTTACTTATGCAAATTTCTGCAGCCAGTTTGAATTTCTCATCAGAAAATGAGATTTTCTTTTCTATCACATTGTCAGGCTGCAAACTTTCCAAACTTTCATGCTGTTTCCCTTTTAAAACTGAATGCCTTTAACAACACCCAACTCACATCTTGAATGCTTTGCTGCTTAGAAATTTCTTCTGCCAGATACCCTATATCATCTCTCTGAAGTTCAAAGTTCCACAGATCTCTAGGGCAGGGGCAAAATGCCACTAGTCTCTTTGCTGAAACATAACAAGAGTCACCTTTGCTCCAGCTCCCAACATGTTTCTCATCTCTATCTGAGACCACCTCATCCTGGACCTTATATTCGACATCACTATCAGGCTTTTGGTCAAAGCCATTAAGCAAGTCTCTAGGAAGTTCCAAACTTTCCCACATTTTCCTGTCTTCTTCTCAGCCCTCCAAACTATTCCAACCTCTGCCTGTTACCCAGTTTGAAAGTCACTTCCACATTTTTGGGTATCTTTTCTGCGGCACTCCACTTCTGGTAGAATTTACTGTATTAGTCCATTTTCACACTGCTGATAAAGACATATCAAAGACTGGACAATTTACAGAAGAAAGAGGTTTAAGGGACTTACAGTTCCATGTGGCTTTTTAAGCTTCACAGTCATGGTGGAAGGCAAGGAGGAGCAAGTCACATCTTACATGGATGGCAGCAGGCAAACAGAGAGCTTGTGCAGGGGAACTCCTCTTTATCAAACCATCAGATCTCATGAGACTTATTCACTATGATGAGAACAGCACGAGAAAGACCTTCTCCCATGATTCAGTTACCTCCCACCAAGTCCCTCCCATAACACATGGGAATTCAAAAAGAGATTTGGGTAGGGACACAGCCAAACCATATCAGATGTCCACTCTTCACTTCTATTCAACATTGTACTAGAGGTTCTAGCCAGAACAACTAGGCAAGAAAAAACAATGCATCCACAAAGCAAAACAACACACAAAATAATTTTTTTTTTTTTTTTGAGACAGAGTCTTGCTCTGTCGCCCAGGCTGGAGTGCAGTGGCACGATCATGGCTCAATGCAACCTCCGCCTCCCAGGTTCAAGCAATTCTCCTGCCTCAGCCTCACAAATAACTGAGATTACAAGCATGTGCCACCATGCCCAAGTAATTTTTGTATTTTTAGTACAGGCAGGGTTTCACCATATTGACCAGGCTGGTCTTGAACTTCTGACCTCAGGTGATCCACCCGCCTCAGCCTCCCAAAGTTCTAGGATTACAGGCGTGAGCCACCACTCCTGGCTTAAGAAAAATAATTGGTATTTGCATATGACATAATCTTGCATATAAAAAAATCCATAGGAATCCACTAAAGAACTATTAGAACTAATAAATAAATGAATTCAGCAAGGTAGCAGAATACAAGATCAAATATATAAAAAATTGATTATATTTCTAATATCACTAAAAAATCAACTTTCTTAAAATGAAATTTAAAAAAATTCATTTAACATAGCATCAAAAAATAAAATACATAAAAATACATTTTTAATGAATAGTATACTGAAAACTAAAAAAAATCATTGAAAGAAATTCTAAAGGTAAAAATGAATGGAAAAACATCCCATGTTTATTGATCACAAGTCTCCACATTGTTAGAATGGCAATACTCTTCAAATTAATAAACAGATTCAAAGTAATTCCTATCACTATCCAAGCTGCCCGTTTTTTGCAGAAGTTGGCAAGCTGATGCTGAAATTCATATGGAACTTCAATACACCCAGAAGAGGCCGAATAATCTTAACAAGAGAGAACAAGGCTGTAGGACTGACAGTTCCAAATTTCAAACCCCATAAATATATATGCCCACTATATAACCACAAAATTTTTTTAAAACAATTAAGAATGAAAACAGTAACAACAGCAACAAAACTACAAAGCTACAATATTCACAACTATGTAGTACTGGCATGAAGATAGATATATAGATTAATGGAATGGAATTGAGAGTTCAGAAATAATCCCATATATTTATGGTCAATTAATTTTGATGACAGAGTCAAGATAATTAAATGAGGGAAAATAATCTTATCAACAATTTCTGCTGGAACAATATCCGCATGTTAGAGAACACAGTTGGTCTTCCATTTCACATAATAAATAAAAACTAACTGATTATAGATCACAGACATAAATGTAAGAGCTAAAACTATAAAACTCTTAGATACATACATAGAAGTAAATCTTCAAAACCTTCAGGAAAGCAATGGCTTCTTAGATATGCCAATAAAAGTACAAGTCACCAAAAAATAGACTATTTCAAAATTTACAACATTTGTGCTTCAAATAATACATGAAAAAAATGAAAACATAACCCATAAAATAAGAAAAACAATTTGTACATACCTTATCAGATATAATTTGGCTTAACTAACAGCAATTTAATTCTCTCATTTCTGGAGGCTGGAAGCTCAAGATCAACACAATCCTAAAATCCACATGGAACCAAAAACAAGAAACAAAATTGCCTAAGCAATCTTAAGCAAACTGAACAAAGCAGGAGGCATCACATTACCTGACTTCAAACTATACTACCAGGTTATAATAGCAGAGATAGCATGGAAGTGGTATAAAAATAGACATAGATCAGTGGAATAGAAACAAGATCCCAGCATGGTGAAACCCTGTCTCTCCTAAAAAGAAAAATACAAAAATTAGCCAGGCGTGGTGGAAGGCGCCTGCAATTCCACTACTCTGGAGGCTGAGACAGGAGAATCGCTTGAACCCGGGAGGCAGAAGTTGCAGTAAGCTGAGATCACGCCATTGCACTCCAGCCTGGGTGACAAAGCGAGACTCTGTCTCAAAAAAAAAAAAAAAAAAAAAAAAGAAAAAAGAAAAACAAAAGAAAAAAGATCCCAGAAATAAAGTCACATACTTAGAGCCTACTGGTCTTTGATGAAGCCGCCTGGGGAAATGACACTCTTTTCAATAGATGGTGCTGGGAAAATTCGATTGCCAAATGCAGAAGAATGAAACTGAACCCTTATATCTCACCATATACAAAAATGAACACAAGACAGTTTGAAGGCTTAAATGTAAGACCTGAAACTATAAAAATACTGGAAGAAAATCTATGAAGAACTCTTCTGGAGATTGCTCTTGGCAAATAATTTATGACTAACACTTCAAAAGCATAAGCAACAACACCCAAAACAGACAAATGTGACTTAATTAAACTAACAAGATCTGCACAGCAAAACAAATAATCAACAGAGTGAAAAGACAACCTGCAAAATAGGAGAAAATATCCAGAATTTACAAGGAATACAAACAACTCAAAAACAACAACAAAAAAGGCAAATAATCCCATTAAAAAGTGGACAAAGGACACAAATAGATATTTCTCAAAAGAAGACATACAAATGGCCAACAAAAATATACAAAAATGCTCAAACGACAAAAATGCTCAAAGGAAAATAAGTCATTCCATCAAAAAGAGACATGTACTCATATTTACTGCAGCACTGTTCACAATAGCAAAGATATGGAATCAACCTAAGTGTCCATCCACATGAACGGATTCAAAATGTGATATACATATACAATAGAAAACTATTCAGCCATTAAAAAAACAATTAAATCATGTCTTTAGCACAACATGGATGGAAGTGGAGGTCATTATCTTAAGTGAAACAACTCAGAAACAGAAAGCCAAATACTTCATATTCTCACTTACACGTGGGAGCTAAATAATGAATACACATGGGCATAGAATATAGTACCATAGGCACTGGAGACTCAGAAGGGTGGAAAGCATTTGGGAGGGGTGGTATGATGAGAAATTACTTAATGGGTATAATGTACATTATTCAGATGATGAATGCATTAAAAGCTCAGACCACCAGTATGCAATATACTCATATAACAAAATTGTACTTGTACCCGTTAGAGTTATTTTCTTAAATATTCCAATAAGGTTGTTGCTTTTTTCCTGAGCCCTTTCTCTTTGGCTCGCAGATGTCTGCTTCTCTCTTGTGTCCTCACATGCCGTTTCTTCTGTGCAAGGCATCTCTCGTATCTGTCTCTCTTCTACTATGAACAACAGTCATATTAGACTAGGGTCTATCTAGATGACCTGATTGATCTTAATTACCTATTTAAAGGCCCTGTCTCCATCTCTAAATAATTCACATTCAGAGATGTGCTTGGGATTAGGACTTCAAAATAGAAATTTGGGGAAACAATGCATTTCATAACAAAAAATGTGTATGCAGATATAAATAGAAATCTTACAAATCAACAATAAAAACACAACCCAATTTTTATAATAGGCAAAGGATCTGAAAAGGAATTTCTCTACAGAAGATATGCAAATGACCAATAAGCACATAAAATGCTCAAATATCAACAGTCATGAGGGAAATGCAAGTCAAAATCATTATATTACTTCATATTCATTAGGATAGCTATACTATACAAGTCATACAATAGCAAGTGTTGGTGAAGATGTGGAGAGATTGGAGCTTTCATACACTGTTAGCAAAGATGTAAAATACTAGAACCACTTTTGACAACTGTTTGGCAGCTTCTTAAATATTAAACATAGAATTACTATTGGCCCAACAATTCTACTCCTAAATATATACTTAAGAAAAATGGAAACATATAGCCATACAAAAATCTGTATGTAGATGTTCATATGAACATTATTTATAATAACCAAACAGTAGAAACATTTCTAATATCTGTCTACCATGCAATGGATAAATACAATATTTGAGGCATTTAACTATTTTTAGCATATAAAAATATTTCAGGAAATTACACACATATACTCAATTAGCCACACCATTATACTATATTTAAATAATCATATTAAAAATGCTGGACTAGAAGGCCGGGTGTGGTGGCTGATGCCTGTAATCCCAGCACTTTGGGAGGCTGAGGCTGGTAAATCACCTGAGGTCAGGAGTTTGAGACTATCCTAACCAACATGGAGAAACCCTGTCTCTACAAAAAATACAAAAAAAATACTAGCCAGGCATGGTGGTGCATGCCTGTAATCCCAGCTACTCGGGAGGCTGAGGCAGGAGAATTGTTTGAACCTGGGAGGCGGAGGTTGTGGTGTGCCGAGATCATGCCATTGCACTCCAGCCTGGGCAACAAGAGCGAAACTCTGTCTCAAAAAAAAAAAAAAAAAAAAAAAAAAAGCTGGACTAGAAGTTTCAACTTTTAAATTAAACACACCCTTTAGTGTCATAAAAACTTGATTTGTCTTTTGCAAGTACATTGTTTAACTTTTCCGTGATGCAAATTTTCATGAATTTCTATAGATCATGATTTTTTTAGTAAGCAATAAATGACCAAATGGAGACAATAAAATAGTAAAGGATCAGCAATATCTTACTTATAGTGCTAAGACTCAGATATTCAGAGTATCTTATTTCTCAGCAACTCAATATACATTACATTCCTGTGTTAATAAAAATAATGAAAAGTAACATGTTTTTAAAATAAAAAGTTTAAATTAGATAGTATGCTCCACATGGGAAGAGCCGTAGTGTCTAACATTTAATAAGCTCTGTGCAGAGAATGCTTTTCTTTGATGGCAAAACTTAAATAAGAAAAAGATATCCTGCATTAGCAAATATCCAATAACTCTGGAGAACTGTAATCAACCTCCAGCAATTTAATAACAATGGATGTAAAAAATTACACATTTTTTCTTTTATTCTTAATTTTTTTCTGTCCTCTTTCATTCCCCATCCTTCATTAATACGCCTAGAATGTAAAGGATACATATGAGAAGATTATAATTATATATTAGTTCGGATTTATATAACCAATAATTTTATTTAGTAAAGCCATAATTTCATCTAGTACCTATAAAACCAGGAAAGAATAAAGTAAAATACTTGCCGCTTTTTTCATGAGTTATTGAGTAAATACTAGAGCAATCACATTGGGCAGAAGACTATCATTCTGAATCGAACCTGTTATTAAACACTAAATATATTTAAAAGTCTCATAAAGTCAAATTTTTCCATACATTTTACTTTGAAAATAAAGAAAATAATTCCATAACTACTAAAAACTGGGTTTCTTGCTACTTTGGAACTTGGACTTCTCACATTCTCTCCAGTTGCTCAGCAACTGTACTTGTAATGGAAGGATTTTTAGTAGATATTGGATCTTTCCAAGCTTTATTTTTCTTTCTTATAAAAGGAAAGCTATTGTTAAACCAAATGATTTCTTCAAGGATAAAAGAATCTGAATGGTCGCAACTGTATCTTCTAACCTGCCTAATTGAAATCACTTTTAAACAGATATAAAAGCATGCAGTTAGTGTCTTATGTGATGAGATCTGAAAAGAAAAAAAAAAAAGAAACTGGGGACTAACATAAAACTTTTTTCAAAACCTGTAAACAGTACCTGGTTGATAGAATTATTTAAAGGACACTGTATGAGAGAGATAGCCACGGGAATAAATAAATTATAAGATCACGGATTTTTAATGAAACTTAGACTTTTGTCCTGTTTTGTTTTGTTATTGAGGGGAAGGGCTATCTATACTTCTGATGACACAGCCAAGGATTTGGGAGTAGGTTCATTCAGAAGTACCATACAACTTACTATACTCAGAACTATCAATGGACACATGATTTGACCACAGCTTTGGTGGTGATTTTTGTCTTATTTACAAAGTTTCCCAAACTCCTATTCCGGTGTATACCACATAGTATTGCCAAGTAAATAACTATTTACTGAATGAAAGTGAATTAATTAATCAATATAATGTATCTTAATACAAATTGGTAACCAGAAGTAACTGAATTCAGGTTAGAGATTATCCACCATGACTAGGTGCTAGCTGACTTGTATTGTTAAACAATAAAATCCATTTCAATTCAGTTTTTATATATATGAACCCCAATAGAGAGTATTTAACAATATAAAACATAATTATTACGATAAATCATCTCATATCATACAAATAAGTTTGTCTCATAAAAGAATAGAACAAAACAAGACAAAACAAGTTGAAATATTGTTTCTTTAAATCTTATCACAATGTATTAAGCAATGATGTACTTAAGGACATTGTTATCTTTGCCAACACCTTTTAAGTGCAGTGGTTCCATGCACTCAAAGTGAATCTTCATATTTCAATGCTTATGACATATTTTGTAGGAAGATAAAGTGACTATTTTTATCTTACATAAGTCCATCCAAAACTCTAAGTTAAAAAAAGAAAAAAAGTATACTGCCAAACCCTTTAAAGCTGGCAGTGAAACATATTTACATTCTAGACAGAGGGGACTTATTTTAAGAAAGGTATCTCAAAATGAATATTCCATCTATGCTTGCTACTACTCCTTAGAAGTTATGAATCCAGACTTGAATAGCATCGTATTCTTAATACTGTCAGATTTTGTTCACAACTTTGAAATTTCAGCTGTTATTTTTTCCAAGAAGAATGTATCTCAAACAAATATAACTGATTTTAGGTATCAAATAAAGTTGTTGAGCAGGGGTTATACTGTCTCCACCACACTGGATAAAAAGAGTTTTAAACATGGCAAGAGAATTGCCATACCAGAAGGGTCACTTATCATCAATCTAGGCAGAACATGTAAGAATCATGTGATAGAAGAAGAATTGATGCCACAGCCATCTATTATATGCAAGAGACAAACATGGGTAGAGAGCTCTTACATTTCACATTGGTGTTGAAATTAGACAGTGGCACAGAGGCTGACATGAAAACTGGGTAGTAGGCAGCAAACAGTGAGGATTTATCTAGTTTTAAAGCAGTATCTAAATTGAAAATAACAAAATCAGTACAGCCTACCACAAAAATTTCCTTCCTTCCTTCCTTCCCTGCCTGCCTCCCTCCCTCCCTCCTTCCCTCCCTCCTTCCTTCCTTCTTTCCTTCCTCATCTTCGTCTTCTTTCTCTCTTTCTTTCTGTTGAGACAGGGTCTCACTCTCCTGTCCAGGCTGGAGTACAGTGGCATGATCTCAGTTCACTGCAACCTCTGCCTCCTGGGTTCAAACCATTCTCCCACCTCAGCTTCCTGAGTAGCTGGGACTATAGGCGTGTGCCACCATGCCTGTTTTTTGTTTGTTTGTTTGTTTTTTGTTTTAGTAGAGATAGAGTTTCACCATGTTGGCCAGGCCGGTCTCGAACTCCTGGCCTCAAGTGATCCACCTGCCTTGGCCTCCCAAAGTGCTGGGATTACAGGTGTCAGCCATACCTGGCCAGTCACTATATATATTTCACTCAACAAATATTTATTGGACACTTCCTCTGTGCCAGGTACTAAGCTATGCACAAAATACCTCAATGAATAGAATAATGATTTTTGTCCTCTATGGAGCTTACAGTAATCAAGGCTACTGATTAATCATTTTCAAAAGTCCTGAAGAATATGTATTATATACATGAGGATATAAAATATTCACAATTTTAAAAAAGCTAAGCAACAAAAAAATGTGAAGGAACAATTCTTAGCCCTAAACCCTAATACAGTATTTGGTCCAGAGAATGCTGTGTTAATGCAAAATAATTCTGGGGAGAATATTCTTACATGGTACTGTCTTTTTCCATTTGGACTGCTGCTGTAACAAAATACTATAAACTGAGTAGCTCATAAACAACAGAAATGTATTTCTCACAGTTCCAGAGGCTAGAAAAGCAAGAATCAAAGCCCATGTAGA
Source organism: Homo sapiens (assembly GCF_000001405.40). Lineage (NCBI taxonomy): Eukaryota > Metazoa > Chordata > Mammalia > Primates > Hominidae > Homo > Homo sapiens. The sequence goes on along the minus strand of NC_000003.12, from coordinate 174,791,472 downwards.
TTCTGCATCTGGTGAGGGCCTGTTTATGTGTTCATACATGCCTTCTTGCTGTGTCCTCACGTGGTGGAAGGATGGATGGTCTCTCTGAGGCCTTTTTTACAAGAGCACTAATCCCATTCATGAAGGCTCTCAAATACAATCGCCTTTGGTGTTAGGATTTCAACATATGACTTTTAGGAGAATGCGAACATTCAGACCACAGCAGTTGCACAGGAGAATACCCAGAGAGGGGTCTGGAAAGAATGTGGCCCACAGCATGGTCCTGTTTGCCCACATATAAGAGGGGTACTGACTTAATTTCATAAGAAGTTTTAATAAAAATAATTCAAAATACTACATAAGTCTACATTAGGTAATACTTCAGAAACTTGTTAAGTATTTTACTTTGTGCAGGGAAGTTTTCTGAGATGCAGTGGAGTAATAACTCTTGTTTCACCACGCTTTCCTTTTGAAACTGCTCTTTCCTGTAGTAACTACTTCAAAGCTAATAAAAGCAAACTCCAAAACGCAAAATGTAGACTAAAGTATACTTTATATCTTCCGATTGTATTTTTGTTTCTATGTAAATTGTATCTCAACAATATCCACAAGAACATATATAAATAACTATAAAACTATAGTAAATAATAATAAGACAATATAATCTTGGTTTTAAAATAAATCATCAACATTCTTTAGATTATCAATTGGGTTTATATTATTGTATTGGTATGTTAATGATTTACAACTTATTATTTTTCTACACACTGACATAATTATAGAAAAATAAATTTCTACAGGACACAAAATGATTTTTTCTTACTTACGCACATTTTTTTTTTTTTGAGATGGAGTTTTGCTTTTGTCACCTAGGCTGGAGTGCAGTGGCACAATCTTGGCACATTGCAACCTCTGCCTCCTGGGTTCAGGCAATTCTCCTGCCTCAGCCTTGTGAGTAGCTGGGATTAAAGGCATGCACCACCACACCCAGCTAATTTTGCATTTTAGTAGAGACAGGGTTTCACCATGTTGGCCAGGCTGGTCTCGAACTCCTGACCTCAAATGATCCACCTGCCTCAGCCTCCCAAAGTGCTAGGATTATAGGCATGAACCACCACGCCTGAACTTATGCAATATTTGACAGATCATTCTTTTTAAAAAGGCATGTAATGGAAAGGAGGGAAAGAAAGCAAATCGGATGCAGCATGCCACATAGGCTTCTCTGGAATTATCAATTTTTTAGTAAGCTATAATATCAAAACTAGGAACCAAAAAACAGGGAGATTCCCCGATCTTGACTCTTTCCAAGGCTACACCCTCCACCAGGAAATGGGAGACCAAGTGTCTATGGCTGCCAAGAAACCCCACTTCATCGTTGATTCACTGCAGGAATGCATAAAATTGTCTTAGACCCTCTCCCTTGAGTGTGGTGAAAGAGAGCCAAGAGTAGTATCTAGTTTTCAGAGATGTCAAGGAGTCCCTTTTTATTCCAGGCTTACTTATGCTACAGAGAGATGTCAAAGATCTAACTCAGCATGATAACGCCCTGTTGGCCCAGGTACACCATCTAATGCTTCCAGAGTCAGGCTTGGTAGCCAGCACTCCTCAGCAGGGTCTTTGTGACAGCTGAACTCAGAGGTTGTTCTTCTATCTGTTTTCAACTTACATGCTCTCTTTAGTGACAGATTCCATGGTTTACTTCACTTAGCCATTGCTGGTTGCTAAGGTGGGTGTTCCTTATAATTGGAACTATGATATTAGTTGTTGCTATGATATTAGCTGCTGATGGTATACAGTTAAAGTCATCTCCATTCCTCTTATTTACCATTTGCATTTTAGGTTCTGTTTACCTCCTTGGGTGCTGTTTTAAAAACATGTTCTAGTTTTGTTTTCTTGTGTTTTTGTTTTAAAATCAATTGATCCTCAGCATCATTTCTAGAAGGCACCATTAATCCTCAGCACCATTTCTAGAAGTTATTTCACAACAGGGTTCTTGATGAGAGCCACAGATGTAGTTCCAAGCTTTCACAGCTTTCTCAAATAATTGGTTTTTAAAATAATTTATTTAAAATCTTTTCCAAGTCAAAATAAGGCAGCAAGACTCATTAATATTTTGAAGGATCTGTTGACTCCCCCTCCTCTACCTACCCTACCTCACGCCCTTCTGGTGGCTCCACTCCTTTTGGTGGTGGCAAAATGCAGGGAAAGTAAATGAAATAGTACAAATTATCACAATAGGTGGTGACTCCAGCCATTTTCAGAATCCACCTCAGCAATATTACAAGTTATGCTCTCTCCCAGTCCTGGAGTTTCTGTGCATGTACCACTGGTCAGAAGACAGTTACAAATGAAGCAATATGGATTAATGAAAAAACATTTTGCTCTCTTCCAGTGATAATGACCTCAGCAAAAGAAGATGTAATAGGTCCCAGACAGATCCTAATCACATAGGCTATTAAAATCGTTCTATCGAAGACCTAGTTCCTCCATTAGTGACCTCTGTTTCCTATCACACAAACTTCTCTCAAACTCTTCCCTAAAGTGGGCTCAACAAGAGCATGGTTACTTTTTACTTAATGATTATTGTATTTAATTTGGCTTTTCACATTAGAATGTAATGAGAGGGCCCTGCAATTTAGGCAACCAAGATTAATGCCTGTATAGGTTGATCTCAGTTGGGTCCTTTGTCCTGCTTGGTAGATCTCTGTATTTGGTTTGCCTCAATTTGGTGAACCTGAAAATGTAAGCATTCTATCACCTCTTTTTCCTTATTCCAATCCTATTATGGGCTGACTTGTATTACCTCAAAATTTGTATTTTGAAGCCCTACCCCCTAGTATCTCAGAATGTTACTGTATTTGGAGATAGGGCCTTTAAAAGGTAAATAATTTTAAATGGAGTGGTTAGGGTGTGTGACTGGTTACTGGTGTTCTTACAAGAGATTAGGACACAAACAGAGGGAAGACCATGTGAGGACACAGCAAGAAGGCAGCCATCTGCAAGCCAAGGAAAGAGATTTAAGAAGAAACCAAACTGGTTGACCCCTGGATTTTGTACTTCTAGCCTCCACAACTGTGAGAAAATAAATTTGTGTTACTTAAGCTACCCTGTCTGTAGTGCTTTTATTCTAGTAGACCTAGCAAACTAATATGCGTCCTTTTGTCTTCTTTCAAATAGACTTCTCCTCATATCAGTACTACCCAATAATGTCACATCTGATAATGCCTCATTCCTGTATTTTGCTGGATCTAAGTGATTCCGATTTCTATTGCAATTCTTCTGGTATGAGCAAACTTTTGGAATATCTCATTGTCCCCCAACAGGATGTTAAAGGAAGAGCCTATCAGCTGTCATGTTAGGTCTTGAATTCATATTCAAGTAACTTGGCAAAAGACCCTGATATCTCTTTTTGAGTCTTCTCTAGAGAACATCAAGGATATTTATCCATACGTGCCTTTCAACTATCCATCTAACTACTCATCTATCTATTGTCTAATCTCCGTATCACAAGCACTCTAACGGTGATGCTGAACTGCTAACTTGGTGTTTTGTTTTGTTTTGTTTGTTTTTTGACAGGGTCTTGCTCTGTCACTCAGAGCTGGAGTGCTGACTTGGTTATTAACCAACTGAATCTACTTCTTTTCCAACTCTGGTGGTGACAAATATTTAGGTAAAAGGTATAAAAGTTACTAGAAAACACTTGAAGTTTCAGCTTACATACAACGTATTGACACTTAGGTTGAAACTCAAATTTATAAAAACCCAGAAAGATTTATTCCATACTTAATCCACTTCTCTTTTCTTTATTTCAAAAAGTCCAGTTTTGAAATATAGTTGAGCCCTATTTGAAATATAAATGGGAGAGTCACTACTATATATATATATATATATATATATATATATATATATATATATATGATGATATATTGCCTTCTTCTATTAAAATACTTTAAAAGTAACAAATTAAATTATCTTTAACAAATCTTGAGGTCAAGAAAACATGGCTTATTCCTGGCAAATCCTGTTAACTGAGATACTATTCTATCCCTGTAGTCTTAATAGTTTCAACTCTTAAAAGCAATTTAAAAGAAGTATTAGATTACTTTTCAGGCTGGCTCTGTCAAAACAATGAAGAAATCCAATAATTTAGCTTTGCAAAGTCTACAAATGTAAACAAAATGAGATGCATTTATGCAGTCTTGGGCATTGTGTTTTCATTACACTTTCAGTGTTTTCCTTAACTTGTGAAATATTTTGTCAGTTTGAAGAGACGAATAACAAAAATAAAAATTTTATCATGTCTAAAGAATCCAAATCTAACTCTAACCCCCAAAGATGTTGTCATTTCATGTATTCATAAAATGGGTCATTTCACTTCATATGTCTGTAAAGCAATATATTGTATTTGCTTTGGTTTTATTATATTGCAATAAATATAATAATATAATAATTTATTATATTGCAGTATAATAAAATCAAATATATTAACCAGTAATATTAACTGATTTATTTTTATCTGATTTGTATAATTTTTTTTGTACATCATGTAACAATCACCATGACATGGCTAGCCAGATGTTCTAACTTCATATCAGAATATCTATATTTATTTCATAAGATACAGGAGAAGACGACAATTTAATTTTTACATCTTAGAGGTAGAAGAAGGGAAGCTGAGCAATGTTCTCTTGGTCTTTATTACTATCACAGGGCATAACCCTTATCTAACAAACCTTGTGTTTCCTCTGCAACCCACCAAAGACCTATGACATTTATATAACATTACAATTTGGTTTCACCTGATCTTGCCTAGTCAATGTGTCTTGTCCTTCTCTAAATTCCTTATCCATTATTAGCAGAATGGTTTCTTAGACAAAAAAAGATAAACAAAAAAAATCTCAGTATTACTTGTCAAAAAGTGGAGGGTCTGGAAAAGAAATATAGAACAGATCTATCATCCTCTCTACCCAAAAATAACAAGAATAATTTTACTTTTTCTTTTTTTTCTCCTTTTCATTTATTTATTATTTTTTTTTTTTTTTTTGAGACAGAGTCTGCTCTGTCACCCAGGCTGGAGTGCAGTGGTGTGATCTCGGCTCACTGCAACCTCCACCTCCTGGGTTCAAGCACATCTCCTACCTCAGCCTCCCGAGTATCGGGGACTACAAGCGCATGCCACCACACCCGGCTAATTTTTTGGTATTTTTAGTACAGATGGGGTTTCACTGTGTTAGCCAGGATGGTCTCGATCACCTGACCTCATGATCTGCCCGCCTTGGCCTACCAAAGTGCTGTGATTACAGGCGTGAGTCACCATGCCTGGCCAATTTTACTTTTTCAGTAAAGCTTTTTGCTAAGCAAGGGATCATGCAAAAATAATCAGATGGCAGCATGATGCTAATTTAAATAGAGTTCCTGGCTGTGCCCTGGCCTTTTGGTACCAGTTAACTAACTAAAAGTTGGTATAAAGATGCCACAGCTAATCATGTAATTCCTGTGCCTTTACACAATCACTGGCTGTGTAATGTGCATTAATTTAGGAAAAAGGAATCAATATCAACTGAGAATAACCTGCTCTAATCTACTGAAAACACAGTGGTAAAGAGGCAATGAAGAGACAAACTTGAATAAGAAAATAGAGTACTCTGACAAGTTTTGGAGCCAAAATTCACTGTGAAACCCATTCAAAAATCATAAACACTTAGTTTCAATTTCAATACTTCAAACAGCATAAGACAAAATAAATAAATATAGCAGGGAATCACTATGACTGTATTCTGTGTCTTTTTTTAAAGCCTACATCTTAATGTCCGCTCAATTGAAATGTAGCAACACAACATCACGTGTAATAGTCACAGGACCAAAACAGTGACAAAAAAGAGCCCAAATAGACAAAGCAATATTTATTTGCAGAGACATTGCATTACCTAATTTCAAAGTACTATTGGGCTACAGTAACCAAAACAGCATGGTAATGGTACAAAAACAGACACATAGAGCAATGGAATAGAATAGAGAACCCAGAAATAAAGTCGCAAACCTACAGCCATTTGATCTTCAACAAATTTGACAAAAATAAGCAATGGTGAAAGAGCTCCTTATTTAATAAATGGTGCTGGGATAACTGACTAGGTATACGCAGAATGAAAATAAAATACCATGCTCTCATTTATAAGTGGGAGCTATTAGCTATTTTGCCATTACTTTTAATGGCAAAAACCACAATTATTTTTGCACCAACTTAAATAAAAATTAGCACTCATGGACAAAGGGATGGCAACAGTAAATACTGAAGACTAATAGAGGGAAACAGTAGAAGGAGGGGAAGGGCTCAAAAGCTAACTGTTGTACACTGTGCTGACTACATGGGTGACAGTGTCATTCATATCTCAAACCTCAGCATCACGCAATATACCCATGTAACAAACATGCACATGTACCCCGTGAATCTAAAATAAAAGATAAAATTATAACAAAATTAAAAATTAAATTAAAAAGGACAAAAGATCTTGATTATCATAGTCCTCTCCTATTCACTTTTTTAGGTTTCAGTTACCTGCTCTTTACTACAGTCTGAAAATATTAAATGAAATATTCCAGACAGAAAGAAAAGGAAACACTTCAAGGAAGTGTATAAATACTTAAACAATTGAACAACTGCCTATACAATAAGGTTCATGACAAACAAGAGACTAAACATTCCAAAATTCTGAGTTAAAGGATTATTCACCAGTTGAATAGGGAAACCTCTGCTTGGGCATAAAGAATTACTCACATTTGGTCCAACGGATAAGGAGTATTCATTCACATCTGTGATTCTCTACTATTAGACCTTCAATACATTGAACCCTCCAGTATTTACTAAAATTACTCAACGACTTCAATGTTGATGCTGTCTTCCCCTCATAACTAACTTCAATTATTACTTCTATGTTTACTGTCACATCTTTAATACACTTAAGAAAAGGTTTTTATCGTTTGATTTCATCCAGCACTGTGCTAGCTACTGAGGCACATTGTATATAGTAATCAGACCATGAATGATTCTGTTTAAACAAATATATATTATGACTCATGAAGTAAGACAGTTAAGGCAGATTTAGGCTCTTCAACAAATAGCTGAGCTGTACTGCAAAGACTCGCCACATAATGCAATTGGAGATTTTTAGACAAATACACCTCTGATAGCACCATCAAAGCTGCATATGCATATGTATAATTTTCCCTATCCTAACTTCCAAAAAAGCCAATATCTGGATTCAAGGCAGATAACTCTTTATTATAGAAGTGTGTGATATTATTTTACATTAATATACATTACTAATAAACAAACTAGCTAAGTAAAAAATACGTGTTGCAGAACAAGAAAATGATTAGATGCGCAGTGATTTATCTATTTGTAAAGATGTAAATATTTATATATATAGTAAGCATTCAATATAGGTTTTGTGGTTTTGTTTGAGTTATTCTTTCTTTGGGAACTATTGGAATACTCTAAGCTTCAAACTAGTATATATTCTTTAGTTAATATATCCAGTGAGACAAACTGTTCTTCTCAGAAGAGGAATAAGCTCTATCATGATGGTTCTCAACTCTACCTGTACATCAGTATCACCTGGGAGCATTTTCTGAAAAAAATGATGCCCTGGAAGTCCTCCAAACCTTCTGATATTAAAATTCCATAGCTAGGATTGAGAATCAGTTGTCACTCCTTCAGCCTTGTCCACCTGAACCCTCTAGCCACAGCACAAGACTCAAGCAACAATGACTTCAGAGTCAGACAGAAAATGCTGATGCCTACAAATATGGCCGCTTAAGAAATAAACAGGAAAGCTGTGGCACTCACTCAGGTATTCAAAATAAAAATATATATATATTAAAGCCTTGTGGAGAATTGAAGAATCAGGTCTATGGGCTAAATTTGGCCTACAAATTGACAATTTGCCACGGTTGCAAAATGCACACTATTTGATTGTATCAAGTACAAAGGACTCTAATTCTAGTAATGAAGCTCTGCAAAGGGTCAAACGTGGCTAGAATTTCACTATAAATATTCTGTGCAAAGTGCAATACCCCATCAATTCTGAAACAGCATTCATGTGGCTGTTCATACCAAGAAGTAATCCTCATCTTCATCGGGATACGCTTGTAACAGAAATTCAAAAAAGACTAAAGGGAACAAGGCAGGAAAGAAAGCAAAGACTACAGTCATTTAATAAACTCTACTAAATACCTCTACCCCACTAGGGCCCTCAAGTGAGAAATCACACAAACTATATTTTCCATTCTATACTTACATGGGAGTTTCAAAAGCTGTAAATGTTTAAGATGATGCAAATTATTTTTTAAATATGGATGGAAAATGAAATGTTATCTCCAATAGACAGCATGACAAAAGCTTTTTAACATCTGTATGTCCAGTGTATCTTTACATGAAAATGGAATATGGATGCAACCTAGAAAATAGAAGAAAGACAGCCAAGAGACGCCAAGTACCTTCATCTTAAATATGAGAGAATGCATTCACCAAATTGCTTAGTTTAGCTTATGATATGGTTTGGCTGTGTCTCAATCCAAATCTCATCTTCAACTGTAGTTTCCATAATCCCCATCTGTCATTGGAGTGACCCAGTAAGAGGTAATTGAATCATGGGGGCGGTTACCTCCATGCTGTTCTTGTGATAGTGAGTGACTTCTCACAAGATCTGATGCTTTTATAAGCGGCTTTTCCCCCTTTGCGCGGCACCTCTCTCGCCAACATGTGAAGAAGGACCTGTTTTCTTCCCCTTCTGCCATGATTCTAAGTTTCCTGAGGCCTTCCCAGCCATGCAGAACTGTGAGTCAATTAAACCTTTTTTCTTTTAAATTACGCAGTCTCGGGTATTTCTTCACAGCAGCGTCAGAACGGACTAATACAACTTCATTATTGCTCAATTTGGTGAGTCCACCAAAATTGCTACATATGTATTTAATATATTTATATAAGTACAAAAATAAATAGACACACTCAGATTTCTATCAAATTTTTCATCTTGTTGTATCATTTGTGTTAAGGCAAATATTGGAATAATAATTAGATTATTATTAATAATGCCCATAATTCACATTAGACAACTGTGTAAAAGCCAGCATGGTAGTAAAAGTACCACTGAAAATCAACAGAATTACTCTATTAAAACACACATATACTACTTTTACACTAGTTCCTTCTCTATCGTCTATTTGAATTGTGTTTCACTGGGCGAACACCTTTGATTGAAATGTAACCTTGTACTCAGTGAGGGGCAGTGTTATTCTCAGGATCATCTACTCACTATTTAAACCCTGTTTTTGATGTAGCACTTTAACAGCTTGAATAAGAGTAAACTGTTCTCAGCAGTGAACCAAAAACAGCAGCCACAGTCAAAAACAATGCATATGTACTTTCACACTTCCCTACAAGGAGAAAAGGATCAAGTACATTTAAAGTTTTAATGATGCTAGAAAAAGAAACATGATCTTGTACTGTCTCCTGGGGCATAAAAATCTTGTATTAAGTAATACATGAACACGTGGAGTATTCCTTTATATTTACATCAATAAAGGAAAGAAGCATTCCCATTTCATCTTGCAAAGACCTGAAAAGTCTCTGTCTGCTACAGCCTGGCACAAACCATCCTCCCTTGCACAAGGTCTGCCTATTTCTCCACTGTAAGTTCCCATTACTCCTCTACAAAATCATGACTGTCACCAGGGTGCTCAATATTACCTCTCCTGAACACATGAAACATTTGTATCATCAACTCTTTTACTTCTCACTTCCTATCTGATTTATTTCTCTTTATGTTAAGTCCTATCCATCTTTTAATTCTAACTTCAATTTCCCTCTCTATCACTATCCATCCTTCTAAAATCACCCTAAAAAGAAAGTATTTTCCTCCCCTATAATTCCTACGGAACTTATTTTTATAATCACCTACAGATTTAACATATTGTCTTGCTAATCAGTGTCTACATAATATCAGGTCATTGAAATTCAAAATTTTGAGGGTTCCATTCTCCCCATCACTTTGAGGTAGACCAAATCTACGTCTGAATGGTGTACCTGAAAGTGATGGGGAGAATGGAACCAAGCTGGAAAACACTCTTCAGGATATTATCCAGGAGAACTTCCCCCATCTAGCAAGACAGGCCAACATTCGAATTCAGGAAATACAGAGAACACCACAAAGATACTCCTCAAGAAGAGCAACCTCAAGACACATAATTGTCAGATTCACCAAAATTGAAATGAAGGAAAAAAATGGTAATGGCAGCCAGAGAGAAAGGTCGGGTTACCCACAAAGGGAAGCCGTAAGACTAACAGCGGATCTCTCTGCAGAAACCCTACAAGCCAGAAGAGAGTGGGGGCCAATATTCAACATTCTTAACAAAAAGAATTTTCAACCCAGAATTTCATATCCAGCCAAACTAAGCTTCATAAGGGAAGGAGAAATAAAATCCTTTACAGACAAGCAAATGCTGAGAGATTTTGTCACCATGTCACCTGCCTTACATGAGCTCCTGAGGGAAGCACTAAACATGGAAAGGAAAAACCGGTACCAGCCACTGAAAAAACATACGAAATTGTAAAGACCATCAACAGTACGAAGAAACTGCATCAACTAATGGGCAAAATAACCAGCTAGCATCATAATGACAGGATCAAATTCACACACAACAATATTAACTTTAAATGTAAATTGGCTAAATGCCCCAATGACAAAAAAAACATGATTATCTCAACAGGTGCAGAAAAGGCCTTTGATAAAATTCCACAGCGCTTCATGCTGAAAATTTTCAGTAAACTAGGTATTGATGGAACATATCTCAAAATAATAAGAGCTATTTATGGCAAACCCACAGCCAATATCATACTGAATGGGCAAAAGCTGGAAGCATTCCCTTTGAAAACAGGTACAAGGCAAGGATGGCCTCTCTCACCACTCCTATTCAACATAATATTGGAAGTTCTGGCCAGGGCAATCAGGCAAGAGAAAGAAATAAAGGGTATTCATATAGAAGAGAGGAGGTCAAATTGTCTCTGTTTGCAGATGACATGATTGTGTATTTAGAAAATGCCATTGTCTCAGCCCAAAATCTCCTTAATCTGATAAGCAACTTCAGTAAAGTTTCAGGATACAAAATCAATGTGCCAAAATCACAAGCTTTGCTATACACCAATAACAGACAAACAGAGAGCCAAATAGTGAGTGAACTCCCATTTACAATTGCTACAAAGAGAATACAACTTACAAGGAATTTGCAGGAATACAACTTACAAGGGATTTGAAGGACTTCTTCAAGGAGATTTACAAACCACTGCTCAAGGAAATAAGAGAGGACACAAACAAATGGAAAAATATTCCATGCTCATGGACAGAAAGAATCAATATAATGAAAATGGCCATACTGCCCAAAGTAATTTATAGATTCAATGCTATCCCCATCAAGCTACAATTGACCTTCTTCACAGAATTAGAAAAAACTACTTTAAATTTATATGGAATCAAAAAAGAACCTGTATAGCCAAGACAACCCTAAGCAAAAGAACAAAGCTGGAGGCATCAAGCTACCTGACTTCAAACTATACTACAAGGCTACAGTAACCAAAACAGCATGGTATTGGTACCAAAACACATATGTAGACCAATGTAACAGAAGAGAAACCTAAGAAATAACACCACACATCTACAACCATCTGATCTTTGACACACCTGACAAAAACAAGCAATGGGGAAAGGATTTTCTATTTAATAAATGGTGTTGGAAAAACTGTCTAGCCATATGCAGAAAACTGAAACTGGATCCCTTTTTAACACCTATACAAAAATTAACTCAAGATGGATTAAAGACTTAAACGTAAGACCTAAAGCCGTAAAAGCCTAGAATAAAACATAGGCAATACCATTCAGGACATAGGCATAGGCAAAGACTTCATGACTAAAACACCAAAAGCAATGGCAACAAAAGCCAAAATTGACAAATGGGATCTAATTAAACTGAAGAGCTTCTGCACAGTAAAAGAAACTATCATCAGAGTGAATAGGCAATCTACAGAATGGGAGAACATTTTTGCAATCTATCCATCTGATAAAGGGCTTATGTCCAGAATCTACAAAGAACTTAAACAAATTTACAAGAAAAAAACAACCCCATCAAAAGTGGACAAAGGATATGCACAGACACTTCTCAAAAGAAGACATTTATGCAGCCAACAAACATATGAAAAAAAGCTCATCATCACTGGTCATTAGAGAAATGCAAATCAAAACCACAATGAGATACCATCTCACGCCAGTTAGAATGGCTGTCATTAAAAAGTCAGGAAACAACAGATGCTGGAGAGAATGTGGAAAAATAGGAACACTTTTACAATGTTGGTGAGAGTGTAAATTAGTTCAACCATTGTGGAAGACAGTGTGGCAATTCCTCAAGGATCTAGAACTAGAAATACCATTTGACCCAGCAATCCCATTACTGGGTGTATACCCAAAGTATTATAAATCATTCTACTATAAAGACACATGCACACATATGTTTACTGTGGCACTGTTCACAATAGCAAAGACTTGGAGCCAACACAAATGCCTATCAATGATAGACTGAATAAAGAAAATGTGGCACATATACACCATGGAATACTATGCAGCCATAGAAAAGGATCAGTTCATGTCCTTTGCAGGGGCATGGGTGAAGCTGGAAACCATCATTTTCAGCAAACTAACACAGGAACAGAAAACCAGACACTACATATTCTCACTCAGAAGTAGGAGTTGAACAATGAGAACATATGGACACAGGGAGGGGAACATCACACACGGGGTCCTGTTGCAGGGTGGGGGTCTAGGAGAGGGATAGCATTAGGAGACATACACAATGTAGATGACAGGTTTATGCAGCAAACCACCATGGCACATGTATACCCATGTAACAAACCTGCACGTTCTGCACATGTATCCCAGAACTTAAAGTGTAATAAACATAAATAAATAAATAAATAACATCCTAACCCAAACCTGGTGCAGAGTAGCCCTAGTAAATCTCTGTGGAATGAATAAAAATCCCTCTTTCAAAGTTGAACAATTTTGTACTAGTTCTTGAAATGAGGCTCTTCATCATGTAAACCCTTCATAATTACCCTAAGGTTCTGCCTGCTTGTGTATAATAGATATCACATGTCTTATGACATATTATATGATGAGAAGTTTTATCTTGACCAAGCTGAATATCCCCATTAATCAAGATAAGTTCCAAGCCCTCCCTTATTATGGACACTTAAAACTTAGAGTCCATCCTAAACTTTGGCATTGAGGACAGAGTTCAACATTATTTTGAGATCATGGAAAGTCTAGAATGTCTCTCTACTTGGGACATAGCATAGTATCTAGCATAATACCAGTAGGCATATAATAAGTATTCATGAAATAGAAGTTTTAAAATCTGTGTAATTGTCATAGCATTGGAATGCTAGTACTATATCATCCCTAAAAGATATGCATATTTATTCCTAATACTGTACTCTATGTGCATTTTTAGATGACTTTCTGATATTCTAAAGACTAGCTTGATTTTCCTTATAGTTGCCAGCCAACTTTTCACAAGAAAATTGACAATGAAGACTTGAACCATGAAGATAGAGGATGGTTTGCTTATGCATGTATATGTGGAAAGGAGAGGTTCAGTAGAAACAGTAGATGAACTAAGCTCCTTGTTGAACAGAGCCAGTTCAGAATTGAGATATCTGTTGGCTATATTTTTCATTTCTTTTAAGTCATTAAGGAAATCTTCTCATCCAGACAGAAAGAATAGTGCAATTTAACAGCCATGTTAGTGTGTTCCCACTGCAGATATGTAGCATTATTCATGTCTACATTAAATTATTAAGAAAGTGACTTTCATCATCTTCAAGATATGTACTTTTGTTTATCCCCCTCTAACAGCTGATGAACTTTTTAAGTAAAAATTGTAGCAAGGCCTCCTCTAAAGACCAGAAATTTTGATGATATATAACCAGTTCAAAAGTATCTTAAAACCAATTACAATTAGGTTCCAACTAGAAATACATTTTTAAAATATTTTCAAACTTTTAAATCATTTTAGGGTCTTGAAATCCAGTTTTACTTATAATTTTCATGACTTTATTTGTGTTAGAACAGAGGAAGAAGGACACTTGGTGGCAAAAGGTGGTATGATTTTTTACACATTACCTACATTTTAATTAAAATGAACTATAAAATACATGCACATGTCATTCAAAATATTCTGCTGATTTAATGTATATTTTAGAAAGAGGAATTCCATACAAGGTGATTAGACAGTGGTTTCTGGGCTGGTGTCCAAAATATCAAGGAGGAAATTGTTGTATTCTGTCCCTTGAAAAGATTATGATAGTTGACAAATGCACACAGTCATTTTACTTATTCTTGTGATTAAAATTAAAGTCTATAAAGCAATAAACTTAGTTAATTACTCATTATATATAGCTTTCCACTACTTCCCAATGCTGTTGCCATTGATTTTACCCCAAAAGAATTTAAGGGAAGAATTTTTAAAAGGCTTTCTCTATGGTCACACAATGTTCTGTGCACTCGGAACTGAATTATGCCTTTAAATATGTGTATTATGTGCAAACAATGCAGCTTTGTCATGCATGGTGAGCAATGAAGTTATTCATAACAGAATCAATGGAATTTCTTAATTTTATCACACTGCCACCATGATTCGTAAAAAGTATATAAGAATTCTTCATGAAAATAAGTGAAATATCTTCTATCTTCAATAAGTAAAACTAAAAGCAATATGTGCCTGAGCAATATAACTGATCATCTGTCAGTTATAATGTATCATTACAAGTTCCCAAATTATGAATATGTAGTTTTCTAAGTGGCAAATTTCATGGCTAATGGAGTACAGATTAGTTTCCTAATTCACAATGAGGTATGCAGAATTTGGGAAGGTTTCAGGCACCACCCAGGGACTCGATAGAGTATATGGCTCAATGTTATTCATAAGATTTCAATAAGAAGTGTCTCTGGAACTGTGGAGGTGTGGCGTTTACAGAATTGTGAGTCTGTAAAGTTTATTACCTAAACAGGGCCATTCACTGCTGGATGAGTGTGCTGTGAGTGGTCATGGTTTCTATTTCTGATATCATTACCCAGATCGTATACACTTTGCGAAGTCACTCAACAGCCTCAGGCCAATTTTCATGCATTTTGTAATCCTACAGAACTTCTTAGAGTATTGTTGATGTTAGGGAGGTATTGGGCTGTTTTATTGCATGCCAAAAGAGAAAAACTTCAGGTTTAAATAAGAAATATTTGTCTTGCTTGGCTAGGCTTGTCAACCAACAACATTTATTGAGTTCCCATTGTGTATAAAGATTCTTATTTGAAGAAAGTTGACATAAAAGGAAAACAGTAACAGCTTCTGCTTCAAAAAACTGCTGTGGGAAAGAAGACAACAAATAAATATGCAATAGTAGGACATTTTAAAGTCAGCATCCTCAGTGTCTATGTCCAGATAACTAAAGCTGTTTTTCAGAGGTGCTTATTTTAGCCATATTTGTTACGTATAACACTCAGATTGCCCTTTACGGAAAGACTTCGTGTCCAGCTGCAAGGAATGTGGTGAGGTAACAGCTGATAACTTTATCTGGTTCTGCCTCAAATTCCAGCTGAGGTCACCTTATTATCAGGGCAAGTCCTGGCCAACAACTGTGCAAGGGAGGACTACAAAAGCCTGGTCATTTCCTCCCAGTGGAGGATTCCTCCAGTGGACAACCTTTGTTCTGGAGGACCCTGTGGGGAGATCTGCACTGTGGCCTGAGGGACTTATTCAATCCTGCTTCCACTCTTTTCCTTTAACAAGCCATTGGTTTACTAATAAAACATTTGCATGCTTAACTGCATTTCTACAATTTTTCCTGGAGAACCCAACTTGCAATAGAAAGGTTTTACAAGTGATTTGTAATATTTTTCAGCAGTAAAATTAATAAAATACTGATACATGCTATATCATGGATGAAACTTGAAAACACATGCCAACTGAAACAAGCCAGCCAACAAAGACTGCATATTGTATTGTTATTCCACTTTTATGAATATCCAGAATAGGCAAAACTATAGAGACAGAAAGTAGATTAGTGGTTTGCAGAGGCTAGAGTTATGAGGAGATGGGGAGTGACTGCTAATGGATGTGGGATTTTTTTTAGGGGAGGTGAGAAAGATGTTCTAAAATTAAATTGTTATAATGGTTGCACTATGTGAATATAATAAAAACCACTGAACTGCATACTTCAAATACATGAATATCATATTATATAAATTATCTCAATAGGGTCATTAAAGCATATATATGTATATATATACTAGTAAAGCATTTTTATGTATACTTTCCTATTTTTCTAAACAGATTATACTCATAACAGTGGCACTCAGGAACTGTGCGAAGACATGTGTCCATCTTTTACTGACAGTTGTCATTTCCAAGGGTACAAGCAGAACAGCCTAACTTTTCCGTTTGTGAGAACTGAAGTAAAAACCAACAGCCAAGTATGTAAAATCATTAAATTAAATCCAGATAAAGTGTAATCATAAGGTTTTAACCTGAGGTTGGGCAAAGTGAAAAGCCAAGGCTCTCTGAGAGCATGATCTCTCATTACTTAGAAGTTTACATTTCTATTACTTTTGTGATTAAAATAGCTGAAGATGTTCAGAATCTACTGTATTTGTAGGTGTGTATGTAAGTATGTACCTGCAACAGCATGTCATGTGACTTTTCCTCTTGGTGCAGAACTGCCAAAGATGCTAAGTATTCCCCCATTTAAAGAAAACTCCCCATGGGTCTGCTAAAGCAGGAAAAAGACATGTACTTAGTAAGATGAGGCCAAACTGTCACTGCAACTACCAACTATCGTGACACTTCCTCTGTAGAATCTGTGAAGAAACAGGGTTGTCCTCAAGTCCTCTGTCTTCTGGGATGTACTGGTTCATTATTAAAGGCTGTTGTTTCTCCTCGAAGTCAAGATGTGAAGGTATGGCTGACCAACTCTAAGGGGTCCCCTCAGGAAAGGGATTCAGGCATTTTCATTCCCTAGTTAGATGTCTATTTGGGCAGTTAGCCAGCAGATTTGCACGTGAGTCTACCTAAGAAGTAGAGAAAGAGGACTGCAGAGAGATGGTAGAACTATGATAGGGCACATTTCCACCATTTGACATGGTGAGAATTTATGAGCTTCTGATGGACCACATGAATGCCACAGAGGGTAGCTAAGGTAGTATCTATTGGTTATAATCCCATATAAGAAGGCCATATGCAGGGCAAAGGGATTCCAACAACTAGGAGCTGTGGGTTAGAGGAATAGTACTGGAAGCAAGGAAAGTGGGATAGTGAAAAGAGTACAGTAGAGAGATAATGGAAAGGCTTGTGAATAACTCATAAGTGTACCCAATGGAAGAGGTCTTAAGACACTTGCTTCATAAGGCAATCATGAAAATTCAGTGATAGAGGGGAAATAGAAACTGAAAAAGAAAGAATTTCAAATTTACAAAGTTAAGAGAAATGTGCTCATTACTCCTCTCATCCACTCTCTCACTCTCCATCACTTCAGCAGCTAGAACTGAGAGGAGGGAAGAAATAAAGGGACAATCATTGTTGGACTATTTAAAGTAAGTACACCTACCTAACGTGAGGCTCTCAAAGGAAAGAATTTAACAATACTGTGCATCACTTTAAACGTTGGGTACTCTAAAACGCAAAATAAGTGTTGATGGAAAGCTTTCTCTTGCCCACTTACCGCTAGTTTCTCCCCTCATAACTCCTGGAAATATTTGATATATGAGATAGACATTTATTCTCTGGAACCCTAAACATAAAAATTTAAGTATATCTTGAAGGCACACACCACAAACTTTAACTAGATATGTTCATAGTTCTGCCTAAGCTACCACTTCTATGAAAGTCTCATCACTAGCATGGAGTATACCTTATTCTCAGTTAAAGGGATGGAGAGTCTATCATCTAAGCCCTCTTCCCCAGGATCTCAGATGGCAAACTCAAGCTCAGTCCTTGCAGAATTCGTGGGTAGATCACTCCATTGTCTGTCTTTGATTATACACTAGGCTTCCACTGTGATGTTGAATTGGGTTCACACCTCTCAATTAACTAACAACAGGAAAGAGAAAAGTTTTTTAGCTTGTGGGATATTGTCTTTATTCCAAGGATACCTTCTCCTCTCTATTTCTATACTTTAACAGGCCTGAGAGCCACTTTGGTCTCTCCAAGGACCTCTATTACTGAATAGACTTCTCAAGACCCATCCTTCTTTCCATTCACTCTCTGTCACCTGTCCTTCTCTTTTGTAATTATCTGCATGACTGCTGTCACTTTAGGTCAGCACACACAGCTTTCATACTCTCCTGTGTCTCAGCATTATTTTTGTTCTCACTATTCCCAGACTATATGGCTATTCCATCTTACATATTCCTCCATAATTTCATATATTAGCTGCCATTCAGAACTGGACTGATGGCATCCCTGTATTTTTTAATTCCTTTAACACCTTTTAGAATTACTCTCTAGAGTGCACAACATCCTAATGTTTGATTTTTGCCACATTCTCTGTCAGATTGCACTTTAGAACTTTATATCAGAAGATGATACTGACATGAACAAGGTCATTTCACAATTGTTTCATGGGTTCCTCTCTTGTGTTTCCACCTTAACTTTCACCTACTATATCATTTTGTGTCTGTCTGCACCTATCAATACCAGAACGCAGACTTCATTCACGTAAATTAATGAGTTAATCTTTATAAGAGTACACCTATAGTTAGGTCAGAGTTATTATGATGTTTTAAGTCATGTAATTATTACCACCATTTAATTCTGGTTTCTCAGAATGGGGCCTGCAGTTAAACAATCAAAACTGCTTATTTTATTTAATCAATAGTCTCTGCTACTTGGATCAGTGAGATTAAGAGCACTACACTTTTCAAATCACATTTCCTTAAATTCATTCTTTAAGGAAAACACCAATTAGCATCCTATTATAGACAATTTTTTGAAATCTGCACACCAATTAACATCCTCTCCACTCAATTTAAATCTACAATTTTTAAAAATAAAACCACAGTGAAAATCTGGGAGGTAATACATTTCTCTTTTTCTCCAATGTAGTAATAAATTATGCTGGAAAAACCCTACACACATATTTTTATTTTCTAAGTCATTTAGGTAGAAACAGAGAGTAGCATCCTAGTCCAATGACATTGAATATATTAATTACAAAGGACTGAAGATTTCAAGAAAATAATTAGAATTAACCCACTGATTTATTTCTATATTTTGGGAAAGCTTAGTCATTTCCTTTGTATCAGAAAAATATTCATCAATTACCAATGATCATCAAAACTAAAATGTCCCTGAGAAAAACACCAAGCAATAAGCTTTTTAGGGACAAAAAAAATGTGTCTGATTTGTCTTTGTATCTCCCATACCTAGAGCAATGCCTGATCACATATGTTTGATAAGAGTAAGAATGAACAGTTGAGTATGTGCATAAAGTGAATAACCTTTTCCTTATTTCTCCATCACTTTTCAAAGCCAGTTAGTCATTGTCAGTTTTACCCTAAAAATGTCTGAAATTTTCCACTTAAGTCTCCCCACAAAATTCCATCAGAGTTTGATTACCTTGTATTCTTACAATAATCACTCCAGTAGTTTCTTCCCCTGTACCATACTCATGGATACCTTTCTAAACAGTAAGTCAGAGCTTTCACTCTCCTACTTCCATGCATCTTTTGGGTCTAGTTTGTGTGTAGAATGGAATCTAAACATTTTAGCAAAACACAGAAATCCCTAGGATCAGGCTCCAATTTACTTCTTTCTACGATGTGCATGTTTCGCCATTCCTTTACCAAAGCTCATGCACCCGACACATTAGCAATACCCAGTGTCTCTCTACACCCTAACCAAGCCATGCTCTTGTATGCCTTTGTACCTCAGCACATTACCCTCCCTATCTTTTCCTCATTCAGTAACAACCATGTCCCTAGTACTGCACTTCTGTTGGGTAAAACCTCGTATTGCACTCAATAGAAGCTAGTTATTTTCTATCAATATATACTTCTGTGATCACCTCTAGCTTGAAGCCTTACCTAACTCCTCAGATACAGTGGAGGTGCTCTTATTATACTTTGATTTTACTCTGAATTTTGTGTATTTCAATTAAATGTAAATGTTTATATCTCTTCCATTAGAGATCAGATGCTTTGCCTCTAATCTATATCCTTGATACCCAAAAGTGTGTTGGGTGGCAGAATGTATTTAATTTAGAAAGCACAATGAATGAATGATCAAAGTAATAGAAATAGACACCCAGATATTTGAACATCGAAGAAATTCAGTAATTCAGACTTCATAATTTGTATATTAATTCTAGTTTGGACAAAGCTCAGACTGAAACTTATCAATTATTATCTTTTAACAAAAAGGCTTGATTCCTACATATAACTTGGAAAATTGTGACAAAAGGAATAGTAAAACTATGAGTTAACAATTTTAAGTACCCATAAACAATTGAAATAAAAAATACGTATTTCTTTTTTTTTCTTTTTTTTTTTTGTTAGACCGAGTCTTGCTGTCGCCCAGGCTGGAGTGCATGGAGTGTAGTGGCACGATCTCGGCTCACCGCAAGCTCTGCCTCCCGGTTCACGCCATTCTCCTGCCTCAGCCTCCTGAGTAGCTGGGACTGCAGGTGCCCACCACCAAGCCCAGCTAATTTTTTGTACATTTAGTAGAGACGGGTTTTCACCGTGTTAGCCAGGATGGTCTCGATCTCCTGACCTCGTGATCCGCCCACCTCGGCCTCCCAAAGTGCTGGGATTACAGGCGTGAGCCACCAAAAAATATTTATTTCTCAATAGAACTTATGTATTCCTTAAGACAAAAACCTACTGAATTATGTTAGCTCGCATTTTGCATTGCTTTTTCACTAATACAATCAATTAACCTATAAAAGATTACCAATCATACCTATTCACAAATGAGAAGTAACAGAATAACCCAAGTTCACCAAAAAATAGAATTCAGGCCTTCAGAACTCCAAGGCAGTACTGTTCTCACCAATTTAACATCTTTATATTTGTTTACTCTGATAAAAATTGGTTACATATCACTTTTGTCACCTATTAGATCCTATTCTAAATTGACAGGCACCATGAGTGCAGATAAAGTCTAATATCAAGTTTTTATTCCCTTTGTTTTAACTCACAGTCAGAATATTTCTGAGACAAGCTTGTGTATTATTTGTACAGTTCTCTTCATGTACATGCATGTGTGTTTGTGTACATGAGTGTCTGTAAGAGTTACAATTTTGCTGAAAGAGTTGATGGATATGACATAACAGATTACTTCTTGTTTTAAATATTAATTCATAGAAAATTTCATCATTGATATGCAATTTCTAAAGATGGGCATCTAATATTATATATTGTATTATTTGTGAAAAAGCATATATAACTATCTTATGCCAAAAATATGGAGGCCTCTATGACCTAAAATTTGGTTATTGAAAACCCAAAAGATTTTTAACATCTATAGTAAGAAAACAGGCAACAGGGTTTAGATCTGGTATAAACATTGTAGCTATTTTTAAAATAATGTTTTTAAAGAAATAAATAAAATTAAAGAATATATAAGAAAAGAGAAAAAAACTTTTAATTGTTTTCAAAAGTGTGACATGAAGGCCCTTTAGAAGAAAAAAAATATGTTACTGGAGAAAACAGAATATAGAAATTTCCAAATTGTATTTTCTGTGCCTTTTTCATTGTATTTTTATGATAGAGGGCAAATCATATAAAATATAAAAATGAAAGGTATAATAAAATAAAAATAAAAATAATTTAGAATGTTCTAATACTCCAGCTATTGTCCTTAATAAATCCAGACGCTTTCTCCCTTTAAAATATTTGTAATAGTAAGGAAAAAAGATTACTAGGTATGCTAATAATTACTTAAATACATATTTTATAAAAAGTAGTTTACATGTGTAACTGAATTCCTCACCTCACTCAAACAACACAGGCAGGAAATTCTTTCACAAATATGCTAAAACATGACTAAGATTTAACCTTTATCATACCACGCAGGTGAAAAAAGAAAAACAGAAAAAAAACTATACCTGAACAACAAGGTTTTAGGCTGCATTTTCTGTAAGCAGCATAATATAACTACAAGTTTAAAATGCATTTGAATATTGAATAACAAATATCAGAGACAATAACAATAAAACCATAGGAACCACAAAATAAGGCATCAAAGGAAATAATATAGACTAGCGAAAATGGAACATTTAAAAAATTATCTTCCAGTGCTTATTCAAGGAACCAAAGTTAGATGTTATTTTATATATTTAACTGCTTCTATTTTAAAATAAATATTAAAATAAATCAATGTTAACCATTCAACCTGAAATTTTAAAAAGAAAAAAAGAAAAGCAACCCATAGCGATAAGTTAATGAAATTAAAGGCATACTATATTAACTTATTAAATGTATAATAGCATTAAATTGTGAATACAAAGGACTTAAAAAATCAGTGGCAAAATTAAAAATCAAAATAGAGATACAAGCAAGCACTTCTAAAAGTTCAATTATATGACAATAAAGTACAAAACTTCAATCAAATGTATGATTTTCTGGTATTGGCATAAGGCAATAATTAAAAGAACTATTTAAAAACTCTTTTCACCAAGAAAAACCAGTCCTTTTTGATTAGCAAATTTATTCAAACTTTTAACCATATTTTATAATCTGCTCATGTCATAGACAAAAAGGTATAATCTGCCTAATTTGTTCCTTGATAAAAAGGGATTATTTTTTAAAACTACTAAATGTATCTCCAAATAAGTAAATAGTTGTAATTGCAACAACTTAGCATGTCATTTGAGTCAAGCACTGGAGTTGGTGCCTTATATTACTTGACTTCATCCACAGAACATACCTACATTATGGACTAAAATTTCTACTTTATAAATGAAAAGACTAGGCTCAGAGTTAATGCCAAAGGTAATCAAAAATAACTAGCAGAGTTAAAGCACAAACCCAGCTCTATCTCACTCAAAAGGTTATGTTCTTAACCACTAAGTTGTACTGCCTCCCAGCTAAAGATATTATTATATATTATCCAATTTTACTTAAGTATAAAAGAATTCATGATATGATTTACTCACTGAATTGACTGCCAGTAAAAACACTTCCTCTCCAAAACAATTTATCATCCTCCAACTCAAAGAAAGCAAAACGAAATTACTAACACTAAAGTAAATAAGTTATAACTTGCCAGAAAGGGTTTCTATGTTCTCCAAAACCTCTTTTCCCCACCTCCACCAACTTGCTTGGGTGACTTGCTTCTCCTAGTACGTTTATTTAACCTACATCAAAATGTCACATATTCGAATTGAGGTAACAGTTTCTAATAGGCCTCTTCACTTACGTATTTCTGTTAAATTTTCAGCTACTCTATTTGCTGGCTTAGATTGTAACCACAAACCTCTCAGTTTTGAACATTGACATAACCTCTTGTACTTCGCATTCAATGGAACAACTCTCTTTGCATTCTTTGCTCATTCATTCAACTCTCTATGAGGAACTTCACAGGAAAACAAACATATAAACATATAAAAAAGGATAAGCAGTTGTTCTGAGTTTAGATATTCCTGATAATCTATTTTTGGAGAATTGAGAAAATAGAACCAGAAAATAAAAGCTCCAAGAGAAAGTTCATTTACATGAACATGTCCCAATATCAGGCACTGTCTCTTGTACGTAAATGTGGTAAGCCATGGCCCCATTACTTAGGTCAATCCTTCTGGCGTGGGTAAGCTAGTGAATAGCTTCCTGTGAGCGTCATAACATCAGTGGACAGTGACTGGCAAGAGCCTATCTAGTAGACACCATATAACGTTTGAGTGCTACAGCATGATGATATTTAATGGGCAATAAGAAATTCTCCTCGGAACATGAATGTTAGATCCAGGTGATATCACCTGATAAAGGCAGTTTTGTAATTAAGTTTAGAGTGATGTGTTTCCTGGTAAAAGTCTGGTAAGGGTAACTATTAATAAAAGAATCTCACACTAGACAGAAAACTTAACCATGCAACAAACTTGATTATGTTTCCTAACAGGATATAGGAAGATTTGAAAGGTCTAATCTGCTCTGATATCATTTATTATTAAATCGACTCTGTGCTTCATTGCAATCAACTGTTAATTATATTAGTTGTAACCACTGAAGTGCTCAGTTGTGCTAATTTTCACCAATCTTTCAACCAAATCCCTCAGAAAACTCAGGCCTATTCACTCTCAGGAGGCCATATGAGACTGAACCAAAGGCTGTTACCTCTGCCTAAACCTGGTGCAACACCAGGGCTACCACCCAGGGCTGCACAGGTTGTCCATGACACAATTCTAGGCAGTGCCATTCACATGGACAATAGGTGAATGGCACACCCAGGAATTGTGTAGGGCACAAAATGCACAGCTGTCCATGCAGGCTCTGCCCAAGATCCGCAGATAGTAAAGAAATTTCAGCCTGCTTAGTCCTCAATATATTATTGTATATCTAACCCCTACTAGAATGTAAGCTCTCAAAGGGCAAGAAATTTTGCTGGTTATGTTCCCTGATATGTGCCAACTACCTAGAATAATGCCTGCTCCAAGGTAGTTACTCAATAAATATTTGTTAAATAAATAAGGCAAAGGTAGAACTCTAAATCTACAACAGATAAAAAGATTCCAATTCTATAATAGAGAAGCAATTAGTGTTTAAATAAAGATAATAGTAGAAAGAAATAACAACAAAAACAGATGTCATAGTAGTAGCCTACATGGTACAGGCATTTGTTAAGGCTCTTTTGAAGAAGGTGCCCTTTGATGTTGCCTGAAAAAGAAACTATTAAGTTTATAGCTTTGCTTCTTGACACATAATGTGCACAGCAGACACCTTCACCCATCCCATACCTGTATTTCATTTCTGACTCACACCTCGCAAGAGCCTGAGCGATACACTGAAGAAAGCATTGACCCTCAAAGATCCAGTGAGAGATAAGGTGAAGATCAAAAATGCCAGTAGCTGTCAGGACACATTAAAATGACTACTTCAAAATGGTCACTTCAAAATTCCATGCCTCGTGGGTCAACAGCCCCATCAAAGGAAGTACAGTGACTGATTTCTGGAAGACAAAACCAGCCCAATAAGGTAACATGATATCAGAAGTGAATGCAAACATTGAATAATGACATCCAAATAGGATAAGAAAGGGAAAGGTGGTATAAAGAGGCATTCCCCAGAGAAAGCAGAAGTCTCTTTCCTTTAGAGCTCCCAATGAAACACATTAATCATCTAGAAAATTGTGAACAAAATGCCAAATCTTTAAAACTATTGAGGGGTGTTTATCTGAAATGGTCCTTAGGTAGACCTAGCAGTGAAAATAAGGTTGCTGTTTCCAAGGGTTTTGTGTGTATCACTCAAGCCGGCAACAGTCAATTACTCATAGAGTTTGGTGCACAGTACTAAGTGGACTTTCTTGCTCCTCTATCATTTCTTTTACTGGCACAGTGTTAGGTGAGGATATCACATTCATTTTGACAGGCAGCTGTTGTATGGTGTGAAAATTCAAGTGATGAAAAATAATGCAAACACTTTCTCATGTTATCATTTTGTCAATAAATGGCATTCTACTGAATAATATAAAAACCTGTATTATCTGCAAAGCTGCCCTAAATCCTGTATTCAAAAAATAAATCCTGTATTCAAAAAATAAATAACAAGGATTCACTCCTAAGGATCTTGAAGATAAGCAACATTGTTGTCAACTAACCTAGAAAAGAAACAAATATGACTGGTATTCATATATAACCTACCTCTTCAGGGCCCATAGTGAAAATGGCAAGTTTTTGAAAACTGGAAAACTACAGGAAACTGCCCACCTAACATAAAACCAAGTGCAAGGAGACAAGGATAGTAGAGGAGATAAATATGATAAGAAGACAAGAATGCTATTACTTATTTAGTAATAAATATAAAACTAAACATTTTCTCTCTATGCTGGTAATGAAACTTGTTCTTACTAGACTTTAGATGACAACATAAGCTCTAATATTTCACAATAAAAATGTGTATTCCTCATTGCAACTATTTAAATAACCTTCCCAATTTGGTGCAGTAGCTAATATCTTTAAGTGGGTTCTAGTACTGAACTTTTATAATAACCAACCACTGTCTCTTGTTCTCTCTGTCTCTCTCTCTCTCTCTCTCTCTCTCTCGTGTGTGTGTGTGTGTGTGTATGTGTGTGTATTTCTGTGTGTATTTTATCCAGTCTAAGTGAAATCACTTGGTTGACTTTTATTTTCTTGGTTATTTAGTGTCTCTTTGTATTATTTTAATGCTGTCACAGAAATAGAAAAAAAAACAAAGGTAGAAAGTAACATGTACATGTATAACTTCCAAGTTCTCTGTAACAATGTTTGTCTCTAATTGCTTCAGATTATTTTTCAGCATACAAATAAATTTTCCCTGGTTGTTTCTAGTTGGACTTATACTATAAAAAGTCCACCTCTCTTCTACTTCTGTTTAATGATTTGTCTTATTTCTCTCCTCCTCTCTAACCCACAATTACTGCCAGAGTACAGGTCCTTATTCTCATCTAACCCAAAAATTACCTGGTAGCCAATTTTATTAATAATCAATGTTTTTGTAAATACATCTTTAAGAGCTAACTTTCAATCTTGATCTTCAAATAGCAGTGTGATATTTGTTTTGTTTGCTTTTTATTTATTTTTGTTTGTTTGTTTTTATTTTGAGACAGAGTGTCGCTCTGTAGCCAGGCTGAAGTGCAATGGCACAATCTTGGCTCATTGCAACCTACACCTCCTGGGTTCAAGTAATTCTCCTGCCTCAGCCTCCCAAGTAGCTGGGACTACAGGTGCACACCACCACACCTGGCTAATTTTAGTATTTTTAGTAGAGACAGGGTTTCACCATATTGGCCAGGATGGCCTCAATCTCTTGATCTCATGATCCACCTGCCTCAACCTCCCAAAGTGCAGGCATAAGCCACTGCACCCGGCACCTTTTGCTGTTTAAGTCCCAAGAAAGGGAATTGTACATTTGGTACACAAAAGTTACCTAGCTTAAAACTATGAATTGAAGCAAAAGATCATGAACTGCAGTACAGGTACATGCTGTGGTACAATAATTATCATTGGGTCATTCTACTCAGCACCCAGCATGTGAGTGAATAATGTTTAATCCAAATTTTGGTTTAAAAAATAGTTGATAGCAGAAAGAAAGTGGCCAGTGGATAGTCCTGGCTTGGGTAGTAAATACCTTTGTGTTCCTTTGAAATCTTTCAATCTCTCTGAATCACAAAGAGCAGATTGACCTATATGATTTCAGTCTTTTCTTTAAAAACTCTATGATTTATTTCCTCATTCTCAGCCTCAGTTTCCTCATTTAAAATAGGAAGAGGAAGAAGGCTGATTGGTTAACTTTGGTTACACACCATTTCTAAAATTTTATGGCTTTAAAACTGCTTGGGACTTTAATCTTTTTTAAATTTTGTTTGTTTTTTTTTTTTTGTTTTGTTTTGGTTTTAGTTTTCTAACCAGAAAAGAAAACTGATGTATAGATCTTTATAAATCCAATTTCAAATCATTTCACTCTACAACTCTCATCAGCTTGACCATTTTTATGGTTATTTTTCATTTTCTACCCCATTAACACTAGATACATTGCAAATTCACTGAACTTTGTCTGCTGCAATCAAAAAATGAGTTGGTGAGAAATGCTACTTCAACATTTTAGTCTTTTTTTTTTTTTTTGAGATGGAGTCTCGCTCTGTAGCCCAGGATGGAGTGCAGTGGCGCAATCTCGGTTCACTGCAACCTCTACCTTCTGGGTTCAAGCGATTCTCCTGCCTCAGCCTCCCAAGTAGCTGGGATTACAGGTATGCACCACCACGCCCAGCTAATTTTTGTATTTTTAGTAGAGACAGGGTTTCACCATGTTGGTCAGGCTGGTCTTGAATTCCTGTCCTCATAATCTACCTGCCTCAGCCTCCCAAAGTGCTGGGATTACAGGCATGAGCCACTGCGCCCGGCCAACATTTTTGTATCTGAATAATCTTCTTCAGTACATAAAATTGTGAAATTTCATCATATTAATTATTATATTCATATATCACTCTGAACAGGATTGGAAATTTCAATTCATAATTATTTTCAGGATATAGTCAAATTTACAGGTTAATACAGAACTTTTTTTTTTAGTAAAATAAGGTTAACCTAATATTTTAGTGAGTTCATAATAGGATCCAATGTGGTAACTCAAACACAACTAGGAGCAAAGTAACTGTACATTGATTAATTTTTGCTGAAATTGTGGCTCCATCTCCTTTATTTACAGTTATTATTTGTAACTTCCCACTTACATCAAGAAGCTTCAAATATTACATTGTCAATGATACATATTATGTTGTAAATTATACATTATAAAGATACATTTCAATTATTAAGAAGATATCTTTGTAAAAAAGTTCTTGATTGTTTTAATTTTTCAAGCTCCATGTAATTAAGATTTTTTTTTATTATTGGCACTGTAGTTGCAAATATTAAAGTTATTATTTGGTATTTCATGAGTATACCCATCACGCTGATTTTCTAAATAGTAAGTTTTAGTATGCTAGAAGCTGATGCTGCAGAATTGCCTCAGGATGACTCTGGGGCAATGTTTTGTATTTTGAAGTACATCACCCACCATGGGGCCCCAAGTCTGACTTAGAACACTCTGAAATTCCAAGTATTTCAATATTTTTTTCCACTCCCTTCTTTCCATAAATAGCTGGGATTGACCTAATCCTAGCCCAGGAAGAAGGGAAAGGAGCTAATTTAATGGAATCAAATGTTTAATGTAAAGTTTTGCTTTATACGGAACATGGTAACAAGTATTAAGAATGCTGCTGGGCGCGGTGGCTCACGCCTGTAATCCCAGCACTTTGGGAGGCCGAGGTGGGAGGACCACGAGGTCAGGAGATCGAGACCATCCTGGCTAACACGGTGAAACCCCGTCTCTACTAAAAATACAAAAAATTAGCCAGGCGTGGTGGCGGGTGCCTGTAGTCCCAGTTGCTCGGGAGGCTGAGGCAGGAGAATGGCGTGAACCTGGGAGCTTGCAGTGAGCTGAGATGGCGCCACTGCACTCCAGCCTGGGTGACAGAGCGAGACTCCGTCTCAAAAGAAAAAAAAGCAAGAAAACGTATAGAAAAAATCACTTCCCCAGATACATTGTTTCATTTCATCAAAAAATAGAAAAAATCAATATCAATATAGCTTTAAAAAATACATGATATATGTAACTATGGATTTGGAAGGCATGACATTGAACATACCAGCCCAGAGATGTATAACTCTAAAATATTAAACATTATTTGCTTCTAAAGAGCAGCACAGATGAGAGAATTCAAATATAACATTAGGTTGGTGCAAAAGCAATTGCAGGCTTTGCCATTAAAAGTAATTGCAAAAAACTATCACAAGGACAAAAAACCAAACACCGCATGTTCTCACTCATAGGTGGGAACTGAACAATGAGAACACGTGGACACAGGAAGGAGAACATCACACTCCAGGGACTGTCGTGGGGTGGGGGGAGGGTTAGCATTTGGAGATATACCTAATGCTAAATGACGAGTTAATGGGTACAGCACACCAACATGGCACATGTATACATATGTAACAAACCTGCACATTGTGTACATGTACCCTAAAACTTAAAGTATAATAATAAAAAAATTTTTCTTAAAAAGTAATTGCAAAAACTTTTGTGCCAACCTAATAGGATCCTTTATACTCTCTTGGTTAGCTAAGCATAATACATATGACCATTTACACAGATAATCTAAGTCATCTACGTTCCTGAAATTTGCTTCAAGAACCTTGTAAGTGATCCATTTTTATGTATCATGTAATATGGAGTTAATATACTATTTTTCTACTGTAAGACATTAAATTATATTTTATTTTACACTTAAGACTTTATTTTAAAATAGCTTTCTGTTTTCTAGTTACTATTCAAACTTTTGTTAGTTTTTTTAATTATCATCTATGTGAAGAAAATATTAAAAATCTTTAAAAAGATATTCCATAATTAGGGGTTCCATGAAAATTGCCAAATCAGAATAATCAAATGTAATTGTCATTATAAGATAGATACTGCTAGGCACTCGGAAATAGATTTTCATATAGAACCATTCACTTGGAACAATTATTTTCTTTAGAAGTAGAAGGGTTTAAAGTCAATATGACATGTGAGACTAGGGAATAGACTACAGGGTGCACTACTATGGAAGTGATTTTGGATCTGAGGTTGCAAAGAGAAAGTTAAGTTTAATGGGCCTGTGAATAATCCTTGTGTACTGCATCAGCTGTGTGGGGATCATTAGGAATTAAAAGATCACATACTAGGTTTGCCCAAAAAAGACAATTTCTTTTCTCTTTGTCCCCCATTTGCTAGACTTGGACAATCACAAAGAATAAAAGTTGGAAGTAAATTGAAAGAAACAACTAAGGTAATTGAACCGAATTCAAAACAAGTGTTTGGTTTAACTAGCTGTGACAAAGACAAATTTCTTCTCAGACAGAAATGAATGCTAATGTTCATTACATTACCAACTCCGAGTCACAGCCAAACACATTAGAAATGGCTGAATCATAAACTTAACCTATGCACAAAGAAAGCAGCAACAAGGACAGCAAGAGCCTAGCAGAGGCCATTCAGTGGCCATCCAGTAGAGACCTGCCTTCCTGACAAATCCTGCTGCCTGCTCTCAGTGATGCTATCACATATCAGTAATTAAATTCTCCACCATGAATAAATCTAAAAACAAATCAAAGAATCCCACTAAATCTAGGGCTTACTTGTCTGGACTGTCCACAGTCCCTATTGCAGTATTCCATTGAATGAATGAAATGAATGAATGGTTCCTTTGTATGAGCAAATCCAGCCAATGTATTCTATTATGTATTGGCTGACCTGGAAAATTTACCACTAGGTTAAGAAATTCAACTGGCTTTTCATATTTCACTGAAAAATTACTATCACTCCTCCTCGGTGGGAAGGTTTCTTTGCAAACAAGTAGAGGAATGATGGCAGTGTGGTGCCATGAATGGTCTTCACCAGCATGGAGATATGGAGGAGACACCTGAATGACTAGGCCTATGGGTACCTACTGTGGCTCTTCCACTGTTTTTTTGCTGCTTAATACTTCAGACAATCAGTTTCCTTGCATACATAAAATGGGAAGAAAATTACTGCCTGCTCTATCTACTTTACAGGAGACTGGAAAGATTAAATAAGATCCATGAGAATGTTCTGTGTACTGTGAAACATTAGCCAAATAAAAGTGATTTGTGGGCCGAGCACAGTGGCTCATGCCTGTAATCCCAGCACTTTGGGAGGCAGAGGCGGGCAGATCACAAGGTCAGGAGTTCGAGACCAGCCTGGCCAACATGGCAAAACCCCATGTCTACTGAAAATACAAAAATTAGCTGGGTGTGGTGGCAGGTGCCTGTAATCCCAGCTACTCGGGAGGCTGAGGCAGGAGAATCACTTGAACCTGGAAGTTGGAGGTTGCAGGGAGCCAAGATAATGCCGTTGCACTCCAGCCTGGGCAACAAGAGCAAGACTCCATCTCAAAAAAAAAAAAAAGTGATTTGTATTGTATTTGATAGTATCAGAGAAGAAACATGTTAGTAGATTTGGTTTGGTACTAATTCTAAGCTTCTACTAACAGATCTATTCATTGAAGATAAATATTTTAATTGAAAACTAATCTTCAATGAACCTCTAATCCACCAAAGTGTATAATACAAATAATTCCTGCTTCTACATTTTGTATACTCCTCTTTTGCAAGAGCTAACAAAAATGCTTTAAGCAGGAAACACAAGCATCGTTAGATCTGCATTTTTACCAATTAATAAGGCAATGCACCATGTTCAAATCAATCTAGGTGGGAAATGAGAATTTTGTCTTTTAAAAAGCAAGGGAAGAGTTTGCACAGGCAAACAAATTTGTATCTGGGTCTTTAATGTAAATTGTGAAAAGGGTACATGATTTTTTATTCCTATCTAAAAGCAAATCCATTTAAAACATCTGAATCACTCCAGATAAAGTATCTGAATGCAAATTAACAACACAGCATTCAGTGCAGCCATTATAAAATAAGGCAAGTAGGAGACTAATTCCAGCTGCCAAAATACACAAATAATTTTGGTAGCATAAATGCAAAACAGATTTCTTCTAGTTAATTCTAAATTTCTGGAGAAACAAATCTTATGCTTTCTACCAACAAAAGAAAAAAAAGTATGTAGATGAAACTACTTCAATCTTAACTAGATAGAATGTTTGCTGGCATAATTATTTACATACACATTTTTCTTAAACCTGTTAAAAATTATAGAAATAACCATTTTAGAGATTTAAAAAACAGTCTGGATAAGGCCCACTAGGAAAGAATTAATCTCACTGTAAAATGTTCAAAATTTGTTTTTTAAACTAGGGATGCAGCAGTATAAAAAAACTATGTGCTTTCTCATGATCCAATGAAAAGAAGTTGTTATCCCATCCTAGACAAAGAACATTCATCCACATTACAAGATTGCTAAGCTCAACAAACTGGTACATCTCCATAGTTTAATGGGGGACTGGAAAAGCACAGAGCTCTATTCCTGGACAGGTTTCCTTCTGCTACCCCACAGTCGATTGTAAGGCAAAAGCCTACTCCAAAGGCAAGCCTAAGGCAAAACTGGGAAGGAGGAAAATATCTTCTAAGCCTGAGGCTTCCCTTTCACAAGCACTCATCCTCTCTTCAGGATGCTCCCCTCAAACACTTCTGCATGTACTTAACCTACTCTATCAACATTTACCCTTGGGAATATTGCTTATGACTTCATATTCCAAGGGTACAATGACATTTAAGGGACGAAAGAGAATGATCACTGAGCATTTACTATTTATTTGACTCTATGCTAGTTGTATATGTTATTTCATTAATTACTCTGAAGGTAATCAATGAAAGTGAGAAAATGTTGGCACAGGGTTCCAAACATCTGACCTCCTGTCACTAAATCCTGCTGCCTTCTTGAAAAAGTAAAATACATAACATAATTTGTGTTTTACCTAGAAAGAAAGAAAATATTCTAAAACGTGGAAGGGAGATGCTATGGTTTTCTCTTTTTGAGTACCAAAGGGAGCCAGGACAGGGGTCTTTGCTGGTTCTGGTTATGTTGTTGAGGGTCTTAAGGCAAATGATTGGCACTCATGACCTGCAGTTCTCTGCTTCCTGCAGCTGCAAAGAATAGTGTTGGTAACTCTCCAGGCTCATATGAGCCTTTTCACTCCCTTGCTAATTTTAAAGGCCTTTCCATTTCTGGAAAACAAAAGTTAAAATCAACTATTTTACTCACTATTCCTGTACTTTTCTAAGAAGCCATCATTCATACCTTTATTCATTCATTCACTAAGTATCATTATGTCCCAGGTATTTTACAAGTCCTAAGATTTTTGCTGTAAACTAGATGTCTGGCTATCACTAGAAATGTTATCTCTAGGCTGGGCACAGTGGCTCACGCCTGTAATCCTAGCACTTTGGGAGGCTGAGGCGGGTGGATCACAAGGTCAGGAGTTCGAGACCAGCCTGGCCAATATGGTGAAACCCTGTCTCTACAAAAAAAAATAAAATAAAATACAAAAATTAGCTGGGCGTGGTGGTGCGTACCTGTAGTCCCCGCTGCTTGGTAGGCTGAGGCAGGAGAATCGCTGGAACCCAGGAGGCGGACTTTGCAGTGAGCCGAGATCATGCCACTGCACTCCAGCCTGGGCGACAGAGCGAGACTCCAACTTAAAAAAAAAAAAGAAAAGTTATCTCTATTTTCATCTCAGGCCAACACTGAGGAAAACCAAAGCATCTCTTTTGTTTTCCAATGCTTCTAAGTCATACTTAGTTGTTCAAGTCTCTGGCTGAGCATCTAACCAGAGTACTCCTTCACTTTAACACCTCCTCATCTCAATTATGCCCCAGCCTTGCTCATTGGCTACCTCAGCCATGATATCCATGTACTTAGTCTCACTGCTACCACCTACCCAAAATCTTTCACATATTTTTATGCAGAACAAACGTGCTTTGTCTTACCTTCTCTGGACATGAGTACATAAGCAAAATGATCTTCAAATATTGGGACTACTTCTGCTTAGCAAAGGCAGTTGATGCTAACTAACAACAATATTAACATCAACCACAAAATTTTGTTGCATTCAAGGAGTTTAGAGTCTAGAAGGAAAGGCAGATATGAATACTGCATACTGACAATTATTTTGCAATTAATGCTAAAATGGAAATAAACTGCAGGCATTACAGAGACACCAAAATGTGAGGTTTTGTTTTGTTTTGTTTTGTTTTTTTTGTCTATAGGTGTCAAGAAATATGTAAAAGGAACTGTTTAAAATCTTATAAAATGGAGAAAGAAGTTTTTCAAATATGGATGGTTGAGAAGGGGGATCTAAGAAGAAAGAAGAACATGTGCAAAGGCCAGAAGATATGAGAAGCCAGAGCATGTATGAGAACAAATAGGTCACTGTGGCTGCGAGATCAGGAATCAGAGCAAATCAAGTGCTGCAGATCTTTACTGTGTACCAGCTTTATTTCAAAATTCACCTACTTCTCTGACCTTATGTGCTGCTTCTCCCTCAGTGCAAAGCAGATCTCTATCTGTTCATGACAGAAGTCTGTGCAGGCTGCATATATTTAGGCAAAACTGGATAAGATTAATTTAATAGTTTCATCTTAATTCTGCTCTGAGATTTCTCAATTTAACTAAATAACTTAATACTATTTGGCAGCATGCTTTGCAGAAATTTTTTTAAAGCCATTATAAAAATAATGATTTTGCTAAAGAGTGTACATAGTAAATATAATTATTCCAGTAGATGGAGCAGAGGTGACACTGGAATAGCTGAATATTGCCTGGCCTAGAATATATAGGAGAAGTCCAGACACTCAGCAGAGCCACGAAATAGAAAAAGCACATTTGAGAGCAAAGACAGAACATTACTGAATACTGGTTGGTTAATTTGGACTTAGAAAATTTCACATCCTATTCAAACTGAAGAAGAAAACAACCTGAGACAAATACCAAAATGATTCCTTAAGGAAACATTTGTATTTTAGAACAAGAAAGCTATAATTTTGATTTGTTTAAAAGTCTCACTGCAGTGCTTTACAATCATTGTACGTAATACAGACAAGGCTAAAATTCTTAGTGGAGCCCCTAAATGCATGGCTACTTCAGTCTCCCGCTGATAGTAATGTGTGTGTTTCTTCCCTCCCAGACCGTTCATGAATTGTGTGATTGCCTGATATGGAATTATTAAGAAATAGATCAATAAACACAGCAGGCTATGGGCTTAAAACCTCTGCCTACACAATGGGCCTATGCAGAAAGAAATTGCAAAAGCAAAGAGCTAGCCTTGCAGATTCATATTGGGAACCGATTAGCAAGTGAAATCATAGACATTAAAAGATAACTATGGAGAAGTAGATATTTTGAATAGAAGTTCTAACTATTATGTATCAGGTAAGCATCTTAAATTTGATTAAATCTCTTAGACATTTATTGAAGTCAAGGATGAACTCTTTGATTTACGATTTTATGCAATAAGTGTTATAAGGAAATAAATTCTAATAGTTTTGGGAAAGAGGAAATGTGTCCCTCTTCTCTCGAGAAACTACAGTGTGGCTTGCTCTATGAAGTTCTTTGGCAATATGCAGAACTGGAGTATTCAAAAGGCAAGCTATATACATGTTAAGGACAAAGGAGAGGTGGCTCGAAATTTTTTATTAAAGAGTATATTTATTATTTCACAGAAATGTATCAAGGTTAATATCAAGGAAAAACAAAACTTTGTTACATATTAATTTCACCAGATTTCTGACCAAATGAGGACATTCATTAGCCACATACTTATAAAATCTTAATTCAATGCTTAAGAGTATTGTACTAGCCCGTTCTCACACTGCTATAAAGAAATACCACTGAGACTGGGTAATTTATTTAAAAAATGAGGTTTAGTTGACTCAGCTCAGCATGGCTGACGAGGCCTTGGGAAACTTACAATTACGGCAGAAGATGAAGGGGAAGCCAGGCACTTTCTTCAAAGGCAGAGGAAGGAGAATGAATGCAGGAGGAAGTACCAAACACTTATAAATACATCAGATCTCATGAGAATTCACTCACTATTACGAGAACAGCATGAGGGAAACCGCCTCCATGATCCAATCACCTCCACCGGGTCTCTCCCTTGACAAGTGGGGATTATGGGGATTATAATTCAAGACGAGATTTGGGTGGGGACACAAAGCCTAACCATATGAAGTATGAATAAATTTAGTTTTGCCACAATCTAGTTATATAAACTTAAAAAAGGTATTTACCTTTTCTAACTCTGTTTTCTCATTGCAAAATGAAAACAATAAAACCTATCACAAAGAATGGTAGCAAGGACTAAGTGATATAAAGCATTTAGCTGCCATTATTAATGAGAGTGTCAGCTCTTGAGTGGGATGAGACTGAAAGAAAGATTAAAAACCACAATTATAGATGTTAACCCTAAGTAAGCACTTTTAATAATATTCATATTCCAACTCAATCCATTCTACAACACATCTTAATGTTAAGCAAGCAAATCAAAATTCTCAATCTTAAAAAATAGCTCATAGTCTGGATCCAGTGGTTTATTCCTTTGATCCCAGGCATGATGTAGCCTGCTTTGAGAGGCCAAGGTGGGAGGATCACTTGAACCCAAGAGTTTCAGGTTACAATGAACTACAATGGCCAGCCTGGGCAAGAGAGTAAGACCTTGTTTCTTTAAAAAAAAAAAAAAAAAAAAAGATAGCTCTGTAATTTTGCATACGTGGAAATATACTTTCCTTATTTTATACTTTGTTAATCTTCATTCACAAAAAATAATGAATTTCTAAGAATTTATTTAAATGTGAAATAATTTATGCATTTAAACCATAAAATATTTTCATTACATTTTACAAATTCATATTTTATTATACTTCTGTGTAACCTTCCTGATATGCATTTTTAAAACATATATGCATATTTAAAGAAAATACAGAAAAAATATTTTCTTAGTATTTCCAGTTTCTCATTAGAATCCCTACCAAGGTAATAACTACAATCTTTTTACTACCTTAAAAAAGACGTAACAGTTAGCAGAGGCTTCCATACATGAAATTGAATGTCTTAGCTCAAGCTGCCATAACAAAATACCATAGACTGGGTGGGTTTAAAAGTAGGAATTTGTTTCCCACAGTTTGGGAGGATAAAAGTTGAGATCTGGTGTCAGCATAATTGGGTTCCTGGGAGGGCTTTCTTCCTAGTTTATAGACTGCCACTTCCTTATTTTGGCCTCTCATCTCAAGAAGAGAAAGAGAGCTCTGATGTCTCTTCAGACAAGGACACTAATCCCATTATGAGGGCCCCACCCTCATGACCTCATCTTAACCTAATTACTTTCCAAAAGTCTCATCTCCAAGTGCAATCACACTGGGGGTTAGGACTTCAACATATGAATTTGGAAGGGACACAATTCAGTGCATAGTGGGGACTTTGCTGGAACAAACAAAGGGTGACCACTGGCTGGGTAGAGAGGAGGCGTACTAAGCTCTAAGCTTTCTCTCACACATACTATTCAATTCTGCCATTAATTCCTTCTTATCCCCCATCCCCTCCCCACTGTGGACAGAAGTTGCATAGCTGTCTGGTCTCCCAGATCACTCCTACTTTAAAAAGTATGATCTTGAGATGCAATATTGGCCTATATCCCAAGAAACCAAAAGAATTAAAGCCACCAATGTAAAACTTGGAAACGAAGTTAAAGATTATAAAGAGTAAGGACGTTCAAAACTACCATGGTCATTTAATCCTCCTGACTAATTTTAGAATAAAATCCTTAAGAAAAAAAGGGGATCACCAGGAGCAGTGGCTCATGCCTGTAATCCCAGCACTTTGGGAGGCCAAGGCGGCTGGATCAACTGAGGTCAGAGGATTGAGACCAGCCAGGCCAATGGGGTGAAACCCCAACTCTAATAAAAATACAAAAAAATTAGCCAGGCATGGTGGCGCATGCCTGTAATACCAGCTACTTGGGAGGCTGAGGCAGGAGAATCGCTTGAGATGAAGCCACTGCACTTCAACCTGGGTGTCAGAGTGAAATTCTGTCTCAAAAAAAAAGAAAGAAAGAAAGCAAAAAGGGGATCAACAAGAAGGTAAATTTGTTAGCAAATTATTAGAGATACGTACACAAAACACACATGCACAAATATAAAAATGTTAATCATACATCTATCACAAGTCTTATATGTATAGAAAAAGTTACTATTAGAATACATACTATTAAATGTGTATAGGCCTTCCATCATCTGGCTCAGTTTAATCTACCATTAGTATCCCATTGAAATGTTCAGCTGTAGCAGAAGATGCCATGCTATTTTATATCTTTACACATAACTAAATTTTTTGTATGAAATATGTGACTCCTACTTCTGCAAAATACAATTCTTAAAAGTTAAACATATTGCTAAGGAAATTACTATTCTCAAGTATTTTATCCATAAAAAATTAACAAAAATAAATTACACAGCTAACTTCAAGAGAGAAAAGGAATGGGATATTACACAAACAAAACCAAAATAAAGTGATAAAAAAGAAAAGGAGTTAAGAAGAAAACTGAAAGCTGGTTATGTGAAATAAAAAAAAAATCACTGGCCTATTTTTTTTAAAATAAAATAGAAATACACAAAAATAAATTATAAACGATTAAAGAAACCCACAGAGTTAATTTAAGAGTAATAATCAATTATTTTGCTAAACAATATACAAGTAAATTTGAAAACCCAAACTGAAGACAATTTTCTAAGAAAATGTGCTTTACCAAAACTGAATTCAAGAGATAAAAACCTAAAAACTTATTTACATAGGAGAAATGGATAAAATTGTCAATTAATAAATGCAATAGCAGCAGTCCAAGATGGTCTCACTGGAAAATTTTTTAAAACCTTTAAAGATCTGGGCCGGGCGCGGTGGCTCACACCTGTAATCCCAGCACTTTGGGAGGCCGAGACAGGTGGATCATGAGGTCAGGAGATTTGAGACCATCCTGG
Source organism: Homo sapiens (assembly GCF_000001405.40). Classification (NCBI taxonomy): domain Eukaryota; kingdom Metazoa; phylum Chordata; class Mammalia; order Primates; family Hominidae; genus Homo; species Homo sapiens. The sequence continues at coordinate 174,752,183 of NC_000003.12, read as the reverse complement.
CTAAAACGGTGAAACCCTGTCTCTACTGAAAATACAAAAATAGCCGGGCATGGTGGCGGGCGCCTATAGTCCCAGCTACTCGAGAGGCTGAGGCAGGAGAATGGCGTGAACCCGGGAGGCAGAGCTTGCAGTGAGCCGAGATCACGCCACTGCACTCCAGCCTGGGCAACAGAGCGAGACTGTGTCTAAAAAAAATAAAAAGAAAAAGAAAAAAATAAAAGAAAATCTGGCAATTCCAATGCTTCTAAAATATTTTCCAGAATATGAATTAAAGAAACCCTCCTCGTACAATAAAATTGCGCACGCGCACACACACACACACACATACATACATAATCTCTAAAGTCAATATCACTTATGAATAGCATAGGAAATATCCTAAGTCAAATATTATTAGCAAACACAATGTAAGCGTACATGAAAGTTATTAGATATGCATCATGATCAAGTGAGCTTTACTCCAAGAATTAATGAATTTCCAATACTAGGAAATCCATTAATAACTTTTTTTTTTTTTTTTTGAGACAAAGTCTCGCTCTGTCAGCAAGGCTGGAGTGCAGTGGCACGATCTCGGCTCACTGCAACCTCAGTCTCCCGGGCTCAAGCAATTCTCCTGCCTCAGCCACCCGAGTCGCTGGGATTACAGGCGTGTGCCACCACGCCTGGCTAATTTTTGTATTTTTAGTAGAAATGGGGTTTCACCATGTTGGCCAGGCTGGTCTCGAACTCCTGACCTCAGGTAATCCACCCGCCTTGGCCTCCCAAAGTGCTGGGATTACAGACGTGAGCAACTGCGTCTGGCCATAAACTTTTATGATATTAATTTACATTAATACTTTTATAATATTAATAGACCTCTGCAAAAATATTTCTTTTCATATATGCTGAAAATCTGTCAAAATTTCATAACAATTTTGGACTAAAATACACAATAAAATAGGATTAGATGAGAATTTCCTTCATATGATATAATATATCTGGATTGGCCCAAAATTTGCTGTTGTGCTTAATGAAGCAACACTAGACGCATTACCAACAAAACCAGAAATAAGGCAAAAGCACACTATCATCACTATTATTTGACTCCAGTAATTCCACTGGAGATACCAGCCAAAAATAAATAAATAAGATTTAAAAATTATATATTTTGGAAAGGAAGAGGTACAACTATTATAATTGAAGAAAACATAAAAATATAATTGCACTTATAGAATATATGTGAATATATGCATACAATTGGCATATAGGGCTGACTGGAATCAAACATACTGAGAGAAAAAAAAGGTTTTGAGAGCGCTGTATTTGCAAAATGACTGCAGCTGTATGAGATATATGAAAGATCTCTAAGCTCCCAACTTGCTATTGGCAGGAAGTATATTGAGAAAGCTGCTAAGAGAGCAATGAGTGGATACTTTCCAATGCTTTATTTACATAATTAAGAAGAATAATAGGCCGGGTGCGGTGGCTCACACCTGTAATTCCAGCACTTTGGGAGGCTGAGACGGGTGGATCACCAGAGGTCAGGAGTTCGAGACTAGCCTGGCCAACATGGTGAAACCCTGTCTCTACTAAAAATACAAAAATTAGCCAGGTATGGTGGCGCACACCTTTAATCCCAGCTACTCAGGAGGTTGAAGCAGGAGAATCACTTGAACCCCCTGGCAGGTGGAAGTTGCAGTAAGTGGAGATTGTGCTACTGCATGCCAGCCTGGGCAACAGCAGCAGAAGTCTGTCTCCAAAAAAAACAAAATAAAATAAAAAAGAAGAAGAAGAAGAAGAAGAATGGAAATGAAATATCCTTCAAGAGAATAAAGCCAAGATCCATGGTGCACAAAAACTGGGAAGCCATATCCAAAGAGCAGAACCAGGACCTAATTCAAGGTAATTTTCCTAACTTTAGGACAATAGGCTGGCGATATTTGCCCAGATAAAATTTAGAATTGCTAAAGATCTCTTACTGCTATATAGTGCCCATTCTTATCTTTTATAAATAGCAGTGATTATTGCCAAGTGGGACAACATTTTAAAAGTCTGTATTTGCATGTATGTCCATAAAGATGCATATAAAACAAACAATAGTAATTACTGCTTTAGCTTGGGCAAAAACTGGAAAGACTGGAGACACGGTGGAAAGAAAATAGGCTTTTTTCTGTAAACCTATTTATATTTGTAATTTTTGGAACCATGGGAAGGCAGTCCATGTTCAGAAAATAAAATGAAAAATAAAGAAGAATTTTAAAAATTTCATAGCACTTCATAATTTCTGGAAAAGGGGTTTAGAGAAAGAGACATTAACATAATGATTCCCATGTTTCTGGTTTGATCAACTTAGTGCACTATGGCAAGACAGAAAATATATTTTAAGCAGAGATACGGGAAAGAAAATTACATCTTAGGTATGTTGAGTGCCAATTATATCTAAAGCTATCTACCAGTCTTAGGGTGAGGATTGTATGGCATTGTCCAGATTTTAGCACTAACATTCCTACATCCTGGGAAACCCAACCCACCTCAAAATGCAAAATATTAAAATTTTCAGCAATGGATGCAGAACCTTAAGGGAAAAGTACAAAACCCATATGACAGCCCAAGTATGGAGGCTAAAAGCAACATTCTATTATACTTAGCTTCAAATGGATATGTCATAGATTATCCACTTTTTTGCTGTTTTTTTTTTTTCCTAACTACTATCATTGGCAACCATAATCTGCCATTCACAGAAATGGAAAATCCATTCTTGCATCATTGTGAGTGATGTGATTTATGTATTCAACTAAGTGCATTCTAATCATAAGCATTAACAATCGTTTTAGACATTGCCTGTGGATTTACTATGTGCTTTGTCTTGAGGTAATGCTAGTTTAACATTCTGAATATTGTGGCTATGTTTTCTAAGAGTTCAAATGATGAAAATGAGAATGATTACAAAACAGATGCTAGCATCACCCAAGCAACCGTATTATTTTAATGACATATGGAAAGATACATGTAACTGGTTTAGAGAGGCAAGTAACCACAACAAAGCATCCTACACAATAGGCAGAGAGAAAATTGGGATTAGGCATGGTAGAACAGGGGATGTGAAAGCATATAGGGAGATTAAATGTTATAAGTCCTGGCTGAAACAGGCAAGTTTTCTAAATTAGCCAAAGGTTGTTTATTATTATTATTTCCATCAAAGGCACCAATATTTTTGAAAATAGCCAATGAAGTAGTTTATGGGTATACCTTAAGAACAAATATGCATGCTACACTCAACTTGACTATTTTTTAATAAAAATGAATAAAATTACATTTACCAATTCAGAGGTTACAACCATGTAGGAAAGCAAATAAGAAAATGTTGGTAATAGATGTGTTGGCTTATTGCATTGTAGACCTGATTTAGTCAAACCTTGTTAACAATCATGCTTTTTGCACTATATCAAGAGGTATCTCAATAATGAAAAAATGCTCACCCTGGTTCTTAGTGGCTCTGGTATCAAAAATTGAGTTTCATATAATCTTCTAGATTCTCGTAACATTTTATGAAACTACCGAAAACACAAAACAATGCTGGCATCTTTTCCAAATAATAACTGGACTTTGCTCATTGTATTAGTCTCCTGGTGCTACTGTAACAAATCACCACAAATGTAGTGGCTTAAAACAACATGAATTTATTCCCTTACAGTTCTGGGGTCCAGAGGTTTGAAATGGATTTCACTTGATTAAAACCAAGGGGTCAAGGCTAAAAATAAAGGTACCAGAAGAGCTGAGTTCCCTTCTAGAACATCCAGGATGAGAATTGGTTTTCTTGACTTTCTAGCTTCTAGGGGCCACCTTCTAGTGGCCTCTTTTTAAAAAAAAAAAAAAAATGTAATTTATTTTTAAGTTCTAGCATACATGTGCAGGACATACAGGTTCCTTACATAGGTAAACATGTGCCATAGTGGTTTGCTGCACCTACCAACCCATCACCTAGGTATTATGCCCTGTATGTATTAGCCATTTATCCTAATGCTCTCCCTCCCTCCACCCCCATGACAGACCCAAGTGTGTGTTGTTCCCCTCCCTGTGTCTATGTGTTCTCATTGTTGGGCTCCCACTTATAAGTGAGAACATGTGGTGTTTGGTTTTCTGTTCCTGTGTTAGTTTGCTGAGGATAATGGCTTCCAGCTCCACCCACGTCCTTGCAAAGAACATTATCTTGTTCCCTTTTACGGCTGCATAGTATTCCATGGTGTAAATATACCATATTTTCTTCATCCAATGCATCATTGATGGGCATTTGGGTTGAGTCTATGTCTTTGCTGTTGTGAATAGTGCTGCAATGAACATGCACATGCATGTATCTTTATAATAGAATGATTTAATATTCTTTTGATTATATACCCTATAATGGAATTGCTGGGTTAAATGGTATTTCTGGTTCTAGATCTTTGAGGAATCACCACAGTGTCTTCCACAATCGTTGAACTAATTTACATTCCCACCAACAGTGTAAATGTGTTCCTATTTATCCACAGCCTTACCAGCAGGTTGTTTCTTGACTTTCTTTTTTTTTTTTTTTTTTTTTTTTTGAGATGGGGTCTTACTCTGTCACCCAGGCTGGAGTGCAATGGTGCAATCTCAGCTCATTGCAACCTCCACCTCCTGGGTTCAAGTGATTCTCCTGCCTCAGCCTCCTGAGTAAATGGGATTACAGGTGCACACCACCATGCCTGGATAACTTTTATATTTTTAGTAGAGACATGGTTTCACCAAGTTGGTCAGGCTGGTCTTGACTTTTTAATAATCACCATTCTGACTGGCGTGAGATGTTATCTCACTGTGGTATTGATTTGCATTTCTCTGATGAACACTGATATAGAGCTTTTCTTCATATGTTTTTTGGCCACGTAAATGTATTCCTTGAGAAGTGTCTGTTCATGTCCTTTGCCCACATTCTGATGGGGTTGTTTGGCCTTTTCTTGTAAATTTGTTTAAGTTCCTTGTAGATTCTGGATATTAGGCCTTTGTTAGATGCATACATTGCAAAAATTTTCTCTCATTCTGTAGGTTTTTTCTTCACTCTGATGATAGTTTCATTTGCTATGCAGAAGCGCTTTAGTTTAATTAGATCCCATTTGTCAATTTTTGCTTTTGTTGCAATTGCTTTTGTTGCTTTTCTCATGAAATCTTTGCCTGTGCTGTTTCCCAAATGGTATTGCCTAGATTTTCTTGTAGGGTTTTTACAGTTTTAGGTTTCACATTTCAGTCTTTAATCCATCTTGAGTTTAATGTTTGTATAAGCTGTAAGGAAGGGGTCCAATTTCTCTTTTCTGCATATGGCTAGCCAGTTTTCCCAGCACAATTTATTAAATAGGGAATCCTTTCCCATTGCTTGTTTTTGTCAGGTTTGTCAAAGATCAAAGGGTTGTAGATAGGTGGTCTTATTTCTGAGATCTCTATTTTGTTCCATTGGTCTATGTGTCTTTTATACCAGTACCATGCTGTTTTGGTTATTGTAGCCTTGTAGTATAGTTTGAAGTCAGGTAATGTGATACCTCCATCTCTGTTCTTTTTTCTTAGGATTGTCTTAGCTATATCAACTCTTTTTTCGTTTTATATAAATTTTAAAGCTTTTTTTTTCTAATTCTGTGAAGAAAGTCAATAGTAGTTTAATGGGAACACCACTGAATCTATAAATTACTTTGGGCAGTATGGCTATTTTCACAATATTGATTCTTCCTACCCATGAGCATGGAATGTTTTTCCATTTGTTTGTGTTCTCTCTTAATTCCTTGAGCAGTGGTTTGTAGTACTCCTTGAAGACATCCTTGACATCCCTTGTTAGCCATATTCCTAGGTATTTTATTCTCTTTGTAGCAGTTGTGAATGGGAGTTCATTCATGATTTGGCTCTTTGCTTGTTCATTGTTGGTGTATAAGAATGCTTGTGATTTTGGTACATTGATTTTGTATCCTGAGACTTTGTTGCAGTTGCTTATCAGCTTAAGGAGCTCTTAGGCTGAAACAATGGGATTTTCTAGATATAAGATAAGGTCATCTGCAAACAGAGACAGTTTGACTTCCTCTCTTCCAATTTGAATACCCTTTATTTCTTTCTCTTACCTGATTGTGCTGGCCAGAACTTCCAATACTGTGTTGAATAGGAGTGGTAAGAGAGGGCATCCTTGTCTTGTGCCAGTTTTCAAGGGGAATGCTTCCAGCTTTTGCCCATTCAGAATGATATTGGTTGTGGGTTTGTCATAAATGGCTCATACTATTTTGAGATATGTTCCACCAATATCTAGTTTATTGAGAGTTTTTAACATGAAGGGAGGTTGAATTTTATTGAAGGCCTTTGAGATAATTATGTGGTTTTTGTCTTTAGTTCTGTTTATGTGATGACTTACATTTATTAATTTGTGTATGTTTAACCAGCCTTGCATCCCAGGGACGAAGCTGACTTGATCGTATTGGATAAGCTTTTTGATGCACTGCTGGATTCGGTTTGCTCATATTTTACTGAGGATTTTCACATCAATGTTCATCAGGGATATTGGCTGAAGTTTTCTTTTTGTTGTCGTTGTATCTCTACCAGGTTTTGATGTCAGGATGCTGCTGCCATCATAAGATAAGTTAAGGAGAAGTCCCCAATATTCAATTGTTTGGAATAGTTTCATAAGGAATGGTACCAGCTCCTCTTTGTACCTCTAGTAGAATTCTGCTGTAAATCCATCTGGCCCCAGACTTTTTGGTTGGTAAGCTCTTTATTACTGCCTCAACTTCAGAACTTATTGGTCTATTCAGGGATTCGACTTCCTCCTGGTTTACTCTTGGAAGGGTGTATGTGTCCAGGAATTTATCAGTTTTTTTTAGATCTTCTAGTTTACTTGTGTAGAGGTGTTTATAGTATTCTGTGATGGTTGTTTGTATTTCTGTGGGGTCAGTGGTGATATGCCCTTTATCATTTTTTATTGTGTCTATTTGATTCTTCTCTCTTTTCTACTTTATTAGTCTAGCTTGTGGTCTATTTTATTATTTTTTTCAAAAACCAGCTCCTGGACTCGTTGATTTTTTGAAGGGTTTTTTGTGTCTCTATCTCCTTCAGTTCCACTCTGATCTTAGTTATTTCTTGTCTTCTGCTAGCTTTTGGATTTGTTTGCTTTTAATTCTCTAGTTCTTTTAGTTGTGATGTTAGGATGGCGATTTGAGATCTTTCTAGCTTTCTGATGTGGGCATTTAGTGCTATAAATTTCCCTCTTAACACTCCTTTAGCTGTGTCCCAGAGATTCTGGTACATTGTATCTTTGTTCTCACTGGTTTCAAAGAACTTATTTATTTCTGCCTTAATTTCATGATTTACTTAGGAGTCATTCAGGGACAGGTTGTTCAATTTCCATATAGTTGTCTGGTTTTGAGTGAGTTTCTTAATCTTGACTTCTAAATTGATTGCACTGTGTTCGGAGAGATTATATGTTAGATTTCAGTTCTTTTGCATTTGCTGAGGAGTGTTTACTTCCAATTATGTGATCAATTTTAGAGAACATGCCATGTGGCACTGAGAAGAATGTATATTTTGTTGTTTTGCAGTGGAGAGTTCTGAAGATATCTATCAGGTCCACTTGATCCAGAGCTGAGTTCAAGTTCTGAATATCCTTGTTAATTTTCTGTCTCAATGATCTGCCTAATATTGACAGTGGGCTGTTAAAATCTCCCACTATTTTGTGTGGGAGTCTAAGTCTCTTTGTAGGTCTCTAAGAACTTGTTTTATAAATCTGGGCGCTCCTGTGTTGGGTGCATATATATTTAGGATTGTTAGTTCTTCTTGTTGAATTGATCCCTTTACCACTATGTAATGCTAGTGGCCTTCTTAATCTTCAAAGCAACCAATGGCTGCTTGAGTCTCATACATCACATCACTCTGACATAAGTCTTCTCTTTCCCTCTTTAAAGGACCCTATAATTACATTGGGCCCGCCTGGATAATCCAGGCTATTATCTCCTATTTTATAGTCATCTGATTAGCAACCTTAATTCCATCTGCTACCTTAATCTCTCTTTATCATGTAACATAACATATTCACAGGTACCAAGGATTAGGACTTGAACATCATTATGAGGCCACTATTCTGCCTACCACACTCATCTATCTGCAGGTTTGGCAGACAGTGTGAGTATAAATTTTGACAAACTTAATCAATGTATAAACTTCTGACCAAAGAAAATGCAAAAAATATCTCCTGCTAAATACCCTGCACTCCTTGTATACAACACTGCTAAAAGGGGAGTGATTTGTCTACCTGTGATATTGAGAATTACATAATGAAAGCTTTTATTCATGTTTCAATTTCCTCAAAATGTGCAGAAGCACATGATGAGATTCTAAATTTATATAAATGAAAAAAAAATATGTTCTTTAGACTTATGCCTGTAAGATGGTTATTATTATTACTGGCTGTAGAAAAGGTGTCAAAACATTGGCCAGTCATAATTGACTTTCAAAGTATGAAACTAAACATAATATTCTATTCTAATTTGGAAATACATTGAGGATAATAATGAAGAAAATATTAAAATAAAATAGACATTATATGCTGTTTCTCTAAAAGAGTTCAATACATCTTTAATAATGGAATCTAGAAAAGAAAGAACTAATGACATCTGAGTTGTTTGAGGTTAAATTGTGGCAAAAATACATATTCTGATTCAAAACTGCAAAACTGTTACCAGAAAAGTATAGCCAAGTTAGAAGACTTTTTCATTATTTATTTAGTAAAACTATAATTTTATTTGGAATCCAATTCAATTTTACAAGTTCAAATGACCTGTGTGCTTTAAGACCGTTTTCTCAGAAACAGAGAGGTTTCACTTACAATGGTATAAAACGTGCTCTGGAGACGTTTAAATGATGGATATTTTAGACAGGGATTATCCATTTGATAAATTCAGAGAAACAAAAGACCCGGTTGAGAAACAGCTAGTCTACTGAAAGAAGCCTGTAGATATAAAGTGGATAGACAGATCGGGACTCTAATTCCAACAAGTCTAAACATACGCCACTTCTTGGAAGCAAAATCCTAAGCAGTCAACTTATTTCGTTGATAGGATATTTACTTTGATGTTATCACATCAGATTGATACCAGGAATTAGTGAATGTGGGCTTGATGAGAACAGAGCTACAAATAAAAGTGAATTATATATTTGACTATATTCACCTTTACTATTACATAAAAGGAAAAAAGCATGACCCAGAAGCTGCAGGCAGTTCAGAGCAACACAAAGAGTGAAAATATCCTATTGTATGATGAGACACAAAAAAAACACATCATTGTTATTTTGTATTAAATAACAGTCCTTTTGTATTTACATTCTTGCTTTATATTCTCATATTTGTCTATCTTAAAAATTCATAATAATACACCCTACAAAATTTAAGTATCTAATAAAAGTTTTAAATACTTAAATGCATTAAAAAACAGAAACATCATTAAAATATTGTTATATTTTTCTCACACATGTCATTTGTTTAATCCTCCTATTACTAGTAGGTGTCACTTTTAAATATCCTAGTGTAATTTTGTTTAAATAGAGCAATTATGTAACAGAAAAGTAAATAATATGAAATAATACATACTTTCAATAAATACTCTTTTTTGTGCTTTAAATGTTAAAGTATTGCATACGCATATGATTATTTATTATATGTTATTTGTTATAGGTTGACTTTTTTGGTCTGGCATGATATGAATAGGTACTAGGTTGGCTCTAAAAAACTGACCACACTGTTATTTGACCTGAAGCCCATGACTGATCTGGGCTGGAAATAAACTGATGTAAAAAACAATAATCTTACCTAAGAATTCTTTTATTGCCAGTTATATACCATTACAATATGACTCTGTATTGTAATGTTTTTGTATCCCCCACTAGACAGTGAACATCCCGAGGAAAACTATGGTAGCATATTCACCTTTATTCTGCCACTACCCAAAATAGTATCTTAACACATAATAGGCTCACCATAAATATTTTTATTAAATGGTCCTTGAAAAATTTTAAAGAGTTTTATTTAAAATGTTAGTATGTTACCTAGGGTAGAAATATTTTATTATGAAAGAGAGAAATAAGAGTGAGTTTTACATCAGTACCACCTTGAATTAAAAGGTGAACATTCAGTTTGAAAAAAATCAATTTTAGAAACAGTTCATTTGGAAAGAATAATATAAAAACATGTTCCAAGGACAAGAAGGCAGTGCATACGCAAAAAGTATAAAATGCATTCCATGTAAGTTAACAAGAGACCATATGTCATATTTGCAGATGAAATATTACAGATTTATTCCAGCTATATAAGGAAATGGAAACCGCTTGTGTAAAGATAGTTTTCAGCATCAAGCACTAAATGAATTGCTGTCAAACTTATTAATATGATTAAAAGTTGATATCTTTGAAATTTATAGCAAGAGCTATATGCAAAGATCTTCAAAAACTTACAAAATTAGGCTAAAAATTTATCTATATAAAGCTAAAAAGTTAATGAGTTGGAGTTTTTCCCCTTTAAAATATTACTCAGCTCTTCATGGCTTTTTATTCACTATATGAATATTGTTTTTTCTTTTATACCTTTAGAAAGAAAACCGCTACAAGCTTGTCCTCTGAGAGGGACAGAAGATTCTTAAAAATATAAAAAATAACAATATAATTTCAGTTCCAAGGATAGGTTATAATAATACAAAAATTACCATTTCTACCTGAAATAGTATATTACATTTAAATATTTATTTTACCTAATTAAGTTGTATGCTTTTTTATATTATTTAAGTGCATTATGTAACTGAAGCCAAAAATATTTCAACAATTTTATCAAAATGCATTTTAAACAAATAGACTGAGTCTTCCTAATAAAGTCAATCTCATGATGAGTGAATTCACTTCAGAAAACATTATTTAGGTAAAATTACATTGACGGAGGGATGAACTTAAGGACATAATGAAAAGTACCTCAAGACATTTGCCGTCAGTTTTCTTCGGTATTTTCTTCTGTATTTGGATAAGACTTAGAATATCAGCAAGACTCTTTACCTAAATCCATTGGTTCAGAAATGTACAGATCATGAGTGCTGTAAGATTGTATATGAAACCAGATTTTATTTTCCTATTGAATTATCACCATTAGACCATTTAACTGTTCTAATTTATTCACTGGTTTGAACCCAAAGCAAAGTCTACCTCTTAAGGAAAATAAAACAGCAAACAGTACATTCTGAGATAAATCAAATTTATTGGATAGTTTAGTGAGAACTTTTTCATAAAAATAAGAATTCCTATAATTTAATCTACCCTAGTTTAAAGAGACTCAAGAAGTGTTAGAAAATCTCTGGCAGCATAAAAATGGCTCTAACTAGCCCCAGCATCTAGACACTCACTAATATGTGATTTCTAATTACTTTTGTAGTTTGTCACTGTTTAGCACAATGAAAGCTAATTGACCAGAAAATTTTGCTTAGATTATACTTAGCTATGGCTAAATTTTTACCGTTATTATTCTGGTTTCTTTGTGAATATCTCAACTTTACTGCCTCATTAAACTTTAAATTAGATTTTGATTATAAGAGTATTTTATGAAAATTTTCAAACAACTGCAATATTCACACAGGAGCTATAGTACTCTTAAAGCCACTGTCACATTTTTCTAAATTTAATTCATACTCATTCTTTCTGGATTATTAAAAACAATGGCACTTTGATTTTAATTAAACACTTCATTTGAAAGCCATGACTAATAAATGTCAAATGCTAAAGGTGAATTTATGTTAAATGGATATCAGAAGATTTTTCATAGCATGAAAGGAATTCAGGTCTGAGGGTTTTTAGTTTTACAATCACCAATAAGGAGCACAGACAAGAAAGGTAAAATTAACTACCTCAATCTAGATGCTTGTGTTAATTTATTTTCATGTTGGGAATCAGTGAGCTCAACAATGGGTTCAGTGGGTGAGGCATTCCTTAATTCTCTAAGCCTCAAAAGACAATTTTTTTAAAAAATTAGGTTTGTTGCTTACATGTCCACCTTGCCCACATGCATTATGTTTTAACAAAATATTGAAAATCAGCATATGAATGTATTTCTTAAAGAAAATGCTTAAATCACACTGGCACTTTTTGAAGTTTTGTTTTGTTTTGTTTTACAAAATGCTTTTATAAAACAAGGTAATAAGATACAAGTCGGCATCACTAGAAAGCCTCCTTAAATAGCTTTACTTTAACTGCTAACATTTCATTTATATGTTTATTGTTATTTTCCACAGTGTGTGCAATCTTTGGAAGACAGAATGAATGTTTATTTAAAAAGAGCTAATACTTTTTGCTAATACAAGATGTAAGTCAGTCAAGAAATAGATGTAACCACTTCTGATCAGTTTGACATTAATACTGAAATTCTCCTGGTTGGCTTGGCTATCAAAGAACTGGAAAGCAAATATTCAAAATCATTACAACATGGCCAACATGGCTGGACTATGACATCCAAAGCAAAAGCCTCTTAAAATGTTATTTGGGGAATATAATTAAGTCAGTAACAGCTTCTACTAACACATGGAAAAACCCACCTAAAAGACATTGCATGCTTTGTATAATATACTCAGTTCTCAAAATGATCACACTTGAAGTAACTCAAATCTGTCTACATACGATCATGAACTGAAAAGCTCTATAAGTAATAAAGGTAAGAAAAAAGACAATGGAAGGGCCCAAATGAAACCATAGAGATCCTAGCTCCTTATAATTCTCTCTTTATCATTAAAATAACACATGTGACTCCCTAAAATCTTCATCCGATTTTCTTGTAGACATAAATTCTGACTTAAACTGAGCCAAAACATTAGACAAGATTCTAAGAGTATACTGTCTTGGCCAACTTCGCATCTTCCACTAAGCCTGTTGCCTAATTACCATTACCATCTGATAAAATGTACTTATTTTCTCAGGTAAAATATAGGTTCAAAAGGCAGTAAAATGTGAAAAAAAAGAATACACTCCACTGCTGTAAAAAATAAAATAAAGGAAAATAAAAGTGCAAGAGTTGATGAAGTTAGAATATTATGCTAGAAAATATACCTATTTAAGCTACCAATTTAATTTTTTTCCATATGAAGAAATATTTTCGTTAGACTGTTGATAAAAAGAAAATACAAATTAAGAAATAAGCTGCTAATCAGTAATTTACAGGCTAGTTTTATTCTTGGATGTCAGTCCTAGAGTTGAAGTTCTCATTCTAGATAAATAATTTTTTAAGCCTCAGAAAAAAGATTAAACTGATGCATCATGTAATATTGCATTTTATGGTCAAAAAGTAATTTTTTCCCCAAATGTACTATAAAATTCAAAGAAATGCAAACCAAAAATGGTTTAATTTTTACTTATTTAGTTTTAATTACTTAGAAAGTAACAGAAATGGAGCTCAACAAATGCTAGGCAATAAGTGTTTACATAGTAACAAAATTCTATAGACATGTGTCGAGTGGAAATAACCTTAGAAATTAATTCAATCTCAAGGCCAAATTCAACCCTCCCCCCTCTCTACCCTTTTCCAGGGCTCCTCCCCAACTTATTTCTTTGACCATTTTAAAACACTTGAATCTTAATGGCTTCATAAGAGGCACAGTCTCTTTCCCCGTAGGCCTACCAGCTTTTACTGTCTCACACCCAGCCACTTCCTAAATCTGCATTACTTGCCTGACCCTCCAAGGCATAGGAATTGGCCACCTTTCCCTTATTTAATCTAACTCCTTACATTTGAAAGCAAGAGATGACTCAGAAGAGTTAAAAGATTTGTCTATGTTCCTGAAGTGTGTTGGTGGTTATACTGGCTCTGCTCAAATGTCTCAGCTCTTGGTTCTATGTTATTATTTTGTGCCTTTCCATTATCCACATCATCTAAAGTTTTATACGTATTAAGCCATAATGTATGAACAGAAGTTCACAGTCTATATATGGCCGTGTACTGAGAAGTGTTCCAAAAGGTCAACAAATCTGTATGAACTTGGAATAAAGAAGTTATGCAAGCCATGTGGTATCATGGCACCAACTGCATTGTTGTGATTTTTCAATAAAAATCACTAGGCTGACTTAATCCAAAAACACGACTTAATCTTATTAGTCATAACATTTACAATTATAGACAGAGAATTGATACACACCAAGACAAGAAGACTGTACCAATTTCAACAGCCACACAGAAATTAAAATATTTATATAATGCTACCCAAAGAAAATGGGCTTAAACCCATGAAATAAAAGATAAATAAAAATTGGAATACATAAAATTTTGCCACAGAATAATGCTTGCAGTCTTCTTTTTTCAAAATTAGCAGCTATTGGCACACTATAGAAATACATGAAGTCACCTTATTAAAAGTTGATTCAAGAATGAAAGTCCTACAATCTAATTAAAATAATTAGGTCTTACTTCAATTGAATGTTCCTAGTGCAACTGGAGGGCTTCTGCAGGTTACAGGAGACTGACAATCTGGACCCAGTCTTCATCCAGGTGCCTAATAGTCAATGCTCATTTCCTGTTCATAAATCAAAAACCAGAGTTAAATTGGGAACCGCATCAGATAATTTATCTATTGTCTCTTGAATTTTGTTCTTTGATTAATGCTTCTTAGCATAACTTTATCAGTTCATTTTATTGTAAGCAGACAAATTTTTCACTTCTTTTGGAAGTCAACAATGTATAGACTTTTTATTTTTAAAGCATACCATTTTACCTTAACAACAAATGTATACAAAAACACACAAATACTTTTCTCCCTTGATTTCATTTTTCCATGTTTACATTTCAATCAATTCGGCAAGCATAAATTGCACACTTTGTGCCACACACTGCTAAACATAACAAAAGATAAAGCAGGCCAGGCACAGTGGCTCACACCTGTAATCCAAGCACTTTGGGAGGCCAAGGCAGGAGAAATTGCTTAAGCCCAGGAATCTGAGACCTGCCTGGGGAATATAGAGGTGTTGGCAGCAGCAGCCCATCTGGAGAGGTTGCTGCCATGACACTGGCTACAGTAGGGGAGGCGTGGCTAGGGCTGCATGCCCCATGGCCTGGCAGGAGCCAGGAACAGGTGGAATCTCCACCCTCCTGAGTTGGCAGGGCAGGACCCCCACCCTTCCAGTCACAGCTGCAGCTGCCCATGCTTTGATCATGGGGCAAAGTTGAACATTGTTGCAACCTGGCTGGGTGTGCGCAGGCTTGGGGCAGCACTGACACACAATCACCCTGCTGCCTTGGCCCTCTCCAGACTTTGGGCACCAACAAGCACAGGAAGAAGGCTGAGAGGGGGCTGAGGGAAGCTCAGCATAGGACTGCAGGGGCCCCTCAGCACAAACAGCCTGGGTGGCAAGGGAAGACAGACAGGCTCCTAGGTGGAAAGAGACGGCTCCCCGGTAAAACTGCACCTTCAAGCCAGGATGGCCTGAAGCCTGGGGGCTGGGCTGATGGACCAGAATGGGAACTATGGTGCTTTTTCCAGGCCGACGAAAGGCTGCCCATGAGCCAATCAGTATGCACTTCCTCCCCACTGAAGCCCATAAAAACCCCGGACTCAGCCAGACTCAAGGAGATGACAGGACAACCTGCCTACAGACAGGAACTCCAGGGTCTCCTCTCTGCTGAAAGCTGAAGAGATGATGGGACAACCAGCTGTGGAGAGGAGCTACCCACTCCAGGGTCTCCTCTCTGCTGATAGCTGAACACTTGTTGGGACACCCTGCCTGTGGAGAGGAGCTACCCAATGTGGGTCTTCTCTGAGCTATTCTGCTGCTCAATAAAGTTCCTCTTCACCTTGCTCACCCTCCATTTGTCTTCACACCTCATTCTACCTGGACACAGGACAAGAACTCAGGACCCACTGAATGGCAGGGGTAAAGGAGGTATAACACTAACAGGGCCGAAACATGCCCCTTGCTCGCCACATTGCAGGCAACAAGAAGGAGAAAAGAAAGAAGAGAAGAGCTGTGGACCTCCTAGACCTAGGAACTCCCTGAGCCAGGGCTGTGACACTCTCTCTGGGGCTCTGAGGTTCCTGGTATCTCCAAGCTTCCAGGCATCACCATGTTCCCTGGTGCCAGCCATGGAAGCGGCTTGCAGTACACCTGGACCAGCTGCAGCCTCACAGGGAGCCAGCACCCAGGCCAGTGCCTGGAGCTGCCCACCCCACTGCAGCCAGTGTGCTTGGTCAGACCCCATGCTTGCTCACTCACACACCCCTCACCACTCTGTTCACCCTTGGCAAGCATGGGATCCAGGCCAGTAGTGTGAGCCAAGCGCAGCCTGCCAGGTCAAGTGGGCAGAACGAGCCCAGTGGACCTGAGCAAAACTCTGGCAAAGGCGCTGCTGGCCAGAGGTTTCCAAACAGAAAAGCATCACCCTGAGGATCCTGGAACAGTGGGACCCTATCTCTACAAGAAATAAAAATAAAAAATTAGCTGGGCATGATGGTGCATGCCTGTGGTCCCAGCTACTTGGGAGGCTGAGGTGGAAGGATCACTTGAGCCTGTGAGGTAGAGGTTGCAGTGACCTGTGATTGCACCACTGCACACCAACCTGGGTGACAGAGTGAGATCCTGCCTCAAAAACAAAACAACAAAAAAATATGAAGGAGAAAATACGTAACTGGAAGGAAGTAACTTAGTATCTCTTTGGGAAAAAAGGATTAAACAAAGGAAGAGATGTGTATTAGAAAGAGCATATCTAGGACTGAAAGCTTCTCTCTTCATACCTGTATGGTCTTGGATAATTTCTGAATCTCTAAGTCTCAATTACTTCACCTTAAAATTAGAATGAAAACAGAAAACTTGCAGAACTATTGTGAGAATTAGAGACATGGTATGTAATGTGCCCCACACATTGCCCAGCATGTATTAGGTGCTCAATAAATGACTGATATAATTATATGTTATTTTAAGATATTGAGTCTTTTCCTTTTATATCTTCCAATACCAAGATTGGTTATTCTACATTTCATATTAACAGGCTGTGATATTAAGTAATAATGCTATGAATTATGAAGCTACTTATTTGTGCTTCACTCTCTTTATTGTAATATTTTTATCTTAGTTTTGAGATACTTGAAAGCTATAAAGTGTTCTTATTCTCCTTTCGAAATTACTTAACCCAAAATAAGCTATTATTTCCTTCTATCGAGATTAACTTGTAGTATTGTACAAGCTTGTGACTAGAAAAAAATTCTTACCCTCTGTTAAGTTAGTTTCCTTCCTCCTCAGTTTTTCACACTCATTTCAATATCTTCCATCTTCCTTAAGCTTTACATAAGAAATAATAATGTGTCATAAATTTCTCAACTACCAAAATACAGAATAAAATAATAATTCTGAATTTTTGTCTTAAATTCCTTCTGCTTTTAGAGAAAAAGGTGCTTAAGGTAGATCTTGTAAATTCACCAATTTAGAAGTGCTATCTAAATCTTCTTTCTTTTCTCACAAAGAAAGAACTGCTTGATGAGGATAACCTAACTAGGCTAATACATGAATTAAATGCAACCTAGACTTACCTATCCTCAAATGTTATGGACCGGATGTTGGTGTTTTCCCAAAATTCGTATGTTGAAGCCCTAATCTCCAATGTTATAATATTTGGAGGTGGGTCCTGAGAGTTTGCACACTCTCTCTCTGCCATGTAAGAACCTGACAAGAAGGAGACGATCTGCAAGAGAGCCCTTGAAAACTGGTTGGAACTTTGATCTTGGACTTCCCAGTATCCAGAACTGGTGAAAATAAATTCCTGTTGTTTAATCCACCCAGTCTGTGGGATTTTGCTATAGCAGCTCAATCTTCAAATAAACTCTTTAGTTCAATAATGCTATTACCACATTAGTATGGATACACACATGTGCATACCTGCCTATACACACACATAATTCAGGACATTTAATATTATCTCATTTGTGGAGAATAAAAGAAATATGGAATGAGGAGGATTGGAAATCACTACCTAATTCTCAAATTTTATTTAAGTGCCTCAAGATTCTATTCATGGGTAAGGGTATGCAAGAAATTAATGATAATTTTAGTACAAATGTGGGTTTCTGCTCCCCCTCAACACCGAAAATGAAAAAGTGAAACCAACCCAGTAGTCCCATAGACAGGTTTTGGGGTTTTCTGGATAAATATGGAAATTGACCCTTCTGGTCTTAAAGCTTGAAGCTTACATTTGTTTTACCTGAATTTCTTCTTCAGGAAAGGACCCCCCACCAGGCCTCTCAAAAAGTATCAAAGAACTGAAACCCACCAGATCACCACATCCAGAAAGTGAGAGGCCAGACCCCTCATTCATCATGATTGCTCTTAACCCTCCCAAGTTCCTGTTTTGCCACACATTGTGACATTTCTTCCCTGCTACATAAACCCCTAATTTTAGTAGGTCAGAGAGATGGATTTGAGACTGATCTCCCATCTCCTCAGCTGCAGCACCCCATTCAATCCTTCTTCCATGGCAATACTTGTGTTAGTAATTGACTTTCTGCGTGGCAAGCAGCAGGACCCAAACTGAACCCCTGGTGTTTCGGTAACAGAAAGAGCCTTAACAAAAAAGGCAGAGACATGTTCACAAAGAAGCTCAAGCCTTCAAGCTACAAATCACAAGAAATGCTAAGCCACATGGGGCTCTTTTCCTAACCTTTCTCTTGGCACCTAACTGGATTAAAATGGCATATTGCCATCTGCATCCATGCATGTGATTAAAAATCAAACCATATAGATTGAGTTAGACAGATGAAAAGTCATGTCATCTTTTGTCTAACATAATGCCTTTGACTGATCCTTGCTTTTCCTATCCCAACATTAAGGATTCTCTTTACTAAATGAAATGAACTCTAGTATCTTACATTGAAATTCATTGTTAAAGATGTGATTTTTTTCCTCAGGTTGCAGAAAAACTTGCCTGAATTAGTTCTTTGTGGACCTTTTAAGCGTTACCTAAAATCAGAATACTGCGACTAGAAGAAACTTAATGATTATCTCACTTAAGTGTCACACCAACATTTACCACTAGCTCCCACTTGATATTTCATAATAAACTCCAACCAGATCATATATACAATTTTTAACAATAAAATCTCATAAATAAAAAGCCCACTCAACTATGGAGGATGTTTTTCTCTATACATAGACTTTTAAATGGTATATTCTCATATTAGAAGGACAAAATGGTATAATTCTTTGGAAATTATCTTTAATTCTGATGGTGGCTTAATACACACATATTAATACATGTATTTTGGATTTTCCTAAGCACCACATATAAAAGAAAAAACCCAATGGAACACATGCTATGTCCAACTTAGCAAAGTTTCTGTGTGATTAATAGAATATTATTAATAGCCATTTTTTAATGGTTGCCATTCTATTAACTTATACAGGATGGCTATCTCCTTTTTCTAAAACAGTCTTCTTCAAGACACTTTACTTATCAATAACTAATAAAAATTCCCTGTTTTGAATCACATAAATTTCATTTTTAATTAAACATTTCTTGAAAACCCACCATAAGTTAAGCCTATCTACTTCAAATACTTGTACAAGATTTTGAGATGCCTTAATATTTTGATCCACCTCTGAGCCTCTTGAAGGCAAGGACTATCTTAGCTGTGTCCTCAGGATCTATCACTGTGTTAATATATAGAATATCACAATAAATGTTAATAAATGATATTTGTTACTCAACATTTCCATAGATTTCTACAATCCTTTTCATATAATGGATATCCTCGCCATCCCTTCAAAAATGTACTATGTACTCTCTTCATGTCTTTTCCCTTGTCCTTTCTGAGATATTTGTTCTGCTCTCTTGCCTAGTTTCTACTTATTTTCCATGATTCGCTTATTTCATAAAATCTATTCCAGCCTAAGCATTTCATTTCTCTCAAATTGTGTCAAGACTATATTACACTGAACTCTACTCTCCTAAAGAGAGTCAAAAAATCATATTTATACTTGTTATATATCCTCCACATGTCATAGCTCTAAGTTGGGAACATTGCTAGTTAATATATAAGATACAGATGGTTTGTGAGAAAAGATACAAGTCTCTTACTGATGAATTAGATCAGAGATAGGCAAACTATGGTCTATCAGCCAAATTTGGCCGGATGCCTGTTTTTATAAGTAAAATTTCATTGGGACACAACCACACCCATTCATTTATGTATTGTTTATGGTGGCTTTCCTGCTATAACAATCAGTTGAGACCATTTGGCCCACAAACCTAAAATATTTACTCTCTGGTCTACTACAAAATAAGTTTGCCAACTAGCAGTTGAGATCAGCGGTTTTCCAGTGTGGGTCCCAGATTTTATTGGCCTACTCACACTCTTAAGCATTGTGGTTTGATAATGTTACATAACCCAGTGGGTCTTAAAGGTAGTTTTTGCACTAGCAGTACAAGCATCACACTGAAATTTGTTAGAAATTCTAAATCTTAGCCACCATTCCAGACTGCAGATCAGAAATTCTTGAGATAGGGCCCAGCAATCTGTGTTTTTAGCAGCCCTCCAACTGATTCCAATTCACACTAAAATTTGAGAATCACTGGATTAAACAGAGAATCATTTATTAACACCCGACCATGATGACTTGGCCTGGCTATGGCAGATCCATTTTCTTTAAAGATATTCTAAGTTATGAAAATATATTAATTATGTTTCACCAGTCCTGAAATAAGACACCTTGCATTTATTCTGAAAGAACATGAAGGAACAGGATTATCTTGATGTGGAAATTGCTATAGCACTTTTAGTAAATGCCGAAATGCCACCAGCTGTATATCCAAAGGAAAGACAATATACCAAGTGCCAAAGTGTAAAACCTATCCAAAAATAGATTGAAATATCAAAGCAATATAGCAGAGAAGCTCCAATTTTTATCGGACTGCCTGTCAAGACAAACCTTTGCACAATGCTTCTCAGCAGGGACACAGGAGAGGCAGCATTGCAGCTCAGTATGGGACTCTGATAATCAAGCATTTGTTCCAACATGCATATCCCCAGCTCAAAGTCATAAATGTTGCCTTTCCATGATAGTGTGTGGGTAGCACTTTCCATGATAGTGTGCGGGTAGAAATAGGAATAAAAATAGGAATAATCACCACCAAGCCTTGTGCATGGTAATAATTAGCTAGCACTCCCTATGAAAAAAATTTATAATTGTGTTATAATATATACAATTTTCACAAAATAATTATGTTCAAACTTACGATAAATTCTCACTTCCTCATTGTTTTTCTCTAAAATACAGACTAACACAAGCAGCTTTGTCTATGATATGAAAGGGCTGTAATGTACCAAAAATAATGGAGAGTTATTGATAAGTGGAAAGCATTAAAAAAACTACTTCTTAAAAGACTTTTGTCTCAGTCTTTTATATTTTAATGGTATAAGCTTCCAGCTATTTCAAGAAACAAACAGTAAAATTATTTAACCTATTGAAGAGTCTCTACATAAAGGTTAAAAAAATATGTCAATCAATAAGAATAAACTATTGATTGACAGCCTCTAGAAACTTCACATTATTTCCTAGTCTTAAAAAAAGGTATGTTTCTACAAAATAAAATATCCGTTAGTTCTCTATAGAAATTTGACACATAAATTTCATATGCCTAAAATTCATATGAACATTTTATTCAATATTCTTTTAAAAGTTCTTTTATTTTGACATATATCTATAGAATATAGGAAAAGTGTTCAGACATGCTGTGTAACAGCATAAATGGAAAATACGGGCCTGGATGTTACCCCATGAATTTAGCAAATGACTGGCCACTGTTCAGATGATCTGTTCGAATTCTGATACAAAAACTTAAAATTCACAAATTTAAACCACAAATTAATGAATATATAAACGGACACACAGATAACACAGAACAAATTCAAAGAGGAAGAATACACAATGATCTTGTCATAGGGTTACAACCGACCCATGTAAAGATAAAAATGTTTCACCCAGAAATAATTAATCATAGGGAAACATAATCCCTACTTAGAAGGACAGTAGGTCACTAAATAGAATGAAACAAGGAGTCAGTAAAGGCTAAGAAGGTTACAGAATGTAATTAAGGGTAAGGCTCTGAAATTTTAAGAAGTGGAAAATTAGACTAAATGTTATAAACCTTTCATAGAAAGTCCTCTAGAATCAACCTCCAGCAGATGCTTCAATTGAGTCATTTAAAATTAGACAAGAGCCTGTCTTTGCCAAATGCCATAGGGAATTATTCAATACTAGTGGGATGTACTAAATGAACTATCTTTTTTCTTTTATTCATCTTTTGCATATCTAATTGCCATGATTTCACACACATTAAAAAATAATGAGAAGATAAAAATGCTCTGGAGGTTATTATGTTACTATTATTATCATATCAACTCATTCTTTTAATTTTTTTCAAAACAAGAGGAATGATGGGATAAAATAATTAAGAGGTAAGTCCTACTCTTGAATAGTCCACTCAAAATATTAAATTCAAAGAAAAGTTATATTAAAAGATAGAATATAGCTTTGTAAAATTTGCATAGTTAGGATCATATTTAATTACCCAACAATGTCCTAGCATGATGTATAACACAAAGTATATAATCAATAAATACTAAATGAATGAATAATAAATACCCATCCTCTGGAAACTGTCTCTTCTAGGGTTTATGGCCCTGAGATGTAGGTTAATTGTATTCATTAATTACTTAAATCCAACCCAGTCTACCTGGACTCAAAGTCTGGCCTTGCTACTTACTAACAGTGTGTCCTTGAGCAAGTTGCTTAGTCTCACCATGTCTCAGTTTTCACATTTGAAAAATGAGGAGAGATTACAATAGCATCTGCCTCTTGACCTTTTATAAGTATTAATGAGTTAATACTAGTAAAGCACAGACTTTATTACATAGTAAGCCTCAGTAATGGTGAGAAATCATTCTTAGTAATGGCCACCAGTGTTCATGGTAACCAATCAGACAGGAGACATCAGGATGTTAGTCTAGAAAACGTTAGAAAGGCCAGGTGACATTACACAGATTCTTAGAACGTGGCCCATTTACTAATACACTCTAAAAATAAGTTAGTTGATTTTATTAAGATTGACTATGGAAATAAATGGTATTCTCATCCAAGTTGAAGGAAGCCTGGCTCTTCCTTTACAGACTATTTCAGTCCACTAATGATTACTTAGCTTTAGCCTTCTAGGCTTTGTGCTGTATGTCAAGTTCTTGACCTCGATGAGGCGGTCCAATGAGTTATTAGTAAAACAATAGACTACTATGCTTTTCTGGATTTCATATTTACAATGCCAGCTCCATCAGCTGTCTGTCCATAAATGTAAACTCATGTCTGTGGTTTCGAGGATAACTGCTTCTCAGTCGAATAACTTAAAAAGATCATAAATGTAAGTTATAATCCGATTGATCTGAGTTTCAGTCCCAGCTCCAGTATGATGAGTTCTGTGGCTTTGAGCAAGTTAAACTTTAGGCTTATTTCCTCATATGTGAAATGGGAAAAAAACACATAAATCATATTTTATGGGGTTATATTGAGGACTAAAAATCAAGTAACTCATGAAAAATGCTTTCAAGTACACTGGTGAGAGACTATCTGGGTTCAAATGCTTGCCCTAATACTTATTAGCTGTGTGTACTGATGCATCTTACTTAGCCTCACTATGCTTTAGTAAGTACTTACAAAAAGGCTACCTATTACTATTTTAATAGCATTATTGGAATATAATTTCCAGCTTCTCAATGTGTATCCTAATACATAACTTCTTCCATTCCTTCCAACTATCAGTGCCCTTTCAAATTTGTGACTTACCATTCCCTTTAAAGGCTTATTATAAGTTCATATTCCCTTGATGTTTTCTGTGACTTCTTGGGGACAATTCATACCCCAACAATTGCTTCAATCCAGAAATCATGCTCCTTGGTATGTATCCAAAGGAGTCAAAACTTAAGTCCACATTAAAACATGAACATGGATGCTTATAGCATCTTTATTAATAATTGCCAAAACCTGGAAGCAACCAAGATGTCCTAGAGGTGAATGTATAAGTAAACGGTTGTACATCCATACAATGGAATATTATTCAGTACTAAAAAAAACTGAGTTATCAAGCCACAAAAAGACATGAATGAGCCTTAAGTACATATTAGTAAGTGAAAGAAGCCAATCTGAAAAGGCTACAAAGTATGATCCCAACTATATTAGGTTATGGAAAATGCAAAACTATGGAGACAGTGAAAAGATTATTGCTCACCTAGGGTTTAGGGGACAGTAGGGATGAATAGTGGAACACAGAGGATTTTTAGGACAGTGAAACTATTACATATGATACTCTAATGGTCGATATGTGCCACTATACCTTTTCAAAACTCATCAAATATACAACACAAAGTGTGAACCCAAATGCAGGCTATGGACTTTGGTTGAGAGTGAAGTGTCAACATTGGTTCATCAACTATAACAAATATATCACACTGGTGGAGGATGTTGATGCCAGGGGAGGTTGTGCTTTGGGGTTGGGGAGGGATACATGAGAACTCTGTTCTTTCTGTTGAATTTTGCTGTGAACCTAAAGCTTCTATAAAAATAAAGTATTAATTTTTTTTAACAAGTGAATAAAATTAAAACACACATACTGTGTGAGTTAAACAAAACCTATTACCAGGCTGGATTTGAGCTTTTGGCCACTAGATTATACAATTTGTTTAAAGAATATGGTAGTACCCATGCTCCAAGACTTGGGACAGAATTAGCAATATGTGTTCAATTTATTCAATCAAAAATGAGTGAACATTACCCATTTTGGGAAAGGAAATCCTAAATATTAACAACCCACTGATCTCCATATCCTTAATAAAAATGATTTTTTTTTTTAGAAAGTGGAATTCAATTCAGGCTTCCATTACTTCATATGCAGGTGATCGAAAAATTTGTATAGTCAAAATATTGAAAAAAAAACAAGAAAACAACATTTTTCTCACAGAAATACATCACACAAACATATATTTATATAAAAATTATATACAACTCCTTGAATAAAGCCAAAGAAATATTCAAATAAAAATTAAGATATTAGTTTCAAGAGAGAATGACCTTTCTTTTATTTCCTGATTCATCCCTAGAATCTAAGGCAATATCTGACACCCAAAAAGTACATAAATATATGGTTAATAAATAAATGAACCACATATTCTCTTTACAAAAGAAAAATGATTCTGCCTAAGTTGTGAATCAGAAAGGGGCTAGCATGGAGATAAAACGGACTTATTAGGAGCCTATTGCAACTGTCTAGCTAGGAAATAACGAGCACATAGAAGAAAGCAATAGCAGTGGAAACGCGTGAACACAGCCAGGAAAAGTGTAAACACCATGCCTTAAGCAGTGAAGATGAGCCACTGAGAACACGAAATCCTGAGGGGCAAGAAAAGAAGAGCCTAAGAAAGTTAGCAAGAAGGAATGTTTGATGATGAAGGAAGGAAGGAATAAGACAACGGTGTCACAGAAGCTCAGAGAAGACAGATTTAATAGATGGAAAGAATAGTATCTAGTGTTGCAAAGAAGCCAAGTACTATGAACAGGGCTGGGATTCGGAATGGGCTCAGTTAAGCATTCACCTTGGGCAAAAAAATTTAAAGGAGCATCAAAAAGTTCACTCAGAAGACAAATAATATTTAAATACATTATTTTAAAAATTATAATTAGTACAAAGAATCCATGGTGAGCAAAATACCAGAATTATAACTAATGACAGGTTGTTGTATGCCCATGTGTTACTGTGTAACATAACCGCTGGTAGTTCTTGGACCTGCACAGCCTTTGCTTTTCCACTGGGTATGTTTATGGGGTTGACAATGATGTGCCAATAGATTGGGCAACCCAGGGCTTTATGTGTGTTTTTTCATCATAGCGCTTTTATTAACTTTTCCACTTGGTTGAAAATATGGGAGGATTTTTTAATAGATGTATACAGAGGCCCGCCTTTTCCTTTTACCACAGTTTCTGATTAGGGTTGGCACAGCACTGACTGAGACTTGAGACTTGGTTTAGCAATTAGAAAACCATCACAGACTTAATGGGAGTAGTTTCAATGTGGTAGTGAAAGGAGAAACCAGACTGCAGTTAATTAAAGAGAGATTAGGCTGAAGACAAGGAAATAGAAACAGAGATATTTAAGAATAGAGGGTAGATAATCCATGAGGAATACAACAATTCACTTGCTCCTTTATTCAAACTGATCTCCTGAAATGTGTCTAAAGAGAAGCAAAAGTATAGTTAAAAACAAGTTGGTCATTCCTCTGGTGCCGCTTTAGAGACAACTATCTTCACTGTGGCTTTAGGTTGATTACTGATGGCTCTTGCTATAAGCAATATCACTGTGGTTCAAATTAGAACATTTCTGAAATGTTTCTGGCACCATGTATGTTGTCATGCCTCTCTCCCATACATACCACATCCCAGGAATCATCTCTATAAAAAACGGTTCTCTAGAAATTTGGATGATTGCTAACTTTAACAAAAGTAATTTTGCAATAATATCAGATTCAGTTTGAACCATGTAGTAGATCTCCACTGTTGACCTTTTAAATGCACAGACATCTTACAGGAGAAATTACGAAATGGTTTATAAAAGTAATTTCAGGTACAGCCACCTTGAAACTTAATTACGTCATTACCCTTGGAATTTTCCAGTATGAATATGCAAATACAAATATATATTCAAGATGACCCACTAAAAACAGCCTATAATACCAATGAAATATGAAGCAGTACTAGGTAAATAAAAGTGGGATGGTTTCTAATTAAAACAGAATTAAATAATTAAGTTTAAAAAACCATGTTTTTAATTATTTTGTAGTACTAATCTCAAAAGGCTAACATCTAATGAATTAGGTTATGTTATAGTTTTGCCAAGCCAAAGGATTCTCCTAAGACTTATCTTTTTACTCATGGTTAAGTGAGAAAAGTAGAGAAGAAGCTTTCCACTAAGGGAAGTGGAACTAGAAGAGTACCTACAAGGGACATGTCTTACCAAGATGGAGTTAATCCAATACATGTTCCTTTGGGGGGTGAGGAAACATATTAGAATTTAGTAAATGTCACTCTTCAAATACTGAAAGGCAGTGCTTCTCAGTGTATGCTGAAACTACCTCCATGAATCAGCTCTAGATTTTTTTGAAAAGTCAGGTTCCTGATCTCACCAGAAACAGAATCTGAATAGGTGGGCTCCAGACTCTGCATTTTTGACAAATGTCCCTAAGTAATTCTCAAAGTTGTCACATTTAAAGAAGCACTAAAAATGATATAATACATAATCCATTTATAGTATACACTCTACCATTTCGACATGACAGATCTAATAGTGGAAATTTAGTGCAAAATAGATCTACTATTCCATCAGAAGTATCATATAGATGCTGTGGTAATTATTTAAAACATAGTGTATTCAATGGTTGCAGATAGCAAATAAAATATAATCAATAAGTATATGTTGAATGTTTACTATATGCAATAAATAAATCTAATATAAAAGCTCTCTATGCCTAGGGAGCTTAAAATAAGTGCATTAAATATGACTTTTCTAAATCCCTTTCTATTTGGAGTATTATTTCAAAACTCAAATATTTTCCAGTCTCTTATTTCCCTATTCCTAAAATAGCAATATTCTCCTAAAAAAGCAAAATACATATGAATATAAACATGGGATTACCATATTAGTCTACCAATATTTGTTTACTAAAGCATTCAAAAGTTAGAGTTTTTAGAGATTATCTCAAAATTACCCAATTATTTAACATGAAGTCTATTTCAAAATATAAAAGCACATAAGTTTACCCAGCATATGGCATATCTTTAGATATATGCTCATCTATAACCAAACTGAGAAATTTGACCTTGCTCTGCAGCTATGGAGGTGAATTTCTAAAAGGATAATTCTTAATTAGTAACTCTTAATTGAAACTCTACATGGCATGATTTTTATTTGAGCAAGACTTTCATATTTTAGTTTACTATGTAATAATAGATTATTTCCTCAGAATTAGCATTAGTGTCACAAGGGATGTAGCCAGTCTTAGAGAATAACATGGAGAAAGAAATCATCATAGCAAAATAGTCATCTCCAAATAGGAATCCCATTATTTTAAGGGAATTTCTTCTAAGACTCAAAAAAACTTATGAACAAACACATATATATTTGCTCAAAGACGTCATCAAGGGATTGCATATTTACACAATGACCATACGTACTAATAGCGGCCAAACCTTGAATTTATTATAGATCAACTTATAAAAACTAATATTTTTCCACCTTCTCATTTTACCATAAATCCTAAAAACCTCCAGTATAGTTTAAGTTGTACTTCTATCTAGGCTTTTTTTTTTTTTTTTTTTTTTTTTTTTGAGACGGAGTCTTGCTCTGTCACCCAGGCTGGAGTGCAGTGGCGCAGTCTCTGCTCACTGCGAGCTCCGCCTCCCAGTTTCACGCCATTCTCCTGCCTCAGCCTTCCAAGCAGCTGGGACTACAGGCGCCCGCCACCATGCCCGGCTAATTGTTTTGTATTTTTAGCAGAGATGGGGTTTCACCATGTTAGCCAGGATGGTCTGGATCTCCTGACCTTGTGATCCGCCCATCTCGGCATCCCAAAGTGCTGGGATTGCAGGTGTGAGCCACCACGCCCAGCCCTATCTGGGCATTTCTATTCCCTTTAAT
Source organism: Homo sapiens (assembly GCF_000001405.40). Taxonomy (NCBI): domain Eukaryota; kingdom Metazoa; phylum Chordata; class Mammalia; order Primates; family Hominidae; genus Homo; species Homo sapiens. Next base: position 174,723,445 of record NC_000003.12, on the reverse strand, counting down.
ATTTTCTAATTTGTTGGATCGTTTCAATAATAACAGTCACAATTTATTGAACACCAAGTAGGTTGGGTGTTAGAAGCTTGGGAGAAATTGCCACAAATCATCAAATGTTATCAACATAGTCTCATGAAATATTTAGTATCATTCTAGTTTCATAGGAATAGGCTCAGAAATAGGCTCAGAAAGGTGAATTAACTTAATTCACCTTTAGGAATTAGGAAATAGGCTCAGAAAGGTGAATTAACTTAATCACAGGCAGGCAATTTTTAGGAGGCAAAACTTTAAATATGATGTCCATTCAATTTCCCTCAGTCCACTTAACATAAAATCAGAAGATAATGATTCAGTCTCTCTGTCTCTCTCTGACTACAATATGGAATTTATTTTTTATTTTCTTCACCATGAAAAAATTAAATACATGTATGTCTGTTTTAGGAAGACTTTTCAACAAGGCACTGACTTTACACAGAATACAGCCATGAATTAATAATGTAAAAAAGATGGTATCTGCTAGCCACATAAACCAGTCAAGTTTGTCTTTAGAGTCACAGATGACCCCAGACTCAGGATCCTGCTACTGAATTTACTGAATTGGTGATTTTAAAAACAAGGTAATTATGTTGTTTTTAAATTTAAAGCCAAAGAAACAATTTTAACTACATTTTGTTTCATTACATTTGCATATGCCAATTGATTCTATTAACAATTTTTAAATATTTCCATCCTACCTTATTTAATTATTTATTTGGGATGAAGTCTCACTCTATCGCCCAGACTAGAGTGCAGTGGCACGATCTCGGCTCACTGCAACCTCCGCCCTCTGAGTTCAAGCGATTCTCCTGCCTCAGTCTCCCGAGTAGCTGGGATTACAGGCACCTGCCACAGCGCCCGGCTAATTTTTGGTATTTTTAGTAGAGATGGGGTTTCACCATCTTGGCCAGGCTGGCCTTGAACTCCTGACCACGTGATCCACCTGCCTTGGCCTCCCAAATTGCTGGGATTATAAGCATGAGCAACCACACCCAGCCCACCCTACGTTATTAATCACTCTTTATTTAAGCAATAGGAGGGTTAAATTAGGATAATTTTATTTTAAAAAGTTCAAGTTCCTTGGAAAGAAGGAAATGAAATGGTACAGTGGGTATTAGCAATATACTGGATCTCTCAGGAAATGAAAAGGATTCCGTAAACCAACCCATACCTTCATGCACCAAAGAGAAAAAGGACAAACATGAGTTGGGACTACAGCATTTCCAGGAACATGGAGGATTTGCCTTTCTAGAGGATGGGATTGGATTGAGTGATGGAGGAGATACTGTTACAGGTAAATAAGAAGAATGGGAAAGGGCCCTAAATAACTAAAGAAGGAGTAAAGTGTGGGAAAGCAGTCCACCATAGGCTTCTTTTGCTCCCACCATCTTGCTGAGCTCTTGGTCTTGGCTGTTATTTCAATCATGCCATTTTTCAGGATTGTTGATGAAACTGGAGCTCTGGGCAGTAAGGTAACAACTGACTGAATGTATTAGGTAGTCCTGAAATGCGTCTTGGACCCCTCTGGTCAAAAATCAGTCTTGCTTACTGATGGCTGTAAAAGCAGTGGATCTCCTGAGTTCAGGTTACTTTTCCAGAGGAATACCAATCACCCTTGCACACTCCAGCTGGTGCTCCACGTGACCCTGCGGTATTCTGGGCTGGGAGAACCAGCACAACTAATCTGGTTTCTGCTTTTCCTGTGAGTAAAGCCAGGATTCTTTTGTTTTGTGTCAACATCCATGGAACTCTGGTAGACACATTCATTAGCTTACATAGTTGTTTCAGTGAGAATTCTGCTGCTTCGAGCTCTCCTCCATACCATCAAACTTATTTTATTCAGACACAAACGTTATTTTATTAAGACGCGAGAAATGCCAACAAGGAGCCATATCTTCCTTTAAGGATAGTCGCCATTCAAAATTACGGAATTCAGGGTTTTGTCCACTGTGCTCTTGCCTCGCTGCGTCACAGTCTTCACCTCACTGGCAATAAAGCTGAATTTTCAGGAGGGTAGACTCTTCACTAACATAAACTTTAAGCAGTCTCTTCCATTTGCTTATTTGAGGAAAGGAAATATCTAGTAGAATAATGCTAAATGTAGAATACTCACTGTCATATTACAAATGCTTTCATTAAAAATTAGTGTATTTTTATCACCTCTTAAAAATCCTTCAGCAGAATATTTTACACAGCTCTTAATATTAAATACACTAACTATGCTTTATTATAACTCAGATTTAAAGTTACAGCCTATTTCACATAAATATTGAATTCATAATTATTAGCATAACATGTTAATATAGGGTACTCATTTTATTATTAAAAACACTACCAAGAAACTGAAAGAAAACTTTACTCAAAAATGATATATTATCTCTATCAGTATGTCTGGTTCAATATTTAATAATCATTTAAATTCAACAACAGTCTGCTGAAGTTGAAAATATTGAAATTAGTCATGTAAAAAATCGTTTTAAAGTCAAGCACCGGAAACACACATTTTGTGCGCTTCATTTCATTTTATGGTCTCTAAGAACTATTACACTTTTTAATAAACTTGCATCTGGAATTTGAAGCCAAATACTACATTCGAACGGCAAGAATTTATTAACCAAAGGATACCCAAACTGGTAGTAAAATGTACTCCTAGTGATGTTTTAAATGGATTGTAAAAACTGCATTTTATTAATCTACTCACAATTAAGGAACAACAGCTGTCCCATCTGCATTCCCAATGCCCACTTTTGTAACGATAATTTTTTTTTCATTTACACATTGCTGATAAATAAACATCTCATGGTTGAGTTCCCAAATCTTAGTTCCATAGCTTTCATTGCAAAATGTTCTATTTTGTCTCAGTCTTTACAATACACAGCATTATATAAATTTATACTAACAGTTGTCTAAATTATAACAAAGTACTTTTCCATCAATATTTTTGTTTTTATATTCATATCTGTAGCTATATCTCTCTATATAGCTATCATATAATGTACATATGACTGATTTATCCTAGATTACCTATCATTATGCAAAATAAATTAGTTATTACTTTGTTACTAAGAAATATTTAATTAATGGCCATGTCAGTGTCTTTTCCTCTTAAAAATTCACAAATATATTGAAATCTATTTTTAAAAAGATAATAAACCAATACTATGCCTTTAAAAAATAAATCACATTTTAAAAGTTACTTTAATAAAAGTTTCCACTTTTATTAAAGTGTAAATAATCCCTTGTTTGACGTAAAATAAAAACTGGATTGTCTTTCATAAAGCAAATTATTTCTTGATATTTTTAATAAGATTACTGCCTAGACAGGGAGCGGTGGGTCACGCCTGTAATCCCAGCACTTCAGGAGGCCAAGGCATGTGAATCACGAGGTCAAGAGAGCGAGACCATCCTGGCCAACATGGTGAAACCCCGTCTCTACTAAAAATACAAAAATTAGTTGGGCATGGTGGCGCATGCCTGCAGTCTCAGCTACTCAGGAGGCTGAGGCAGGAGAATCGCTTGAACCCGGGAGGCGGACGTTGCGGTGAGCCAAGATCGCTCCAGGCTGGCACTCCACTCCAGGCTGGCAACAGAGCAAGACTCCATCTCAAAAATAAATAAATAAATAAGTTTACTGCCAAATTCAGTCAGCTTTACTGACAAAATGTATTAACATACTCTCTATTGTCTAAATGTAATATTGCTTCAAACATCTCAAATTCCAGAGGATATTGCTTCTTTCCCACTTTGCTCCTAACTGTGTTTATGGTTAAAATTAAAAGTGAACAAATAATCAAAAGATTTAACAAACAGTCATGATATATACTAACAACACTTGCATGCTAATATTAGGGAGTATACGTGAGTTACAGCTTGTGAAATCTTTGTTAGTCACTTAAGCTTCTTGGTTGCTAAGTCCTTCATTTACAAAATATAGAAAACATAAGAATCCATGAACTTATAGCACATAGGCATTAAAGTTATATACCTCTTTTGAAATCAAGAAAATCTACAACTTTTAAAATCACAATTGTAATAAACTTATGGCTTGAAGAAAAAGAAAACCTGCATATGGCCATTTACAAACAGAATATGTTTTTGACCTCTATATTTTTTTCACATAAAAGTATAAAGAGATGGGATATTTTTCAAAAGAAAGTTGATGCATGTCAACTGTTAATGTTACCTAGTGCCATCTATATGAGAGGTGGTACAAATGTTAATTTCTCAAATAACCTGAATATTTTTAAATATGAGTTTTAACATTTTTATAAAATTATTTTCAATAAATTACAGGATGTTAGAGCAAATGAAGCATGGTGAATATAAACCACCTTTCTTAATGAGAAGTCGTCTTCATGTGCAGCAACAGTCTATGGAGTGATAACATCAGAGATTTCTCAGGTGTGGGTGGTTATTATTCCCTGTACAGAATGGCTTCAAGAACAACCAGAAGCAGGAAAAGATTGTTTTAAAGGATAAGGAAAAAAGACTGCATTTTTTTTCCAATGATTTTCTTTCCTATAACTTCTTACTGCTCTCACTGGATCCAAGTATTATAATCTGCTGACTTATTTAATACTATTGCCTAAAAGAATATCATTTGTTGCCTTCTACTGATATTTGTGCCGACTAAAGGGAGCGGCAAGTACTGTGACTGTAAGAGAATTGCTATTTTGTAGGCTTTGGGAAGATACAGCCCTGGATTTAGAGAATGGATCTAATCCAAATTCTGAAATTCACCATCCTGGGAAACTTAGGTAAGTTGCTTAATCTCTCTGGACCTCAGTTTCCTTATCTTGTTAAGTAGAGAGAACAATGTCAGTCTCCTAGGGCAAAAATTGGACATAATAAAAGGTTATTTTCTTCTACTTTTTGGAAGATGGTTTCTCATCCTAGTTCTGCTATTAATTGCTCCATTACCATGATTTCACCTCTCTGACTCTCAGCTTCTGTGTCAATAAAATAATGAAGGTATGAACTCTGACCTGTAGAAGGTATGTTCTACCTGTCTATGATTTCATTTAGAGTTGTACAGATCATGACTGTAACCTCCTATTTTAGCTTTTGTAATAATCTCAAATACTTTACTTGCAGAATGGTCTTCAATCAAGGTCAATGATATAAATTGTTAAAATAATTGTAAACATTTAAATAATATGTGATCTTACATCCAGATAAAAAATGGGAAAGATAAATAAGCCCCAAAAATAGAATGCTTCATTGCAGAATTTTTCAATGGCATATCTTATCATTAAAGGAGGAGATTTCCTTTTTGTTTCATTTTTTGTTTGTTTGTTTGTTTGTTTGAGACACAATATAGGTCTTATCACCCAGGCTGGAGCGCTCACTGCAACCTCCACCTCCCCAGTTCAAGCGATTCTTCTGCTTCAGCCTCCCAAGTAGCTGGGATTACAGGCGCCTCCCAACACGCCCGACAAGTTTTTTTGTATTTTTAGGAGAGGTGGGGGTTTCACCATGTTGGTCAGGCTAGTCTCGAACTCCTGACTTCAGGTGATCTGCCCGCCTCAGCCTCCCAAAGCACTGGGATTACAGGCATGAGCCACCATGCCCGGCCAAGGAGGAAACTTCTTGTAAAAGGTATTTTTAAAAGTGAATTGCACATATATCAATGGACTCAGGAGAAAAAAAAATACAATTCCTAAATGTACAAGGAAATGCTCTTAAGCATCATTTCTTACTACATATTTAATATTCCAGAAGGAAATCATGAGCATTTGAAATCATTTTGAAGAGGCGGTTGCTAATGATACATGAAATATAGATCCTTAAAATGTAATTACTATACTGAGACTACAGTCTAGAATTGTAAGAAAAAAATCTTAGGCACCTTTTGTCATGGGTCTCTGAAAGCACACATTTGGCCTACTAAACTGAAGGATTAAGTATTTGATCTTTTCCAGTCTTCTTCTAATTAAGATTGGTTTTCTTACAAATGGAAGGTATTTTAAAATGTGTACATAGTTAGATGTGTACAAAAAGACCGGCATGACATTTTTCCCTCCTATTTTGCAGTGCACAGCATTATTTTCACACTTCAGCCGACAAACTGAAAGTCTCTGGTGCATCAAAACCAATATCAACCTTCCTGAATTAATTACTTCCTTCAATCTCAGCTTTATAATGAGTCTCTCTGGGACTTGACACAATTAAAAAAATAGAGAGTCACCAGGAAGAGAGAGGTAGATGATGCTTTAAGATCTGTTCTCTTTCCTCCCTTTTCTTACCACAAAACTCTTCAGATTAGTATTCAGAAAGTAAAATCTCAGTTCTAAAGATATCTGCCTTAAACAGTCTAGGTTTTCAGAACATTGAGGAAGAAAAGTCATTTTCAACTCTCATATTACAAAAACAAATGTACTGAAGTTTTCTCTGTTTCTATACAAAACAAGGTCTTTGGAAAAAAAACAATTCTAAAATTTTACACTTATTTTCTTTACTTGTGTCTTAGAGAATATTAATATGTCTCAACTATGCAGAGAACTACCAGTATTTTTTCTTCCACAATTCAGAAATGAAGCTGTCTTCTGGAGCTAGGCTTTCAATAACATATTGATTATATGTTAATATAATCATACATTATTAACAAAGTATTTTTCATACCGAACTGTACATTAGAATCTTCTATGGAGATTTTGTATACATTATAGTATATATGTGTGTAGGTGTGTGGATATATATGTATATACACACATGTCCAGCCTGTACACACAGAGATTATAATCACATGGAACTGAGACAGGGTCTATTTTTTTTTTTAATCTTAGCCTGGAATATTTTTTTGTAAAGCCCTAAGGTGGAAAATAATTCTATTAATGTATTCCCCACTATTATAATGCAATAAAAAATACAGGCACCTAAATTTTAGTTGCTATATATTTATATTATATAAACCTAGAAATGTAACAAAAATGAGAGTTTCTCTTTTACTGATATAGACTGTATTAATTTGGAACACCAAAATTGCATATTATCATATTTGGAACCCTGTATACAGGCCTCCTTATTTAAAAGGTGTGAGACTAGCCCTCTTTGGTGGAAAAACAAAACAAAACAAAATAAGCAAAAAATACAATGAGTACTAGATGTGACAGTAGTCTTCCTTAGATACATGCATATCTGGTTAGTTGGCTGATCTGGCTGGTCAAACAGGTATGCCTTTCTGACTTACCTGTCAATGGATAGTGTTTCTAGAGCTGTGCCCTTCATCAGAGAATATGATCTTTCCCAATAGAGGATGATATAATTAAGGATATTCTATTTGTTAAGGATATTCTACATGATGAGATAAAAAGTGAATGAGTAAATGGAGTCACAGGAAGAATAAAAGTAGAAAATGTCAAATGCTAGGACTAAAACTGGTAAACTATTGAAAGTAAGATGCATGCAAACATGAGAAGAACAAAAAATTAGACTGAGCATTTTAGCAATCAAAGGAAAGAAAAAAATGTAATGAATTATGCCATTCATATTCTACAAAAAATAAAACACACCAGTTTCTTAGAAAAATTGCAGATAATCCTAGAACTGAAACCTAGAAAAATACCTGTAATAAGCCTGGTGTGAAAAGTTTTATCCACAACACACTCACCCCACACCACCCCTCTATCCCAGATACAAAGTAAGGACAGTAACATGTTTTGTTAGTCTATTTACTATAATACCTTCTAACACATTCATCCTTAAAGGATTGGGAAAGACCCCAAACAACACAATGCAAGAATGCTTTCTATAACCATTTGACTTAGTCCTGAATTATAAACAGCATTTCTTGAAACTGGGCTTTTGCTGATTATTGGCTGTAAATGACAGATTTAATATGTCCCACTGACAGCAAGACTGAAAAGAGGAAACCCATTCTCCAGTGAAATGTGAGAATGCCTATCCATATTTAAACAGGCTTCTCAATCTAAGCCCAGGGATAAGTTAACAAAATATGTGAGTCTACCACCAGTATTATCTTAAGAAATGAATCCTGGGCTTATTCCATTAATGAATAAGTAATACTGATTATTTTAATCTGTCTGGTAAAACATTGGAAGCACAAATAATTAACATATATACAACACTATACCCATACAATTTCTAAACTTATGCAATATAACCTCTGATGAACCTGCTAAAATAAACTGGTTGTAAAATATGTGCCTAGATATCTAAAAGAACTAGCCTAAAAAAATAGTTGGAAGGTATAACTAGGTGATATATTGAAAAACAGTTTCCAGAATTGATTTGGATTTGGATAGATTTATCTTAAACCTTCTTGTCTAGGCAGCAATCATATATAAAAGCCGATTGACTAATAAGGGCCATTTCCAGTTTTTTACCTTAAAAATTGTCACATGATTATCTCAATAGATGCAGAAAAGGCCTTTGACAAAATTCAACAACTCTTCATGCTAAAAACTCTCCATAAATTAGGTATTGATGGGACATATCTCAAAATAATAAGAGCTATCTATGACAAACCCACAGCCAATATCATACTGAATGGGCAAAAACTGGAAGCATTCCCTTTGAAAACTCGCACAAGACAGGGATGCCCTCTCTCAACACTCCTATTCAACATAGTGTTGGAATTTCTGGCCAGGGCAATCAGGCAGGAGAAGGAAATAAAGGATATTCAATTAGGAAAAGAGGAAGTCAAATTGTCCCTGTTTGCAGATGACATGATTGTATATCTAGAAAACCCCATCGTCTCAGCCCAAAACCTCCTTAAGCTGATAAGCAACTTCAGCAAAGTCTCAGGATACAAAATCAATGTGCAAAAATCACAAGCATTCCTATACAATAATAACAGACAAACAGCCAAATCATGAGTGAACTCCCATTCACAACTGCTTCAAAGAGAAGAAAATACTTAGGAATCCAACTTATGAGGGATGTGAAGGACCTCTTCAAGGAGAACTACAAACCACTGCTCAATGAAATAAAAGAGAATACAAACAAATGGAAGAACATTCCATGCTCATGGGTAGGAAGAATCAAAATCATGAAAATGGCCATACTGCCCAAGGTAATTTACAGATTCAATGCCATCCCCATCAAGCTACCAACGACTTTCTTCACAGAATTGGAAAAAACTACTTTAAAGTTCATATGGAACCAAAAAAGAGCCCACATTGCCAAGTCAATCCTAAGCCAAAAGAACAAAGCTAGGGGTATCACGCGACCTGACTTCAAACTATACTACAAGGCTACAGTAAACAAAACAGCATGGAACTGGTACCAAAATAGAGATATAGACCAATGGAACAGAATAGAGCCCTCAGAAATAATGCCACGTATCTACAACTATCTGATCTTTGACAAACCTGACAAAAACAAGAAATGGGGAAAGGATTCCCTATTTAATAAATGGTGCTGGGAAAACTGGCTAGCCATATGTAGAAAGCTGAAACTGGATCCCTTCCTCACACCTTATATAAAAATTAATTCAAGATGGATTAAAGACTTAAATGTTAGACCTAAAACCATAAAAACCCTAGAAGAAAACCTAGGCAATACCATTCAGGACATAGGCATGGGCAAGGACTTCATGTCTAAAACACCAAAAGCAATGGCAACAAAAGACAAAATTGACAAATGGGATCTAATTCAACTAAAGAGCTTCTGCACAGCAGAAGAAACTACCATCAGAGTGAACAGGCAACCTACAAAATGGGAGAAAATTTTTGCAATCTACTCATCTGACAAAGGGCTAATATCCAGAATCTACAATGAACTCAAACAAATTTACAAGAAAAAAACAACCCCATCAAAAAGTGGGTGAACAATATGAACAGACACTTCTCAAAACAAGACATTTATGCAGCCAAAAGACACATGAAAAAGTACTCATCATCACTGGCCATCAGAGAAATGCAAATCAAAACCACAATGAGATATCATCTCACACCAGTTAGAATGGCAGTCATTAAAAAGTCAGGAAACAACAGGTGCTGGAGAGGATGTGGAGAAATAGGAACACTTTTACACTGTTGGTGGGACTGTAAACTAGTTCAACCGTTGTGGAAGTCAGTGTGGCGATTCCTCAGGGATCTAGAACTAGAAATACCATTTGACCCACCAATCCCATTACTGGGTATATACCCAAAGGACTATAAATCATGCTGCTATAAAGACACATGCACACGTATGTTTATTGTGGCAATATTCACAATAGCAAAGACTTGGAACCAACCCAAATGTCCGTCAATGATAGACTGGATTAAGAAAATGTGGCACATATACACCATGGAATACTATGCAGCCATAAAAAAGGATGAGTTTATGTCCTTTGTAGGGACATGGATGAATCTGGAACCCATCATTCTCAGCAAACTATTGCAAGGACAAAAAACCAAACACCGCATGTTCTCACTCATAGGTGGGAATTGAAAAATGAGAACACTTGCACACAGGAAGGGGAACATCACACACTGGGGCCTGTTGTGGGGTTGGGGGAGGGGGGAGGCATAGCATTAGGAGATATACCTAATGTTAAATGACGAGTTACTGGGTGCAGCACACCAACATGGCACATGTATACATACGTAACTAACCTGCACGTTGTGCACATGTACCCTAAAACTTAAAGTATAATTAAAAATAAATAAATATAAAGAAAGAAATACACCAAAATATTAAAGATAAAAAAAAGTGTCATTGTTCTAAAATCAAAGGAATATCTTCTTCTTTTACATGAAATACTGCTGGGTTAAGAGTAGAAGTGAGGCCGAGCGCGGTAGCTGACGCCTGTAATCCCAGCACTTTAGGAGGCTGAGGCGGGTGGATCATGAAGTCAGGAGATCGAGACCATCCTGGCTACAGTGGTGAAACCCCGTCTCTACTAAATGTATAAAAATTAGCTGGGCCTGGTGGCAGGTGCCTGTAGTCCCAGCTACTTGGGAGGCTGAGGCAGGAGAATGGCATGAACCCGGGAGGTGGAGCTTGCAGTGAGCCAAGATCACGCCATTGCACTCCAGCCTGGGTGACAGAGCAAGACTCTGTCTCAAAAAAAAAAAAAAAAAAAAAAAAAGAAGAGGAGAAGTGAGACTGTTAATAGGGAACATATGAGTAGACCTTTCTTGAAATTATTATCATAGCATTAGGATACGTTAAGAAGAGGAGCCAGACGTACCCTTATTTATCCCATTAGAAATTATTAAATAATCTATCAAGATACCATTCAGACAAATCTAGGTTCTCAAAGTAGTTTTAAGATTATATTGAGAATCAATAACTCATCCAGTCTAGCTAATAATGAGTTTATGTTTGGGGACAAGGGTGAGAAAGAAGTCAATCAGATCTGCAAAAGAAATTCATATGTTAGGCCAGGGCGCGGTGGCCCACTCCTGTAATCCCAGCACTTTGGGAGGCCGAGGTGGGTGGATCACAAGGTCAGGAGTTCGAGACAAGCCTGTGAAACCCCGTCTCTACTAAAACACAAAAATTAACCAGGTGTGGTGGCATGCGCCTGTAGTCCCAGCTACTCGGGAGGCTGAGGCAAGAGAATCTCTTGAACCCAGGAGGCAGAGGTTACAGTGAGCTGAGATCACACCACTGCACTCCAGCTTGGGCAACAGAAAGAGACTTTCTCAAGAACAAACAAACAAAAATTCATATGTTTATCTTGAAATGTTCCTTGCACTATAATAAAATACAGAGATACAGAAACCTCATGCAGAATATTAGCCTGAGAATCCAATGCTTGTGATTTACCAACAAACAAACACATAGTCTGGACAGAATATCTAGTAAACTAAATGGCCTATAATTTGGGGAGAATAAAGGTTGCCACTGAAGAATAGAAAGGACTAAAGTCTGATTTTAATCTGAAATGAACACACTTTGGAAGTTTACCCTTAATGAGTAAAGAAATTAGAAAAGGCCAGAGCCAAGTATTTGAAATAAAATCCTTGTACTTTCCTGGAAATAGAAAATCTAGGCATTCTACTTACTTAACTATATGTGGAAGTGTAAGTGGGAAGCATAATTCTCCTGTTATTATGGAGTTAGTAAATACAAACAGGCTCCTCTCATAAGAACCGCTTTTACCTGCATGGAGGTGGGTGGAGGGATGGAAAATTTTGTATAAAATTTGATATGAGCTCACTCAAGTGGCCTTCTCAAAATGTGGCTTCCAATGTTGCCTCTTTAATCCAGTGCCAGGTTTCTCATTAGTTTGACCAGTCTGAATCATCAAGGTGACTTGGGGAATAATATGTGCTGAATAAGGTAAAAGGCTATTTCTTTACTTCTGGAAGTGTAGTATATGGATTTGAAACCAGAGTTCCTACAGCCAGTTTTCCCCCAAGAGGAAAACATGGGGACATAGACATGAGAATTTCATAGGAAAGGAGCCAGAACTCTTATAAATTGCACTGAAAAATCACCCTATCACTAGAATTTTCTTTGATGTGGCTGTGTTGGATTTCCATTGCTGCATAACAAATTACCACAAACAGTGGCTTCAAACAATACCCATTTATAAGCTCACAGTTCTGTAGATCAAAAATTCAGCATAAACATCATACTCAGTAAATAGCAAGGCTGAAATCAAGGCTCTCGCTAGGCTGAGTAATTCTCTGTAAGCTCTAGGAAAAAATGCATTTCATCAACAAGAAGTTCATTCTTGTTGCTGGCAGGATTCAGCTCCTTGTGGTTGTAGGAAAGAGGTCCCTATTTCCTTGCTGGCTATCAGCTAGGAATTTCTCTCAGCTCGCAGAGGCTGCCTGCATTCTTTGCCAGATGGCCCCCTCCATCTTCAAGAGGGCAGTTTTGCCTGAAATCTTTCTTGTGCCTCATCACTAACTTCCTCGTCTGCAACTAGGCAGAGAAAAAAATTTTAAAAGGCTCATATGAGGGTCGGAGGCGGTGGCTCATGCCTGTAATCCCAGCACTTTGGGAGGCCAAGGCGGGCAGACCACCTGAGGTCTGGAGTTCAAGGCCAGCCTGGCCAACATGGAGAAATCCCGTCTCTACTAAAAATACAAAATTAGCCGGGTGTGGTGGTGCATTCTTGTAATCCCAGCTACTCCGAAGGCTGAGAGAGGAGAATGGCATGAACCTGGGAGGCAGAGCTTGCAGTGAGCCGAGATCGCGCCACTGCATTCCAGCCTGGGCGACAGAGCAAGACTCGGTCTCAAAAAAAAAACAAAAAGAAAAGAAAAAGAAAAAAAAAAAAAAGGAGGCTCATATGACTAGTTGACTACCATCCAGATAGTCTCCCTATTTTAAGGTCAACTGATTTGAGATCTTATTTATATCTGCAAAATCTTTTCACAGCAGTACCTAGATTCAAGTTTAACCAATTAACTAGGAGACAGTATACACCGAGGACTAAGAATCACAGAATATCTTCTTAGAATTCTGCCTACCATATAAGCCAATACATTCACTTCAATTTTTAAATCAGTGTGAATCACATTCTCTGCTATTTATAAACAAAGGCCTTATAAATGATATACACCTTGAATGAAAGGACACACACATTGAAGTTAGTCACATTCAATTTGTGAGAACAATGATTCATTACAAAAAGGAACAAATTTCCACTATACGGCCCTCCAACATCTGAGAAAGAACAGTAGCCAGTCCATCTTAACATTTCTGAATATTCACATTCTTTTTCCAAAACTGGCTACTGAAAAGTTCCAGGAGGTAAATATGGTTGCTAGTGTCTAGTAGTTTCTGCAAATAATATTAAAGCTTACCAGAATCGCTAATATATCAAGATTTTTATCTTATCTGTCTCCAGTCTATAAACATTTTTTTATTCCTCTGATAAATTAGGTTTATGAAAGATGATTTGTAGAAACTAAAGCCTAGCCACTCTTCTATATGTTCTGTATTATTTCCATAGATCAAGCCATATCACCTTAAGAATACAAATTTTGATAATATTAACTTTAGAAACCCAGAATCATCTTCTTGGAGTTGTTTTTCAGTGTTAGGCCTTCTTTAATTAAAGAAATTTGTCACTACAGAAAATTCATTACTATATCATTTGCCAGTTCCTATGTAAAGCTCTCTATGAGAAACTACTTTGAGAATTAAGAGCTAGCAGTGGATATATTTTTATATTATAACAATGAACATGATGAAAGACACAAAGTACCGTTTCTTACTTTGACTGCAAGGAAGTTCAGAGCCATATTCAACTACCAACTATAATGAATATGTCTGACCTTAGGACAGCAAGTTTGTATTTTTCTTTTACCTTGTCTGTATTTCTATTCTACTAATATTCCTTGTTCTTCACACTGTGTTCAAGGTTATCTCAAATCCTGTGGCAAATGAGACTATATTTAAATAAAGGAATAAATAACTATATACATCAAGCACCATATGATGTTGTACCTATATTATGAATGCCTGAATTTTGTTTGGGGAATATAAAATAATTTGAATCATGTTGGGTTGAGAAGTAAAGATTAAGGACTAGGTCTTCTCCACTATAATGAGAAAAATATTCCAAAAGATCTGATTCAAAGAATGGACTTTATTTAAAAACTAAAATCATTCCTAGGCAAAAGCAAAACCCACTGGAATGAAAATTTAATCATGGAAAATTCCTTTCCTCTTCAATATTTCTAAGATGCCTCCTTTAAAGTTCAAATTTTAACTCCTTTAAATTCCTAGGTCTAAACACAAGAAAATTGGATAAAATGCTATTAATTCAAGGAAACCTGAAAAGGTCATTGTAAAAAGAATTCATATGTAAGGTAAGTCAAATCCTATTTCTCTTGACCAACATAGATATATTTTGAAGGACAAATTTACAAACAAACATAAACTATCTTTATAGCATTTGACTCATAAAATTTATAAACTTGGGTTTCACCATTTACAAAATGTAATTTTATAATTATGAGTTCACAAACATAATGGTCCCTAACGAATTACTGAAATTTCTCAGAAGATCAGCTTTACAGATTTAAATTTATCATAATCTGCATAAAATGTTTATCTAAAAAGTGGAATAAATGATATATCACTCATTAATTCCTTAGTTCTCAAATGGATCAAGCATGCAAACTTCAAAGAAACAAACATATTGGCAAGCAGTAAACTATGTATGTAGCAATAACTTAAACAATATTCTGTTTGATTGAGGGGAGTTTCCCAATGGAAAGTCTCATTACTTTGCTAAAATGAGCTAAATGCCCATTTTGTCTCTTCCATTTATCATACCCATAGCTTCCCATTGACAGATAAGGGGAGGTAGAGATGTAGGTAGAAAAGAGACAGGAAATAACATGAGTCAAACCATACAAACTAGTTATAATCACTGATTTATCTTTCCAAATGGCAATTGTTGGCAAATTGGCTATGGTTCCTTAGATTATGGATAATTTAAAATTATTAGAATGTTAAGCTAGAGATTTTTTTTGTATTGAAGTAAAAGAAAGTGATGAAATGGAATGCAGCTAGCATCCCACTAAATATTAGTATGTTTATGGAACTATCCATGTTTATAAAACTATTTATGTCTATAAATACATACTTTTTCATATTCCCTTACCAGATACATGATGTGCAAATATTTTCCCTTGTTAAGTGAGCTTTTTTTTTTGTGCTTTGGACTTTCAATTTTGATGTCCTTTTTTAAAATTTTTTTTTATTATACTTTAAGTTCTAGGGTACATGTGCACAACGTGCAGGATTTTTACATATGTATACATATGCCATGTTGGTGTGCTGCACCCAGTAACTCGTCATTCACATTAGGTATATCTCCTAATGCTATACCTCCCCCTCCCCCCACCCCACAACAGGCCCCAGTGTGTGATGTTCCCCTTCCTGTGTCCAGGCGTTCTCATTGTTCAATTCCCACCTATGAGTGAGAACATGCGGTGTTTGGTTTTCTGTCCTTGCAATAGTTTGCTGAGAATGATGGTTTCCAGCTTCATCCATGTCGCTACAAAGGACATGAACTCATCCTTTTTTATGGCTGCATAGTATTCCATGGTGTATATGTGCCACATTTTCTTAATCCAGTCTATCATTGTTGGACATTTGGGTTGGTTCCAAGTCTTTGCTATTGTGAATATTGCCACAATAAACATACGTGTGCATGTGTCTTTATAGCAGCATGGTTTATATTCCTTCAGGTATATACCCAGTAATGGGGATTGGTGGGTCAAATGGTATTTCTAGTTCTAGATCCCCGAGGAATCGCCACACTGTCTTCCACAACGGTTGAACTAGTTTACAGTCCCATCAACAGTGTAAAAGTGTTCCAATTTCTCCACATCCTCTCCAGCACCTGTTGTTTCCTGACTTTTTAATGACTGCCATTCTAACTGGTGTGAGATGATATCTCATTGTGGTTTTGATTTGCATTTCTCTGATGGCCAGTGATGATGAGCATTTTTTCATGTGTCTGTTGGCTGCATAAATGTCTTCTTTTGAGAAGTGTCTGTTCATATCGTTCACCCACTTTTTGATGGGGTTGTTTTTCTCTTGTAAATTTGTTTGAGTTCTTGACAAACCTGACAAAAATGAGAAATGGGGAAAGGATTCCCTATTTAACAAATGGTGCTGGGAAAACTGGCTAGCCATATGTAGAAAGCTGAAACTGGATCCCTTCCTTACACCTTATACAAAAATTAATTCAAGATGGATTAAAGACTTAAATGTTAGACCTAAAACCATAAAAACCCTAGAAGAAAACCTAGGCAATACCATTTAGGGTATAGGCATGGGCAAGGACTTCATGTCTACAACACCAAAAGCAATGGCAACAAAAGCCAAAATTGACAAATGGGATCTAATTAAACTAAAGAGCTTCTGCACAGCAAAAGAAACTACCATCAGAGTGCACAGGCAACCTACAGAATAGGAGAAAATTTTTGCAATCTAGTCATCTGACGAAGGGCTAATATCCAGAATCTAAGTGAGCTTTTTTACTTTCATGAGTGTTCTTTAGAGGACAAAATTTTAATTTTGATATTGTACAATGTATCTATTCTTTCTTTTGTTGTTTGTGCTTTTGGTATCAAATTTAGGAAACCACTGTAGATCCCAAAATCATGAGGATTTCTACTGTTATGTTTTCCTTCAAATGTTTTATGGTTCTACCTCTTAAATTTAGGCCTGCAATACATTTTGAGTTAATTTTTGTGTTTGGTATGAGGTAGAGATCAAACTTCATTCTTCTGCACATGGATATTTAGTTGCCCCAGCACCATTTTTTGAAAAAGCTATTCTTTCCCTATTAAACATTATTTTCATTTCTGTCAAAAGACGATTGTGTATGTGAGAGTTTTATAACAAAATTTTTATTGTTGTTTTACATGTGTTTACATTAAACTTTTACTAATACAAATTATTTCAGATAGCAAGCACTTCCTTTGGCTAAATTTAACTCTGTATTGAATTTATTTGTTGATCACGTAGAGAGAAATTATAAAAGTGGAGATGGGGATTAAATAGAAGTTGGGAAGAGGAGTATTGTAATGAAAAGAACACCAAAGTAGGGATCATGAGACCTGAATTCTAGACTTTTTGCTAATACCTATATGCATCACCCTGGGAAATCACTTAAAACTGGATCACATATCCAACTCTCATCTTATCCAACACTGATAATTTAAGAGACCCAGAACTGACATTTTTTTTTTTTTTTTTTTGAGACGGAGTCTCGCTCTGTCGCCCAGGCTGGAGTGCAGTGGCGCGATCTCGGCTCACTGCAAGCTCCGCCTCCCGGGTTCACGCCATTCTCCTGCCTCAGCCTCCCGAGTAGCTGGGATTACAGGCGCCCACCACCACGCCCGGCTAATTTTTGTATTTTTAGTAGAGATAGGGTTTCACCGTGTTAGCCAGGATGGTCTCGATCTCCTGACCTCGTGATCCACCCGCCTCGGCCTCCCAAAGTGCTGGGATTACAGGCGTGAGCCATCGCGCCCGGCCCAGAACTGGAATTTTTAAAGGAATATTTCTTTCATGGGTAATGTGTCCTGGAATATATTGTAACTGTGTAATGATAAGTTATATGCATGGACTGAGATATGTCACAGGACAAATTATGCTCTTCAGAAGATAACTATCACAGGTTCTTGAATAGCATCCATTTTATTATAATGAGAAAAAACTGATTCTTACTGGGGCTACTGTCTGTATGGTATTTGTACATTCTCCCCACGTCTGCGTGGATTTTTTCTAAGTACTATGATTTCTTCCCAAATCCCAAAGATGTGCAAGTTAGGTTAACTGGCATGTCTAAGTTGCCCCAGTATGAGTGAGTGGGGTGTGTGTGTGAGTGTGCCCTGTGACAGAATGGCATCCTGTCCAGATCTGGTTCCTGCCTAGGACCCTGAGCTGCTGGAATAAACAACAGCCACCCATGACCCTGAACTGTAAAAACTGGGTAAATAATGATTTTGCTTGTTTTTATTAATCTTTCTTAAATTTATGTATAGCTCACAATTATTTTATTGTTTAATATTAGAAGTGCTTAGAGATTTTATTTAGAAGTTTGGTGATGTTTTTGTGACCAAAAATATGCTGCAGGAACTTAAATCTTGTTTATATCAATTAGTGTATTGTTAAATTGACTTCTTTATACATCATTTCCATTAAAGTCACAGTTTTAAAGAACCTATCAATTATGTTAAGAGAGGACTTACTGTTCTATGATATGAATTGGTCTGATATTATCCAATTAATCCATGGGGTATGAATTGATAATATTTTCCCATACCTTGGGAAGTTTTTTTTTATCTATTTTCCATCACATGGTATGTATCTGCCTGTATATATGAATTGATAATATTTTCCCATACCTTGGGAAGTTTTTTTAATCTATCTTCCATCACATGGTATGTATCTGCCTGTATATATGTTTCTAAACTTGTCTCATTTATCCTCCAGTATTAGTTATTTTGGTATTATGAACAAATTTATTTGCATGAATTTATAATTAATAATTCAAAATTAAATTAAATTCAGTATTAATTTAAATACCAAATTAAAACATTACTATCAAATATTAAATTAAATATGTTGCTTATAATAAGCTTTCTTTCTTCGAGTGAACATTTGTCACCAATTGTAATAGAAACCCCTTGTCATACTGATATACCATAGAATACTGTCTGATGATAATCTTTTTTAAAGTCTGTATTTGAAATTGCAGAAAACAGGAAGCTATAAGCAATTATTTCTTTCTGTAGTTTGTTCTTTCAAGGTCCTACTGTAGTGAGTTGATAGCACTGGAACACTTTATCATATCACCAGAAAAAAAGAGAGAGAGAGGGAACTAACAGGACAAAATAACAACAACAAAAATCCCTATGTATTAGTGAGTGAGTGACCTTCATCTTAAAGCTTCCGTATCTCCTAGCCTATTCCGTTAGAATAAATATTGTTAGGATCACATACCCCATGCCTTCTGACTTTCTGAACTGATAGATAAAGTAGATTCTCCTTTTCTCCAGCAAGTTTGTAAGGTAAAGCACTTAGCATTCAGTCCAGCCTAGAGCATGCACAGACTGAAAAAATTTTCCTACCCTAAGAGGCCAGAGTTTGTACTTCCCTAGCATTTCAGAATGTTGTTTTATCTATCACAGGGTGAAGCAAAAGAAAAAGTAAAATTCTAAGAGCAGAGTAGAGTATAAAGATGTCTGTAAGGTTAAAAATAAATATTTTCGTGGGAAACTCGGTCCCCTGTCTTGGTTTCTATGCTAAGCACTGTACCTTAACGAGGTTATAAAATCTACATGATAATCTGGTGTAGCTAAAAATCCCACTAAGCTATTAAAAAATGTTCAGACCATGCATTTATAGGTGATGATGATTTCTGAGAAGATTAAGATCCTCTAATTATATACTTCACTAATAAGTCTTTCAGAGGCATCTATGATCTGAAATAAGATGACGACCCACTTATTATCATGTCTGTGGTCAGGATAACACTATGTATCCTAAACTCTCATGATTCCCAGGAAACTAGTCAGTCCAAATGGCGCGGCATTTTCTTGCTCTTCAAAAACTTAAATATTGCTGCTCCTCACCTCACTAATCATATCTCTTCATATTATTCATGTATTAAAAACAATTATCACTCTAGATAACATAGTGAGACCCCTTCTCTACAAAAAAAAAAAAAAAGCCAGGCATGGTAGCATGTGCCTGTCATCCTAGCTACTCAGGAGGCTGAGGTGGAAGGATCACTTGAGCCCAGCAGGCCGAAGCTACAATGAGCCAAGATCACACCACTGCACTCCACCTTGGGCAACAAAGTGAGACCCTGTCTCTAAAAATAATTAAATTACATTAAATTAAAAGATTAAAAGCCTTAAAAAATCTTATCAATTCCCCAAATCCAAAAGTCCCCAGTGCCTCCAGGAAATCCTCTGTATTGATAGAGACTTACTTTTAATATTTTCTATTTTAAACTTACTTTCTGCTACAATATTTTTCAGCTCTTTGTTTTCTTTCCCAAGAGCAGTGTGAACTCTGAACGCTGAGGCAGAATCTTATGTAGCATAGCATCATCTCTTAATCTTTTCCCTTATAGGAAGCATCCACATAAATCAATCATAAACTACAAAATACTAGGTCAAAGGAATACATTATAATCACAGTTATGCACTGCATAACGATGTTTTGGTAAATGATGGACCACATATACAAGAGTGGTCTCATAAGATCATAATACCATATTTTACTGTACATTTTCTATGTTTAGATACACAAACAATTACCATTGTGTTACAATTGTCTACTGTATTGAGTACAGTATAGTAACATGCTTGCAGGCTGACAGCCTAGAGCAAGAGCCTATATCATAGCCTAGCTGTGTAGTAGGCAATACCATCTAAGTTTGTGTAAGTACACTCTATGATGTTCGCATAATAACAAAATTGCCTTATGACATATTTCTTAGAATGTATCCCAATCATTAAGTGACGTGTGACCATACATTAGATTTTAATGAACATTTTTTGTACCTGCTGATTGAGAGCAGGTACAGAGTCTCACTCTTCAATGTATCCCCAGTGCTTGAAACTTTGTAATTGCCCATTTATGTCATGTTAATTGACAGATAGATTAATAAATAAATGATGCTAAGAGAGAATGAGAAAAAGTAAAAATAAAAAAGATTATTCTTTTATTGTAATATCTGATACTAAGCCACCATTGCCTATTGGTTAAAACAACAAAAAAATTATTTGAACAAATGTTTAACCATAGAAGATATATGGATAACAAATAAGCACATAAAAAAGATCAACATCATTAGTGAATAAAGAAATAAAAATTAAATAACAATGAGATATCACTACATACTTAGTAGACTGACCAGAATTAAAAAGACGGCCTATACCAAGTGTCGTTGGGGTTACAGAGGAAGTGGAACTCTCATACACTGCTGATGGGAATGAAAATGGTACAACTACCTTGGAAAACAATTTGGCAGTTTCTTAAAAAGTAATAATCCAGCCATTCTATTCCTATGTGTTTATTTAAGAGAAATAAACATACATGTCTATACAAAGACTTGTACGCAAATGTTAAAAGCATCTTTTTTGTAATTGCAAAAATCTGAAAACAATCCAAATGTCCGACACATGAATGAATAAACAAATGGTGATATACCCTTCCAATGGAACACTACTCAACAATAAAAAAGGAACAATCTCTTGAACTTGCTACAACATGGATGGATGCTGGGCAAAAGAAGTCAGACTAAAGAGTACATACTGAGTGATTCCATTCATATAAAATTCTTATCTATAGTGACAGAACTAATCAATAGTAAAAGTTAGCAGATCAGTAGTAACCTGGGATTAGAAAGGTGAGTGAGAAAATGGAATTAAAACAAGTCATGAAGAAATTTTTGCAGGTAATGAATATCTCATTACATTGTAATGATGAATTCACAAACGTACACATCAAAACTTCTCAAATTGCACAATTTAAATATGTGTAGTTTATTGTATATCAGTTTTACCTAAATAAAACTATTCAAAAAGATAGCCTAATGAATTCTTGAAATAATTTATCTGTATATATTATTTGGTGAAAATGATCTATAAAGAGATATCATTTCAGATTTTTAATTAGCTCATAACACCCCTTCCCTTCTCTGGCATCTGCTCAACAATTTTCAGTGCTAGGTGTTAGGTTCATATGAGATATAATTTGATATAATAATTATAAGATATTTATAAATACATTTTAAGCATTTTTATACTATTTTGAAATATTATAATTATAAAATTATCAAATATTACTTATGATTATGAATTAGAATATAAATATATATTACATGAATAATGTAAATATATAAAGAATCACTCACATTGTTGAAACTCTCTTAGGTCCCTTCCCTGCACTTAAAATATAATCCAAATTCTTTACTAAGGTTTTGAAATCTCCCTTCATGACTGTTTCTTTAATGTCTTAACACTCTTAACAGTGGATCACAATGCTGCAGTCAGATTGGCATTCTTTTGTTCCTCCTACAATGCTAAGCTCCATTATCCAACAGGACCATTGCACTTGCTGAGCCTTTGTTAGAATCCCTCTCCCTGAGGTCAGCATCTCAATTTCTACCTCCTCAGGGAAGCCATCACTTATAATACAATCCAAATAGTCAGTTATACTCCTTCTAAGTCACTCTATATCATATAAATCAGTTTTATTTCCTTCATTGCCCTGATTTCTAAATTTGTCCTATTTATTTATTTGTTTGCTTACTGTATATTATCTGACTTCCATCACTGGAATGTAACTACAATGTGGCCATGAACTTTGTGTTGTTAACCTTTTTAACCACCAAGCTGAGAACATGCCTGAAACACAGAAAGCATTCAATACATTTTTTTTGTTTTTCTAAAATAAATGAAAAGTCAAGTACTACAGTATATTTTGTGTGGTAAGCAAGCCTGGTTGCTAACAGGTAGGTTGTTTTCTCATGGCTGTTCCATGGAGAGCGTTATACTGATTTTAAACGGTTAGCTTTGGAAGAATTAGTTCCATGATAATTTTTGCCATTAAGATAGATTGATTC
Organism: Homo sapiens; assembly: GCF_000001405.40. Classification (NCBI taxonomy): domain Eukaryota; kingdom Metazoa; phylum Chordata; class Mammalia; order Primates; family Hominidae; genus Homo; species Homo sapiens. The sequence goes on along the minus strand of NC_000003.12, from coordinate 174,700,395 downwards.
TAAGATTACAATGAGTAGATGTCAATATATTTCACATGAAATATAAAATTAAGTAAATTGAATTTTAGCCCATGTATTTTCAGAGCAGTACTATTTTTAAAACTTGAATTATTTACTAATTTATTTCCATAGTCTTACAGTTCTACGCTGAAAAAAAAAAAAAAAACTGTGGCAAAAAATCTACAAACTATGGAACTTCCACTTTCAGCCACTTTTGGTAGATTAAATAACCCTGAGGCCCTTCCTCAGTAGAACTAGATCTTGCAGCAAATACATTTTTTTTTTCAGATCAATGCTTTCAGAATAATTAAGAGAAATCTTCAAATAGCCAAATAAACCAACAAGTAAGTAAACAAACACAGTAACTAGTCTGGAAAGACAAGAGGGAGAATTGAACCTGACACTTCCAGCAATGGCTATGCAAGAGAAAAAATTAAATCTGACCTTCCCAGAAACTACCTGGGACCCTAAAAGGGGAATAAGTTTCCCTAAGATCAGTAATTCCCCAAAAGTCTAAGCAGAAAAAAATATACAATCTTCTCAAAAAAAAAAAAAAAAGCATCTTAAAATGAGGGCCTTAAATGTTCCACAGATTAAAATTAACCACATATGAACTCATATATAATGCTTAGAAACACCACAAAAACGAGACCTCATAAGTTAGCAGGAACAACAAAATAATATTTTATACCAGCAAGGGAATTCCACAGAATTACTGGTAGATACATAAAACTATGTTTACATAAATATAATGTCATAAATAAGAACTAGCAACATTTTGTTATCAAAAATTAACAGGAAGAATTGAATCAAATTAAATATCAAACTGAGTAATAAAATATAATTGGTCAAATTAGAAATGTATGGCTAAACACCATCTAAGAATTTTTTTTTTTTTTTTGAGATGGAGTTTTGCTCTTATTGCCCAGGCTGGAATGCAATGGTGTGGTCTTGGCTCACTGCAACCTCCGCCTCCCAGGTTCAAGGGATTCTCCCCTGCCTCAGCCTTCAAGTAGCTGGGACTACAGGCACGTGCCACCACACTCAACTCATTTTTGTTTTAGTAGAGACGAGGTTTCACCATATTGGCCAGGCTGGTCTCAAACTCCTGACCTTATGATCCTCCTGCCTTGGCCTCCCAAAATGCCGGGATTACAGGCATGAGCCACTGTGCCCGGCCCACCACCTTAGATTTAACTAAATTAAGAATAAAATAAGTGGATGATAAAGAAATTACTCATAATGTTACAAAGGAAGTAAATGTGATGCAGAATTTATGGAGTACTAAATATTTGCAGGATCGAATGTAAAGGTCCATTATTCATCTACATGGAATCACAGGAGAAGAGGTTTAAGAAAAGGCAGTATTTAAATAACTATTCAGCTTTGAATTTCCAAAACTGATGAAAAGAAATGTATATATATATACACGCACACACACACACACATTCATATATATATATAAATATATACACATATATGAAGCACAAGCACAATAGATTCTAAATAGAATTTTTTTTTTTTTCTTCTTTGAGACGGAGTCTCGCTCTGTCACCCAGGCTGGAGTGCAGTGGCGGGATCTCGGCTCACTGCAAGCTCCGCCTCCCGGGTTCACGCCATTCTCCTGCCTCAGCCTCCCAAGTAGCTGGGACTAAAGGCGCCCGCCACTACGCCCGGCTAATTTTTTGTATTTTTAGTAGAGACGGGGTTTCACCATTTTAGCCGGGATGGTCTCGATCTCCTGACCTCGTGATCTGCCCGCCTCGGCCTCCCAAAGTGCTGGGATTACAGGCGTGAGCCACCGCGCCCGGCCATGAAATTTTAAAAATAAATAGGAGTCTACAGCAAAACAAGGAAACTAGAGAATCTCAAAAACAAAGAATATTTACAAGCCATCAAAAAGAAGACAGATCTATTGTAGTTTGATAATTACATTGTAGACTTCTTAATGGCGACTATGAAAGCCAGAAAAGAGTAGAATATTATCTTCAAAATCCTGAGAGGAAATGTCTCTCTACCTAGAATCATAGAACCAGTAAAATTATCTTTCAAGAATTAGGGTAAAATTAAAACAGCATCAGATAAAATCTATGAGAGTTTACCACCAACATGTGATTATAAACAATGCTATTTCAGGTAAAAAAAAATATGGAAACAGATTAACTAAATAATCCTACCCAAAACTATATTTTTCTAGTATTAAACTCAATATTAATGATTTCCTCCCAGGAAAATAACATTATATATTACACAATACATTTATTTTTATCGGTTTTATATTTATTGGTATTTATTATTATTTTTTTGAGACGGAGTCTTGCTCTGTCACCAGGCTGGAGTGCAGTGGCAGGATCTTGGCTCACTGCAACCTCTGCCTCCTGGGTTCAAGCGATTCTCCTGGTTCAGCCTCCTGAGTAGCAGGGACTACAGGTATGTGCCACCACACCCAGCTAATTTTTTTGTATTTTAGTAGAGACCGGGTTTCACCACATTGGCCAGGATGGTCTCAATCTCCTGACTTCGTGATCCACCCACCTCGGCCTCCCAAAGTGCTGGGATTACAGGCATGAGCCACCGCGTCCAGCCATTTATTGGTATTTATTTTATGGGTATATAAGAGCTTTAAGCTTTTGAAATGTATATTTAGTTTCAAGTTTTTACATATTTATTTTTAATAAGAAAAATATAAGTGAAAACTAGGGGCCATGATGCATTGTATTTAAGGGAGTCACTGAAACAATTTAAAAATGATAAACACTGAACTTGAAAATCCCTCATACCTGCCTCAGTTCTAATATTACAATTTCCCTTCTATATCAATCATATTATGTGTCATTACCCTGTCAGCTTCAACATACCCTTGTATCTTGCTGTCATTAAGCCTGTTTATTGTGTGTGAAAAAAGAAGCATCCTTCAACCTTTCAGGAAGCTGAACTAATGTGACTTACTGGAAGGCTTCAAATTTATCTCCATTAGGTCTTCTAAGGGATATTACACTTCTGCAATCATAAAAATTTACTTTTAACAGAATTTTCCAGGCATAGGAAACGTTTAAGTGATTATGCCTTTTATGTTGTATACAAAGTTGAAAACTCCATGTAAGTGCTTGTTTTTTGATCATCTTTCTAAGAAAATATCATATTTTGACTTTTCTCTCTGTCCTATTATCTTCCCAGAAGAGGCAATGATTGTTCCATAGTATAAACTCTTTAAGAATAAGTAAAATTATGGCATTGCTATCATCAAGATGCTTTATTTTCTATGCGTATTTTTTTACTGCAAAGTCAGAGCCATACAAACTATTTTCCAAGTTTGTTCAATTATATATTTGCCAAACAACTGGCAAATGAGAAATGCTTTTACAATTTAAAATATTTTATATTTTACAATATTTCTTTTTGTATGAGTCTACTTGATTAGAAGATTTGCCTTGTTCTTGTTCTGCTTAAAACCAGCTGCCTTGAATTTTACACTTGTTGAACCAGAATTAAGCAAGACTTGCTAAGAACGGCTATTTTTATAATGCTCAAAAATCAAAGGATGAGCCATGTTGAGGAGTTAAACTTTAAAACACATTCAGAATATTATTTTTAATGAACTGGCATGTTTATTATTTTTCTCAGATATATTTATATTTCAAATGAAAGCAGTTACAAAATACACAATTATTTTTCAGGAAATTAAAGCAAAAAATGCATACAACATGGTTTAATAATCCTAGATCAGTAATGGAAAAAATATATCTGTAGTTCTACTCTGCCATTAAATAAGTAGGGCTTTTTTTTTTTTTTTTTTTTTTTTAGATAACTACACCTGCCTGACCCCTAATTTTTTTCAAAGATAAAATAAAGGCGGTGAGAAAAAGGTAAGGTAATTAATAAATGATAGCAGTATCAGTCAAGAATGTTTTTAACCATAGGTACTTGAAAATTAAACTGATAATTACTTAAACAGCCAAGGTGTTTATTTTTCCCACATAAGTCTAGCACTCATACAACAAGAAATATGAATTATGTACATCAATAGACACCCAGATGCTATCATATGTCTACTCTTCAAATTTGGCCAGTGGATTTTAGTCTTCCTTGATGCAAGAAAGCCACCATAGCTCCAAGTATTATGCATATAATTGAGTAAATAATAAGTCATAGATGTCTACTTTATAATATTAATTTATAAGTAATAAGAAGAGATATTATTTTGTACTAAAGCCTCCCACCACACTCATCCTATGTAATACTTCCCATTACACCTCACTATCCAGAATTAGGTAACATATCCAAACTAATTTAAAAGTAAGGTAGATTAAAAGGGCAATGTGATTATCGGGATTGGGTTAAACCAGTGTTTCTTACTGGAGATCTCAGGAGCATTTTAGCCTGGAAAAATCTTTGTTATGCAGTATCATTCTGTATATTCCAGGACATTTAGCATCCATAGACCAGGATCACTGAATGTCAATACTATCTCTTAGCCCTTTGACAGTCAAAAATCTGCTCAAATATTTCTAAATGCCCACTAGAGGGATGTTACTTTTGCAGGCTATGATTTATTGGATGATATTGGGCATATTTTCACCCTGAAAAACCTGAAATTTTATTGCAAATTAAGAAGTGATATATGGTAGGAAATTGCATTGCTTACAATAAATTCTAAGTTCCTTTTCAGTTTTAATGTCTATAGTTCTATGAAGATGCCTTAGGTTTAGACAAACTCATTTGCTTATAAAAATATTTTGATATTCCAGCATTGTATGCTCCCTACCAAACAATCCAATAATATACTCTTTAATATAAGCTTATGTATTTCTTTTAGTTTCAGTATGACACTGTTACACTTATCTAGTGATATAAAATTTAAAATATTGGGGCATTTTGACATCCTTGTTGGGAAATTAGTGTTTTGTGTCATATTGGGCAGAGAGAGAGACTCAAAAGGACAACAGAAAGCAGAAGAGTTACTGGTTATATCAAAAATGATCTTATGTCTATGGTTCAGGAGAAAGATGAGAATGAAAGAATCTGAACTCCTGTACTTACCCTGTATACTAAAATATCTACTATTTCATCTGCCATTGGTGGTTCTAAGTATGCTGCCTATTTTGTATTAAGTATAATGAAATTAAAATGTTCTCATTACATAAAATTCTAACATAGACTCTCGACACATGATAACTAAGGACTGTCTTATTCACACCTTTATGTCAAATGAAGAATGTAGCAAACAATGGTCAGTTAATGTTTATTGAATAAATATATTTTAGCTTTTGAATCTTATACCTAAGTGACATGGCAGCAAGGGGAAGAAAACAGACAATAAAATCCCTTTCTGTCTTAATAATATTTTGTATCACATTCTTATGTACTTAAAATTATAACTATATTCAAGCATTAAGCAAGTTAGACAATGAATTCCTTGCTTCTAATCTAGAAGTGGTGGTTTTAAAACTTTAGAGCCCTTGGAATTTTATAGAGGTGCCTCAAGATTTGGGAGAGGGCTTGTTGGCAGCTACATGGAAGAATATTAATGGGCAGTACTTAACCTTTTACACCTGCTATAAACATGCATTCTATTTTAATATATTTTATTTGTGTTCTGTGTAAAATTTAACATAAAAACACACTAAAAATACTTTGTGGAATACTAGTTAACAAAAATGGATAGGTGGGAGATTATTGCTCCATTCTCATGTATAAAGAGTCTCTTCAAAGTTTGCTCAAAGAAGTCTACTTTCCAAAGAATATTAACAACTTCCCCAAAACAAAAGTTACCTTGATGACATCCAGCAAAAATGAAGGCCCTAGAATCTTTTCTTCATTTGTATCAATAACAATGCCCCCTGAGGTACAAATTCAAACTGCCCTCAAAGTGAAGCCTTTTTATTCAACATTCATTCTGAAATTGTTCCAGGTATTAGGAAAAGAAATACCTAAGACATGATTTCTTCTCTCAAAGAGTTTACTAGAAATTACATAATAGGTATGCAAAGATATGCAAAGATACATATCCATTATTATATCTGTATTTCTATCCTCTTCTTAGAGAATCAGGTCCATCTATGACCCTCTAGGAACAGTCCGACATAACATAGGCTTCATTTTTTCAGCCATAGTTACTAAACTAAGAACAGATAGCTTATACAAATTCAGCCAATTTTATTCTCTCTATGTGGAATTTGGAGTTAGGTCTCTAATTCTGACTCAATGTGGTATGAAGAGGAAGGGATAGGGAAATGTATGGCAAAAGAGAGTCAGAGTTGGCATTTGTGCAAGATAAAGCCACATGGCTGAAATTACAAAGGGAAAGGGTCTGAAGGTCTTGCAAAGATAACCAATTTGCAGAGGTGTATGTAAGACTTGTGGAAAGAAAGACACTAGTAGAAAAGAATATATGACCCCAAAGTCAGAGAGAAGAAACTACAGCTTTCCAGTTCCAATGTTAATTCTGGCAAATGGATTCTTTGATATTCCTCAGGATCCTTATAATGAACTTCCTTTACGTTGTAGTTAGAGTGGATATGAGTGCCTCTTTCTTCAGCTAAATGATCTGTGACTAGAAGAGGGAGAGTGGCACGCAAATGACATATGTACACACTCTCTATAAACCACGCAAATGTCATTATTGTTATCCATGCCACATTAACTTTTAAACTTTCCTCCTTATCTTCCATTGTTTATTCCCTGTATCCCTTGCCTCCTATTCCTCTCCCCAACATATTACTAATGATCAGTTTTATTCCTTTTCTTGCTTCTTCAATTCCACTCGCTAAATTGCAGTAACTGTTTTTATCGTGCTTAAAGGCAATTCAAAGATATGTTACAAAAGCCTTTTCAACATACTCTGAATTGAATTGTTTAGGCATATTTTTTGCCGGGAAGAAACAAAATAAAATTTGTATTAGCTTTCTGGTCATAGATCCTGAATACTGGAGTTGGAAAATTTCTTGGTAGTAAAATAAAGACCAAAAGATGAACAATTTATTTTCCAAAATGCATTTAAGAAAACATTCCTTCATGATGCTTCCAGATAAATTGTGTTTTAGGAAAGATGCAACACCCTATGGTCCACTTCTACCAAGTAAAACATTTGAAAGTTTGACATGAATTAAGAAAAGTGAATGCAGTAAACTCTCCATGTCATAAAACAGGTTTTCATACACTCAAGCTGCATGGACTTTAGCATTCAGTTCTAAATGAACCAAAGTTAAGCAATAATAATTAAAGCCAAGAACATCCTGGTGAATAGTGATTGGATGTTAACTCCTGATGGCCCTAAGAGCAGTACTGGAAGAACAGTGCCTACTGGGTCTTAATCCACAAGAGATATCATGAACTTAGACTTCTACTTTGATCACAGACTTAAAGTGATACAGAGGAATTAATTATCATTTATTATTTTACTGGTTGGTATTTATATTCTGTATGTTGAATCTCAAGAAAGGTATGAGTTCATATGGGTCCCTACAAATAGAACCTTTTATACCAATAATTTTATTATCAAGTTGAGTTCAGGAACAAAATGAAGTAAAATATGAAAACTTGTTTAAAAGAGACAATAATGATTGCAGTATTTTACACAGCATTTTTACATATATACTTCCTCCTAACAAGCATATGAAATATAAACAACACATAGCCAAGTTTGTTATTGGTTTCTTATGTGTCAGGATATACTTCATCTATTTTAAAGATGTAAATTCTGAAACATGAATGGGCTTAGTAATTTGTCCTAGTATAGAGGTTTCCGAACATTCTTTTTTGGTGGTACCCTTAGTATCTCAGAAATATATCCATAGTGGCCCTAAGCCAAAAGACTTAAAATACAGCTTCCAGAACAGCAGCATGAGGAATGAGCAGCACTCTCATCCCAATGGCACAACCATAACAACTGAAAAATTACAAAAAAATAGCCAAAGTTTATGGAAATTGTTTTAAGTTTGTATAATAAAATGGAAATATTTATTTTTAAAAAATCTACTAAATCTCAGTAGGAACAGAGACTAATGCACTTGAGCCATAACTTGTTCTTTCTCTTCCCTCCTGAGCTCATTATGCGTGATCCAAAAATTTACATGGAAACCCAAATAGTTAAAACAATCATAAACAAGAAGAGCAAAGCCAGAGGCGTTCCATTACTTGATTTCAAAATCGATTCTGCAACCCATAGATTAAGGAGTCATTTCAAGTCTTATTGTTTAAGAAATACATTTGGTAAGGTTACAGCTGCCATACATAGTGATTCCTCTGATTGAGCTGGGTGAGGGAAATTGAAAACTTTCTGTACAATATTCGCCATTCAAGATGCCATTAAGAACATTCATGGGAGGAGGTCAACATACCAATATTAACAGGAGTTTTGAAGAAGTGGATTTCAACCCTCAAGGATGACTTGGAGTGTTTCAAGACTTCAGAGGAAGAAGTAACTGCAGATGTGGTAAAAGTAGCAAGAGAAATTGAATTAGAAGTAGGGTCTGAAGATATGACTGAATTGCTGCAATCTAATAATCAAACTTGAACTGATGAGGAGCTGCATCTTATGAATGAGCAAAGAAAGTGATTTCATGAGATGAAACCTACTACTTCTGAAGATGTCACGAACAGTGTTGAAATAACAAGAGAAGATTTAGAATATTACATAAACTTACTTTTTAAAGCAGCAGACAGGTGTCAGAGGATTGACTCCAGTATTTAGAGAAATTTTACTATGGGTAAAATGCTATCCAACAGCATCGCATGTTACAGAGAAATCTTTTGTAAAAGGAAGAGTAAATTGATGTGGTAAACTTTACTGTTGTCTTATTTTAAGAAATTGCCACAGTCACCCCAGCCTTCAGCAACTATGACTCTGGTTAGTCAGCAGCCATCAACCTTCAGCCAAGACTCTCCACCAACAAAAATTAGGACTTGCTGAAGGCTCAGATGATTGTTAGCATTTTTTAGCAATTCAGTTTTTTTTTTGTGGGTTTTATTTAATTATTTTTTTTGAGACAGAGTCTCACTCTGTCACCCAGGCCAGAGTGCAGTGGCGCGATCTCGGACCACTGCAACCTCTGCCTCCCGGGTTCAAGCGATTCTCCTGCCTCAGTCTCCCAAGTATCTGGGATTACAGGTGCACGTCATCACACCTGGCTAATTTTTGTATTTTTAGTAGAAATGGGGTTTTGCCATGTTGGACAGGCTGGTCTCGAACTCCTGACCTCTGGTCATCCACACGCCTCAGCCTCCCAATGTGCTGGGATTACAGGCATAAGCCACTGCACCTGGCCTAACAATAAAGTATTTTTAAATTAAAATATATGCATTGTTTATTTAGACATAATGGTACTGCACAGTCAGTAGATGGGTATATAGCATAACATAACTTTTATATGCGTTGGGAAGGCAGAAAATTCATGGAAAGGAAAGTAACACAAGCAAAGTCAATTTTAATTATTCGTCTTGATGAAAAGGGGCAGTGATGAGAAACATGAAATAATTTCCAAAGCTCTTTTACTTACAGTTGTCATGCCATACGTTCACACACATACACACACGCTACCCATTTAGAGCATCAATTATGGCATAGGTTTGTACTTTTAAAAAATTATTTGCACTAAAAGTGGATATTTACATTAAGAATTCTACTTTGCAAATCTATTCCATATCCAAAATGGTAGGAGTGGAGTGCTCCTACCCTTTTATTAACAAATTACAGAACACACAAAATTAAATAAAAGGCTCACAGGCATCATTCAATTCTTTGTCACTCGCATTTCATAAAAATGCCATTTCCATTAAAATGGCATTGCATAAAAATAGAATTTGCTGGGGGTATTTTTCAGCAGATTAGCCTCCTAATTACATTTTGCTTAGGTTAATGTTAAATTAGTTTCTGTTCCCTAAGCACATATCAGCTGACAGCAGAGAGAAGCAGACTTGCAAATTTCTAGGTAATGGAAAGAGACCACCTACAATTTAAGATATGCTTAATTTAATCCACAACAACAATGTATCCAGACAGATAAATGTTAATTAATGATACTCGTAAAACTTTTAAAATGTTGATAAAATTCTTGACAGAAAAATCCTACAAATGAAGTATGAAAGGGAAAATATCACTATCTAAAAATCATACATTGGAAAATAAAATTCTTTACAGTATATGATCGTCTTACTTTAATCACAAAAAATTGTTGCTTATAGTTTTGTTCACCATTTTCTAGACAATCAAAACAAATGATACATTGATCTGTTTAAATAATTTAATGAAATCACATCTTGATATTTACCAGTCATTTTTGGATGCACAATGCCTTACAGTTCTGTCATGACTTCTAATATCATATATTAAATATTTACAAGGATGACAAAGCAACCACATTTTGACTTAGTTATCTAAATAAATTCTTTGAAGATAAAGGTTAGACTCAGGACCTTTTTTTTTTTAGAAGATCAAGGATCTATACAAATATTTTATGCATGAAAAGGTACAGTAGTAGTTGATGACCAAGAAATATTGATTAGTTGATGTGAGTAGCATCAATAATGAATAGCTTTACTCTTGCTCTGACTTTAGAACATTCTTTCCCAACATTTGAGTTTTCCTAAACTGTATTTTCCTGACTTCAAAATACTAAAATTAAAACTCAATTCAACACCCACCAATTGAATACCTACTATGTGCAAAGCATTGAAAGATTCTGGGCCTTCTAGAGGGCATCAAGATAAGATGGAGCAACTCTCCTCTCACCATTTCCCAACACTCAAGAGGTTCATGACTAATTAGAAGAGCCCTTCGCAAACTATAATATAGAGGAGAACTACCTGGAGATTTTCATCTAGGGTATGGCCTGGAATTCTACATTTCTAACAAGCTCCCCGGTGATGTTCATACTGCTGATTCCCAGACTATTCTGAAGAGGCAAGGGATTCCGAGGTTGAATGGGATAACAGAAAAGGAAAATGGAAGATGATCCATGACAAGCAGAAGTGACCCATTGCTCAAACTGGTAAAAAAAAGGTGAAGCGGGGGGTAGAGGGGGATTTAGGCAGTAGTTCATGAAACAATTGGTATTCTTGTGGCTCTTGATGGCTGAGGGCTATTTCAATTAACAGAGATGATAGAAAAGGGCAATCCAGGCATAGCAAAAAGACTAACAAAAATATCTAGGCTTTGAGCATAGAAAAATATCTAGACAAAGTGAGCTCATACCCTGTGCATATAAAAGTTATTTTCATGAGAGAGAAATAAAACAGGTTCGTAATTAATAAAAAATAAACATTATACTTATTGTTTTTATTCATGTCAATAATCACACAAAGTCTATTATTGCTATGCCATATATAAAGAGTTCTCATATCTGCTATTATCAGAATGTTCCTGTAACAACTCTATTACATAATTTTTTTTTTTTGCTGATGTAGTAACCTATTTACAGATGAAGATTCTGAAGATAACATTTAATTGTCTTGACCAAAATTGAACAGCTACTAAGTGTTATATTCAAACTCCAAAATTAATTTTTTGGCCCCACAAAATACCATCTCTAGTAACCATTTATAGTTTAAGAACAAAAACATACTTTTAAGATCTACCAAGGCAAGTCTTTCCTTATCATTGCTCTTTATCTTAAAAGAAGACTTTATATAATAAGTTATGCTTCTAGTCTCTCCCTTAAAACAATACAATTGCTATTTTATTTAACTCCATTACATTTATAAATTAATTTGTAAAGTTGAATCGCTACAACATATAGTCCTCCCACAGAAAGGTAAACTGTCTCTTCATTTATTCAAATATTTATTGCAATTTCTCAGTTTTCTAAATTTTTATTGAGAAGAATAATAACAGCCAATAGAAAGATACTGCTTTCTATATGCCAGATACTGTTATAAGAACTTAGTGTATATTAACTCATTTAAAGCTCACAACAACTATATGAGATAGGTTTAATTAATCTTTACACTATTTCTCGTATTTACTCTGCCTTATGTGACTGATTGTTTATATTTTTTATATTATTTTAATATTAAGAATTTCTAATGATAATTCTAATAATAATAGCTAACATTTACAGACTGCTTACTTGTATATCAGGTAACTGCTTTATGTTATTAAATTTATCTTCATAATCATCCATTGAGGTGGTAACTATAATTAGGTCTGTTTTACATTTTAAAAGACTGAGGTAAAGATAAGCTAAATGGTTTATCCAAGACAACAGATTTTACATATGGTGAAGCCAGGACTTAGTGGCAGGGACTGGCTAATACCAGCTTATAAAAGCCAACAGCTAAATTTTCAGGAATTTTACAAATTATTAAACACATCTATTACTAAAATTACATAAGATATAAAATTATGTATTAGTCTGTTCTCACACTGCTAATAAAGACATACCTAAGACTGGGTAATTTATAAAGAAAAAGTGGTTTAATGAACTGATTGTTTCACATAGCTGGGGAGGCCTCATAATCGTAGTGAAAGGCAGAGTAGCAAAGGCACGTCTTATATGGTGGCAGGCAAGAGAGCTTGTGCAGGGGAACTTCCCATTATAAAACCATCAGATATCATGAGACTTACTTACTACCATGAGAACAGTATGGGGGAAACTGCCCCCACGATTCAATTATCTCCACCTGGCCCTGCCCTTGACACATGAGGATTATTACAATTCAAGGTGAGATTTGGGTGGGGATACAGCCAAACCATATCAAATTATATTAACATAAATAAAATTAAAGAAATTGTATTAGAAACAAAGGTAATAAACACTCAAAACCCATCACTTCCTAATTATTTTATTGCACTTGTCGATTTATTTTTGCCCCCTTCTCACCATAAAGCCAGTTGTTAACATTTACCAGGACACCACTGTGTTTGGCTAGCTAATTCTATTTTATTAGTTAGATACATTTTTTTTCTTGGATCCCCTAGTATATTGTAAGCGAATCACCTCTAAATCCAATAGGCCAAAACACACATTACAAATAATAAACAAGTAAACATTTGATATACTAATGTGTTGAGTGCAAAAGATAAAAACATATTATGGTAAGAGGGATAGAGTGCATTGGGTAGGGTTGTGAGTCACTTTTGAATGCAAGGTGTTAAGGGAAGCATAGATACCTGAAGAAGATAAGAACACAATCCATAAATATGGGAGGAATAGTGAATTACAGGATTAGAAATTACAAAAGGCTCGAGAAAGGAGGGTTCCAGTGATATCTAGGATCAGGAAGACTAACCAAGTTTGTGATAAAGAAATGAGAAAAGTTGGTGGAGAGGATTAGGAGATAAACTCAGAGGAATGGCAGCTATTCCATTGTACAGGCATTGTAGGACAGTGTGAGGAATCTGGCTTTCATTCTGGGTGGGATTGGAAGCCATAAGACAGACTGGGGCAGAAAGGTGACATGACCTGATGTAATGACTAAAAAAATTTCTCTTTAGTTTTATTAGATCCTATTTGTCAATTTTTGGTTTTGTTGCAATTGCTTTTGTTGTCTTCATCATGAAATCTTTGCCCATTCCTATATCCTAAGTGGTACCGCTTAGGTTGTTTTCCAGGGCTTTTATAGTTTTATAATTATAATTTTTATAATTAAGTCTTTAATCCATCTTGAGTTGATTCTGGCACATGACATAAGGAAGAGGTCCAGTTTCAGTCTTTTGCAAATGGCTAGCCAGTTATCCCAGCACCATTTATTGAATAGATAATTCTTTCCCCATTGCTTGTTTTTCCCAAGTTTGTCGAAGATCACATAGTTGTAGGGGTGCAGGCTTATTTCTGGGTCTCTATTCTGTTCCATTGTTCTATGTGTCTGTTTTTGTACCAATACCATGCTGTTTTGGTTAGCCCTATAGTATAGTTTGAAGTGGGTAGCATGATGCCTCCAGCAGCCAATAATCATGTGGAAAAAAAAAAAGCTCAACATATGAAAAAAGCTTAACATCACCAGTCATCAAAGAAATGCAAATCAAAACCACAATGAGATCCCATCTCACACCAGTCAGAATGGCTATTACAAAGTCAAAAAATAACAGATGCTTCACCTCTTTTGAAAATGAAAATAAATAAATAACAGATGCTGCCAAGGTTGTGGAGAAAAAGGAACATGTATATAGTGTTGGTGGGAGTGTAAATTAGTTCAGCCATTGCAGAAGATAGTGTGGCAACTTCTCAAAGACTTAAAGACAGAAATACCATTTAATCCAGCAATCCCATTAAAGGGTATACGCCCAAAGGAATATATATCATTCTATCAGAAAGACATATGCATGCATATGTTCATTGCATCACTATACACAATAGCAAAGATATGGAATCAACCTAAATGCCCATCAATGACAGACGGGATAAAGAAAATATGGCACATATACTCCATGGAATACTATACAGCCATGAAAAATAAACAAGATCATATCCTTTACAGGAAAATGGATGGAAGCTAGAGGCCATTATCTTTAGCAAACTAACACAGGAACAGAAAACCAATACCGCATGTTCTCACTTATACATGGGAGATAAATGATAATACATGGACACACAGAGGGGAACAACACACACTGCGGCCTATGGAAGGGTGGGGGTGGGAGGAGGGAGAAGATCAGGAAAAATAACTAATGAGTACTAGGCTTAACACATGGGTGATGAAATAATCGGTACACTAAACCCCCATGACACAAGTTTACCTATGTAACAAATCTGCAAATGTACCCCTGAACTTATAATAAAAGTTAAATAAAAGTAAATGGATAAAATAAAACACAGGCCAAAAAGCCAATGACTTCAGTGTAGGAGGATGGAGCCAAGTCAAAAGCCAGGTTATAACATCGTCACCAAACCCTCAGATTAGGTGTTCATTCTGCTCACTTCCATAAATGGCTGTCATTAAAAAAAATTTCTCTAGCTGCTCCATGAAAATAAACAGAAAAAGGGCATAGTCAGAAAATGGAAGAGAAGTTTGGAATCAACTGTGGCTTAAACATGGTGACAGCAGTTGGTGGTAAGAATTGGTAGAGTTTTAGATACATTTTGGATAAATTTGTCAGAATTTGACAACAGATTGCTTGTAGATTGTGGGAGAAAGAGAAGAATCAAGATGATGATGAGATTTGGGCCTGGGCAAAGGGAGGATGCAGCTGCCATTTACCAAGAGGCAAAGAACTGAAGGAAGACCAAGGAACACTGAAATCATGTGTTCAGTTTTGGATCACATGAGATTTCTATTAGGCACTTACGTCAATTGATAGCTGACTTTAGGAAAGTTTTGGGGAGAGATCTGAGCGTAGGATATACATTTGGGACCATTCAGGGAATAGCAGTTTTTTAAAACCGTGACACTAGGCAAGCTTAACCAGAAAAGTGAGTGTAGATAAAAAAAGATCCCTAAAAATAAGAACCAAGTCATTCCCAATATCTAAAAGGTAAAGAGATGAGAGGAACCAGACAAGAAGATGAATGAGGACATAGGCAGAAAATCTACTTTATCACAGTGGCCGGGTGACAAGAAAACCCTTGTCTTTGTTTTTCCTCACTTCAATGAGAGTTCATCAAGTGTCCTGTTGTTAAATATAATATAGCTCGTTGGTTTGCATCAGGCTCCTTAATACTGTAGGGATGTCAACTTCCATTCACAGTTTTGTAATCATTTTGATCAGAAAACTCTTCTGAATTTTAAAGGAACCACACATTTAATCAAAAACTGCCTGTCCTATGTCATAGAACACAATCATAAAGGATAGCTGCTCTTCCATGAACTGTCACATTAGTCCTAGAAAAAGTATTAGAAAACATGAAACACTGATTAACCTGATTATAGTTTACTTAAATGAGTATGGAAAAATTCATGAATCTCAGCAAGGATGTCTGAAATAACCAAAAAGTTTGAGTATTTTAAAGAAAGTCAATTATATTCCTTCTGATTACATGCAATTACTCAAACTAGCTTGAAAAAATGAAATTCAATTTTGTAAAGAGGTTAACAGACACTTATGGGAATAATTTCAATGAATAAATGGGTTAAACTTATAAAAGGTATATTTGTAAACTCATATTTTGCAAGGGTTTATGGTTACTTATTCTTTTAATAATCTTGAATACCCATTCAGTCGTGTTTAAATAGTCTGCAATTTGTTGATCAAGTAAAGATAATGTTTATTATTTACTCCACCTGAATCTACAAATTCTAAAAGCATGAAGTATAAGGATTCAATAATTGTATAAGTAATACTATTTTAAATTTTTAGATTTTAATATTAGAGAGAAAAATGTGAATCTAGTATATACAAGGAAGTAAGGAGGGTGTGTGATTTTAACACAAAAAAGATTGGCTGAAATGCCAAACTTCTTTTAGTAAGTAATCTGCACATGAGGGAATAAGAAAAAAATTGAAGCCTATATATTCCCTAAATGTGATGCATAGAAAACTAATAAAAGTTAAATTAAAAATTAAATGAATATAAATGTTTCTTTTAAAACTTTCCCTAATATAATCTCTAAAACCTAAGCTATTTTAAACAGCCTGCATATTATACACTCTGTAGCTCTGAAAAAATAGATTCTCATTTTCACTTTAAATTGCATGCACAGTGTGATAAATAATAGTATTAAAGCAAGATGAAAAATTATCAAGTTGAATTAACATTTTCTTTTGTAAAAGTTATTTATTTTCTTCTCATTCTTCTCTTATATTTTGCAGGGCAAGGTTCCAGAAATTCCAAATGGTTAAAAATACATATACATTACACACACACACACACACACACACACACACACACACACCAGAAGTTCTGTTAATTTCTTACTCTATCTACCTAAAATCTGCTTATCTATATTATCTATCTATCTATAACAACTATATTAGTGAACTGAAGTTTTTATAGTATTTGATACTTTTCATAGTTTTTAAATTAGGTTTATTTCTTTGTAAATTATTCTGATATTTTAATTATATACAGTTTTTAAATAAAGCATACTAAAACTACAAAAAAGTGGTTATGTTTAATTTTGGCATTCTCACCTGTGGTACAATTTCAATTAATCCTGAATTTTTACTTAAATGGACATTGGGCTTCCTTCTACCTGTATCTCTCTCTATCTCCTCTTTAAGGTCAATAATTCTTAGATTTGCCCTTTTGAGGCTACTTTCTAGATCCTGTAGGCACACTTCATTGTTTTTTATTCTTTTTTCTTTTGTCTCCTCTGACTTTGTATTTTCAAATTGCGTGTCTTCAAGCTCACTAATTCTTTATTCTGCTGGATCAATTATGCTGCATGCATTCTTCAGTATGTCAATTGCATTTCTCAACTGGAAAATTTCTGCTTGATTCTTTTAAATTATTTCCATCTCTTTGTTAAGTGTATTTGATAAGATGCTGATTTCCTTCTCTGTATTATCTTAAATGTCTTTGAGTTTCCTCAAAACAGGTATTTTGAATTATCTGTCTGAAAGGTCACATATCTCTGTCTCTTCCAAATTAGCTACTGGTGCCTTAAATAGTTTTTTGGGTGAAGTCATGTTTTCAGATGGTCTTGATGTTTGTGGATGTTCATTAGTGTCAAAGCATCAAACAGTAAGGTATTCATTAATACTATAGTCTTCACAGTCTGGACTTGGTTGTACCCATCTTTTTGGGAAGGCTTTCCAGGTATTCTAAGGGTCTTGACTACTGTACTCTAAGTTTTTGGTCACTGCCATCAGATCTGCATTAGGGGCCACCACAAGCCTAGTAATGCTGTAGCTCTTGCAGACTTATAGTACCACCTTGGTGGTCTTGGATAAGTTGCAGAAGAATTCCCTGGATTACCAGGCAAAGACTCTTGTTTTCTTCTGTTACTTTCTCCCAAACAGTCTCTCTGTGCTGAGATGCCTGGAGTTGGGGGAGGGGTAAAACAAGCACCCTGTGGCCACCACAACTGGGACTGCACTGTGTCATATCTGAAGCCAGCATGTTATTGGGTTTCACCAAGGCCTGTGGTAACCACTGCCTGGCTATCACCTAAGTTCACTCAAAGACCTAGGGCTCTATCAACAGCAGATGGCAAAGCCAGACAGGCTTGTGTCCTTCCCTTCATTGTGTCGAATTTCCCATAGCCTACATGAATGCAGAGATGCTGTCCAGAAGCCATGGCCAGTATCTGGAAACCTCAGGAAACTCCCTCATGTTCTATCTACTGCAGCTGAGCTTGCACCCAAGCCATAAGACAAAGTCTTTCCCACACTTTTCTTTTTTGTGACTGAGCTGGTATCCACTTTGCAAGACAAAGTCCTCTTCACTCTTCCCCCTTCTCTCCAGGCAGAGGGAAGGCATCTCTCCCAGAGCTGTGGGCTGTGCTGCCTTTGGTTGGGGGTGAGTTGTACAAGCACTCTCCCCATGGCCACCACTGCCACAAGTGTGTGGTGAGTACTGCCTGGCTACCACTTATGTTCACACAGGGTACAAGGGCTCTTCAGTTAGCTTGTAGTGAATGCTGCTAGGTCTGGGGCACTGCCTTCAGGGCAGTTGTCCCCACCTCTGGCTCAGGGCAGGTCCAGAAATGCAATCAAAGAGCCAAGGCCTGGAATCAGGGACCCAACAAGTCCACTAGTTTTCTACCCCACCGTGGCCAAGCTGGTATCTAAGCTGGAAGGCAATGTCCTATTCACATTTCCCTCTGCTTTTCTAAAGTCTCTCCCTGTAGCCACCAACACTGGAAAAGTTGTAGGTCACACCTGAAGCCAGCACTTCTCAGAGTCTCACTCAAGGATCATGGCGAGTAGCCAGCAAACGAGGAATGCTGCCAGAACTGGGTTCTTCCCTTTAAGGTAGGAGGTCCCCTTCTGGCCCAGTGTGTGTCCAGAAATGTCCAGGATCTACAGCCTGGAATGGGGGTATCAGGTTTCTGATTGGAGTCCTATCCTTTTGTGATTGAGCTACTATCCAAGTTGCAAGACCAAGTCTTCTTTACTCTTCCCTCTCCTCTGCAGGCAGAGGGAAGGTGTCTTTCTCAGAGCTGTGGGCTATGCTGCCTTGGGTTGGGGGTGAGTTAGTACAAGCACTCTCTTGGCCACCCCAGCTGACGTCTCACTAGGTCATGTGGCCCCCAAGTCTACTGGCTTCAAGCCTAACACAGCATCAGCACTTGCCCAGGAATTACAGCACTTGCAGCTTAGACTACCTTTTGAGTTTATTCTGGACCCCAGAGCACTTTAGCCTGTGGTACTGAGGCTTGCTGGGACTTAGGTTCCAGTTGCTGGGATGGGTGATACCCCTCTGGCTGGGTGCTGGTGTAATTGCTCCCTCCACAGGCATCAGCTGAGTTCTGCCCAGTGTTTCTTTCTGCTGTGACAGGGCACTACTGGGTTCCCAATGCAAAGTCTTGCAATTAGTACACTCTCCCTCCTCCAAGCACACAGATTCTCTCTCCATGCAACACAGCTACTGTTGAGGCTGGGGAGGAAGGGTGGTGTCACCAATTCAAGATGCTCTTTCCCACCCTCTTCAGTGTATCTTTCAGCAATATGAAGTTAAAACCAAGTACTGTGAATGCTCACCTGATTTTTAGTTCTTATGAAGGTATTTATTTGTATGTATAGTTATTAAATTTGGTGTTCCTGTGGGGAGGACAATCAGTGGAGGCTTCTATTTGGCCATCTTGCTCCTCCTTCTCCTTATTTTCTAAGTAGCATGTCACTATGTAATTTTAAGTCTTTAGAGAAGCAATCTTGAATATGGCACAAAATATCCAAAAGCAAAGACTGTCGTAGTTTGGACTTCTGAATTTTAAAGAAAATAAAGAAAATGGGATAAACTGTAAAAATAACACTTCTTTTCCATAAAATGGTGGTGAAGTAATTTGTAAAAGTATAATTCTTTGGATAAAATCAAGAGTTCCTTTTGGAATTTTTGTTTTCAGATAAATGCCAAAACAAAACAAAAAAGTAAAGAAAAAACAAAGATACTTAAAGTAGTGCCATTCTATGTGGGAGTAAGCTTCATTGTGACAAGAGACACTGCAACATGCTTGAGGAATGAAACAAGAAAAGTCACAGATCAAAAGACTGTCAAAAGCAGTAGTCATGAGGGAGCACTCAACATCGATGAGATTATCTAGCTTTTGGGACCTTGAATTTGAAAATAAAACATATTTCCTTTCAAATGTTCAGGTACTTTCAAAAGTGAAAATTAACTTAAAGGCTAAATGTATATTGTAAATTACATAATCAAAGGTATATTTAAATCTACTGAGAAGAAACAAAACCAAGTTTCAACATTTTGAGAAATTGTCAAAGAAATTGCTAAAAGTGTTTTTTAATTATGAACTCATTTTTTTTATACAAAATACCTGGTTATATTATTAAGTTTCTAGTGTGTGTCAAAAATAAAAAACACATTTTGATATTAAGAAAAACACAATACCAACTGATTAAGTCAAATGATATGCCTACAACTAAAGACCACACTCTGAAGATTGGGCACCCTCAATTTTCACGCTTTTCAAAGATAAGAATCATAATTGTAAGTACATATTTCAACAAAACATTTTTGACAACAAAGAGGTACTAAGAGATTATATCTTCTCCCTAAAGAAATTTCTAATCATAAGCAGGAATACAAAATAATATTTTATTGTAAATTAATATTTTGCAATATATTATTTTAATTTTTAAAATTATTCCAAATTCCTCCTTAATACAGCAGCTATTTAGAAAAAGTTTTGTTACTTTGCTTCCACTGAAGTAAACACAATTTATTTTTTGGTGGTGTGCCTTCCAGCTGAGTGGGTGGAACGAGCACAGTGGGCCTGAGTAAAAACTCAGGCAAAGGTGCCACTGGCCACAGAGGTTTCTGCTGTTATAGGAACACCCCAAAGATCCCACGACAGTAGCAATATTCAATAGAAATACAATGTGAGCCACAGATGTAACCCACATACATAATTTAATGTTGGAGTCATTAGACATGGAATATAAAATATGTTTAACATGTTTACAGAAATTGTACATAAAAAGAGATTAAAATCTATATTGAATCAGTATAACTGCAAGAAGACCAAGCAGAAATTCTAAAATTAAAGATAAAATAATTAAATTTTAAACTCTCTAAGTTTCCATACCAGTTTAGACATCATTGAAGAGGGAAACAGTGAACTAGAAAATATATATAAATATAATATCCACAGTGTAGTGCACAGAGAGACAAGGACATGGAATATGCAGAATAGAAGTTCAGACTTACAGGGTGAAGAAGGAAAGTCAAATAAAGTTCTATTGGAATGACAGACAAGTGAGAGACAGACAACGTCAGAAGAGACAAGCAATGAGAATTTATCAGAACTCATCAAAGATACCAGTGCAAAGGTTTGGGAAGCTCAATGAAGTCTGGCAGCATAATTAAACAGAAATTCGTATCTAGACACAGCACAGTAACAACAAAAAGAAAGATACTATCTGCAGAACAAAAAGAAAGATATTATCTTAAAACAGCCAAGGAGAAAAGTAGATAAACTTTAAATAAATGGCAGTTAAGGTAATAAATAGTTGACTTCTCCAGAGCAACAAAAATTGACCAACGTCTGTGATTTGCTAGGAGAAAATAACTGTCAACTTAGAATACATGACAAACAAATTTAAACTAAATATATAGAGAGTCGGTATACAATAATAATCGATACAATCTACCAATGGAATATAACAATTCTAAACTTCTGTGAACTTACTAATATAATATAGCCAGCTGGTAACACCCCAGTGGCAAATGAGTAAAACATTTTCACAGGCTTATCATACAAGAGGAATGTGTAATGAAAATATGCAAAATGGAAAAGTACTCAAATGTTTCAGTGATTATTGAAATGTAAATAAAAATCAAATGGCATAAATGAAGAAGTGTGATTACATCAAATACCGGTAATAACATGAAACAATCATAACACTGCTGATGTGGAATGCAAATTTGTACACCCACTTTGGAAAAAAATTTGGCATCCTACATGTAAAGCTGAAGATAAGCATAAAGTATAACTGGGCAATTTAACACAGCCTTTGAACTGGTGATTTCAGGGAAAGCATATACCTTAGATAACTGTTGTACCTGTTTACTAAGAAAAAGCTCTGCAAAGTGTGTTCCATAAACTTGCATTATCAGCATCACCTAATAGCTGGTTAGAAATTCAAATTCTCAGGCCCAACTCCAGACCTAAATCAGTATCTCCAGGAATCTGACTTTTACCAAGCTCTCTAAGTCATTCTCATGCAAGGTAGTGTGTGTAAAGCAGTAAGAGACATACAATTGATCCTCATTATTCATGGCCTGTCCTTGTGAATTTGCCTACTCACTAAAATTTTTTGTAACACCAAATGATGCTCTTTTGCCATTATTCACAGATGTGTGCATGTGCAGAGTAGGAAAAATTCAAGTTATCCCACAAGCCCAGTTGAGGCTGAACAAAGAGATGCTCTGCCTTCTTAGTTCAGCTCTCATATTATAAACAAGTGTCCTTTTTGTAGTCTATTTATTGATACATTTTTTGCATTTTTCTTTTTTTTTTTCTTTTTGGAGATCTTGCTCTCTAAAATTGCCCCCAAGCATAGTGCTGAAGTGCTGTCTAGTATTTCTAGATGCAAGACGGCTCTGATGTTCCTCATGGAGAAAATGCATGTTAGATAAGCTTCATTCAGGCATGAGTTACAATGCTATCGACCATGAGTTCAGTGTTAATGAATCAACAATATTCATTATTAATTAACAACTCTTTAAACAGAAACACACATAAAACAAGGTTATGGATTGACTGATATATAAAAATGTTGTGACTAGAGATTTGCATGAAGCAAATGCTGTATTTCTTCTAGGCACAATGATTTACTATTCACAGATTCAGTGTTCTCTTTGACTTCATAGAACATAACTATTGTGAATAGTAAGAATTGACTGTGTATAAGAATGTTCACAGAAGCACTGTCTATATTAGAAACACAAAATGAAAAAATACCAAATGTTATTGACAGAATAAAAAGTAACTCAATAATCGTATATTCGCATGATGAAACATAATACAGCTGTAAAAAGTAACTACAGCTACAATGATATGAATGACATAGGAACATAATGTTGAGTGAAAAAAACAAGTCCCAGGAGAGGACTTTAAATATGATGTTAAAGTCCAAAAGTGTGCAAAACTAAAAAATATGTTTAGTTTAAACACATATGTTTAAGGTCACAAACATATGTGTCAAATGATGATGGTTAAAAGCAAGGAAATTATAAATGCCAAACTTGGATTAGAGTCACTGCAGAGCCAAAAGGCGGCAGATAGATATGATAGAGGTTAGTAAGCATTTACACAGATACAAGTTGAAAAGTAGGTACAGTATTCAGGATATTATTAAAATATGAGAAAAAAGAATGGATAGCTAGCTAGCCAAGAGGTATACATGATAAATGATAACTGTGTCATGAATCAATACTTTCAATGAATATAATTATATATACCAGGGTTTTTTAAAAAGTAACAGCAATGATATAATTATTAAATTCAGTTCATTATTCATTTCTATAAATATGTTTCCTTATTCACTAACTACATGATAAAAATTTTTAAACTAACTTATAGAAATTTATAACATTTTGTTTGGAATGCAAATCTGAGAATTATTAACTCGAGGTAAATGTTACTTAATAAAGACCTTTGATGAAAGATAATGACAATAAATATATACTAATATCATTAAAGAACATTTATTTTGTGATGTAAAGTTTATACAACTCCTATACATATACTGTCTCACATAAATCTATTCTAAAATGTTATTACTTATAGATGAAGAAAAATCTTTAAGGTGTTACAAAAAAGTCAAAAGTGCATAGTTGTAGGATTTCAGATTCCAAATTTAGTGTTCTTTCAATTATACAACTACGGCTATTATAATCCCTAATGTTTGCATATGTAAGTAATGGTTTACAAAATATTTTGGAATACATTGAATAGACACTTGATTTTATATGACCTAATAATATAAAGCTCACATAGAATACTGGCTATGATAAAAACCAAAAACAATATATGCAAATTGTTCATATAAAATGGTTGAACTAATTCCAAGGATTATCATTTTCTCATCCATTGACTAAAGCCTTACCACAATGAAGCGGCCAGTGTTCCCACACTTATACTTCCTGTTTTAAATATTTTTAAATCATCGAAGATTTCATTTAGCCATGAAACTTCAATCTAGTGAAGAGCACTTTGAGTGATCTTCACAATTGGTCAATTACCAAGAATAAACCTTCAATGACAAGTGTTTCACATGTGGTATAAATCTAAGATCAGCTTCAAAAACCAAAGTGGCTATCAACTTGATCCAATAATTAGATGACAATTTTCTAGTTCATCATGAATCAGAATGCAAATCTACTGCTTTGAAGACACTTGGCATGACCCGACCACTATACTTGAATAAAAATAAAGGAAATTTTTATTTCTGCTTAAATTAAAACAAACAACGTAAAGAGCTATCTACTATTTCCAATTTCTTCATTTTCTAGGAGGTTGTCTGTGGACATTGGAATTTACTGTGCTAAATATATTGTTCTCAGTAAAAGCCTCAATAAATTGCTGAAAACATTGGAACATAAAATCAAACTCGGTAGACTTACTGAAAATATTTTTTTCCTTCACTTAACATGGTTACACAATGTGTCAATTATCTAGTCACTTAGAATTCTCAGGAAGAAAGAAACAACTTTCTCTATAGAGAATCACTTGGCTTTCATTATACTCAGAGAGTATTTGCATAATAACACTGCTACAGCTGCAAGGTTAAATCCATTAATTTATTGGGAACAGAACAGTCTGTTCTGGTTGGCTGTTGCAAAAATTGCTTTTTGCACTTGTCTTTTTTACCATCAAGTATTTGCTGTGAGCACACAATTACTGCAGCAAAGCCTATGTTGCCAAGCGAGGAACCTTATTTAACATGGAAAGTGGTGAACACTTCACTTTATGAAAATGAAAAAAATTAATCTTGAAAAGCTTCCTAATTAACATTTTCTCTTCACCAGTTGTTTCATAGGATAAAGCAGAGGGTGGCAATTCAGATGAAGGTTAACTAGATGAACCCATTTCTGCAGCAGCTCTCAAGTGCAAATGTCATCCCTAAATAGTCACATTTCAAAACTAGGAATAATCTCAAAGCTCCTTTAGGTGTTTTTCCTCACTAAATTGGTAAATTTAAAAGTGAAATACTTATTTCCAAAAGTTGCTAAAGGAACAAACCATCTCTTGAAGTTCATATTTACATACTCAATAATTGCAATTTAATATAAAGCAAATATATATTTCTATTAATTCACAGCAGAAACCATTAAAACAAGAAAAGGTTAGGTTAGACCAAAAGTTACATCACATCTTGAAAACTAGTGGCGTTCAGTCAAATATCAATAATGCATATAACCTATAACTAAGGTGAGAAACATTTTCTTATCTAAGACTACTGACTGACAGAAAACAGAATTTGAGAACACTCAATTTTTTAAAAAAGTAGAAAACTTACAAATGGTTTGACTGGTTTAAAAATAAAGTCAGTTATAAGCCTAAATAACATATTTAAGCATTTTATGAAGGTCATTGAGTAGATTCTGGGATGAGAAGAGAAAGTCAGAAAAAAACATACAAAGAGTGAAGGGAGAAAAGAAGTAAAAAGGCAGGGAAAATGATAGTGTAAAAAAATAGACCCTGTTTCCTCATCAACTTCAATAATTTGCCTCTTCTCGCACCTGCTTTAGGCCCAATAAAAGGGTAGATAAGTTATTTAAAAGGAATTATTTCCACCAAAAGCTAAAATCCAACAAATATTTTCAGTATTATGTGTAAAACCCTTTTCAAACTACAGACGACATAAAGATAGGTGGAAAAAAAAAAGGAAGAGTGGTTGAGTAGAAATGGGACATCATCCCTTGAAACAAAGAAGCTCCGTTTCACAGTATTTGTAGGTTTTCAATACATACAATGACAAGACATGTATGGCTTGGAATGGCTGTCTCCTCACCTTTTAGACATGCTGATATGGTTTGGATCTGCATCCCCACTAAATCTCAAGTTGAAGTGTAATCTACAGTATTGGAGGTGGGGTCTGGAGGGAGGTGTTTGGATCATGGGCAGTGTATCCCTCATGACTGGCTTAATGCTATCCCCTTGGTGATGAGTGAGTTCGCATGAGATTTGGTTGTTTAAAAGTGTGTGGCACCTCACTCCTCACTCTCTCTTCCTCCTGCTTTTACCATATGACATGTCTGTTCCCTCTTCTCCTTCCACTATGAGTTAAAGCTCCCTGAGACCTCCCCAGAACCTAAGCAGATGCCAGCACGATGCTTGTACAGCCTGCAGAGCTGTAAGTGAATTAAACCTCTTCTCTTCCTAAACTGTCCAAATTAATATATTTATAGCAATGTAAGAATTGCCTAAAACAGCTGCCAATTTTTTTTTATTAATACATAACATTTTTTCAAATTTATGTGGTACATGTGATATTTTGATACATGCATACATTGTGTAATGATCAAATAAGGGTATTTAGCATATCCATCACTTTGAGGATTTATCATTTCTTTGTGTTGGGGACATTTTAAATCTTCTCCTCAAGCTATTTTGAAATATAGAGTATACTGTTTTTAAGCATAGTCACCCTATTGTGCTAGCCAATGCTGTAACTTATTCCTTCTATCTAACTGTATCTTTGTACTTATTAACCAAGCCTTCTTCATCCTCTCACCCCCCGAACACACCCCCTTCCCAGCCTTTGGTAACTATCATTCTACTCTCTACCTCCATGAGATCCGCTTTTAGTTCTTACATGTGAGTGAGAATTTGTAATATTTGTTTTTCTGTGCCTGGCTTATTTCACTTAACACAATGATCTGCATTTCCATCCATGTTGCTGCAAATTACGGCTGAACAGTATTCCACTGTGTACACATACCACATTATCTTCATTCATTAAGCCTGCCAATTATCTATTATTACTTCAAGGCCCATAGCAAATGTATTTCCATGTATGATGCTGCCCCAGATTCTCACAGCCTAAAATACATATTTCTGCTTCCAAGTTCCTATTTATTCTTCTTTATGAAATTTAATTTTTATTATAGTTACATCATGAATTCCTTGAAAAAAAGAAATGCTATCAGTTACCTGTTAGCCCCAAGACCTTGCCCAATGTCTTGCATAAAGTGGGCTTGTAAAAAGCATTTAGTGAATACCTTTTGAATAAGTTGAAATTATTCCAGCTGAAAGTATTCCATTGGCCTAATTCTCACACTTAAAAATGTATCTTTTCTTTATTTTCTCTATTTCTTTCTTTAATAACACATCACGTCAACTTAGATGGAACTTCCCTTATGTAGGCTTTAATCAACACCGCAGCCAAAGGGATTTTGTGAAAATATACATCAGAATGAGACATGCCTCTGTGTACAACCCCACGACAGTTTCCCCTTTCACTGTACAAGCCACTGTGTACAAGCCACAATCTTTATAATGGCCTAGGATTTCCATGACCTTGCTGACTTTCTTTGCTTTCACTCTCTTCTTTTCCCCTTCATTTGAGTTACAGTGACCTCCTTACCACTTCTCAAACATACTAGGCTTCTCTCACTTTAGGAATCTTGCATTTGCTGTCCTCAAGGCCTGGAATACTCTTCTCTTTAATAATCACATGCTTTACTCCCTGAGCACCTTCAGATCTTTATTCAAAAATCACTTCCCTTAGACCTTTCTTAGCCTATCTTCTATAAAACTGTGCTCCCTGACACTTCCTATTCTACTTCTCATTAGAAAGTATTTCGGCCTAACATATAATACGCACACCCCATTATCATCATCATGATCATCATATAGATATGATCTTATACTACATTAATTTATTTACTTATCTTGCTAGAACATAAGATCCAGAAGGTCAGAATTTTTATCTGATTTGCTCAATGTTCTATTTCCATATGATAGAATAGAGCCTGACCCCATAATAGGCCCTCAATAAACATGTACTGAATGTTGATTAGATCAGTACAATTTTCCACACATCTTTTGGCAAAGTGAGTGCTTCTGAGTAGATAAAAAATTCTTATTGGTATTTGTAGCCAAACACGAATTTGTTTCACTTTTAAACTTTTTACAAAAATAAATAGCTATATTCCAAGTATGAAGTATAGAGAACCAAAGTTTAGCTATTGTCCCAATGTGGGAAAGAAAAAAAGTAAACATTGAAATGCATTGTGCTAGAGCAGCAAAATCACACAAGGGCAGAGGAAATGTGAATCATAGGTGTCTCTTGCCTTACCTTAATCAGTTAAGGATATTTAGAATATTCTTAGTTCAGAATTTAGGCAATGTATATCCACACATTACATTACTCAGAAATACTTATAAAGGATTGCAGAACAACTTGAAACAATGCCATCATCACCACTGTCATCATCATCATCATCATCATCATCATCATCACAGTAGTTAACATTTATTGAACTAGACACTTCACTAAGAAGCTTGTAGGAATTATTTCATTTGACCATCAAAGAACCTTATTTGGTCAGAAATGCTGAAATCTTCATTTTCACATATGTGGACACTGAGCTTCAAGTTTGCAGCACCAAAAGCAGAAATGCTGGGCTTCAAACCCAGGTTCCTATAACTCCAAAATCTATGCTAGGAACCTCTGACAAGTGTAAATGTTTTAACCTAAAGAATAGAAGGTGAGGGGGTAAAGGGATATGAAATCTGTTTACTCATATTCAATGGATTTTTCCCGGATAGTATTTTTGACATATTTTCATAAGTCTTCAAATTCATCACATCATTGTGCCTAATGTTTGAAAGAATATGATTTGGGGAAACTGTGTTAAGGACAGAAACAGTTCCTCCTGTTCTCTCCCTCACCACACATTTTCAGTGGTCCTAACTAAGCCCCAAGCCTGCAGGGGTTGTGTCTATCTTTCCCACATTGTTTTTTCTAATATCTGTGAGAATACTTCATACAGAGTAGGTAATTAGTAATTTTTATAAAGATGATTTCACTAGGACCCCAACAATGGACATTGCCAAGAGATAGCATTTCACTTAATATAAGTTATAGAACTTCCTTGCACTCTGACCATCATTGGAATAAACTACCTCATAAGTGTGGAAATTCCCTTCATTAACAGTATATAAACAGTATGTGGTTGAGTGTATTAGTCTATTCTTGCATTACTATCAGGAAATACCTGAGACTGGGTAATTTATAAAGAAAAGAGGTTTAATTGGTTCACGGTACCACAGCCTGTACAGAAAGCATGACGCTGGCATCTGCTCAGCTTCTGGGGAGGTCTCAGAAGTTACAATCATGGCAGAAAGCAGAGGGGAAGCAGCCACATTTTACACGGCTAAAGCAGGATAAAGGGTGAGAGAGGGAGGTGCTACATGCTTTTAAACCACCAGATCTCAGGAGAACTCACTATTGTGATGACAGTACAAAGGTGGATAGTGTTAAACAATGAAAAACCACTCGCATGATCTAGTCACCTCCCACCAAGCCCCACCTCCAGCACTGAGAATTACATTTCAACATGAGATTTGGGCAGGGACACAGATTCAAACCATATAAGGTGTTAGAAAGTATCAGTTCACTGCTAAACAAAGGGACAAAATGACTTTAAAGGTAAGCAGAATATATTATGTTGAATTATATGAAATTATTATTTTTAAAGATCAAAAATCAATAATTTCCTACAGTTCAATTCATAGAAAAATCAAGATTGAAAAGACTTGATGATAACTCATTATCTCTTCTTAAATAGAAATATTGTCTTGCCTCTTGAGCTTACCAAAGAGGACTTTCAACACTACCAGGAACCTTTTTAGTACTTAATAAATTTGTGTTGATTATTGGGTCTGGGAAGAAAAAAATAAACAAATTACAAACCCAAAGAAATAAACTAAAAAATAAGTAATAGGAAAAGACACAAATTTATCAATGGAAAAAGAAAAGTACAGCCAACAATAAAACTCTTGTGGTTTTCATTCTAAACTCAGCTGCAAAAATGTAGCTAAAAAGGTAATTAAACACTTCAAAACAATAATGGGTGTATGTGAAGGATGTCCACTCCTGCCACTTCTATTCAGAATAATACCATAAGTCCTAGCCAGAGCAACTAGGAGAAAAAAAGAAATAAAAGGTACCTAAATTGGAAAAGAAGAAATAAATTCATCTCTGTTTGTGATGATATGATCTTATACGTACAAAACTCTAAAGTTTCCACAAAAAAAACTGTTAGAAATAATAAGGAAATTTAGCAAAGTTGCAGGATACAAAATTGACACACAAAAATAAGTTCCATTTCTACACTGACAATGAAAAATCAGAAAAATAAATCAATAAAATACTTTTATTAGCAATCAGTCAAAAAGAATAAAATACTTAGAAATAAACTTAACCAAGGAGATAACAAAGAACATGTACCCTAAAAGATAGAAAACATTGTTGAAAGAAATTAAAAAAGACACAAATAAGAGAAAGGACATTTGTGTTCATGGATTGGAAGGCATTATATTGTTAAATATTCATACTATCGAAAGCTACCTACAGATTCAATTAACTATGTATCAAAAATCACAATGGCATTTTTTGCAAAAATAGAAAAAAAATCCTACAATTCATATGTAATCTCAAGAGACCCCAAATAACGGAAACAATCTTGAAAAAGAACAAAATTAGAAGCATCACACTTCCTAATTCCAAAATACAGCAGAAAGCTACAGTCCTCAAAACAATGTGGTACTGGCATAAAGACAGAAATACAGATCAATGAAACAGAATAAAGAACCTAGATATAAACCTTAACATATACGGTCAAATTACCTTTGACAAGAGTACCAAGACCACATAAAGAGGAAAACACAGTCTCTTCAACAAATGGTGCTGGGAAAACTGGATAGCCACATGTAACAGAATGAAGTTGACCCTTACATGATATCATATAAAAAAATTGGACTCTAAATGGATTAAGACCTAAATATAAGAGTGAACAGGCAACCTACAGAATGGGAGAAAATTTTTGCAATCTACTCATCTGACAAAGGGCTAATATCCAGAATCTACAATGAACTCAAACAAATTTACAAGAAAAAAAAACCCCATCAAAAAGTAGGCGAAGGATATGAACAGACACTTCTCAAAAGAAGACATTTATGCAGCCAAAAGACACATGAAAAAATGCTCATCATCACTGGCCATCAGAGAAATGAAAATCAAAACCACAGTGAGATACCATCTCACATCAGTTAGAATGGCAATCATTACAAAGTCAGGAAACAACAGGTGCTGGAGAGGATGTGGAGAAATTGGAACACTTTTACACTGTTGGTGGGACTATAAACTAGTTCAACCATTGTGGAAGTCAGTGTGGCAATTCCTCAGGGATCTAGAACTAGAAATACCATTTGACTCAGCCATCCCATTACTGGGTATATACCCAAAGGAATATAAATCATGCTGCTATAAAGACACATGCACACATGTTTATTGCGGCACTATTCATAATAGCAAAGACTTGGAACCAACCCAAATGTCCAACAATGACAGACTGGATTAAGAAAATGTGGCACATATACACCATGGAATATTATGCAGCCATAAAAAATGATGAGTTCATGTCCTTTGTAGGGACATGGATGAAGCTGGAAACCATCATTCTCAGCAAACTATTGCAGGGACAGAAAACCAAACACTGCATGTTCTCACTCATAGGTGGGAATTGAACAATGAGAACACATGGACACAGGAAGGGAAACATCACACACCGGGGCCCGTTGCGGGGTGGGGGGAGAGGGGAGGGATAGCATTTGGAGATATACCTAATGTTAAATGACGAGTTACTGGGTGCAGCACACCAACATGGCACATGTATACATATGTAACTAACCTGCACGTTGTGCACATGTACCCTAGAACTTAAAGTATAATAAAAAAAAGACCTCAAATTATAAGACTCCCAGAGGAAAACATAGAAAGCAAAAATAGACAAATAAGACTACATCAAACTTAAAACTTCTGGGCATTGAAGGACATAATCAAGGGAGTGAAAGGCAATGTATGGAAAGGGGAAAGTATCTGCAAATCATATATATATAATAAGAGGCTAACATCCAGAATATACAATGAACTCCCATAACTCAACAACTACAAAAAGTAGCCCAATTTAAAAATGCCCAAAGGAATTAAATAGACAAAGGAAGACATGCAAATAACCAACAAGAATATGAAAAGATGCCAAACATTACTAATCATTACAGAAATGCAAATCAAAACCATAAGAAGATATCACCTCACACCTACTAGAGTAACCACTGCAAAAATAAGAACAGAACAAGTTTTGCAAGGATGTAGAGAGAATGAAACCCTGGTGCATTGCTGGCAGGATTATAAAATGGTGCAGCTGCTATCATAAAAAAAATAAAGATTTCTCAAAAAAGTAAAAGTAGAATTGTAACTGAGTACCCCCATTTTTCTAAGAAAAGTAAAATGAATTACTATTTTTTAAAAAAGAAAACATTGTTATTTTCTCTTCTTTTTTCCAATTCCTCCTGTTCTCCACTTCCTACTTATTCCTTTAGAAATACAATTATAACCTTTAACCTCCCCTTCACCAGACACTTCTTATAGGACAAGTTCACCTAATTATGAGCTTAGAAGCTCCAGAGCAGAACTCTCACCCACCAGGAGATTGCCTCAAGAGATAACAGTCAATTTACAACCCAAAGTATGCCCACTATAAAACTCTCACTCACCAGGAGACTGCCTTGAGAGACAACATTACAACTCAAAGTCTTGCTATAAAAAAAAAAAAAAAAACTCTCTCCCATCTGGAGAGTTTTCAGCCACCTCTACCTCATTTCTGCCCATGAAAATGCCAACTCAACTGCGTGGTAGATAAGGCAAAAAGCTAGAATGTGGACCTTCCACCTGCTCACTTCCTCCCCTGTGTATATTCATGATAAGACCCCTTTAAAAGTGCCCACTTTCTGCTCCAGAATCAAAGCAGTGCCCTTAAAGCAGGAAACCCTTGCTTCTTCCCTCAGCTAGCTTTGGAATAAAAAGTCCCTTTCTTTATACCAGACCTCGCTCTTGTTAATTGGACTCCTCAAGCAGCAAGCAAATAAACCTGCATTTCGCTTACAGAATTACCAAATGATCCACCAATCTTACTTCTGGGTATGCATACAAAAGAACTGAAAGTAGGATCTTGAAGAGATACTTGTTCAATGCAGCATTATTCACAGTAGCCAAGAGGTAGAAGCAACTCAAATGTCCATCAATGGATGAATGGATAAAGAAAATGTGGTAAATACGTTCAATGAAACATTATTTAGCCTTAAGAAAGAAGGCCATCTTGTCATATGCTACAACATAAATAAACCTTGAGGACACTATGTTAGATGAAACAAAACAGTCAAAAAAAGACAAATACTGTATGATTCCACTTACATAAACTGCCCAATATAGTCAAACTCATAGAAACAAAAGGAGAATGGTGGTTTGCAGGGGCTGGAGGTTGTAGAAAATGAAAGTTGTTGTTCAATGGGCCCAGAGTTTCAGTTTTGAAATATAAAAAATTCTAGAGTTTTGTTGAACAACAATGTGAATATACTTAACACTACTGAAATGTAGACTTAAAGATGGTAAATTTTATGTTATGTATATTTTACCACCACTAAAAAAGTATTTAAAAATGGATGGCTGTAGCTATGCAGTGACACATAAATCAAATTTGTATCCACAAATGAATACTTGTTCTTTCAATGGCTGGTTGCATGCACTGTTCTCATGTTGGTATATTTAAATAAAACAGAAACGATGCCCAAATAAAATTATGTAGTGATAATCGAAGCCATAAGTTTTAAACCACACTTCAAGGAAAGTCATCTATATAAAAATTGACTTCTTAAAAATTATAATAAATTTTATGCTACGATATAGCTATTTTTAAATTAGAGAAGACAATGTAGTTTTAGAAATAACAATTCAACAAATGTTAAGTAATTCATACTATTCGTGCTTGGTGTTTGCAATAGCTGAAGAAATAATTTTGGTTTGTGCTGTCATCTATGGCACCTGTAGTACATTTATGATTACTGCACAGGCCTAGCTCAATGAGA
This sequence comes from Homo sapiens, assembly GCF_000001405.40. Taxonomy (NCBI): domain Eukaryota; kingdom Metazoa; phylum Chordata; class Mammalia; order Primates; family Hominidae; genus Homo; species Homo sapiens. The sequence continues at coordinate 174,666,241 of NC_000003.12, read as the reverse complement.
ATATTAATTATCAAAATCTATTTTTGACTTAATAGAAATATCTGATACTTACATGCTATTTTATGCTTCTATGGTAAGTATATCCAGATACAAGTAAGTGTGTATTATGTTTTTCTAGTTTATAGACATGGAATAAACTATACCCCAAAAAATGATATGTTGACATCCTAACCCTAGGTACCTATGAATGTGACCTTATTTGGAAATAGAGTCTTTGTAGGTGTAATCAAGTTAAGACAAGGTCATACTGGATTAGGGTGGACCCTAAATCCAATGACTGTTGTCCTTATAAGAAAATAAAATTCAGACACAGAAAGGAGAATGCTATGTGAAAACTGAATAAGAGAATAGGATAATGCATATACAAGTCAGCAACACCAAGGATTGCTGGTAAGTACAAGAAACTACGAGAGAGGCATGAAACAGATTATTTTTCAGAGCCTCCAGAAGGAACCAACCCTGCCAACAACTTTTAGATATGTAGCCTCCAGACTGGGAGAGAATAAATTTCTGTTTTAGCCAATTTGTGATATTTGTTATAGCATCCACAGGAAACTAATACAAAACACACGTGTGCATATATGAGGAAGCCAGATTTTCATGAAGGAACATCAGATTGCAGTTTTGCAGTGCAAACCTGGACTCAAATATTGCCCCCATGATTACTTGCAGTGATATTCTGAACACTTATTCTCTCTGACATCCATTTTCTCCTGTGAAACTTCAGTAATTGCATTATGAAGAATAAATACAATAACATGTAATGACCAGAACCTGCCACATGATAACAGCACTACAAATAATAAAGGTAGTAACACTTAACATTAGAGCTGAGGTTGCATGCAGCACACTCGATAGCACCAAACAGTCTTTCCTAAAGTAAATCAACAGCTTGACACAGAGCCAGGCCCAGAACCCAAGTACCTGATTCCATGTACAATGTGTTACCTCTACGTTAGAAATCTAGGATTTCTCTAATTTATTTCCTATTTTTCTTAGGGCTGTTTGGTTTCTTCCCCCTATTGTTAGCAGAAAATCTCTATGTAATGCTCATAATAATTCCAAGGAAATGTTCTTCTCTTAATTTGTGGCTCAAACCGGTATAATTTCTTCTTTCTCAAGTCTGCTGAGAAGTACTGCATCAATGGTCAGGACATGGACACAATTTCCACAAGACTGAGTTTAGAGTCTACCTTGAAATGAAAAATGGATCTGATATTTAGAAAATGAAAAACAGCAAGCTAGCCTGTGGCTAAGCAACTGAAAGTTCCACTCTGGCACAAGTTGCTTGGTATGCTGAAAATTCTTCCATCTTAAGATTTGAAAGACAGAATGAAGACCTAGGGGACTTTGTTGGTTCCAGTGATCTATCAAGCAACTTCAGGAAGCCTGAAAAATTTGGATCATTTGGCATGTATAATGCCAGACACATTCAAACCAGTGAGATAGTAAATCAATATTCCCTTTAAATTATGAGACAAAGTAGCAAGCACAGGAGCACAGCACTTCCAGAATAAGAGCACCCACCAGAATTATCATTTGCACAAAATACCAGAAACTAAATGTTCAGACCATTAAATTGCCCATCACAACACTCTGACTGGATAACCACTACAACATATGTAGGTATGTATACATTTAAAAACACATAATGTATTTAACTGATGCCAGCAAGAAAGCACTCTATTTTTAATACAATGTCAAAGAATGAAATATTTATGACAACATCCATTGATGCTAGTAGTGAAATCAGTCATTAAAAAGTCATTAATTGCTTATTGGTATGAGACCCAGTGCTTCTAAAAACCCCATAAAAAGATTCTCATAGTTCATGATTTATGCATTAGTAAAGTATTACAGTCAATGTGAGACTATTTGTTTAGCCCCAATCTGTCTATCCTTCATGCAATATGTCCGATCGCTAAAAGAATATGTAATAGAAGGCCATTAATTGTTCGGTATTAAAATGCTTTAGAATTATGAAGAAGCAATATCATTTACCAATTGTTTCAAACTTAAATTGTACAGGTATTTTCATTTAATTACAACTACTATTTTTGATTTTGATATTTTCTCAGCAGTGGTATACTTCTTGCTTGTCATATTGCAGAGGGGTTGGCAGAATTGCAGTTGGCCAAGAAATACAGTTGAATAGCCAGGCGTGGTGGCTCACGCCTGTAATCCCCACACATTGGGAGGCCGAGGCTGGTGGGTCACCTGAGTTCAGGAGTTCGAGACCAGCCTGACCAACATGGTGAAACCCCCCTCTCTACTAAAAATACAAAAATTAGCTGGGCATGGTGGCACATGCCTGTAATCCCAGCTACTCGGGAGGCTGAGGCAGGAGAATCGCTTGGACCCAGGAGGCAGAGGTTGCAGTGAGCCAAGATTGCACCATTGCCCTCCAGCCTGGGTGACAGAGCAAAACTCTGTCTCAAAAAAAAAAAGAAAAAAAAAAGAAATCCAGTGAATATAGTAAATGAAAGTCTCCATTACTGACATAGTTTGGATATTTGTCCCCTACAAAATTTATGTTAAAATTTGATCCCCAATGCTAAAGATGGGGCCTAGTGGGAGGTGTTTAGGTCATGAGGGCAGATACCTCACGAATGGCTTGGAGCTATTATCTCAGGATTGAGTGAATTCTCACTCTTAGTCCTCTCAAGATCTGATTGTTAAAGAGTTTTGGACCTCTCTCCCCTCTGTCTTGCTCCTTCTGTCACCCTGTGACAAGCCATCTCCCCTTCCCCTTTCTGCCATGACTAGAAGCTGTCTGAGTCCGTCTCCATAAGCAGATAGCACTGCCATACTTCTTGTACAGCCTGCAGAATTGGAAGCCAAATAAACCTCTTTTCCTTATGAATTACCCAGCCTCAGGTATTTCCTTTATAGCAATGCAAATAGACTAAGACAATTATTATTATTTTCATAGCTGGGTACATATTATCTTTAAACACTCATATCTACAAATATTTTAAGCTCATTTTATGTTATTTTTGTCATCCACTTTTCAAAAGAAACTGAGATAATATCAATGGACAAAACATAGTTTTCTCCAATTATTCACTAGTATATTTATATAAATATTTAATTTTCCCCTTTTCAAGTAAATTTATGTTTTTAAATGCCAATGGAATATATTTTTAAACAATACTCATCTACATTAAAATAGAATATAATGCTTTGTAAACAATTGTTACATTATTATCTAATACTAAAATATCCTACAAAAAATAGATAAATAATACCTACATGGCTTTACACTAAAAACCTCCCTGCTTTGTTTGATAGATGAGTGTCATCTATGTAAAATACGTAAGATTTCAATACATAATAAATACAGACCCACTGATAACATCATGAAGACTGTGCTCTGCACAATTTCAGGAGGTGCCACTGACTTCCTGGCTTTTATGAATAGCCCAGTTATAGTAGCACAGAGCATACCCAACATAGCCATATGCATTGGCCGTAAATAAGCACCACAGCAAGTAATTCAAGTATAACAAGAATATCATAGCCAAGCTACATTTTCTATGAAAGGAACTTCTGCGCACATGATAAAATTAGGATTGTTTGTTTTCTTGCAGACCATCTCATCACGTCAAAGTTTTTATTTCTCTATTCCTAACTTTTCTTTCAACAAGGATGCTTTTATTAACTCTGATCAAGTTATCTTGCCTTGCTTATTTCCTGTTGGGGCAAATTTTCCTTTGCATCTCAACGACTTCAGAACACAAACAAAAAATAGTTGATGCTGTTAATAACCATGAGTCAGCTATGAAAGCTTAAATTATGTTTTTAGTTTTCTGAATAAATAGGAAAGCAGTTTTTGATTAAGTTGTTCAAAAGTTTCCCCTATGAGTTCTCATACAGGAGAAACTCTAATTTTAATATCCTTAATAAATTTTATGTAATGAATATAGAAGCAAATTTCATACTGCTTATACTCTCCACTTCAAGTTGTAATAAGATCAAAGAGTTCAGTAAAAGTACTTCTAAACGAAAACAGCTTTATCTGAGCTAAAGTTTATAACAATGTTAGCTATAAAATAATAAGAATTGATAGCATATATTTTACAAGGGCCTGTGCTAGGAGATTTAGATAATTTTTTTTAAATTTTCAAAATAACTTTGTAATGTTATTTTATTTTTATCCCACAGTAGAGATGAGGAAGCTGAAACTGAGGCTATCTCTGAGGATGAGCTATATAGCTTATGTCATCCTAATCACTATGTCTTCATTACTTCTCAACTTTGGAAGAAGTGCAAATACCATCATGAAAAATCAGAACATGCAGTATTTTGCTTTCTATTTCCAAGATGTTTCACTTAAGATCATGGCCTCTAGTTCCATCTGTGTTTCTGCAAAAGATATGATTTCACTTTTACAGCTCGTGTGTGTGTGTGTGTGCGTGCACGCATGTGTATACCACATTTTCTTTATTGGATATTTCTTTATCCATGGACACAGAGTGTGGAATAGTAGTCACACAGTTCTAAGGCTGGAAGGATGGGAAGGGAGTGAGGGTAAAGAAATTACTTAATGGATACAATGTTCAATATTTGGGTGATGGTTACACTAAAAGCCCAGACTTCACCACTACACAACATACCCAGGTAACAAAACTACACTTAAATTTATACAAATTACATTAAAAAAGGAAGACAGACGAAGAAAGAAGAAAGAAGAAGAAGAAGCATCAGTGTCATTTGCAGGAACTATACATGCACCCAATATTTACATATGTCCTTTTTAGGTAGTGTTCCTCCTTCTAAGTAACTATAGTAAAAAGTTATTAAAGAATGTTTTATCCCTTGGGTGTATCAGGTAAGAAAAATGATTGAATCAGAACTAAGAGCCTGGAATAATTAATAAATTGCATATTCTTCAAACAGTTCTTCTTTAATATTCATTATAAAAACTATTCAAAATACTGAGCAGTTATGAGTTCAGTAATAATATTTTCTAAGAATGGAAGCCAATATTCTACGTTATTGATGAAAAGTAACATCAAGTGGATAGACTCTGGGGTTGACATTAAAGACTTTCAGTCAAAACCCATCTGGCCAAGATTTCCTCAGAAATATTACAGGCGTATTCCAATCACAAACAAATGAACAATTTAGTTGCCAAAGACCTTAATGAAGCTGAATCTTTTAATTTAAGCATTTTAATCAAGAGTAAGGCCTCTACATACCTAGTGGCTACACTTTTCCCTATTAAATAACCATCAATAATGATGTACCATTTTTTACCTTGTACATAAGTGTTTCACTATGGATTTTCTTGGCAGTTCTCAATAATGCTTTCCTATTAATAACCCTGAAAGAAATAACAGACTCAAACATAATGCATCTTTTAGGACAAACTAATTATATTTATAAAAGGTACTCTGGGTCCGTGGCTTTTATTTAACACAAAATATTATTGCCCTTCCTCCAAAAATGAAGGTACTTTCACAGCTTTAATAATAAGGCAAAAATTATGTTCTTTTTGTTTATTAAAAAAGTACAATGTATTCCTTTTCAAAAAGAACTTCCCAGAAGAAAATTACTATTCATTTAAGATAAATTTATCATGATAAGGCATAAAGAATAAGTCCAATAACTAACTTTCAAAATTGTACACAACATTTTTGATAAATCATCCTTTCGTATCCTCAGAGATGCAGCATATTGTTATTATATGAAAACGGGACGCGAGATCTTTCAAAAGTGAGGTTCAAAATCAACCTACAAATTTTTAAGAAATATTGTCATTGTGAACAAATCACTTTATAGCTTGGTGATTTAACTCTCTGTATCTAATGAATAACCTGTGCAAATAATAACTTTCCAATGTAAAGATAACCAATCATACGGTATCTGAAAATTCTGTCATGAAAAAACTTAATGAATATTTTAACACTGAATAAGTTAATCTAATTCAGTGAAAATTGCATTTTGTCAGTCGAAAAGGATAGCAAAAATCATTGGCAAAGTTGAGGCATCTGACTAGCTTAACTAAATTTGCAAGTGTAATCATTATAATAAATCTTTCTTCTATTAATATTTTTGAATAAACACATATTTCCTACTATAAACATATATTTATGAATATAAAATTGGAAAATATTCCAGAACAGTAGCTACATATTAAATTTGTCGTGGCTTATAATGTACAGCACACATTCTTCTATTGTCTTTTTAAAAATAAAAGTGTTTATTATATTCTGTATATTCAGATTCTTACATTCATTTCAAAATTTTGCCTCAAGAAAAACTGAATATGAACTGTTTCAAGCGGGGTCCCAAAAGGAAACAAAGGACACACTCGAAGAGAGGTGAGGGCAGGACTAAGGGAACTGATGATGATGCACCGGGGTCTAACTGCAGTGGGAAGCTTCTGGGTCTTAGAGGGTGGGAGGACAGGGCAGGATTACTGTAAGAGCAGGAGCTATTAAAAAACGACCACATGACAGGAGACGTGACCATGGGTAGATGGGTTTGTTGCCATTTATCAGACATAGCCCCAGGGAAGTAGGGATAAATAACCTGACTTATCTTCCCTTTCACTCTCCACACTGGCTTATGCCTCCCACTGGCTGAATCCAGGAGAGATTAGAAGACCAGTGAGTTCAGAAGATGCAGTTCATTAAGATTGACCTTACAGGGATTACAGCAGGGCAGAGAGAAGGAGAATGAATCTAAAGAGGAAAAAAGGAAAGAATCAGCACAGTTATCTGTGATAACCATTTAGGTGGATCTGGGAAGATAAAAATGAGTCTGCTATTGCCCCTAACCTTTAAGGGTTCAGTCTTGTAAGTTCTTTAGCTATCTATCTTTCAAATACACGTAGCAAAGAATATGAACTAGTTCTCAAATTGAAAATAACATTGAGACATTTCTAATATATTCATACAGAAAAATTCAGAAAACAAGTTATTTTTCTCTTTGCTTCTAAGTTATATTAATAAACGTCATATAAACAATAGTAATACAAATAAACGAGGGAACATAGTTTTGATTTCAAGTTTTAATGACACTAGTTCCAAGAAAAATTTAATTAGGCACCAATAAAGTGTCATATATTTGCATGAAGGAATTGTCCTTATAATTTCCACATCATAACTATTCAGATAATACACCAAACACAGACCAAGTAAGGATATAAACATTAGTATTAATCACTACCCTTAACTCTAATTTTGGAGAAAGCTACACAAATAACTGTATACACTAAAGTTAGAAACAGAAAAAGGAGACCATCAATTATTTCAAGATCAATACAAGAGGAAGGCAAAAAATTGAAATATAGTGTAATGAGAGATAATAGTGGAGTCTTAGAATGATGTCGACGCTAAGACTGCATTATACATATTTGTTATTCTTAACAGTATATTTCATCAACTTCAAGATACCATTAGTTGCAGATGCACCATTTCTTTTGTACCAGTAGAAAAATAAGAAATGAATATCAAACCATTATAAAATGCTTTCTTATCACTTAGAATTTTTAGTCTATACTTATTGAAAAAACTACCATTTAGGCATACATTTATAATATATTAATCTGGCCAAATATTAAAAGTAAAGTATAAGCTAAATAAATGTTAAGGTAAAATTTCTCACTTTCAGAAGCCAAATTTGAATTTCTCCCTACTCATAAACATCTCGAATTTTCCACACAGTGTTCTGTACTATCAAAGGTAATGATGATTGCAAAAAGACATGTCTGGAAAAATACTTACACAAAATATACAAAAAAATTTCTAAAAACTCAATAATAAAAAACCCTGATTTAAAAAATAAGCCAAAAACCTTAATAGACACCTCACCAAAGAAGAGACACACATGGCCAATAAGCACATGAAGAGATGCTCCACATCATATGTCATCAGGGAAATGCAAATTAAAACAACAAAGATATACTACTATACATCACTAGAATGATGAAAATGCGTAACACTGGCATCACCAAATGCTGGTGAAGAAATGGAGCACAAAGAACTCATTCATTGCCGGTGGGAACGCAAAAATGGTACAGCCACTTGGGAAGACAGTTTGGTGGTTTCTTACCAAATTAAACATGCTCTTACCGTACAATCCAACAATCATACTATTTATCCAAAAGAAATGAGAACACAACTACACAAAAAACTGAACATACGTGTTTCTAGCAGCTTTATTCATAATTGCCAAAAATTGGAGGCAACCAAGATATCCTTCAGTAGGTGAATGAATAAACTGTAGTATATCAAGAAAGTGGGGTATTATTCATGAATTAGATGGCGTTAAAAAGAAATGAGCTATGAAAATACATGGAGGAAATGTAAATGCATATTAAGTGAAGGAAGCCAATCTGAAAAGGCTACATAGTGTGTGATTCCAACTATATGATGCTCTGAAAAAGGCAAAATAATGAAGTCTGTAAAAAGATGAGTAGTAGCCAGGGGTTAAAAGGAAAGGGAAATGAATAGGCAAGAACATAGAGGGTTTCTAGGGCAGTGGAAATACTGTTGTATGACAGATACTATAATGTTGGATACATGATATTATAAGTTTGTACAAACCCTTAGAACATACAAAATCAAGAGTGAATCCTGATGTCAATTATGCCCTTTGGGTGATAATGAGACGCTGATACAGTTGTCACGAATACGCCATTCTAACTAAAATATTGATAGTGGGGGAGGCTGTGCATGTGTGGGGGCACAGGCATATGGGATATCTCTATGCCTTCCTCTCAAGTTTTCTGCGAACATAAAATTTCCGAAACATGATGTCTTAAAAATTTTTTTGTGGCCGGGCAGGGTCGCTCATGCCTGTAGTCTCAACAATTGGGAAGGCCAAGTCAGGTGGATTGCTTGAGGTCAGGAGTTCGAGAGCAGCCTTGCCAACATGGTGAAGCCCCGTCTCTACTAAAACTACAAAAATTAGCTGGGCATAGTGGCAGCTTCCTCAGGTTCCTGTAATCCTACCTACTCAGGAGGCTGAGGATCCCAGGAGTTCGAGACCAGCAACATGGCAACATGGCAAAACCCTCCTCTCTACAAAAACAAAAATGTGGCCGGTGGTGGCATGTGCCTGTAAACCCAGCTACTAGAGAGGCTGGGGTGGGAGGATTGCTTGAGCACAAGAGGTAGAGGTTGTAGTGAGCAAAGATCACACCGTTGAACTCCAATCTAGGCAACGGAGCAAAAAAAAAAAAAAAAAAAGAAGAAGGAAAAGAAAAAGAGAGAGAGAGAGGAAGGAAAAAAGGAAGGAAGGGAGGGAGAAGGGAAGCCCTTATCTCTTAAGTTTATGAATGAAAGCATATGATGTTTGAGATTTATCCTAACTTACTCTTTTCGAGGTGCCGAAAGAAAGTGGGGTGAGGTAGAAAGTTTAGATGAAACAGACCGGCCTTATTTATGTTGATAATTATGGAAGCTAGGTGATGTGTACATGGTAGTTCACCATACTACTATTTTTAGTTTGGAAATTTCCATAACAAAGAGTAAAAAATTTCTAAAGGAGGGGTCAGAGGAGAGAAAATCAAATGGAAACAGCAAGCAGATGCTTTATAATGTAGTTTTAAATAATAATTTTAGCAAAGACCATATTGACCTGCTTTTCATGTCCTTGAAATACTAAACAGTTTAATCTGGAACCTTAAACAAAAAAAGTAATGGTGAAAAAACACTTCTGAAAAGAATGCTCCATTTGTCTCCAGGATTTTCTTCTAAGTTGCTAATACCAATTCTGTGAGCTTTGAGGCTGACACTTCTCCATTTGAGAACACTCACATTTTCATTTTTTTCTCAATTAAATCATATCTTGCTGGAAATAAGCTTCTTTAAAGTCATTAGGAAGTTTTTTCGAAAGAAGTTCAACAACATGCACAATGCATGCAGTCATACTAGAGTGTCTGTTTTGAAATTTATCTATTTTGGGAAATTTGGAAATTTCTCTATCCTTCAGTTCTGTTTCTCTCTGCATGATGGGGAATTCTTTTGCGGAAATCTTAGTAACAGAATGTAACAGAGCTTCACCTACTTCAGGGTATTCTTTACTGGTCCATGTGAAATATTTGATTGTTTGCTGTAGTTCTTCCTCCAGTAGCCGATATTTGCTCCATTGATATAAAATGTTTGCTCAGTTACTCTTCTGCCAGGCCCTTCTGTGTGTACAATAACTTTTCATTTCAATGCCAAAACATAATATTTTAGAAGACATTTTAAACAAATATTAAACTCGGCATGTGTAAAGTACCATTGATACACATAACTCACTTGAAGTGATACATAAATAGCTATGATAAGTTTATGTATCCACCGGTAAGAACAACAACATCACCCCTACCTGAATCCTAAAGATTTTAACACACACTTGATAATAGGCAATGTTCTGATTTTGGAGATGTTAAAATGTGTTTTAAAACTTTTATATGTTAAAACTGATAAAGTAAGGTAATTTAAATTCTCTTTTTTAGTTAATGGTATGTTTAATAGCTAAATATAGACAGTATGTTTTTAATATAAAGAAAGTCACTTTAAATTATCTAAATTATTCCATTTTTCATTTTAAATCCATGTTATATTATAGTTAATTTTTAAATAAAATTATAGAAACTTTAATACTTTAATTTGGTAAAAATATTCAAAGGGATATTAAAACATAACAGCTAACACTCATTGATTATTTGCTATTTATTGAAGTGCTTCATTATTAACGTCTGCCATGTAACATTTACAGAATCTTCTTTAGTATCACATGAAAAAGTTCAAAATCATCTTTGAGAGGATACATATTGAGGTTTATCTAGTTTACGGTGGTGGCTTAAAGCACATATTCTTTAACAACAACAGCAGCAAAATAATTTAAATGACTGTTGTTCATGTAACATTTACAGAATCTTCTTTAGTATCACATGAAAAAGTTCAAAATCATCTTTGAGAGGATACATATTGAGGTTTATCTAGTTTACGGTGGTGGCTTAAAGCACATATTCTTTAACAACAACAGCAGCAAAATAATTTAAATGACTGTTGTTCATGTTCCAAATATTTATCCAGTATTCTAAGAATTTACTCTTTGTTAGTTACTACTATTTTACAGTGTCTTCACAGATAACAATGAATTCCTTTTAATTCATTAATGTAATTAATTTTTAATTCTAAAAAATAAATATGCATGCAGTCACACTGCAGTACAAGGTTTGGTTAAAAATAAACATAAAATAGGCCAGGCACGGTAAGCTCACGCCTGTAATCCCAGCACTTTGGGAAGCCAAGGAGGGCAGATCAAGAGGTCAGGAGATCGAGACCATCCTGGCTAACACGGTGAAACCCCGTCTCTACTAAAAATACAAAAAATTAGGCGGGCATGGTGGTGGGCGCCTGTAGTCCCAGATACTCAGGAGGCTGAGGCAGGAGAATGGCTTGAACCCGGGAGGCAGAGCTTGCAGTGAGTGGAGATGGCGTCACTGCACTCCAGCCTGGGTGACAGAGCAAGACTCCATCTCAAAATAAATAAATAATAAAGTAGGTAATTTTATTACAAGGCTCATAAACTGGTTCTGAAATCAGTTCAAAAGTGAAGCACTTCCGAAAACATTTGCACTAAAGAAAACATGGCAGCAGGTAACAACCTGTGTGCAGGGGAACATGAGAGCAGCTTCTCAATTTGAGCTTTTTGAGTGACAGCTCTTGCTTATACATAAATTTCTGACATGCTTACTAAAATATAAAGATTTTTTTTGCCAGATCTCATCTATCTGACAATTATTTTTGTGGGATAATTATGGCACCTGAGAAAAAGAAAACTCCCTAGTAATGTCAAGTTAGCCCTTTCTAATTTGCTACCAGACAACAAGAGTCTTAATTTAAGAATCATTGATTTCATTATTATGATATCTAATTAATCTTTATTTTTAAAATCAGGAAATAAGAGACAGCTTTGAAAAGTCAAATGTCATTTAATATTTATTGAGTACCCAAGTACACTTCACTAACTTTAGAGAAACTGTGGCACACACTCAGACCTTAACAAAATTTTATGATTTATCAAAAGCATAGCAGAGTATAATGCAAATAAATGGGTTTGACCACTTTCTCCTTTTCTGTATGCCAAGAGAAATTTAGCCAAGGATATAAATTATGTAAACCACATTTCTAACACACACACACACACACACACACACACACACACACACACAAAGCCATCTTATTACTAAATATTATGACAAACCAAGAGAAGAAGCCTAAATAAAATAAATCCTGAGATAAGTTGCAGCTGTTTTCCTGAAAATAAGTGAGTAGAAAATATTTGTGTTTTCAATGCATTTCTCAGACTCACAGAAGCTCAGAACTCTAAAGTATCAATGAGATTAGGGAGAAAAACTTGGAAAGAAGAATAACATGACCTTATGCGTAGGCCTTAAAATTATAAATCAATATTTTCTCTACATTAGTACTTCAATTTACATAAGTTTATGAATTTTTGGCTAATGACATTATAAGGCCTTCCAATATTGTTCACAAATACTTGTCAAGTTTTTTTGTTGAACATTTCCCTAAACTCTAGCTACTCTGCCATTGTCCATATATATGAATCCTATTATTAATTCAAGAATTAGCTCATATCCTACTTCCACTAAAACCTTACCTTGCACTACCACTACAAAAATTACCTCTGTGCTAAAATCATAGACCATGAGTTCCAGCCTCTCAGCTCATGACACATTATACTTGAAATTAAAGTATTTATTTTACATGTTTTTCTCTCCTACTAAATTGTAAAGTCCCAAAGGATAGAAATCTTTGCATTTATTCCACTCCAGTGCCTGCTTTACTGATTTAAAAGAAAACCAGACAGAAACATGAATATGAAGAACAAAAGCTCAAAGATAATGAACACACAAAAAAAGAAGCACTTGTTTACTTTTATTACTTATAGCATTCTATTGTATGAATTACCATTATTCATTTATCCATTCTACTGTGGATGGACATTTGGGTTGATTCCAGTTTGGGGCTGCTATATATATGATGCTGCTGTGAACATCACTGTACATGACATTTAGGAAAAATATGTATGTTGGAACTTAGAGTATGTGTATGTTCATCTATAACAGATACTGCCAGTCTTTCAGAATGGTTTTATTAATTTACATATCCATCACCATTTATGAGAGTTCTAGTTGGTCCACATGAATGCTGACATGTCAGTCTTTTTTATGTAATCATTACAGTTAGTGTGTAGTGTGGCATTTTAATTTGCTTTTGTTTGCATTCCCTTGATAACTAATGAGAATGAGCAATTTTTCATATGATTACTGGCTCTTTGGATATTCCATAAACCACCTATTAAGTCTTTTGCCTATTTTTCCATTGGGTTTTTCTGTTTGATTTGTAGAGATTCTTATATTTGATATCTATGTGCCCTTTGTGAAATCTGTATTATAAATATCTTCTCTCAGTGGTTTTCCTTCTATCTTAATGATGTCTTTTGATTTATAGAAGTTCTTAATTGAATATAATAGGATTTTTTCACTTTATGTGATATGGTTTGGCTGTGTCCCACCCAAATCTCACCATGCACTATAGCTCCCATAATCCCCATGTGTTGTGGGAGGGACCTGTGGGAGGTAACTGAATCATGGGAGCGGGTTTTTCCCATACTGTTCTCGTGATAGTGAATAAGTTTCACGAGATCTGATGGCTTTATAAAGGGCAGTTCCCCTGCACACAGTCTCTTGCCTGCTGCCATGTAAGACATGCCTTTGCTCTTCCTTCACCTTCTGCCATGATTGTGAGGCCTCCCCAGCCATGTGGAACTGTGAATCGATTAAACCCCTTTCCTTTATAAATTATCCAGTCTTGGATATATCCGTATAGCAATGTGAGAACAAACTAATACATTATGGTTGGTGTTTTCAGTGTCCCATTTAAGAAAACTTTATGAATAACAAAGTCACGAAGATATCCCTCTATAGCACTGTCATGGCCATGGATTTCTAACTTCACAGAGTATAATTAACTGACAGCTCAGCTGTTGCACTCTAAAATCTATCACTTTATTCAGAGGCCACAATTCCCATTGTGTTCTCCCAGCCATTGACTGAGTGCTGCGAGGATACTAAAGCAGGCCTTGTTCTGGGAGATGTGAGACTCTTTGATGGGTAGGTTTGGCTGCAGGACTCCATCAGCTTTGCTGAACTTTCTTTGAACTAGACTGCAGTCTAATATTTTCCCACCCAATTCTTCCTTCCCTAGGTCTGTTGGCTGGGCTGGTTATGGGACAAGCTTCTAGTGTGCTGGTAATGTACTCTCTTTTGATTTGGGTGGTGGATTACATGGTTTTGCTCATTTTGTGAAATTCCACTGAGTTTTAAACATAGGATTTTAATCTTTCCATATATATGTGTTATATTTCAATAAGTAAGTTTAGTTTAAACTTCCATTTAAAAATAAAGAAGGTGGCAGAAGCCAGTAATTCAAACTTTGAGTGGGCAGTTATTAGAAAATAGAATGTGCTCTTTGCCTATGATTTGAAGCATAGGAAACCTTAACTTTAGAGAAAAGCACAAATGGAAGGTTAGAAAAAATATCTCAGTCTGAGCTCTGTTCCTTTATTAACCACATGACATTTGGTAAATCACTCAATATTATCAGTGTCCCAGATATTTCCTCTCAAACAATTTGATTAATAAAGCCTAAGTTATTGTTTTTATTTAAAAAAAGAAAGCAATTATGTAGCCAGGTTTTAATAAGTGCTGTATAAAGGCAAAGAATTATTAGTAAAAGATGCTCAAAAGCTGCTTTTCAACTTTCTTTCAATGCCTTTTCTTAATATTGCTTGTCCACATGCACAAAACAGACTTTACTACAGGTAGCATGTATCCACTCCAAGTTTTGTTTGGTCCTCAAATACGCTACATAATAAACTGAGTTGTCCTCCTCAATTGTTAACTTTCTAAAAGCCAATAGCCTAGATGAAGCTAAAATAGGCATTAAGCAGCAATTGTGTTGGTAACCAAGGAACTTAATTACGAGCACTGATAACAATGCAACAGAAAATTTTGAGGTCAATGATTACATGTGAACATATCATCATATTCCATGAACAATAGTTTTCAAATCATATTCTAAATGATAGCACAATTTTATAATAATGGAAAGCTAAAAATAAAAATAAGAGATATTAGCAGAACTTACATGAGGTAGAAGGGTATCATTTTTTTCCTGAAGGAGATAAAGGAACACCCGAGATATTAAAGAACCTGGACAGTTGTTCTCCTAGTAAAGATAAACTAAGTGAATAGGGCCAAATGCATAAGGAAAAGATAATTAGGCTAAATGCAATAAATTATTTTCATATAGATTTACTTTCACAAGGCATCATAAATCAATCATGGATAAATCTATAGAGGAAAATGCAACTTCACTGAAGCCTGGCGTGCTAAGACATTTCTGTTTGTCTCTTCATATTCTACATCCTAATTTGTCTCTTCATATTCTACATCCTAATATGTCTCTTCATATTCTACATCCTAATTTTTCCATTCTTAATTTCCTCTAAAAATAACTGAGCTTTCTCTACTCACATTTCCTATAACATAAACTCATTTCTCAGCAAGTTAACAATTACGACCGTAACTACTGATTTGCTGTTACAGCAACACTTAAAAGGAAAACAAAAATTCTTAAGATGAATTCCATATCTTTAAAACTTGTTTTTCACTAATGTGTTCTGAACACTAGTTGTAAATAGACGTTGACACAGCTATTAGAGGAAAAGGGGCCAATGGTCAAATAATGCAGGGAAATACTGGGTTAAACTACCTTCAATAACATCTTAACATACTAGTTGGCATACTGAGAGGCTTTAATATGCTTACATAAGCTGTGGATTTCTAAGAAAAGAAATGGATATATGGTGTTTTGCCTACTTATTTGATCACCTTTTCCATGGAGCATTTTGATGAATTGTATTTGAGAAACAATATTTTATAGACATTCAATGTCCCTCATAGCAATTTAAATGACAAAGATACACACACAAGTAGGTTCTTATTAGAAGGTACCTTTGGATTAAGGTTAAAATCTTCTACCCAATCCCTGAACCACATTTCACCATCATCTGAAGGTAAAGTTTATTGCACATGATGAATAAAAAATAAATTTGTTTAAACAAATGTAAAACATTTGTTATCATAGCTATTATTATCTTATTATTGATGACTTGCCACTTATATTGAAATAGCTTTATAAAAGTGGATTTATAAATTTTCCTTCATCTATGTGCTTTCTAATACATCTACTTCTCAAGAGAAGTGCAAGAAATGCTTTGTTGTATGTAAGATAGATATGAGCAATGTCTTGCCACAGAGATATAAAAAGATTTTAATACTCAGCCTAAAACAATGTACTATTTATTACCAAAAGAGATATAAGAAATAGGAACCCTATGTCTCATCTTCAGCTTCCACATGAATTAATTCTGCCACTTGAGAAAAATTAGGCTAGGTTATATTCCATTCATCTGTGTGTATGTATGTATAAAGGAATTTGGGGATGATATATTTCTTTCTGCTGTTCTTTCCCTCTAGCCTATTTCCAATATTAGAAATCATGAAAACTTGTTTTAACTCATTGTATTACTCTCTATGACTTGTCAGAGGGTCCAGAGACTAATCTGATACATAGTCTTAGAAATCAGATGAGCATATATGTAGTTTTCAAATATTGGAAATAGGCTAGAGGAAGAGTATTGAAAATGAAGAGCAAAAATAAAATAAAGAGCAAAGAAATCCTAAATATATGTTATGCATAAGGATGTAATGGAAAAGTATATAATATAAACGTATATATATGTATTTTATATAACTAGAAAATCAGAAAGAAGGACAACTACAAGTATGCTAATCTAATTTCTAAGACTATATATGGAATTCATCTGTGAACTCTCTGACAAGTCATAGAGAGTAATACAATGAGTTAAAACAGGTTTTCAGCTGGGCTTGGTGGCTCATGCCTGTAATCCCAGCACTTTGAGAGGCCGAGGCAGGTGATCTCCTGAGGTCAGGAGTTCAAGACCAGCCTGGCCAACATGGTGAAACCCCATCTCTACTAAAAATACAAAAATTAGCTGGGCTCGGTGGCAGGAGCCTGTAATCCCAGCTACTTGGGAGGCTGAGGCAGGAAAATCATCACTTGAACCTGGGAGGCAGAGGTTGCAGTGAGCCAAGGTAGCACCATTTCCTGGGCGATAAGAGTGAAATTCCAACTCCATCTCAAAACAACAACAACAAAACAAAAACAAAAACAAAACAGGTTCTCCTGATTAGATGCAGTGCAACTCATCAAATGATATAAAACCAACCTCTCTCTCTCAACACATATGTATACATATTGACACATATGTGTTATGTCTACAGATACAGGCATGCAAAAATTAAATATAAATAATTTCAAGCTTTATTATTCATTTAATATAGTCATATTTTCAAAGAGCAAGTACATCTTTCAATAAAAGTAGAGTGTGAAAGCTCTTTGTGGCATCAAGTAATAAAAAATATTAAAATTGTGATTAGAAAATACACAGATTCAGAAAAATCAAGGTTGTGATGAAATATTAAATGTTTAATCTAGTATTATTCTAATTGCCCAAGAATAAGATAGTGCTATACTGGAAACCATAAATAAAGTAACATTTTTCTTTTTAGGGTTGTCTATATAAGGAAGAGTTGTATGGAACCATGAAATATATACTTAGCATAGATTTTTGTTTACAGTAGCCCCCTCCCATATCTGCAGAGGATATGTTCTAAGAACTGCAGTAGATGTCTGATACTGCCAATAGTATCAAACACTATATCTACTAAGTTTTCTCCTATGCATACATAGCTATGACAAAGGTTTGTTTTTTTTTTTTTCTTTTTGGTGGTTGTTGAGGCAGAGTTTCACTCTTGTTGCCCAGGCTGGAGTGCAATGGCGTGATCTCAGCTCACTGCAACCTCTGCCTCCCGGGTTCAAGCGATTCTCTTGTCTCAGCCTCCCAAGGAGCTGGGATTGCACAGTAAGAGATTAACAATAATTATAAAATAGAACAATTATAACAATATACTGTAATAAAAGTTATATGAATGTGGTCTCTCCCTCTGAAAATATTTTATTATACTGTACTTCCCCTTTTTCTTTTTGACCATAGGTAACTGAAACAGTGGACAGTGGGGACTATTGTATTTACACACCCACATAATACCCTTTAACTTTTGTGTAACAGGACTATAGTTTGCATAGGAAAATGCATTTTTAAATACCACCTTCACAGTAAAGTTTTTTTATTTTGCTTCCAACCCTTCCTTTTGTACTGCCTTCTAGAATGTTTTGGAATGAGACTTGTGAGCAAACACTATATGATGTTCTTCTTTGCATTACAGTGCCAAGTGCATGGTTGGCATACAGTATATTTGGTTTAAACAGATGAAAGAAGAAACAGTCAATCAAGGGAGTCAAGTGAAAAAGATTTGTCACTGAATACTTCCTTAGGGTTATAGATCCTGGGTCAATTCTAGAGAAGAGGATTTAGATCTCTGTCACTGCACAACAGCTCTGTGAATAGTCAGGTTCCCCACACCCAGTGTAAATTGGCCATGGCACTGGCTCTCAGATATGTCTTGCTTAGACCATTTATTTCAACTTTTTCAATTAGTTGCCAACATTAAAAACAAAGGCATATCACATAAAATTTAGAATTTGAGATTGTCTCAAAAAATCAAGTCTGGCCACCCTATGCCCAAAGTAGCTCAAACCAAGTTACTTCAAAATCCTGTTGCTCCCTACAGACAAGACATGTCTTCCAGTTCACCACTTCACTCCCCAATGACTTGTGCTCAGTCTTCGCTCATATACATTCATTCCAAAGCCAGTGCAGGCATCTGATTTTATAACTTCTGTTATTCACAAACCAGTTCTAACATTGAGACCAAGTCTCAGTTTTGATAATTACTAACAATGCAACCTTGAGCAAGTAATTTACCTTCATGGAGTCTAATTTCACCACCTATAAATCTGTGAAAGTTATCCCCTACTACATTATAGTGTTGCTGTGAGAAGTCAATGAGATTGTATAAAGAAAGGTTCTGTTAACTCTAAAATCCATATATATAAAGTAGCATTATTTTTGTTATTTAAACTATAGTAAGTAAAAAAGTGATCATCTGTAAATTATATTTCTAAACAAAATTGAAAACCCTTAGACTAATTAGTAGGAAAAGAAGACATGAATGTTAACAGTGAGTTAGATGTACCATTAAAAACTGGTGAATACTGAAATGCAAGCAGAGAATATGTCGTCAGACTTGGGGCTATTTTTGTCCAATACATTTATGTTAAAATAATTTAATCAAATGTAATGTTATTTAAGAAAAAATAAGGTCATGTTACTTTATTAAAATGAAGAATTCAGGGCAGACAGAATATATAAATATTTTCATTAGTTATTCCCAGCTCATCTATAAAATAAATATTTGCTTTCAGCATAAAAGAGTAATAATCAATTTTAAAGACAATTAATTTTTAAAATGTCATAAAGAAAAGTTACTGTGCTAGAAGTAATTTTATAATACAGAATTATAAAATTAAAATTGAAATATCACTGTTATCTAAAGTTTATCTTAAAAGAATTCTTAATTTTAAATGAATTTTTGTACTGTTTATTGAGATTGTTTTTGTTTCAGCCAAATTCTACCTTGGATGGCTAAATTAATGTATGTTAATATGTTCACATATAAAATATGTGCACACACACACAAACACATAGCCATGCCCTAGCTTTTAAAGTATCACTTAGTGTTTTCATGCATTCCTTCAGCCAAACTAGAAAGCAAAATAAAAGGGAAAGCCTCTATTTCTATTTTCTATTGTATATCTATTTTTATTTTATACTATCCCATGACTTAATAAAGCAATGTTTCTCAAACCTGGTTTTATTTTATAAAACAGATTTCAAAGCCATACCAGAACTACAGAATCAGGCTTTTTGAATGGTCCTGCTCAAGAATTTTTTTTTCAACTGCCCAGTTATTTCAAATTATAAATCTCTTTTGGAATCACTTTAGTGTTTTATTTGATGTGTAGTCTCAGCTGAATGCTGATAAACTGATTTTTCAATTTATCTAACAGAAAGACTGTTGAAAGACCACATTATAACTTTCTCATTAAGAAATAAACATATTTAGGAATAGAAAAAGCTTCTAAGATTCCTTTGCACACTGACTAATGTAACATGAAAGCTTGTGTTACCTGTCATCCACTGTCTAGACCCTTGTGATTAGCAAAAGGAAATGAGATATTCATTCCATACCTAAGGCCTTTATAAGAACAGCATGACTCCAGAAAATATAATAATCTCCATTTGATCCATAAAATTTCATGGCAATATCATTCTGAATCCATCCTAAACTGTAATTCTCTTCAATATATGCATGAATTACACATTCCAGTCACAGTACACATGGTTGAAACATGCTTAGTCAAGTGGATATTGGAAAATACACATATTTAACTTATGAGAGCCTTGCTAGAAAAATATGTTTAAATCGACCCAAGATCTTCTCATATATATGTGAAAAAAAACCTTACAGAAAAATAAATTACCTTTGAATGCTGTAGGGCACATTAAAAAATTATCTTTCTATGGGGAAAATATGGCCTTTTTGTAGGGAGAAAACATTACCAATTACATGGGCATAAGCCCTGAAGTTTCTTTGTCCTCCAACTCTATTTTTCACATAAACATTAAGTACACTTTAATATACAACTCTGAGCAATTCATTCTTGTAACCAAAGCAACAGCATGAACAAAAAATGCCTATTCCTCCGAGCTTTTGTTAAAACAAAGCTGAAACTCCTTAGTCTAACATCAAAAGTCAGTAAAATCTGACCTCCAACTACTTTAGGGACTACCGTGGCCACGCAGTATTTCAATTGTTTATTACAACAAAGTCAAAATTACAAGACACCAAGAGACTGAGATGTGTTTCACTCTCTATTTATGCTTTCCTCAATGTGGTATACAATAATGCCCAGATTTCCCTGGTACCTTTCCTGCCTGCTACCCGAAGTTGGAGTTCTCCAGCTGTACGAAATTAGCCCTAGACCGGGAGCTGTTTTCTCTGCAATCAGGAAATGGCCAAGGGCTGCCCTTGCTTTGGAACCCAGCCTCTGTGAATCTGGCAAAGTAAGAAAGAAGGTGTTCTCATCCTTTCACTACCTTGCCAATGGCAGAGAAAATATTCCCATCACGGCATCTACTCACAACTCTTATCTCAGGTATCGCATCATGCTCTTTCAGAAATAATAATTTTTAAACAGAATTTTTAAAGCAAGTATGATTTTTAAACCAAGAGGTACTTTCAATATGGAATTTACAAATGATGTTTGTTCTACAGTCTTTTTGCAGGCATGCAATTTGTCTTTGAGAAGAGGCACAAATATCTTGAAAAACCTTGCTTAAAAACAACAGATAATACTCATCATCTTTTAAATCCCATCTGCAACTCATAAGACAAAAACATCATTACACAGAGGGTCTCAGGCTCCACTTGGGGATTATTCCTGAGGTCTCCATAGTATCAGCTAAACTTTCCCAAAGTTTTTAATGCTACAGTTGACTCTTGAACAACCTGGGTTTAAACTGCATGGCTCCTGGGTTTAAACTGCATGGGTTTAAACTACATGGTTTAAATCTGCATGAAAATGCAGATTTTCTTCCACCTCTGCCACCCTGGAGACAGCAAGATCAACCATTCCTCTTCCTCTTCCTCCTTAGCCTACTCAGCATGAAAACAATGAGTAGGTGATCCACTTCCACTTAATGAAAAGTAAAAGCATCTTCTCTTCCTTATGCTTTTCATAACCATATTTTCTATTCTTTAGCCAACTTTATTGTAAGAATATGGTATATAATAGATGTAACATACAAGTTAGGTATTAATTGACTGTTTATATGATTGTTAAGGCTTCTGATCAACAGTAGGCTTGCAGATTGCATACTCTGTCAGTTTCTAATCTCGCTGAAAGCAGAAATCTTGCATCCTTTATCTTTGTCTAACCCATACCAATATCTTATCAATGATTTTTAGTGAATAAATGAATAAATGTTAGACAATGATTCACCTCCTAAAAGGCTAATCTTATTAAACTGATTTTTAACATGAGTGGATCTCTTTGGTTTAAAATAAAACAAAATTATACAATAAACTACTGTGGTAGTGACCTTAAATTTAAAACGATTTCATAAACTGAGTTAAAGAGAAGTCTCCACTATCCGTAACATAATAAAAGAAATACAGGATCTTTTCAACTGCTGCTCTGTCTTCCTTCCATGTATTTTTTATTATGTATTTTTCTTGCTTTGACTGCTGTTAGGTTTAGGGTCTATAATTATTAGGTCTTCTGTGACTTCACTGTTGTATGTAAATAACAATATGATATTGCAACAATTAGATACCAAAAACATGGAGTTAGCTTTTAATTTTGATTCTGCATGCTCAAAATGGTATTTCCAAAAGCAATGTACAAGCAAGGAAATTAAACCACCATATGGAAATTTTTTTGAGAGGGAGTCTAGCTCTACTGCCCAGGCTGGAGTGCAGTGGCATAATCTCGGCTCACTGCAACCTCTGCCTCTCAGGTTTAAGCGATTCTCCTGCCTCAGCCTCCCGAGTAGCTGGGATTACAGGCGCCCACCACCACACCCAGCTAATTTTTTGTATTTTTAGTAGAGACAGGGTTTCATTGTGTTGGCCAAGGCTGGTCTCGAACTCCTGACCTCGTGATCTGCTGGCTTCAGCCTCCCAAAGTGCTAGAATTACAAGCATGAGCCACTGCACCTGGCTGGAAAATTTCTAATATTCCAAAATCAATATACTGTAGTCATTCTCTGTTCTCTATTATTCAAACCATGATCTATGATTATCTTATTCACCTATTTGCTTACTTGTTTATTGTCCCTTCACCAATATCCATCCAGCCACCCCATTGCCACTAGAATGTAAGCTCTATGAGAGCAGGAACTACTCTGTGGCCTGAAAATAGTGTCTGGCATTATAAGAGTGACTCAATAAATCTTGAACAAGTGAATAGTGTCATCAGCCAACACTTTTCTTGCTTAAAATTATATTTTTGTGGCCATATTTGGTGGCTCATGCCTGTTATTCCAACACTTTGGGAGGCCGAGGTAGGAGGATTGCTTGAACCCAGGAGTTCAAGACCAGGCTGGGTAACATAGTGAGACCCTGACTCTACAGAAAATAAAAAATTAACTTGGTGTCGTAGCATGTGCCTATAGTCCCAGCTACGCAGGAAGCTGAGGTGGGAAGATCATTTGAGCCCACGAGGTTGAGGCTGCAGTGAGTTGTGATTGCATCACAGTACTCAGCCTGGGCGAGAGAGTGAGATCCAGTTTCATGAAAAAAAACATATATATATATATATATATATATATATATATATATATATGTTTTTTTTCATGGCACTGATATTACTTTTAGTCTAAAGTCACACAATATTAATGTTTTTACTTGAAACAAGCAACCAAGACTGCAAGAGGTCTCTGACAATGGTTCTTATTAGCCCAAGGAAGAGAAAGAGGAAACACAAGGAGCTAGTAGTGTACACTGTGCAGGTAATCCTGATTTAGAGAGCCTAGATTGTGGGATAGATACCCTGTGTGGCAACATGCTTTTTTTTTTTTTTTTTTTATCCCCAGAGACTGAGTCTTGCTCTATCACCCAGGCTGGAATGCAGTGGCGCGATCTCAGCTAACCACAACCTGCGCCTCCCAGGTTCAAGAGATTCTTGTGCCTCAGCCTCGCGAGTAGCTGGGATTACAGGCATGTACCACCATGCCAGGCTAATTTTTGCATTTTTAGTAGAGACGGGGTTTCACCATGTTGGCCAGGCTGGTCTTGAATTCCTGACCTCAAGTGATCCACACACTTCAGCCTCCTAAAGTGCTGGGATTACAGGTGTGAGCCACTGTGCCCGGAAAACAACATGCATTTTTTTTTTACAATAATTAATTTTATTGAAAATGCGTTTCCTTCACATAAACAGAATGTAATACCAGTCTTTAGAAAGCATTGTGTGTCTCACTGTCATTCATGTGAATATTAAGGGCCATGTCCTGTAAAACAGAAACAAATCCAAGTTGGCCCGGCAGTGGCTCATGCCTGTAATCCTAGCACTTTGGGAGGTCAAGGCAGGAGGATTGCTTCAGCCCAGGAGTTTGAGACCAGCCTGGCCAACATGGTGAAACCTTGTCTCTAAAAAAGAAATTTAAAAGTCAGCTGGGCGTAGTGGCCCATGCTTGTGGTCTCACCTCCTCAGGAGCCTGAGGTGGGAGGATCACTTGAGCCCGGGAGGTTGAGGCTGCAGTGAGCCATGACTGTAACCACTGCAATCCACCCTGGGTGACAGAACAAGACCCTGTCTCTACAAAAAAAAATTTCTGAAAAAAGGATTTCCTTGAGAAAGTCACTATTTGGCTTAAACAAGAAGTTATGCTGGGGGCCTGGCCTCTCATCTTTGATGTCTAGTTGACTCCCAGTACTTTCCATGACAGCAGCTGAAGACTGACTCTTAGGATCTCAAGTAACTTACTTTACCAGGGACAGGTACATTGACGTGTTGAATTCCCAGCGTCACTCCACCAGTTGTCTTTCTCCTTGCAGCCTTGAGGGCATCGTTAACACGGTGTGTGTCCTTGATTCTGTCAGCTGGTTTCCTTTGGACTTCATGCATTTTCCTGTTGCTAATTCTGCATCGATTTTCACCATAGTAAATCTTAGCCATGGTATGATGACAGGCTAAGTCCTGTGAGTCCTTCTAGTGAAATCACCAAACCTAGGACTTGTCACCACATGGCTTCTGTGTAGCAGGAGTCCAGGAGCTGCTGAACCTCCGCTCAGGGCCTCACAGGCTGCACTCAAGGTGTCAGCCAGGGCTGGGATCTCAACCGAGGCCCGCGGTCCTCCCCCGAGCGCACGTGGTTGTGGGCAGAATCCATCTCTTGCAGCTGTGGAGACCCTGGCCGTTTGCTTCTTTGGCAGCAGGAGGGGGCGGCTCTGCAGCTTCCGGCCTCTTAAAGGGCGCACCTGAGCAAGCCAGGCCCGCCCAGGTCAATCTCCCTTCTGATTAACTCCAAGTCACCTGCTCTGGCCCCACCAGCCCCTGGGTTTGCCTTTGGGGCGCCCATCCTCGCCTGGAGGGGAGGGTGCAGCCCGGGGGAAGGAACGGTCTCTGCTACCTTCCTCGGTGCTTCCGGGAAAGAGCACAACAGGCATTTTTAATAATTCCTCCTCAGGTGACTTTTTTTCATGGCAGAGTCAGAATTTGAAACCGGAGTCCATG
The DNA here is from genome assembly GCF_000001405.40 of Homo sapiens. Lineage (NCBI taxonomy): Eukaryota > Metazoa > Chordata > Mammalia > Primates > Hominidae > Homo > Homo sapiens. The sequence continues at coordinate 174,640,856 of NC_000003.12, read as the reverse complement.
CTCTCAACAATGGAGTGCCCTCTCCTATAACTAAATCATCCCAGGCTTTTAGTCTGCCCCTAGCAGCAAGCAATGCCAGCCCAGCAATTGCCTTTTTTATGCCTCAAGCACGCAGGCAAAATCCAGCTCATGCAGATGCAAAGGCCTGGCCCTGGCATCAGAAAAGCTAAAGGCAAAAAGGCCCCGAGGGCCAGACACCCTGGCCAGATTGGCTCTATCCAAGCCTTCCTGAGGGTTCTGGTCCTAAATGCAGCCCTGGGGCAAGTACCTTACCGGCTTGGCCTGGCTTGCTGGCCCACATTGTCAAGGCTAAGAGAGGAGAGGAGGGCAGAAGTCCATCCTATAAGGCTCCTCTGGGTGGAGGTGGACTCTTTCCCATTTTTCCCTTCCACACACACACACTGATCAATCTTCTATAAAATTGATCTGGGGAGCTTGCCAGTTTAAAGATATCATAGACAGCTGGAGATTAGCTCTTCAGACACATTTTACCAGGATTCCCTAGGATCACACAGCCTTTAAGGGTTGGACACCCTTTAAACCTCTCCTTTGAGGCACAGCTAAAGAGGAACTAATTCCCTGTTTTCTCACTGGCTTCCCTGCAGCAAACATTTGCCTACATGAGAAGCAGTTAAGGGCAGGAGCTAAGAGCATTAGTCTGGGAGCCGAGCTGCAGCTCAGGTGATTCTGATGGGCACCCATGATTGAGAAACGCTGCAGGCACTTTGGCATTTCTAGGCTAAATCATTATATACCAAGCTTCCCTCCCCCTAACGTGGATTTAAAGCATTACAAATAACAAGCTAACTTTGGGAGGAGGTTACAAGTTACAAAACACAGCCTGAGAGGTAATGGAGGGAAAGTAAGCACAAACACTTCAGAACTTCTAAACACCAGTTGCCTAACATGAGTTCTAGCAGAAAAAAATGACGCAAATTTTCGAGTTGCTTAAAAAAACTCGATTAAGTATTTAATATAGGTGGTAGTTGGTATCAAATTATTATAATATTTATATCCCACTGGATGCAGTTAATGACAATATTAACAAGATTTAGCAGAAATTACATTTGCAACAATAAAACATTAATAAAAAGTTTAGGTGTGATTTTTAAAATATGCAAGAAGGTACAGACTTTTTCAAAATTCTTTTCGGAGGTACATGAGCAAAAGCAGCTGTAGATCACTGGACTGTATGCAATGTTCATTTCTCCCTGCAGGCTGAGCCTAAGAATCAGGGTTTTAAAAAGCCCGCAGAAAGGCAAGTCCAGTGGTGTGTGCTGATAAAGGTTTAACCACCACTTCTGGAGGGGGAAAGGAAAGACAGTCAGGAAGCCCTAATTTGTAGCTTTTGCAGCGATGTAATTACTACTGCTAAATCTGATTTCAAACTCCCAGTGTGATGTCACTAAACACAAAGGCACTCTGCACAAAGTTGCGCAAAGACCCACAGTGAGGTCTAGCCACCTGGTGCCAAACAGCTCCCATACACCCCTGGGTCTTAGTTTGATTTTTCTTTGACTTTATGATATGGAAATTTCCATTACATTGAAAGAACTCAATAATAAATAAACATACAGGTGAACAAAGTTTTTGTATAAAGCATTTAAGTTATTTAGAATTAATGTATACCATGATACCACACAACTTTAATTAAGCCAACCAGAAAATAACAGAAATTCTTAACTAGCCACGGGAATTGTCAAAAATTCAAAAGTTGAGTAAGTCAAAGGTGCTACTTGAAAGAAGAGCTAACTAGAAGCAGGTACAGAACTCATTACCCAGAGGGAGACAAGAGATGACAAAAAGAGCAATCACAAGAATTCCAAAAGTCAGAGCAACCCAGGGCCATTAAAAGAAAGGGCAAAGAGTTCTAGCTCTCCAAATCATCTAGAAAGACATGCTTGTGTTGGAGCAGACAGCAAAATAGATATTTGATAATTATACCAACCTCAAAAACTCTTAAAGAAGCAAAGCAGTAAAGGAGGAAAAACACGTTCTTTACACATGGTTTAATGAAGCTATAAAATAGTGAAAAACATTTTTCTCAAGAATGAATACATTAAAGTGTCTCTCCCTAAGTATTTATTGGAAAATTCACTGATGTGGAAAAATTCCTTCACCAATTTTTCTGAATCCTGTTAATATGCAGCATGCAAAAACATATTTTTATAGTTGCCTTTATTATGTCTCTCATCTGAAAATCTTAGTCTTCTTAATTGATTATATTCATAGTGTTAACATAATATTATCAAGTTTTTTTTAAAAAAAAACCTGACCCTCCTTCTTCAACATCTCCTATGCCATAGTTATACTTCTAGTTATGCTATTTTCTATGTGCAAAAGGCTGTTTACCTCTACTTCATCCTTGACTGACATTTCCAGCTTCACCTCAGATGCATCAATCTGTTTAGCCTTCCATGAAAAAGTCCAGCCAGAGTTAGGGTCCTTTGTCCCACATCTCCCTATGTGTGCCTCTATTACATTAATAATGAAATACTATATTGTAAAATTGGTCTTCACTAAATTCTGTTTCTTAACAACACAAAAACATTTCTTGGTCTTTTTGTTATCTCCATGGCCTACCAAAAAGCCTATATAAACTAGATTCTCCATAATTACCTACTGAATGAAGGCCATGCAGAGAAGTCTTAAAATCTTGCCATTGTGATTACAATAAGACAATAAGCTCATATTGTGCATTTTAATAAGCAAAAACACAGTAAATATTTTTATTTAAATTATATCTACATGCAATAAAAGGCAGTCTGTTTGAAGGTGTGAAATTCAATCATCAGCCTATTACTATGATATTATTTGAAAATGCTACTATTGGTGCATTTCATTGATACTTATTTCTTTATTTTAAATAAATATGAACACTTTGAATATTTAGAAATGCAAGGATAGATTACCCATTTTGATTATTTCTGACACCCTACTCATAAATCACCAAGTTATTGCAACAAAGCCATATTTCTGTAAACATGACTTGAAAAAAAATAAAGTTTTAGCAGAGGAAATCAAGACTTGGCTTTATAAAATCCCCAAATATGTACATACAGATATACATGTGTATTTTTCTATAAATGAAAATTGGATCAAAATAAATGTACCGTTTTGTATTTTTAACATAGAATTATATTGTGAATATTTCTTCTATCCTAAACTCATGAAATGTCCTGAAAACTTGCATAATGTTCAATATATAGATATGCTTTCCATTATTTAACTGTTCTCCTATATTTGGACAGTGTTCACAAATAAAAATATTCTTCAGTGAACATTATGAATTTTGTACATCATTCTGATGATTTAGGCTAAAAATCCTTTTATTGCTGTTTTATTTTTTTTCTAACCAGTGGGCAGTTTTTATTTTTAATTTCTTTTGATACATTCATTATATTTGTATATATTTATGGGGTACATGTGAAATATTATTAAATTTATCAAATGCATAAGTATTCATTGAGGATATTTAGGATATCCATCAACCAAGTATTCATCATTTATATGTGATGAGAACATTTAAAGTCCTCTCCTTTAGTTATTTTGAAATATACAATACATTGTTGTTACCTATAGTTACCTTACTCTGCTATAAAACATTAGAACTTATACCTTCTATCTAACTGTATGCTTCTACCCATAATCAATCTCTTCTTATCACCACTCCCACCTACAATACACCCTTCCCTGTCTGGTATCTATCATTCTACTCTCTATCTCCATGACATCAACATTTTTCACTCTCATATATTAATGAGAACATGTGATACTTATGTTTCTGTGCCTTGCTTATTTCATTTAACATAATGACTTCCAGTTCTATCCACGTTGCTGCAAATAACATGATTTCATTCTTTTTAATGGCCAAATAGTATTCCATTGTGTATATATACCACATTTTGTTTATCCATTCATTTATTGCTGGAAACTTATGTTGAGTTCATATCCTTGCTGTTGTGCATAGTGCTGCAATAAACATGGGAATGCAGGTATGTCTTTGACATGCTGATGTATTTTCCTTTGGATAAATACCTAGTAGTAGGATTTCTGGATCACATGATCGTTCTATTTTTAGTTAGTTTTTTTTATTTTTTTGACAACTCTCCATATTGTTTGCCATAATGGCTGTACTAATTTATATCTGCTTCAACAGTGTGTGAGAGTTCCCTTTTCTCTGTATCCTTGCCAACATCCGTTCTTTTTCTGACTTTTTAATACTAGCCATTCTAACTAGGGTAAGATGATATCTCATTGTGGTTTTCATTTACATTTCCCTGATGAACAGTGATGTTGAGCATTTTTTCATACACTTGTTGGCCATTTGTATGTTTTCTTCTGAGAAATATCTGTTCATGTCCACTGGCCAGTTTTTAATGGTATTATTTGTATATTTTTACTGTTGTTTGAGTTCCTTGTATATTTGGGATATTTTCTCCCACTCAATAGGTTGTCTTTCCACTTTATAGATTGTTTCTTTCACTGTGCAGAATCTGTTTAGTTTAATATAGTCTCATTTGTCAGCTTTTCTTTTTGTTGCCTGTACTTTTTGAGGTCTTAGCTATAAAATCTTTGAGTAGACCAATGTCCTTCAGAATTTTCCTTATGTTTTCTTCTAGTAGCTTTATAGTTTCAGGTATTATGTTTCAGTCCTTAATACATCTCGAGTTGATTTTTGTATGTGGTGAAAGATAGGGGTCCAGTTTCATTACTGTGCATATGGTTATCCAGTTTTAAGCATTTATTGAAGAGAGGGGTGTCACTTGAGTATTTTGTTCAGCCTTCAACATGGAAAAAAAATAACACTTGCATTTCCATATTTTTCTGGCTATTTTTGAGTCATGATATGAATATTATGGACAGTAAAATAAATCTGAATTTTCAACTATTAAATCACAAAAACTTAGGACAATAGAATTCTGAGGGTATTATCTAGATCCTTCTATGACTATCTCTCACATCACATATAAAAATGTCATCAATAGGTAAAGACTTCCTAAAGAGATTGCAAAAAATAGTATCATTTAGTAAACAATAACAATGTGAATATCGTCCAGACGTGGTGGCTCACGCCTGTAATCCCAGCACTTTGGGAGGCCCAAACAGGCACGTCACCTGAGATCAGGAGTTCCAGACCATTCTGGCCAATATGGTGAAACCCCGTCTCTACTAAAAATACAAAAATTAAGTGGGCATGGTGGCACATGCCTGTAATCCCAGCTACTTGACAGGCTGAGGCAGGAGAATTGCTGGAACCCGGGAGGCAGAAGTTGCAGTGAGCCGAGATCGCGCCAGAGCACTCCAGCCTGGATGACAGAGCAAGACTCCATCTCAAAAAAAAAAAAAACCACAACCACCACCACAACGACAATGTGAATATCAAAATGTAACAGTGTTTCAAATAAATTTTAATTTTAAATAACACTATTTAATGGCTAATAACCTGTAAAAATAAGTTAGTAGATAGCACTTAAAAACATTTGAGTAACTATTATCAAGGCACTTTCAAAGCTACAGAGAACAAAAAAATATAATCCTTACCTTTTAGAGCTGGAAATCCATGTAATGATTAAGTACTCTAAAATTAGCCACTTAGGTTAATAACAGATGGTCAGTACACTCCAATTTCTATACGATGCCAATGAATATATACCTGATGTTCAAAATGAAGATGACTGCCATGGAATGAAACAAGCATTGGGCTTAAAATGAGAAGGTCACTACACAAAATAATTAAGATACAAACATTCAAATGTTTACATGTTCAAAGATTAGTGTGTTTGGGAATGTGTACCATAAAACAATTTGAAGCAAGATCACATTTTTGTCAATATTGTTTAAAATATCAAAATAGTATTAACAGGAGAAACCCAAAACAGTACATCTGTTTAAAAATCCTACTAATTAAAATTTTCCAGTGATTAAAATCTCAATAAATACAGAAAATAACACTGCTTACATCTATAACAACTTGAAACACTATTATAAACATTGTCATATTTAAATTCACAACCCATCAAAAAATGACAAAATTATTTTAATAAGGAGTAAAAAAGTTAAAAAGTAAAACTGAATCATTTATGAAAATACACATCTATTGTGTATCTATCCAAAATAAAGAAATTAAAAAGTGAAGAAGCATAACAACTAATTTTATTTTCTAGTCATTGGTCCACTTTAGCCTATCATCCTACAGACCATATAATATACACCTCTACAAAGAGAACATGAAAGTCTTATATTCTAAGGTCATGATGGGGATCTGTCATGACTACCATCCAAAAGCAAGTAAATTTGCAATAATATGTAAATAAGTGTATTTGAGAGTAGGGTATATTCAATAGTCGATTTTTTTTTTACATCAAATGCAACTGTTCAACTGAGTAGAAGTTGCATTTTTAAAATAGTGGCATTCAAATAGGCCCAAACTCTGTCAACCAACTCTAGGACTGTGCACAATAGTATTGATCTATAACTCTGCTCTCTTACATTTACTAGATGATTTTTAAAATTGGACAGACATTTCACACACAAAGATTTGTGGAGGTAGAAGCTTAATATATAGCCTTCAAGTAGAATATGATCTTCTGGATCACAAACTTTATGATTTTTTAAAAGTCAAAGGAAGAGAGGGAACAGGAAAGGGTATTAATATTTTCTAGGTTCCTTATATAACAGCCATAGGAATTGCAACATCTATTCTGAAAACTCAACAGCTAAACTTACATATTTGCTTCAAACTTGAGATCTTTAACTCATCCGTAAGTAATAAATATGTATTTGTTGGCACCAAAAAATAAGGTCCAGATCTTTACATAATTTAATCATCTGAGCAATTCAATAAAGTTAGTATTATTACTTCTGTTTTACAGGTAACAAAATGAATTATTCAAGGACATTAGATAATTTATCCAAAATCATACAATTTACTGGTTAGTAGAGTCAAATGCAGAGCATCTTAGCTCCAAGTCTATGCTCCTTAGAATGCACCCTACTAACTCCCCTATGGAAAAGCTGCACTTGGCAAGACTCTTCATTTAATGATGAATCATGGACAGAAGAAAAGCAAACTCTTTTCTGGTATCTAAAGCATTAAGATTCAGTAGTCAATCACATCACATCAAATCTAGCAACTCCAGTTTTTCACTGAGGAAACCCTGGCTTCTGAGAGTAAGGTGGCAGATCCCAAAGTAATTTGCCTCTAAAAGGAAGGAGTCTATTACCTTGCCTTAAATAATGCAGCATTCAGTTATTACTTCCTGGCAGAGTGACAGTTTAAGCACAAGGCATTAAAAAACTGTTTTCTCCTGTTCTAGCTATCTGTTATTTATTGCCTCATACACTACTTGTCTGGAAGTGATGGATAAATATTTGAAGGGAAAGATGCATCATTCTGGATGCTCCATGAAATTCAAGATGGATAAAAGTCAATGTTTCAGGCTCATCTATTTTTAGCTTTCTCCCAGTAATAAGGTAAAACAAAGCTTTAAGTGTTTTAAAGACTCTTCTAGTAAAAACATAAAGGCTTTATCAGTTTCTGTATCCATTTTTAAAGAATAGTTTTGATTCAATTTTTAAGGAATAATTATATTTTTAAGTTTCGGAAAAAACATAAATGTATCTGAAACAAGCAAATTATCTTCCTGAACACAAGATTTTAAGACTGTTTTTTTTTGTTCTCTGGATTATGTTTTTACATGTCAAATGCCAAAAAAACGGCAACCAAATACTGGTAGTATCAACTCAGTCACATGCTAGTTCCATGATCACAAAGTGAAATAACAAATTTCATATCAAAAAAATCTCATTTAAAAACCAAAATTATTTATAACAATAAACATTCATTAAGCACTTACTGTACTTTGAGCCAGCAATTGCGCTGATTTTCTTTTTTCCTTTTTTTTTTTTTTTTTTTTTTTTGAGACAGAGTCTTGCTCTGTCTCCAGGCTGGAGTGCACTGGCGCGATCTCGGCTCACTGCAACCTCCACCTCCCGGGTTCAAGTGATTCTCGTGCCTCAGCCCCCTGAGTAGCTGGGATTAGAGGCACGCACCACCACACTCAGCTATTTTTTGTATTTTTAGTAGAGATGGGGTTTTACCATATTTGACCAGGATGGTCTCGATCTCCTGACCTCGCAATCTGCCTGCCTCAGCCTCCCAAAGTGCTGGGATTACAGGCATGAGCCACTGCACCCAGCCTGTGCTGATTTTTTTTAACAGGTGTCAGCATTAAATGTTATTGTTCTTCCTCCTGAAATCTATTGCCTATCCTCACCTCCTTTAGGTCTTCACCCAAAATGAACCCTGAATAAAAATTTTCCTTATCAACATACTTAAAATTACAAGCCCCATTCCAGCATTTTATCTTGTACTTCCTTCTATTTTTTGCTTTTATAGAATTTATTAACATTAAGCATAGTATATATTTTACAAATGTATTTGTTTATTGCCTATTTCCCCGAACTTTAATGTAATCAACGTGAGGGCATGACTATTTTAATTATTTGCTTATTAGTTATTTAAAACTCCTCTCTTTACTGCTCAAAGCCTGGATAGAGCACGGTCAATAGTCAGTACCCAAAAATGTTGGTTTATTGAACGTGTTTAGCGTTTTTAAACAATCCTTTAACATAGTATTAATCCACTTCGTTGAAGAAACTAAGTCTGAAAAGTCATAAAGCAAATAACTACTCAGGCAGGTTTGCAGACTCCCAAGGTCAAGCCTCTATTCACTACACTGCTTCTCAATAAAAGATTCACCCCAACCAAAGGTTGTCTATTTTGTTCTACAGATTTATATCTTTGAATAAATTATGAACAAGTCTAGAAGTTACAGAAAGGGAATATATCTTTTAAATGCCCTTCATGACTGATCCTCTTTCAGAAGGTCATTCACTTTGAATGAGCATGTAAGTCTGGAAGGGACACAAATGGTGTGGTAAAAGAGACCGGAGATCAGCTCAGACCATCTGCATCAACCCTGGAAATCAATGTGTTGACAGATGTCACAGCTAGTTTTCTCTCAGATCCAGTAACCTGAATGTCATGAAACATTTGCTGAGACAAGAAAATGTTATACACAATATTTAAGCTTATGTAAGGACTTTATTTGAGAGAAAAACATAGTGAAAAGTTACAGATATTTGGAGCCTTCACACCTCATACAACATAAACTTAATAGTACACATAGCCACTCTGCAATATATATTTGTCTTGTTTATGTTTTTCTATATTTCTTGTCTTGTCCATTTGGAAAATAAAATCAAGCAATTCCATTTTCCATTACACCAACACATATACCCACTTTTATTATTTTCCTGCTTTCAAACAATAATGAGAGCCACAAGCAAAGATTAGTTAACATTTCAGGAACTTGATGGGAAGAATGCATTTTGTCATTGCAGAACAGAAAGAGATGATTAGGTTCAGAAAACACCAAACTCAAAAAAGTATCTTAGCTACAGGGAATAGTGAAAGAATCAATAATCATCCAGCAGATCCTACTTTTCCTACTCACTGTTTTCTTCCCACCACTCACATAGACTACAGTGAGAAGGTTAGGGTAATGTTGGTAAAGATTTTAAGACTGGAACATTATAGTCAATATACTTAAGCAACTTTTTAGAAAGATTGCCTGAACTGTTTTGTATACACTGTAAATGCTTTCTTTACTCTTTATGATCTATGGAATAAGTCAGAAGCAGGATTTGACCACATACAGTAAACAACATGTAATCATGAGAAACAGAATCTGACCACTAAGGGATAATAATAATATGTGCAGAATCTATAGGAAGTAAAAGTTGTTACTCCCTAGACTTTACTAGTCACACAAAAGAATATCATGCCATAACAGGCTCTTCTGGAGTGGTGTGTGAAAGGTACGGCAAAATATAGACCCAAAATCCCTTCTGAAAGTGAAAAGAGGTTGAATGAACTGATTCTTTACCCAGGGTAACTGGAAATTATTTAACTGGCCCCAAAGAGGTTCTACTAGGAAGACTCTCATTTAGCTTTACAAGCTGACAGATCTCACCTGAAGCCAAGGTGACTGTAAAATATGTAATGCAATGACATGCTGGATATAGGCTACAGCTTTCAAAATCTGTTGTAATTCACCTCCATCTTTCTCTTTGACAAATTCCTTAGTAAACATAGACGAAGCTGTTGAAGTGATAAATGTAATTATTTATAACCCTTTCCCACTCCCCCAACTGACTTCTTTACCAATAAATTTGGAATAAGTCAAAACCTTGGCAAAGGTAGTGGTTGAGAATAAAGAAAGATACAGCCTGAAAAGGTAACCGTGAACCATGATGCAAATGTTTGAACATTTTATTCCACTCCTGTTTTTTTGAATGGGGAAAATACCAGGAAAAGTAAGGATAAATTTTGTAAGCATAAACATATCATAAATCTATGCAGAAATCATACTGGCTTATAAATGAGCTTTTAAAAAATTTTCACATTTTGTTATGAATTATGACAAAAATGTATGACCCAGGTTTTCTCTAAAACAGGAGAAATAAAGTGCTCTTATATACTCCAATTAAAGACCAATTCTTTGCCCTTTCTCAAAAAGGCAAAAATACCTACTAAATATCTAAGTAGTGACTTCAAAGAAAGTCAAAAAATGATAAATAATGAAAATCATGCTTTAATGGTGTTATTAAATAATATTGTATTTTAATCAACAAAATGAAAAATTATTATATTTGTTTCAGAAATATGCAGTTTAGTTTTTAAATTAGTAAGCATTATAGACATAATGCATTACCTTTCATTTATACTATGGGAAAGATATTAAAAAGTAAGTACTATGCCATAATATACATAAACCTGCCCCAAATGGTATATTACGTTGAAAGTTTTCGAGTGACATCAACCAAATTTCTTTATGCACAACATTACGCTAATAAGCTACCCTTTCAACTTCAAAATTCCAAAGCTAATCAGTCATTTGTGGTCCAGGGCAAAATTGCTCATTTTCTTGCCCATTTATCAAGAACTACATACTTAGCTGAATATTGGCTTTGTGTGCACAGGACTCACATAGTCTCTGTAACATACGCATACATACGTAGGTAAAAGTCAGTGAAGGAAGAAATAGCTAAGCCCCTCAAGAAAAGCTCAAATAGAGATGAGGGCAGGCCCTGCAGAAGGGAGCCACTTGTTGAATATGAAAAGATATAACGGTATCAGATTTAGGATTTGAAAGCATATACCTTCCTGAAAGATGTTTGTTTGAAATGTTTTACCCTTCATTAAAAGCATATTATAAATACACTACAAAATAAAATTACAACTTCAAATGTATTATGATTATGGAATTCACTTTCACATTCTTCATACATTGTGTGCAAATCAAAAGAGTGATTCTGTATATGTCTCTAAAGACTTACTGAGAAGAATTAAATAGAACAAACATCAAAAGATAAAGGAATTGTTTAAGCCAATGACCAAGCTATTTATTTTTCTCTATTCTGAAACACAGGTGCTGTTTTTGAAAGATAAATTGCTTTTAGGCACTTGTTCAGACCTCATCATAAGGGCATGGTAACTAAATGTCATACCCCTCGAATTAATCAACTACAGACTCACTTAGGACCCTAAAAACAACTCTTCTATGTTTCTAGTATTTCTTTCTACACAAAGGAAAATCAACTTGTTAAATATAAGCATAACTGCCCCTAAATAATGTAATTGCCTCATCTGTACATTCACCTGTTTCTGTGATAGTAAGAATAATGGTTTGTCACTAGTGATTCACTATAGAAGGCTGACTTTTGAGGGTTTCATTTAATAGAATTTTTTATTTAGCAGGACTAAACACAAGTTTAACAACAATTAGTTTTATAACCTGGTCACTGTTTTTCTTTGTCTTCAACCACACAGATATTTTAAGATCAACTATCAGAAATAAATACAAACTGTTCATGGGAAGAAAAGAATAAATGAGTCATCTCACCTTACACATATTCCTTAAAAAGTTCCTCGATCAGGGTACACACAGGGCTGAAAAATTAATCTGACAGTGAAGAGAACCAATATGCTTATAGGGAAAATCACTGAATGAGAACAGAGAGATACGAGTATTAACAGTTGTATATAATGCACAAAAAAAGTGGTTAACTCTCAGAAATAATGCAATAGTGCTATAAAAGGTTAGAAAAGGAGGAAACAATAATAGCTCTGTCAGCATGAACCTTTCTTTCTTCATACTATGGGAATACCTTGATAAACCAAAAAGCAAGAAACATTTGGAAATCCAGCAATGTGAACTTGATTAAGCCATTCAATCTGTTTGGGTCATAATTTTCTTATGTATAAAAACAGGGAATAGAAATAGATAATCTTTTTTTTTTTTTTTTTTTTTTTGAGACAGTCTCGCACTGTCACCTGGGCTGGAGTGCAGTGGCGCCATCTCAGCTCACTGCAACCTCCGCCTCCAGGGTTCAAGCGATTCTCTCACCTCAGCCTCCCAAGTAGCTGGGATTACAGGTGACTACCACCACACCCAGCTAATTTTTTGTATTTTTAATAGAGACGGGATTTCACCATGTTGGCCAGGCTCGTCTCAAACTCCTGACCTCATGATTCGCCCGCCTCGGTCTCCCAAAGTGCTGGGATTACAAGCGTGAGCCACAACGACCGGCCAGAAATAGATCATCTTTAAAATCATTTTCCACTCTATGACTTGTATCTTCAAAGACTTGAGGAATTAAGCTTTCTTTCTTAACAACAATTATGTTTAATTTATATTTTTGTAGATTTAGGGGTACAAATACACTTGTGTTACATGGATATATTGCACAATGGTGAAGTCTGGGCTTTCAGTGCATCCATCACCTGAATAGTGCACATTGTACCCAATACATAGTATTACATCCCTCACTCCCGTCTCACCCTCCCAGCTTTGGACGTCTCCCGTGTTTATTATTCCACTCTGTGTGGCTGTACATACCCATTGTTTAGCTCCCACTTATAAATGAGAACATGTGCCTTTTTTCTGTTTCTGAGTCATTGCACTTATGACAATGGCCTCCAGCTCCATCCATGTTGCTCCAAAAGACATGATTTCATTCTTTTTAATGGCCAACTAGTATTGTGGTACTGTGTGCCTACACATACCACATTTTTAATCCAGTCATCTGTTGATGAACACAGGTTGATTTCATGACTTTGCTATTTTGAAGAGTGTACAAAAAACATACACGTGCAGGTGTCTTTTAATAAAATGATTTCTTTTCCTTTGGATAAAACACAACATGCAGTAGTGGGATTGCTGGATCAAAGTTTAGTTCTATTTTTAGTTCTTTGAAAACTCTCCATACTGTTTCCCACAGATGTTGTACTAATTTACATTCCCCAAAACAGTATATACGTGTTCCTTTGTCTCTGCATCCTTGCAGGTGTCAGTTGTTTTTTGACTTTTCAATAATAGGCATTCTGATCTGTGTAAGATGGTATCTTTTTGTGGGTTTAATTTGCATTCCTCTGATGATTAGAGATGCTGAACTTTTTTTTCATATTTCTTGGCCATATGTACTCTTTAAAATCATTTTCAACTCTATGACGTGTATCTTCAAAGACTTAAGGAGTAAAGGTTTCTTTCTTTACAAGAATATTATTTAGGAGAACACTTTTTTCAGACTTTCTTGAAATAATTTATTCACTGCTCCATTACTTCAAAATACTATTATACTACAGATATCTGATAGATTCATACTTAATAATTTGCACATAAATATAAATGACTTAACTTTTAGATCCCTAAGGTCACAGACCATGAACCATAAGTATCCAGTACTAAAAAGTCTCAATAAATTGGTACTGCATGAATGAAAGAATGAGAGTATAGGACAATGGGTGTTAATAGTTTTATGAATAAATGAATCATCTTTGTAAACTATCCACATTTTAATAATATGTATTTTTAATTATCAAGTATATAGGGACATTATACATGAAAAAATGTGTGTCTCATATCAGCTTGCTTAAGACCATTATTCTAAAATTGGTATTAAGAATCCTGAATGTTCATTAGAAATAAATGAAAAAGCGCACTTTCATTTCTTGCTCTATACAGCCAAATAAATTCTAGAGAGATCAAAAATTTTACTGGAAAATAAAACTTTAAAATACAATAATAAATTATTATAGTAAATATTCTGTATACTCTTTAGCTAAAGGTGCTGAAAGCCTCTTTTACAACTATGAAGAAGGTTGATACATTTGGGTGCTTAAAAATTGTAATAGCTATATGGAAAAATGTTACTATACACAATACTTCAAAAATAAAATGGGAAAATGAGCACACCCGACAGACAGGGTTATTTTTTCAAGACAAAGACACTCTTGTAAACCAAAAGGTGAAAACCCAACATACTAATAAAAAATTAAGCAAAGGCATAAATAGGTAAGTCATCAAAAAATGCTGGTCAATTAATTATAGTTCAACTTCATTATATCCAAAGAAATGTAACTGAAAATAGGAATAATTGTTCCTATTCCTATCAGGTTGATAAAGATGAAAAATATGACAACACTCAGAATTATTGAGGGTGTGAAAAAAATCATGCACAATTGGTAGAATTTTTTATGACACTGTACAGTATATTTGAATTTAAAACTAACTCTACCCTTTGACCCGAAATCTCATTACTAAATCTTTTCAAAGGAAATTGGATAGTAAATTACAAAAATATCCAATGCAGTGCATGATACCCATTTTGGTCAGATTACCAAAAAAAAAAAAAAAAAATCTATAGTTATACATATGCATAGGAATATCTAGTTGTGCACAATAAATATATTTGAATTAGTGAAATGAAACCATTTTATTTTATATTTGAATACATTTTAATTATAGAAATTTATAAACTATGTAAAAGCATAAATGATAAAATGACTTAACCTGTATTCCACAACTTAAAGATATTAACATTGTGAAGAATAGTAGTCCTCCAGTATTTTTCAAATGAAGTATGTATATGCGCACAGGTGTGAATATTTCCATAAACCCCAATTGCAATTAAATGTATATATAGTTCTGCATCACTTCTCAACATAACATATTGTAAACATTTTTTGTTATAAAATATTCCTTGAAAGCATTATTTTTGAGAGTTGGGTAACATCATATAGATTTAATGTCAATTATTTAACTATTCCTTTCTACTTGGACATTTTTCACAAGTATAAATGTATTTCAGTGAACAATATGTAATTATTTTGTGTACATTTCTGATTATTTAGGATTTTAAAATTATAATATATTAAATATTTTATTTCAAACTAAAATGTTTTGTATCACTTGGATTTTTTTTTAGGTTAGTGTTATTTTACAAAAAGAAAATGTTCTCAAAAGAAAAAAATGCCAAATTTTCAGTATTTTATGGGTTTTTATTTTTAGTCATAATATGATTAACATAGAAAGTAAAAAGTAATTATTTGAATTTTCTGTGTACAGCCATTACATCAAATAAACTTATAGGCCAGGCGTGGTGGCTTATGGCTGTAGTACTAACACTTTGGGAGGCTGAGGTTGGCAGATCACTTGAGCACAGGAGTTGGAGACCAGCCTGGCCAACATGGTGAAACCTCATCTCTACTAAAATACCAAAATTAGCTGGGAGTGGTGGCGTGTGCCCATAGTCCCAGTTACCTGGGAAGCTGAGGCAGGAGAATCACTTGAGCCTAGGAGGCTGAGGCTTCAGTGAGCCATGATTGTACCACTGCCCTCTAGCCCAGGTGACAGAGAAAGACCCTGTCTCAAAAAAAAAAAAAAAAAAAGAGAGAGAGAGAGATAGCAATAAATAGAATTCTGAGGACATTATCTAGATCATTCTAGATCATATGTACTACCTCAGACCCTGCATGAAAACGCTACCAAGAGAAAAAGACTTTCTAAAGAGAATGCAGAATATAATTTTCTTAAATTAAAAATACTAATGTGAACATCAATATGTAACAGTGTTTCAAATAAACTACTTAATTTCAAATAATGCTTATTATTGGCTAATAGCCTGAAAAAGTAAATAAACAGCACTGAAAAAATTTTTGAGTGACTACTAACAAGGCACTTTCAAAGTTACAAATGAAAATGGTAATCCTACCTTTTAGAGCTTGCAATCTAAATAACTATTAGTTATTTTGAAATGAACAGTTTTTGACATAAGATCACAGTAGTCCAATCTCCACATGATGCCAACTTTTTTTTTTTTTTTGAGATGGAGTCTCGCTCTGTCGCCCAGGCTGGAGTGCAGTGGTGTGACCTCAGCTCACTGCAACCTCCACCTCCCGGGTTAAAGCAATTCTCCTGCCTCAGCCTCCCAAGTAGCTGGGATTACAGGTGTGTACCACCACTTCTGGCTAATTTTCATACTTTTAATAGAGACGGGGTTTCACCATGTTGGCCAGGCTGGAATTGAACTCCTAACCTCAAATGATCCACCCGCCTCCGCCTCCCAAACTGCTGGAATTACAGGCGTGAGCCACCGCGCCCGGCCCCGATGCCAACATTTTTATCTCTGTTGCTAAAGATGGAGAGGACTGTCATGTAATGCAATGTGCACTGAATTTAGAAGACCAGAATTAATATTATAATTCTAAAATGGTCTGTGGGTCCTTGAGCAGTTTTTCTTACTTTTCTACCATTTTTTTTCAGTGTATAAGCTTACAGAATTATTATTATAAGGAAATGAGATATGATGTTTATGCAGAAATGTTTTCTCAATTGTAAAATTTTAAGCAAATGTAAAACATTTTAAAATATCTTAAAATAAGACATCTAAGTGTTTTCTGAATAATATTTTAAACTATGCTTAGAAAAATATTATTGTAAGTGAATTTCATTCTAATTTTCATTATTTCACATTAAACATAATGCTAATCCAAATATACAACTAAATCGATCACTCTACTTTCCAAGTAACTTTGGATGGATTGCACTTTATAAGGTTTTATATAAAGTAAATTGGCTCCTATTTACATGGTAGAAGGAGATTCTGTATCACCTTCTGTAAAAATCCATTAATAAGATTTCTGAATCTATGTGGTTTCTGATAATAAAAGCATCAAAAATATTCAAGAAGTTGACTATACACTTAGAAATCAGAGCAATTTAAAGAGACAACATAGTTGACCCTTCAACAACATGGGTTAAACTGCATGGGTACACTTATACACACTTTTTTTTAATAAATACATTGCAAAATGTTTTGCAGATATGCAACAATTGGAAAAAAATCTCACAGACGCACCATTTATTTAAATATTTATAAATATTTAAATATTTTAAAAATATTTCTAAATAGCCTAGAAATATTTTTAAAAATAAGAAAAAGGTATGTAACAAATGCATAAAATACATGTATATACTAGTCTATCATTTAGTACCATAAAATATACACAAATCTATTATAAAAAGTTGAAATTTCCTAACCTACACACACAAACCCTTACTGTATATGGTGCCATTGGCAGTCAGAGAAATGTAAACAAATGTAAAGGTGCAGTATTAAATCATAACTGCATAAATTAACTCTAGTACATATTATGTAATAATTTTGTAGCCCCTTCCTGTTGCTATTGCTGTAAGCTTAAGTGTTCCAAGTATCTGCTTAAAATGCTGTGGATGCTAATCAATGTGAACAGTTCATCTCTCCAGTAAATTGTGTATCCCAGTAAAAAGTGATCTCTTGCAGTTCTTGCATATTTTTCATTGTGTTTGAATAACACCATGGGACCCATATGAAGTGCCCCTAGGGATGCCCACCATTTCAGACAGATGAGTCCTCTTTTTTTTTGAGACGGAGTCTCACTCTGTCGTCCAGGCTGGTGTGCAGTGGCGCGATCTTGGCTCACTGCAAGCTCCGCCTCCTGGGTTCACGCCATTCTCCTGCCTCAGCCTCCCCAGTTGCTGGGACTATAGGTGCCTGCCACCACGCCTGGCTAATTTTTTGTACTTTTTTTAGTAGAGGCGGGGTTTCACCAAGTTAGCCAGGATGGTCTCCATCTCCCGACCTCGTGATTCGCCCGCCTCGGCCTCCCAAAGTGCTGGGATTACAGGCGTGAGCCACCGCGCCCGGCCCGATTCCTCTTACTAAATGAATGACATAAACTTAAAATATGGATAAATCAGTACAGTACTGTAAATGCATTTTCTCTTCCTTTGGTTTTTTAAATAACATTTTCTTTTATCTAGTTTGTTATAATAATACAGTATATCATACATATAGAAAATAGGCATTAATTGACGGTTGTGCTAGCAGTAAGGCTTCTGGTCAACAGTAGGCTATATTAGTAGTGAAATTTGGAGGGATTCAAAAGTTATATGTGGATTTTCAACTGCATTAGGATTGGTGCCCCTAACCCCTGTGTTGTTCAATGGTCAACTGTAAATGCTAAATGATACCTTACAATCTAAACATAATGTTCTTGTATTTCTTTAACAAATGATTACTTTGATAGGCACATATAATCTCACTTAATCCTTTTATCAATCCAAGAAAACAGATATACTTAGTTTAGAGGTGAAGAAATAAAAGTTTCATATTAAATGAATAATACTTAGAGCAAGAGACCATGAGTTGCCTATCCTCCTCTTCATTCTAAGAAGACCCTTTAATAGGGCTCTGTTTTATTCCAGAAATCCATTTGCCCAGCTAAGAGGCAACATTTTCTAGACTATCTATGCATGGCCAGGTCATTAAGTTATAGCAAAAAGAACAGCAGCAAATTATTAAATATAATATTCAGGAAACCTCATCTAAAGGATCACAGACAGCTGTCACATGCTCTCCTTTTCTTTCTCCCTTTCCTCCTGCTTCCTGTATCCAATCTGAGTGTGATGGCTAGAGCTTAAACCAGGATGAGATCTTGAGAGTCCTTTGTTAGGGATGGTGAAGCAAACAGATGAATGCTAATGAAATTATGAAACCACCTACTGGATGACGACTGCAACTTTTTCACATGTTCCTTACAATAAATTAATAAATAAGCTTCTATTTTTTACATCTAATTAGTGACTCTTTTGCCAACAGTCAAACGTGACCCATTATACTTATTACATACAAGGCCCTGCGTAAGTATAGTATTTTGCCTGGATTGTCTCATTTACTCCCTCCTGCAACGTTCTTTTCTAGTTGTGGAAACACAGAGTCAATGGGGGTAAAATAACAAGTTTAAGGTTGTATTTCTAAATAAATGGCAGAAACAAGGGTTGAGTCCTGATCCTTTTTTCTAAATTAAAGTGATCTTTTCTATAATGCCACCAAATTCCTCATTACATGAGGTCTATATATATAGACCTCAAGGGTCATCATTTATTTCATGTATATTATTTTATCCTACATATATTATCCCTAATGGAGCTTTCATATTTTCTCATCCTTTAGTCCTTCAGTTGATGATATGAATAGTATAGTTAAATCTTAGCTCTAAGATGATGGATCAAGTCCCAGTGATAATCTCTCTAATCTGTCAGAAAATGATCCAACTGCTATTTTTCATTGATTCGTTTTTTTTCCTTGAAAGCAGACTTGTGCGATAAAAAATTTTCCTCTTGTCAACAAATCCTCTTAGCATCACATAATCATCTTTTCATGAAAAAAGTAGCTAGGGAAACATTGCTAGCAATTTCAAAGTGCTTCAAGGCCTCAAATTACTAGAGAAGCTTGCGGCAATTCTGAACTAAAGGAAACTAGAAGTGTGGAGATGTTAGACTGTCAAATACATCTCTCCCTCAGATTTACAGTTATTTTTCTATGAGATGTCTACCCATCTGCTGAGATGTTATAATTATATATTCTTAAGGTGACAGCATAATACGCTCTTCCTAGTCAGTACATTCAGTTTACCTAAGGTTAGAAGCAGTAAAATAAAGTGTCAAAAATGCCATCTTCAAATATAAGATTGATAGCCTATTATGTTTTTATTATTTAAACATAAGCCAAATCATGTAATTAGCTCACTCAAAGTGTTTTGACCTATTTCCTAAAAATCTTTCATAATTTGGATTCAAAATAACTCAAGTTCATCAAAATGAGATTTATTTGAATATCTTTGTGAGTAAAATACATAAGTATTTATGTGCACCCAACTGAATATCACTTTCATAACCAGTTTCACAGTCCCATTTTGATCTCCTGAACCCTTGGTACCTACAAGATTTTCCTAGTTCAGTTTTGTTTAAGGGTTCTTTAATTGCTCTGATAAAAATATCAAACATCTTTCCTTGGGCCAGAGAGTCCTAAATATTCTCTGTTAATAGTATCCTTAGTAATATTTTTCACAATATTCTAGGCCAAAAGAAATCTGTATCAGTTCTGTTTATTAAATGAGTAGGTCTAAACAATTCCACAAGTATTAATGCCCTATTAACTTAGTAGCCAGTTGAAAAAAACAAAACAAAACAAAAAACACACATAAACTGAAAGTAGTTCATGTAATATCCAGTAGGTGTTGCTGTGTTTCCCATAAAAATTTTAAATATTTCACAGCACCCTTGTGCATTTACAACGGTACATCGGGTGACTCAGTGCCCATTTTGATATTTATGGTTGTAGGTGTTGCTATGTTTTATTTAATTCATCTGTAACCATCTCAAGGACAAGAAGTGGACTCATTCATCCTTATATTCCCAGAGCCTTTCAAAGTGTCAGGCACATAGTAGGTGTTAATTAATATTTTCCAAATGAAAGAGGATGGCCATGAATAAATGACCAAGGAGATTAACATTGATTTAAGTAAAACAGTTACCTGTGGATCGGGGTACTTTGTAATATAAAGTGTTGACACAGCACAGTGATAGAGAATATGGGCTCTATCGCTTTTTAGATACATGCTTGTGCTTCCCTCATACATAAGATGGGAAGTAATAATAGTGTCTACTGTATAGAACTGACAAGAAAATTAAATGAAAAATGCATGTAATTCACCTAGCATAGTGCATAGTATATAATAACTATTTGATAAATACTATTGTTATTATTATTTTGCTATTTTATGTCATAGATGACAACACACTGAAATCTGGGATTGGTGGGAAGAAATAAGAAAATAAACCCTAAAAATATTAAGAAGACAATCAGGGAAATAATTATTTTCAAAAAGAAAGCTGTGGTTACAAATAGATTAAGAAAGCACAGTTAGGACGCTTTGAAAACACATTCAAACAACAGGTTATTTGTGGCCAGACTCAGGAAGCTGAAGTGTTACTGAAATTTGCCATTTGCCAAAAATGAGACAAACTAAAATCCCTTCATTTCATGGCTTGAAATTGAAGACCAAAAGCAACTCTTATTTCTAATCACATTCCTAATTACAGAAACAGGCTAGCACCCCTGTTGTAAAGGGGCTGCCAGTATTTCCATTATCAGTTCCCATTTTCAGGGCTTATTACTAAAGCACACACTCTAGGGAGATTGTTGGCATAGAGGATCTCAGCATGGAAGAGAACATGTTTTACAAAACTTGGCATCAACCTTCCAACTGTAAATATAAAGAGATAGAAAGGCAACAATGAATAGTCAAGAAAACCCATGGTGCTGGGATTGAAAAGGTTGTTCAAGCTAATTTCAAATGTAATGTATAAATGAAAACCCTGCTCAGACCATTTAAAGGGAAAATAGATTTTTAAATTTACACAATTTCACTAAACATCTGTAACAAGAGAGTAGAAGCAAAGTGATCTACCCATCTGTCTCCTATTAGTAAAAACTGACATAAATCTAATTTCAGTATCTAGGAGGATTTACTTCTGCTTTAACCTTGACCAATGTAAAAAGGTAACTTGTTGATGTTAATTTGAACCATCTCTGCATTAATTTTTTAAAGAATTAGACTCAGACACATTATTTATTTGTAAACTTTCTGTCACAACCATTGAAAGGTTCATGTACCTATTTTAGCCTCAAATATCCTTTGCTTTGAATGTGGTTTTACTAAAAATTGTGGTTAGCTTCTAAAACTGTTGTTAATAGAGGAAGTTGTTACAATTACTTAAGATAATGTATACTTTTCTTTAAACAGTTATAACCAAAATAACACTTATAAAATTAAGTCTTAAAGTAGCTGGGAGAAGAAAAGATACTATAAAAAAATTACATTGAGCCATTCAACTTATATATAAGTGCTTTTGAACTTATATTTGGTTGTGATCGCCAAATAAAGTAGAAGTTATAAAGAAAACTTTAGTTTTGTCTCAGAAAAAGATTTCACTCTTCCTCAGCCTGTAACACTGCAGAAATGGTCACATGATTCTTAGTAACTTTCAGTAGATTAATCCAAGGTTGAGTTCTGAGCTTGTTAGTTTCTGTACTCTAGGGCAGGAAATAACTGCTTTAAGCCAAAAGCCTTTTCTTCTGCTGTGTTATAGTAAACAAAATCTTACCTATGTTTAGAATACTCAATTAAGCAGAGTGAATGAAAAAAAATTAAGGCCCCACTGTATAGAGATAATAGAGACTTGACAGAATTTAATACTTTGATTCTTTACTTGTATCTTTTTGCCACAATACAGCATCACTGAATTTATGAGAATCTTTATTCAACCTTCTCTCTAGGAAATATAGCAACTTACTAAAAGTGGACAAGCAATTTATGGAACAAATTTTAAAATAGGTAATGAAAGCACAGAATTATGGAGCAGTACTGACCTCTGGTTATCATTTTGTATATACCCTTCAAGAAATGGCTATATCTAAACCATCTATGTTGAGTTACTATCTGTTACATTCTTAAAAGGCATCCAAGAAGAAAAATTTAAAACCTCTTTAGATAGTCAGCTCTGGTTTTAATGCTGTCAAGAATTTCTTCTTCATATCTAAAAGAATTTCTTCCTTCTACAATTTAAGATGCTGTCCTCTTCTTTTAACCTCAGTGAAGATGGAGAATAACTAGTTACGATCCTTTTTAGAGGATAAGTTCACATACCATGTATTCCCATCTTAGAGACTATATAACATAAAGCTAGATCACATTTTAAAGTATATAAACATAATTACACAGAAATATTTTTAAATTCCATTAAAAGGAAAAAAATAAGTCCATTCCCCACCCAGTTTATAAATTATCCTTGGTAAATCATCTCTAAATCTTGCACCTGCTAAATCAGCACCATTTTATGCAGCACCACAAATGCCTTTTTCATTTAACTCTTCAGTGAACAACAAGCTTCATTATTATCTATCATAGAAGAAAAATGACTCTGTAGACATAGGTCTAATTAAGAATGTCAAGATGATCTCTTTTGGACTCTGATCAATTCCTTTATTTACATACAGTTTGTTTTTATTACTTCCCAAAATTGAATTCACAGGTCAAATCAATCCCATGCAATATAAAAATTCTTTACAGTATAAAGCATATTTTACTACCATATACTTTCTTATATTAAATTGTACAATTTGTCTGTAAATGTATCATTTTTTCTTATTCCCGATAAAATCTTAATTAAAATGGGATTTGTAACGAGATCGCTATGACTAAATTTATGATATATTTTCTTCTTTAGTGTTCTTTTAAAGGACACAAGTAGCACAGAGTTTGGCAACTAACATACATAATTTATTTTTTTAAATGTTAAGTGAATTATTTCTGTAAGTATACAAAAATATTCTGAGTTAGAGAAGAAAATTTGAGCTGCATTTTGTCAATCAAATTTACCTGTTCGACAAGCTAAACTAGTTGACTAACAGCCTTTTGCATTAGATTTAGTACCTTAAAGCAGTAGGTATGTTTCATTGATCTTTGTAGTCCTGTGTCGCAGCAGGGTATTTAATACCCATACAAAGTTAACTAAGTGAATTAAAAATTCCAAATCATATTATTTTAGTCACTTCCTTAACCTTGGTATTAAGACCAACTATGCTTACTATTTTCCATACAATTAAAATTTAATGACTATTAAAACAATACAACAGGTATATATAAGTATACATAATTCAACTTATAAAAATGTACTGAAGTTTTAACTTTCTATACAAGTAATCAAGAATATCAAGATGCCAAGAATAGAAACCAGATATATTTCTATTATAAAGAACATCTAACTGTTATATTACATTCAAATATCTGGAATTCGCTTTTTCTATCATAGACGCAGCTTGCCCTTACTGCATCAGCTTTGTTAGTGTAAGCTATACTAGTATCAAGTTTTTTTAGCTGTTCCCAAATAGACATACAGTAGATAAGAAAACTCATGTGATTCTGGCATCAGAATTAATATTCAACCAGTGTGTATTCAAGAAATTAACAAGAGTAGTACACAGCTTCCTACATTATTCTATGAGGGAATATACATACATTTCTTAGTACTAGAAATTGCAACTGCCAGCTTAATTCAAAGTGGTTCTGAGTGAATGTTCCCAAAATACCAGTGAAAAATCTAACTAGATGCATAAACAGTTGGTCATCATTCAGAGCCTGTATCAAAAAAGTACCTTCCTATTCCTAATTAAATAACAACCTAAAATTACAATAAGGTATAATGTTTCAAAGGTCTTCAGTGTGCTCCCAACTTTACTTCTAGTACCTTCTATTTATGTATATCTGTCTCTTTCTTAAGTGTAATCTAAAGTATTTGGATAAATGCCATAATAAAAAGCAGTGTTAATTATCATTTTATATTTCCTATCTGATCTATTATGCCTTTAACAAAACATATTCTTCCATAGATTTACAACATCAACGATTGTGTTTAAGACCCTGTGACCACTCTAAAAATACTCTAAGACTGATAATCTGGGTACAGGGGGGCAAATTAGGTACTCTTTCAGTAGAAAACTAGTCCCCTTATATTCACAGGGAATTTATGTTGCTAAACAATGGATTTAAGTGCAAATAAGTTGTTCAGATTCACTTCTGTGCTTTGGAGTTAACCTTCTACAGAACATTTTCAATGTACTGTATAAGAATTTGATTTCATATATTCTAGATCCCCTTTATAAGGTATAGTGCTACAACCTGAATTAATAAAATAAAAACTATGGATTTGTTTACTTAGTTACTAAGTAAACTTTAAGTGCCTCCTACATATTATGTATTTCTCTCACTTTAAAATTTATAGTTAAACTCCTAGTACTGATCCCAGAGTTAACAGGAAGGGAGAATGGGAGAGAGAGAGCAAGAGAAAGAGAGAGGCAGCAGGAAGAAGAGAAAAGAGGGAGAGCGAGAGAAAAAGATCATATACCAAGGTCACTTTCAGGTGACATAAACTTTGCTAAAATAATCAATGATATAGATCCCTAAGAAAAGCAAACCAGATTCTCCTGCAACTTTTTCCTCAGGCTTATTAGAAGAAGGTTTAAAAAAATCTTCCTTAATACACCAAGCAATACGCTTCTAAATCTTCCCAATGATAGTGCTACTGCTTTGTGACTGTTTCCTGCATTCCCTCACTCTTCTAATCCATTTTGGTTAACAGGAGGAATACAGGAAGAAAAACCACCTCTATCAATTGCTGACACAACTAACATTTCAAAGTGAACCATCAGCAGAAAAGCTTGGGGCAGAGAGATTTGTGGAACACTGTCTAAACCATCACTAGAAGACGGCTCTCTAACCTGAAAGAAGGATAGATCAGATCCAGTTCCCAGTCTTTCTTAAAAGTAAGGATAAACATGTCAATCTTTAAAGTAATCTAATAGCTACTTCCACATTTAAAATGCAGCTGGGCCTGTGCAAGCCTTTCTGAGTCCACTTTCTAATTCATCAAAACTTTCCTTCTTACCACAATAATAAAGATAATTTTCCTTGCCCTACGGAAACCTCACCTAGAAAATGGCCTACAGCAGAAAAACAGTCACCTATGTGAGGTAAATGCACTGTTACAAAGCACTAAATTATTTCAAAATTACTGCTTTTAGGTTTCTAATTGTTGGCTACGTAATTTGTGGAGTTAACGAACTTCATACTGGAGAAAAGTTCATTATAGTATAAAATTTCCCCATCTCAGTTGAATAAAATTCTTCCCCATCTTCAGGAGATTAATTCAGATTTTAGACACTCTAGGAAAAAGACAATACACTAAGAATTTCTAAAAAAACAACAACAAAAAGCTGAAGCAAGGGGGCAAAATGGAAGGCTTCACCTATCATCACCCTCACAAGAACACCAATTTAACAAATATCTACAGAAAAAATTTTTTAAAAATACCTTCATAAGAGCCAAAAATCAGATGAGCGCTCAAAGTACCTGGTTTTAAATTCATATCACTAAAAGAGGTACTTAGGAGGTAGGACAAACAGTCCTGAATCATCAGTGCCACCTCTCCCCCGTCCCTTGACAGTGGCAGTGTGGTGGAGAGAAAATCTGAGTGCATGGGAAAGGGAGAGCACAAAAATGGTGAGACACTGAGTTGGACTCAGTGCAGCCCTGTTTTAGAAGAAAGCAAAACTAGACCGAACTCAACTGATGCTCACCCATGGAAGAAGCATTTGAACCAGCCCTACCCAGGTGGGAATCACCCATCCCAGTGGTTGGAACTTCAGTTCTTGCAAGCCTCGCCACCACAAGACAAAGTGCCCTGGAGTTCTAAATAAACTTGAAAGGTAGTCAAGGCTACAAGGATACAAAAACTGCAACTCCTAGGAGAGTACTAATGCACAGCTGGGCTCAGAGCCAGTAAACAGGGGGAGGGGAACATTTCAACTATACTAGCTGGGGCAGCTATGGGAATGCTGGTGCTAACCCTCCCCAAACCCAAGGCTGAACTGCTCACAACTCTAAAAAAGGCCCTTTCCTTCTGTTTGAGGAGAGGAAAGCGAAAGTGAAGAGGACTTTGTCTCCTATTTTAGATACTAGCTCTGCTATAGCAGGATAGGACATCAGTCAGAGTCCTGAGACCCCCTTTCTAGGAATAAACTCCCACATGACATTTCTAGATACACCCTGAGACAAAAGGGATCCTGCTGCCTTAAAGAGAAGAACACAGTCCCAGCAAGATTCATCACTTGCTAACTAAAGAACCCTTGAGCCCTGAATAACCAGCAGCAATACCCAGGTAGTATGATGTGGGTCTTGGGTAAGTAAATGAGACTTTGCCTTGTACCTTAAGTACCAGTTTGCAACAGAAGGGTAGACTACCAAATGGACTCTTGGGCCCTGATTCCAGGCCTTGTCTCTTAGATGGCATTTGGGAACCTGCCCTGGACCAGAAAGGAGCCTACTGCCCTGAAGGTAAGTCTCAGGCAAGGTAGCACTCACTACAAGCTGACTGAAGAGCCCCAGGGACTTCAGGGAACATCAGCAGTAGCCTGGCAGTTGTCCCCATTGTCCTATGGTGCCAGTGGTCATGGGGTGAGGCTTCTCTTTCTTTAGAAAGAAGAGGAAAGAGTGGAAAGGATTGCATCTTGTACTCTGAGTGCCAGCTCAGCCACACTACGATAGCACACTAAGTAGATAGACTTCTAAGGTTTTTTTACTCTAGTCCCTGACTCCTGGACAGCATCTGTGAACCCAGCTGGGGCCTGCAGGAACTCACTGTGCTGAAGGGATGACACAGGCCTGGCTGGCTTGTCAATCTGCTAACTGTACAGCCCCAGGGCCTTGAGAAAACAGAGATGACTTTCAGCAGGCCTTGGGCAAGACCCAGTACCATGCTGGCTTCAGGTCTGACCCAGCACAGTCCTGGTGATGGTGGCCACATGGGAGCTTTTGTCCCTCCACTCCCAGCTCCAGGCAGCTCAGAACAGAGAGAAAAGCTCCATTTGATGGGGAGAAACTAATGGAAGAAAATAGGAGTCTCTGCCTGGCAATCCAAAGAATTCTTCTGGATCTTGTCCAAGACCATCAAGGTATATCTGTATAAGTCTGCAAGAACCACAGAAGTACTGGGCTTGAGGTGCCCCCTAATGCAGATACAGCTTAGGTCGTAATACCCATGTCCTTTCAACTGTATGGAAAGCTCTCCCAAGAAGGATGGGAACAAACAAGCTCAGACTATGAAGACTACAATAAATATCTAACTCTTCAATGCCCAGAAACAGATGAACATTTAAAAGTATCATGATCATCCAGGAAAACATGACTTACCAAATAAACTACATAAGGTACCAGGGATCAAGTTAGGAGAAACAGAGGTAAGTGACCTTTCAGATAGATAATTCAAAATTGCTGTTTTGAAGAAACTCAAAGAATTTCAAGATTTCAGAGAGAAGGAATTCATAATTCTGTCACACAAATTAAACAAAAAGAATGAAATAATTAAAAAGAATCAAGTAGAAATTCTGGAGCTAAAAATGCAATTCAAATATGGAAGAATGCATCACAGTCTTTTAATAACAGAATTGATCAAGCAGAAGAAATAATTAGTGAGCTTGAAGGTAGGCTATTTGGAAATACACAGAGAAGACAAAAGAAAAAAGCATTAAAAAGAATGAATCATGCATACAGGATCTAGAAAATAGTCTTCAAAAGGTAAATCTAAGAGTTATCGGCCTTAAAGAGCAAATAGAGAAAGAGATGGAGTAGAACGTTTATTCAAAGGGATAATAACAGATAATTTCCCAAACCTAGAGAAATATATCATTATTCAAGTACAAGAAGGTTACGGGACACAAGCAGATTTAACCCAAAGAACAATACCTCAAGACATTTAATAATAAAATTCCCAAAGGTCAAGGATAAAGGATCCTAAAAGCAGCAAGAGGAGAAAAACAGTAACATACAGTGGAGCTCTATTACACCTGGCAGCAGACTTTCCAGTGGAAACTTTACAGGCCAGGAGAGAGCAGCAATACATACTTAAAGTGCTAAAGGAAATAAAACTCTTAATGTGGAATAGTATATCCAGTGAAAATATCTTTCAAACATGAACAAGAAATAAAGATTTTCTCAGACAAAGAAAAGCTGAGGGATTTTGTCAACACAAGATCTGTCCTACAAAAAAATGCTAAAGGGAGCACGTCAAGAAAAAAAAAAAAAGGACATTAATCAGCAATAAGAAATCATCTGCTCAGGTGCAGTGGCTCACACCTGTAATCCCAGCACTTTGGGAGGCAGAAGCAGGTGGAACACAAGGTCAGGAGTTTGAGACCAGCCTGGCTAATATGGTGAAACCCCGTCTCTACTAAAAAAAAAAATACAAAAATTAGCCAGGCGTGGCGGCATGCACCTGTAATCCCAGCTAGTCAGGAGGCTAAGGCAAGAGAATAGCTTGAACCGGGAGGCAGAGGTTGCAGCGAGCCGAGATCACACCACTGCTCTCCAGCCTGGGTGATGGAGCAAGACTCCGTCTCAAAAAAGAAAAAAGAAAACAAAAAAGAAATAATCGAAGCTACAAAACTCATGGGCAATAGTAAGTGCACAGAAAACCAGATTATTGTAACACTGTATCCGTGGTATGTACACTATTCCTACCGTAATTAGAAAGACTAAAAAAGAACAAATCAAAAAATGGACAACTTTTAAAGACATAGACTGTACAATAAGATATAAACAGAAAGAACAAAAGTTAAAGAGCAGAGGGATAAAGTTAAGTTGTAGAGTGTGTATTAGTTTTACTTTTTTTTATTTATTTTTATTTTATTATTATTATACTTTAAGTTTTAGGGTACATGTGCACAATGTGCAGGTTAGTTACATATGTATACATGTGCCATACTGGTGTGCTGCACCCATTAACTCATCATTTACCATTAGGTGTATCTCCTAATGCTATCCCTCCCCCCTCCCCCCACCTCACAACAGTCCCCAGAGTATGATGTTCCCCTTCCCGTGTCCATGTGTTCTCACTGTTCATTTCCCACCTATGAGTGACAACATGCAGTGTTTGATTTTTTGTCCTTGTGATAGTTTACTGAGAATGATGATTTCCAATTTCATCCATGTCCCTACAAAGGACATGAACTCATCCTTTTTTATGGCTGCATAGTATTCCATGGTGTATATGTGCCACATTTTCTTAATCCAGTCTATCACTGTTGGACATTTGGGTTGCTGCCAAGTCTTTGCTATTGTGAACAGTGCCTCAATAAACATATGTGTGCATGTGTCTTTATAGCAGCATGATTTATAGTCCTTTGGGTATATACCCAGTAATGGGATGGCTGGGTCAAATGGTATTTCTAGTTCTACATCCCTGAGAAATCGCCACACTGATTGCACAATGGTTGAACTAGTTTACGGTCCCAACAACAGTGTAAAAGTGTTCCTATTTCTCCACATCCTCTCCAGCACCTGTTGTTTCCTGACTTTTTAATGATTGCCATTCTAACTGGTGTGAGATGGTATCTCATTGTGGTTTTGATTTGCATTTCTCTGATGGCCAGTGATGGTGAGCATTTTTTCACGTGTTTTTTGGCTGCATAAATGTCTTCTTTTCAGAACAGTCTTTTCATGTCTTTCGCCCACTTTTTGATGGGGTTGTTTGTTTTTTTCTTGTAAATTTGTTGGAGTTCATTGTAGATTCTGGATATTAGCCCTTTGTCAGATGAGTAGGTTGCGAAAATTTTCTCCCATTTTGTAGGTTGCCTGTTCACTCTGATGGTAGTTTCTTTTGCTGTGCAGAAGCTCTTTAGTTTAATTAGATCCCATTTGTCAATTTTGTCTTTTGTTGCTATTGCTTTTGGTGTTTGAGACATGAAGTCCTTGCCCATGCCTATGTCCTGAATGGTAATGCCTAGGTTTTCTTCTAGGGTTTTTATGGTTTTTAGGTCTAACGTTTAAGTCTTTAATCCATCTTGAATTAATTTTTGTATAAAGTGTAAGGAAGGGATCCAGTTACAGCTTTCTACATATGGCTAGCCAGTTTTCCCAGCACCATTTATTAAATAGGGAATCCTTTCCCCATTGCTTGTTTTTCTCAGGTTTGTCAAAGATCAGATAGTTGTAGATATACGGCATTATTTCTGAGGGCTCTGTTCTGTTCCATTGATCTATATCTCTCTTTTGGTACCAGTACCATGCTGTTTTGGTTACTGTAGCCTTGTAGTATAGTTTGAAGTCAGGTAGCATGATGCCTCCAGCTTTGTTCTTTTGGCTTAGGATTGACTTGGCGATGCGGGCTCTTTTTTGGTTCCATATGAACTTAAAGTAGTTTTTTCCAATTCTGTGAAGAAAGTCATTGGTAGCTTAATGGGGATGACATTGAATCTATAAATTACCTTGGGCAGTATGGCCATTTTCACGATATTGATTCTTCCTACCCATGAGAATGGAATGTTCCTCCATTTCTTTGTATACTCTTTTATTTCATTGAGGAGTGGTTTGTACTTCTCCTTGAAGAGGTCCTTCATGTCCCTTGTAAGTTGCATTCCTAGGTATTTTATTCTCCTTGAAGCAATTGTGAATGGGAGTTCACTCACGATTTGGCTCTCTGTTTGTCTGTTATTGGTGTATAAGAATGCTTGTGATTTTTGTACATTGATTTTGTATCCTGAGATTTTGCTGAAGTTGCTTATCAGCTTAAGGAGATTTTGGGCTGAGACAATGGGGTTTTCTAGATATACAATCATGTTGTCTGCAAACAGGGACAATTTGACTTCCTCTTTTCCTAATTGGATACGCTTTATTTCCTTCTCCTGCGTAATTGCCCTGGCCAGAACTTCCAACACTATGTTGAATAGGAGTGGTGAGAGAGGGCATCCCTGTCTTGTGCCAGTTTTCAAAGGGAATGCTTCCAGTTTTTGCCCATTCAATATGATATTGGCTGTGGGGTTGTCATAGATAGCTCTTATTATTTTGACATACATCCCATCAATACCTAATTTATTGAGAGTTTTTAGCATGAAGTGTTGTTGAATTTTGTCAAAGGCCTTTTCTGCATCTATTGAGAAAATCATGTGGTTTTTGTCTTTGGTTCTGTTTATATGCTGGATTACATTTATTGATTTGCGTATATTGAACCAGCCTTGCATCCCAGGGATGAAGCCCACTTGATCATGGTGGATAAGCTTTTTGATGTGCTGCTGGATTTGGTTTGCCAGTATTTTATTGAGGATTTTTGCATCAATGTTCATCAAGGATATTGGTCTAGAATTCTGGTTTTTGGTTGTGTCTCTGCCTGGCTTTGGTATCAGGATGATGCTGGCCTCATAAAATGAGTTAGGGAGGATTCCCTCTTTTTCTATTGATTGGAATAGTTTCAGAAGGAATGGTACCACTTCCTCCTTGTACCTCTGGTAGAATTCGGCTGTGAATCCATCTGGTCCTGGACTCTTTTTGGTTAGTAAGCTATTGATTATTGCCACAATTTCAGAGCCTGTTATTGGTCTATTCAGGGATTCAACTTCTTCCTGGTTTAGTCTTGGGAGGGTGTATGTGTCAAGGAATTTATCCATTTCTTCTAGATTTTCTAGTTTATTTGCGTAGAGGTGTTTGTAGTATTCTCTGATGGTAGTTTGTATTTCTGTGGGATCGGTGGTGATATCCCCTTTATCATTTTTTATTGTGTCTATTTGATTCTTCTCTCTTTTTTTATTAGTCTTGCTAGCGGTCTATCAATTTTGTTGATCCTTTCAAAAAACCAGCTCCTGGATTCATTAATTTTTTGAAGGGTTTTTTGTGTCTCTATTTCCTTCAGTTCTGCTCTGATTTTAGTTATTTCTTACCTTCTGCTAGCTTCTGAATGCTTTTGCTCTTGCTTTTCTAGTTCTTTTAATTGTGATGTTAGGGTGTCAATTTTGTATCTTTCCTGCTTTCTCTTGTGGGCATTTAGTGCTATAAATTTCCCTCTACACACTGCTTTGAATGTGTCCCAGAGATTCTGGTATGTTGTGTCTTTGTTCTCGTTGGTTTCAAAGAACATCTTTATTTCTGCCTTCATTTCGTTATGTACCCAGTAGTCATTCAGAAGCAGGTTGTTCAGTTTCCATGTAGTTGAGCAGTTTTGAGTGAGTTTCTTAATCCTCAGTTCTAGTTTGATTGCACTGTGGTCTGAGAGACAGTTTGTTATAATTTCTGTTCTTTTACATTTGCTGAGGAGAGCTTTACTTCCAAGTATGTGGTCAATTTTGGAATAGGTGTGGTGTGGTGCTGAAAAAAATGTATATTCTGTTGATTTGGGGTGGAGAGTTCTGCAGATGTCTATTAGGTCCACTTGGTGAAGAGCTGAGTTCACTTCCTGGGTATCCTTGTTAACTTTCTGTCTCGTTGATCTGTCTAATGTTGACAGGGGGGTGTTAAAGTCTCCCATTATTAATGTGTGGGAGTCTAAGTGTCTTTGTAGGTCACTCAGGACTTCCTTATGAATCTGGGTGCTCCTGTATTGGGTGCATATATATTTAGGATAGTTAGCTCTTCTTGTTGAATTGATCCCTTTACCATTATGTAATGGCCTTCTTTGTCTCTTTTGATCTTTGTTGGTTTAAAGTCTGTTTTATCAGAGACTAGGATTGCAACCCCTGCCTTTTTTTGTTTTCCATTTGCTTGGTAGATCTTCCTCCATCCTTTTATTTTGAGCCTATGTGTGTCTCTGCACGTGAGATGGGTTTCCTGAATACAGCACACTGATGGGTCTTGACTCTTTATCCAAATTGCCAGTCTGTGTCTTTTAATTGGAGCATTTAGTCCATTTACATTTAAAGTTAATATTGTTATGTGTGAATTTGATCCTGTCATTATGATGTTAGCTGGTTGATTTGCTTGTTAGTTGATGCAGTTTCTTCCTAGTCTCGATGGTCTTTACATTTTGGCATGATTTTGCAGCGGCTGGTACCAGTTGTTCCTTTCCATGTTTAGTACTTACTTCAGGAGCTCTTTTAGGGCAGGCCTGGTGGTGACAAAATCTCTCAGCATTTGCTTGTCTGTAAAGGATTTTATTTCTCCTTCACTTATGAAGCTTAGTTTGGCTGGATATGAAATTCTGGATTGAAAATTCTTTTCTTTAAGAATGTTGAGTATTGGCCCCCACTCTCTTCTGGCTTGTAGAGTTTCTGCCGAGAGATCCGCTGTTAGTCTGATGGGCTTCCCTTTGTGGGTAACCCGACCTTTCTGGCTGCCCTTAACATTTTTTCCTTCATTTCAACTTTGGTGAATCTGACGATTATGTGTCTTGGAGTTGCTCTTCTCGAGGAGTATCTTTGTGGTGTTCTCTGTATTTCCTGAATCTGAATGTTGGCCTGCCTTGCTAGATTGGGGAAGTTCTCCTGGATAATATCCTGCAGAGGGTTTTCCAACTTGGTTCCATTCTCCCCATCACTTTCAGGTACACCAATCAGACGTAGATTTGGTCTTTTCACATAGTCCCATATTTCTTGGAGGCTTTGTTCATTTCTTTTTATTCTTTTTTCTCTAAACTTCCCTTCTTGCTTCATTTCATTCATTTCATCTTCCATTGCTGATACCCTTTCTTCCAGTTGATCACATCGACTCCTGAGGCTTCTGAATTCTTCAAGTAGTTCTCAAGCCTTGGCTTTCAGCTCCATCACCTCCTTTAAGCACTTCTCTATATTGGTTATTCTAGTTATACATTCGTCTAAATTTTTTTCAAAGTTTTTAACTTCTTTGCCTTTGGTTTGAATTTGCTCCTGTAGCTCAGAGTAGTTTGATCGTCTGAAGCCTTCTTCTCTCAACTCGTCAAAGTCATTCTCCGTCCAGCTTTGTTCCATTGCTGGTGAGGAACTGCGTTCCTTTGCAGGAGGAGAGGCGCTCTGCTTTTTAAAGTTTCCAGTTTTTCTGCTCTGTTTTTTCCCCATCTTTGTGGTTTTATCTACTTTCGGTCTTTGATGATAGTGATGTACAGATGGGTTTTTGGTGTGGATGTCCTTTCTGTTTGTTAGTTTTCCTTCTAACAGAGAGGACCCTCAGCTGCAGGTCTGTTGGAGTTTGCTAGAGGTCCACTCCAGACCCTGTTTGCCTGGGTATCAGCAGCGGTGGCTGCAGAACAGCAGATTTTCATGAACCGCAAATGCTGCTGTCTGATCGTTCCTCTGGAAGTTTTGTCTCAGAGGAGTATCCGGCCATGTGAGGTGTCAGTCTGCCCCTACTGGGGGGTGCCTCCCAGTTAGGCTGCTCGGGGATCAGGGGTCAGGGACCCACTTGAGGAGGCAGTCTGCCCGTTCTCAGATCTCCAGCTGCATGCTGGGAGAACCATTGCTCTCTTCAAAGCTGTCAAACAGGGACATTTAAGTCTGCAGAGGTTACTGCTGTCCTTTTTTTTTTGTCTGTGCCCTGCCCCCAGAGGTGGAGCCTACAGAGGCAGGCAGGCCTCCTTGAGCTGTGGTGGGCTCCACCCAGTTCGAGCTTCCTGGCTGCTGTGTTTACCTAAGCAAGCCTGGGCAATGGTGGGCGCCCCTCCCCCAGCCTCACTGCCACCTTGCAGTTTGATCTCAGACTGCTGTGCTAGCAATCAGAGACTCCGTGGGCGTAGGACCCTCCGAGCCAGGTGCAGGATATAATCTCCTGGTGCACCGTTTTTTAAGCCCATCGGAAAAGTGCAGTATTCGGGTGGGAGTGACCCGATTTTCCAGGTGCCGTCTGTCACCCCTTTCTTTGACTAGGAAAGGGAACTCCCTGACCCCTTGTGCTTCCCGAGTGAGGCAATGCCTCGTCCTGCTTCGGCTTGCGCACGGTGCGCTGCACCCACTGTCCTGCGCGCCCACTGTCTGGCACTTCCTAGTGAGATGAACCCGGTACCTCAGATGGAAATGCAGAAATCACCCGTCTTCTGCGTTGCTCACGCTGGGAGCTGTAGACCAGAGCTGTTCCTATTCGGCCATCTTGGCTCGACCCCCTAGTTTTACTTTTACTTGTTTGTTTATGCAAACAGTGTTATGTTGTAATCAGCTTTAAATAATGGGTTATAAGATGGTATTTGCAAGCTACGTGGTAAACTGAAACCAAAAAACATACAATGAGCCAGTCATGGTGGTTCACACCTGTAATCCCAGTACTTTGGGAGGCTGAGGTGGGTGGATCACCTGAGGTCAGGAGTTCAAGATCAGCCTGGACAATATTGTGAAACCCCATCAAAATCAGCCGGGGTGGTGGTGCGTGCCTGTAATCCCAGCTACTAGGGAGACAGAGGCAAGAGAATCACTTGAACCTGGGAGATGGAGGTTGTGGTGAGCCAAGATCATGCCACTGCACTCCAGCCTGGGCAACAGAGTGAGATTCCATCTCAAAAAAAAAAAGAAAAGAAAGAAAGAAAAGAAAAGAACAAAACATACAGTGGAGACACAAAAAATAAAAACTAGATTACATCACCAGAGAAAATTACCTTTAATGAAAGGAAGAAAGGAAGAAAGGAAAGAAGAGAACACCACATACACACACACACACACAACAGAAAATGAATAACAAAATGACAGGAATAAGCCCTTGCTTATCAACAATAACATTGAATGTAAATGGCTAAACTCTTCAACCAAAAGACAGAAGTAGCTGAATGGAAAGCAAAACAAAAAACAGGACTCAGTGATCTATTACCTACAAGAAATACACTTCACCTATGAGGACACATATAGACTGAAAATAGAGGGATGGAAAAAGATATTCCATTCCAATGGAAATGAAAAAACAGCAGGAGTAACTATACTTAAATCAGAAAAAATAGATTTCAAGACAAAGACTAAAAGAGACAAAGAAGGTCACTATATAATGATAAAGGGGTCAATTCAGCAAGATGATATAACAATTTTAAACATATATGCACTCAACACTGAATCACCTAGATATATAAAGTAAATATTATTAGAGCTAAAGAGAAATACAATAATAGTTAGAGACCCCAACATCCCACTATCAGCACATCTCACTTTCAGCACTGATCTTCCAGATAGAACATCAACGACAACAAAAATATTGGATATAAATTGCACTATAGACCAAATAAACCTAATATATATTTATAGAACATTTTATCGCATGGCTGTAGGATAGACACTCTTTTCCACAGCACTTGGACCATCCTCAAGGATAGACCATATGTAAGGTCACAAAACAATGTTAAAACACTCATAAAATCTGAAATAATATCATGCATCTTCTTTGACCACAATGGAATAAAAGTAGAAATGAATAACAAAAGGAATTTTAGAAACAATGCAAATACATGGAAATTAAATAATACACTCCTGAATGGCCAGTAGAGAAAAAATTTTTAAAAAATTCTTGAAACAAATGATAATGGAAATACAATACACAAAAACCTATGGAATACAGCAAAATCAGTACTAAGAGGGCTGTTTATAGCTATAAGTGCCTACATAGAATAAGAAAAAAACTTCAAATAAACAACCTAACAATGCATCTTAAAGAACTAGAAAAGCAAGAACAAACCAAACCCAAAATTAGTAGAAGAAAAAAATTAATAAAATTGGAAAAAATACATAAAAGATAAATGAAATTAAAAGTTGGTTTTGTGAAAAGTTAAACAAAATTGATAAACTTATAGCCAGACTAAGAAAAAAAGAGAGAAGGCCCAAATACATAAAATCAGAGATGAAAAAAGAGATATTACAACTGATATCACAGAAATTCAAAGAATCATTAGTGGAAATTATGAACAATTACATGCAAATAAATTGAAAAATATACAGAAAATGGACAAATTTAGACACATACAACCTACCAAGATGAAACCATGAAGAAATCCAAAACCTGAAACAGTCCAACAACAAGTAATAAGATCAAAGCTGTAATAAAAAGTCTCTCAGCAAAGAAAAACTTGGGACCCAATTGCTTCACTGCTAAATTTTACCAAACATAAAGAAGAACTAATACCAATCCTATTCAAACTATTCAAGAAATACAGGAAAAGAAAATTCTTCCAAACTCATTATATGAGGCCCACATTATCCTGATATCAAAACAAGACCAAGACAAATAAAAAAATATAAAACTACAGGCCAATATCACTGATGAATATTGATGCAAAAATTCTCAACAAAATACTAGCAAACTGAATTTAACAAATTCATCATTACCAAGTGGGATTATCGCAGGAATGTAATGATGGTTCAACATACACAAATCAATCAGGGTGATACATTACATCAACAGAATGAAGAATAAAAACCATATGATCATTTCAATTGATACAGAAAAATCATTTGATAAATTTCAACATCACTTCATAATAAAAATCCTTAATGAATTGGGTATAGAAGGAACACACTTCAACATAAGAAAAGCAATGTATAACAAACCCACAGCTAATATCATACTAAATGAGGGAAATATGAAAGTCTTTTTTAAGATCTGGAATACAACAAGGATGATCACCATCATCACAGTAATTCAACATTGTACTAGAAGTCCTAGCTAGAGCAATCTGAGAAGACAAAGACAAAGAAATAAAGGGCATCCAAATTGGAAAACAAAATCAGTCAAATTATATTTGAAATATAATTTTCAAATTATATTATCCTATATTTGGAAAAACCTACAGACTCCACAAGAAAACTATTACAATTGATAAACAAATTCAGTAAAGTTGAAGAATATAAAATCAACATACAAAAGTCAGTAGCATTTCTATATGCCAACAGTCAACAATCTGAAAAAGAAGCCAAGAAAGTAATCTCATTTACAGTAGGTATGAATAAAATTAAATACCTAGGAATTAAGTTAACCAAAGAAAGAAAGTTCTCTACTATAAAAACTGATGAAAGAAATTGAAGAGGACACAAAAACACCGGAAGATATTCCATGTTCATGGATTGGAAGAATCAATATTGTTAAAATGTGCATACTACCCAAAGTAATCTACAGATTTAATGCAACCCCTTTCAAAATACCAGGGAAATTCTGCATGGAAATAGAAAAATAAAACAATCCTTAAATTTATATGAAACCACAAAATACTCAGAATAGCCAAAGCTATGCTCAGTTACCTGACTTCAAATTATACTACAGAACTGTAGTAACCAAAATGCCAGGGTACTGGTATAAAAACAGACACGTAGACCAGTGGAACAGAATACAGAACCCAGAAATAAATCCACACATCTACAGTGAACTCATTTTCAACGAAGTTTCTGAGAACACATACTGGGAAAAGGACATTATCTTAAACAAATGGTGTTAGAAAACCTAGATATCCATATGCAGAAGAACGAAACTAGACCCATGTCTCTTGCCATATACAAAAATCAAATCAAAGTGGATTAAAGACTTAAATCTAAGACTTCAATCTAAGAAACTACTACAACAAAACAT
Organism: Homo sapiens; assembly: GCF_000001405.40. NCBI lineage: Eukaryota > Metazoa > Chordata > Mammalia > Primates > Hominidae > Homo > Homo sapiens. The sequence goes on along the minus strand of NC_000003.12, from coordinate 174,601,747 downwards.
TGGAGAAACTCTCCAGGACATGGGAGTGGACAAAACCTTCTTAAGAAATACCCCACAGGCACAGGAAACCAAAGCCAAAATGGACAAATGGGATCACATCAAGTTAAAAAGCTTCTGCATAGCAAAGGATACAATCAACAAAGTGAACAGACAACCCACAGAATGGGAGAAAATATTTGCAAACTACCCATCTGAGAAGGGATTTATAACTGGAATATATAAGAAGCTGAAAACAAATCTATAGCAAAAAAATCTAATAATCTGATTTTAAAATGGGCAAAAGATCTGAATAGATACTTTTCAAAAGAAGACATACAAATGGCAAACAGGTATATGAAGAGGTGCTCAACATCACTAATCATCAGAGAAATGCAAATAAAAACTACAATGAGATAGCATCTCACCCCAGTTAAAATGGCTTTTATCCAAAAGACAGGCAGTAACAAATGCTGGTGAGGATGTGGAGAAAAAGGAAACCCTCGCACAACTGTTGGTGTGAATGTAAATTTGTACAACTGCTATGGAGAACAGTTTGGAGGTTTCTCAAAAAACTAAAAATAGAGCTACCATATGATCCAGAAATCTCACTCCTAGGTATATACTCAAAAGAAAGAAAATCAGTATATTGAAGAGATATCTGTACTTCTATGAAATAACTGAAAGAGTATAATTGGATTGTTTGAAACACAAAGAATAGATCCTCGAAGTGATGTATACCATAATTACCCTGATGTGATTATTATGCATTGCATGCCTGTATCAAAATATGTCATGTAACCCATAAATAAATATACCTACTGATATAGTTTGAATTCATGTCCTTGCTCAAATCTCATGTCGAATTGTAATCCAGTGTTGGAGATGGGGCCTGGTGGGAGGTGACTGGATCATGGGAGCAGATTTCCCCTTTTGGTGCTATTCTCATAATAGAGTTATCAGGAGATCTGGTTGTTTAAAATTGTTTGGTGCCTCCCCCATCACTCTCTCTTCCTCCTGCTCCAGCCATGTAAGACATGCCTGCTTTCTTATCTGTCATGACTTAAAATTTATTGAGGACTCCCCAGCCATAGTTCCTGTACAGCCTGTGGAACCATGAGCCAATTAAACTTCTTTCCTTTATAAATTACCCAGTCTCAGGTATTTCTTTATAGCAGTGCAAGAACAGACTAATGCACTTACCGTGTACTCACAAAAATTAAAAATTTTAAATAAGAATTATATTTGACTCTTCAAAGACAAATCTTAAATTTTAAATTATAATCCAAGACTTTAGAGAAGTTAGGGAATTCGAGAATCAATATATATATCTGAAAACCATATAGCCATATATTGAAATACATATGTCACTGAAGGTATATTGTAAACAGTAATTTGGCCAACTGTATTTGACCAACTATTCTTGAACTCTCTAAATAAAATTGTTTTAAGATTAAAAAAAAGAATTCCTCATATACTACCAACAATGTACTTAATCCCCGTGCTAAAGGTTGAAAAGCTCTGAGCACAACTTAATTTCCAAATCTATATTATCGGTTTTATCTGCAAAAATTGTATTCAGAAACCACACTGAAACTTTCTTGTTTCACTAAAGTGTGGGGAGGCATAAAAATCCAAGGAGACACTGTAAGGGATTATCATATATTATAAAGGATTAGTTTTTTTTGAAAAAAATAGAATACTATAAAGAATACTGTAAACTACATAGAATATTATAAATAATGCTATTCCTATCTAAGTTACTTGAAGCTAGCACTGAATTCTTAAAATTTCTATCAAGTCTAATGCTCAACCTTGTAAACATTTCTTTCCTTATTTGTCTTCTTCAAAGACTTACTCCACTATTGATAATGCCCAGTGATGCCAGATAGAATATAAAAACTGCCTAAAAATTGAGCACTAAGGCTTTCATTGTTTTTCAGGTCAAATACCAGGGATTTGTTGACGAAAGCAGTCTTTGTAACACCTAGAGAAGAATTATCATACATAGTTCTGTTTTACGGCAGGGGAAGGAGAAGAATAAACACAAGAGTTTAATACAATGCATAAATGGCATAAGAAACAGCCTAAATGGATCATCATCTATTTAAAAGAGAAAAAAAGTAAAATTTATATTTCCCCACATATTTGAAAATAATCAGGTATCAGTATTTCTAATGATCTAGCTTTGCTTAAGACATTGAAGGATACTGATTTATTTCCTCTTAAATGTACTTTGACATATTAGGGAACATGTAGCTTTTACTGGTGCACACACACACTTACAAGTAGACATAGTTATTCTGAGACACACCCTTCCCATATTTATGTCTTTTGTACCAAGAGCCTATGAATAATTATGTGTTAGGGAAGAACCATCAATTCACCATCTAGAAGGTCAGTTTTCTCCTAGTTAGGGACAGATTTGCAGCCTATTTAGAGTAAATAGCCATTTTAAAAATGTGTTGAGATAAATTATGTCTGCCTATCATAGCTATCAACCTTATAGCCACTCTACTAAACCTATGAGATCTACTACCTGTTGATGAGTGAAAGCACTCAGTCGAGCAATCCACAACTGGAGAGGATTAGCTTACAACTGCTGCCACTATCAGCAAAACAGCAAGAAGCAGGCAGTTCATTTTACGGAAACTTAATGGAGTGTATGGCTCTGGCTGTTTAATACAAGCACTGTCAAGGCATCTAAGCAAAAAGTCTCAGCTGTCATCGCTGACAAGCTGAGTAGAATTACTTGTCACAGTAGACTAGAAAAGGCACCATTAAAATGTTACATGGAGCTGTTACCATACATCTGCATATTGTAGCCACAGAGAGACAACATGCTTATGGCTGCCACAGACGTATGACAATGGTATATCCACAAAAGACTTTTCAACACATAATAGATATGAAAGTTAAATATTGCACTCTTAGCATTTCAAAAATGATAGCAACATATGATGGCTAAGTATATCTTCCTAAGTATATCCATTTGCTAAAGTATCTATGTACTTTTTTTCTATAGTAATGTCTGAGTCGACTTCTCTTTGGTTAACTTTTGCTGTCCAAATCTAAAAGCCCTTAATTTTACTAAGTTACTACAGGAGACCTGATAGACACTAAAAGCTGTTTATCATGAACTAATTATAAATTTTCATAATTCTCCTTATCAGGACACTGGGAGTATGTCTTTGCTTAACCGATTTAAAAATACACCAGCATACCACTTCGGAGAACTAATTAATTAATAATAAGTGTCTGATACCAAGAAATAACACGGTTTCTTTGGCTGAGGAGAAATCTACCATTTTCACTTAATCTTAAAAATAAGTTCTGTGTATATCATTTAGCACAGACCTAATTAAGTGACAATTTCCACTGAAATGTGGTTTTAGAGGGAGAAAATGAATATAAAAGGCTCTAAGTAATTAAAAATTGATGCAGAGTAAAAACAAATACACTTAATTCTAGTCACACTAACTCAAAGTTTATGACCAGACCTTTTAAAAATAAGGGCTCATAATTAATTTCCACTTGAATTCCTATCAGGTTTCCTTTAGTTTATTAGGATCTTTATTTTAAATGATGTTTACCAATGGCTACTAAGAAAACTAGGTAAGTAACTTTTTCAGAATGAAATACAGATCATTATTTTTCATTTTTAGTCAAGTTTATTCAGTTCTTCAACATGGTTATTGAAAGCTAACTGGCAAATACTGAATTACTGGAGATTAATTTGAGGAATAAAGAGAGAGATTATAACTCAAAGAACTTATAATATAGAGGTGAGACATGTACAGAAAAAATCTACAATACAAGAGAGAAAGTGATAAGTGCTATGAAAAGAAAACTTAAATTGTTGAGTCAGTTCAAAGTCAGGAAAGATCAAATGTGTCTGATATATGAGCTGTGGTGAAAAGAGGGATTCTCAACTACAGCATTCAGTAGGAAACTCCTCTGAGTCCTAAGGTTAAAATAAGTGGGTGAATAGCTCACATTAAAAATTCAGCACATTAATTGCAATACAAATTATGCTCCCAAAGACTTCTCCCAATGAACCCTTTTTATTCCATTTATCAAGAACTAGGAAAGATGCACTGCAAAGGGTTTGAAGCCAAGGATGGGTAAGACCAGATTTGCATTTTAAATACCTCATTCAGCTGCAATATGGAGATGAAAATGCGAAAGGAAAATATTGTATATGGAAAGGCTCACTAGAAGGTACAGAAAATGGTTAACATAAAAGGCCTGAGATTGCTATCCTTACAAAAGTCCTGCTTGCAAGGTTGGCCCTTTGCTGACGTCTAGGAACATAGATTTCAGGAGAGTTCCAAGCATTCCCTGATAAAAATAGTTTACTATGCCTGAACTGTGTATGCAAACGATATAGTTTACGTTGAACACCTGCTTTCCTTCTGGGAGACTAAAATGTTGCTATGTGTTAGGCAATGGGTACCTATGTGATCATCCTACAATGACAACCCTGGGCAAAATCTCTAACGAGCTTCCCTACTAGACTCCTGTTGTTACAACTCATTGCTGAAAGAATTAAGCATGTGCTGTATGAATCCACTCAGAGTAGACTCTTACACTTGGTTTCTTCCAGACTCTGCCCAATGCACCTTTTGCATACATTGATTTTGTTTTGTATCCTTTCACTATAGTAAATTATGGCCATAAATAAAACACCACTATGTAGAGTCCTGTGAATCCTGCTAGAGAAACACTGAACTTGGGATAGTGTTGGATGCCTCCAAAACAGAAAGCTTCATCTTCCCAGAGACAAAGAAGGTCTGAACTAGAGAAATCATAAAAAGGATGAGAGCCCAATAGAAGTTAATGGTTAAAATCAGGCGCATTCAAGTCAAACAGTCAGGATTCAAATTTCACCTCCATCACTGACTGGCCATGGGCAAGGCATTCCTTTGGGACATTAATAAAAGATGTCTAGCATATAGTTGGATATCCTAATCTAAATTGGCCATGACGTCACAAGAGATAAACATTTTTAGTGTCAGATGGTATAAGCCATCAAAACCATGAAAAGAAATGTATTCATTTAGAAACAATGTACTTAGCAAGAAGAGTTAAATTACAGACCAAGCTACCAGTTAAGGACAGGAAGTAAAAGAGGAACTCAAGAAGTTAGAGCAGCATATTCTTGAGGTGCAGTTCTGAGACTAGAAGGATCACTTGGAAACTTGTTAGAAAAGTAAATTTTCATTCTCTACCCAAGACCTACAGAATCAGAAAATCTGGGCTCAGTAATCTGATTCAACAAACCCTCCAAGTGGTTCTGATACAGCTAAAATTTGAGAACCACTGAAATAGCGTGTAAAAACAAAACAGTGAATAAGTCAGAGACTAGAAATATAGTCAGAAACCTAAAGAGAAGCAGGTCAATAATATATATAAAATTGGGTGAGAGAAGATAATCAAGGAGTTATGGATTAGCAGCATCAATGGTAGTAGAGAGGCCCAGTAAGTTAAGGAATTTGTTGTGCTCATTGCATTTGGCACGTTGGCTTTACCATAAGCAATTTCACTAAAGTAGTAGGGCAGAAGGAAAATGGTAAAGGGTTAAAAGTAAAAACAAAGAGCAAGCTACTCTTTCCAGAATTCTAAGTGTAAAGGAATAAGATTTTATAGTGACCTTATAGTGATTTTATAGAGAGTCATGGCAGTTTTGTTATTAATATTGTTTTTGTTGTTTTGTTTGTGTTTTGTTATTTTTGTTTGTTTGTTTGTTTGTTTGTTTTTGAGATGGAATTTGGCTCTTGTGCCCAGGCTGGAGTGCAATGGCATGATCTCAGCTCACCACAACCTCCACCTCCCAGGTTCAAGCAATTCTCCTGCCTCAGCCTCCCAAGTAGCTGGGATTACAGGCATGCGCCACCACACCCAGCTAATTTTTTGTATTTTTAGTAGAAACGGGGTTTCTGCATGTTGGTCAGGCTGGTCTCGAACTCCCAAGCTCAGGTGATCTGCCCGCCTCGGCCTCCCAAAGTGCTGGGATTACAGGCATGAGCCACCGCACCCAGCCTGTTTTTGTTGTTTTCTTAAGATAGGAGAGACTTGGCCATGTATTAGGCCAAAGCAACAGAGGGAGAAGCTGCCAATTTATAGTGGAAAGAAAGGGGATAACCAGTAACCTCTTTTCAAAAGAAAAGGGAGAGCATGCAGAAAGATGAGCTGAAGAAAAGGATTGATAGGAAGTGGTGGGAGTTCAACTGAAAGTGTAAACCACTAATTTCCAGGATAGCCTTTTCTCCCCTCAAGTTGCATGATTTTCCTTCCGTGTAACTTATCTGGCCAAATACAAAGCATACAGACTGAACTGTAAAAAGCTATTATGCATTTCTGATATCTGACACAGTAGAGATTCAGTAAACATTTTACAGAACAATTAATGAAGAAATGATATAACTTATTCTACTTTCTCTAGAAAGTAGCCCTACAAATAAGACAGAGAGAAAGGGAGAGAAATAGAGGGGACAGAGAGGAAAAAAGAGACAAGAAGCGGGCAGAGGGAGAGGAGAAAGAGAAAACTGATGGATGTGAGGTGTGGCTGGAAGGAGTGGCACCCTCCAGCTCATGAGACCTGAATGTGTACATCTCTTCTCAACTGTGCATTTAGTGACTGAATATGGGTAGCTAGAAAATGGCCATGATGAGTGTTTTTATGCCGCAGAAATAAGCAAAAATAGGGCTTGCTATTCTGGAGAGTTGTTAAATATTACCAGCATACATCTAGAAAGTACTAAGACATGATCAAGTAATGAAGAAAGGAATTGGCCACTTAAAGTTTACTTACTCTGGACTCCATCAGCAAAAATATAAGAAAAGGAACTAACATCTGTGTTAACCACCTACAAACTAGGACACAAAAAGCTACATCAACGCATAGCTGTTGATAAGTGGCACTAGGATTTCAACTCAGATATATCAACTCTAAAACTTATTTCTACATTTCCCCTTATCATTGAAATCATCTGGATCTCTGGTTAAAACATATATTTCTATGCCCCACTCTAGGCCAGCTAAATCAGAACCTCCAAGGAAAGGACTTGGAAGTCTATATGACCTATTATGTGATTCTTACTAGCAGCCAGATCTGAAAAATACGATGCTATATCACAGTCCCTCCAGGCCATTCTTTGGTTAGCTAGTCTGGGTCAGTAGCATAAGAGCACTCAGAGCCGCAACTCAATTGAGGAAAATTGGGCACTGGATAGTACTATATGTTGTAGTCTTTATGACATATGTAAAGTATGAGGAAGAAGAACAGCCTATTAAAAATGTCAGAAAGAAATTGCTTAGAGATTATTCTAAGCATTATTCTTTGATTAGAGGTATCAGGCCTTGCAAATCTTCCCAACGATGTCATAAAATAATTTCTATTTGACAGTTGAGGTAAATAAGGCTTGGAGGGAGTTAAGAAATCGGCATGAAAACACATTGAGCTATGAAGACAGGATTTAAACTGGGTGGTACCATGTTCCAACCACTTCACCAGTTTGCTTTTGCATCCTGTCATGGATTAAAGTTTTAGGAAACAAATTTGGCATATTATTATGCCAAAGTATATTGGCAATTATTATGCCCAAGTATTATTCATGAAAGTAAACTTGTATAAGGAGTTTTTCCTGGTTAAGTAACCGCAGCTGACTAAAGAAAAAAAATTCCTCAATATTATTAGCTATTTGCAATCTAAAACAAGTGAACCATTGAATTTAGACATCTGTATTCTGGAACCATGTAAATGTCACAGGAAAATCAAAAACTCAGTAAACTATTTAATAAACCACAATAGCAATGACCACTTAACATGCTAGGGCTCACAGAACTCTGCCAGCATCTGGTAGCAATTTTCATTAAGCATCAGTGTTAGTCTCAATTACTGCTTACCCATCATTACTCTTCAGGGTGCTAACATGCTGCATATGATTAGTGTCTTACAAAAATTGGACATCTACCCTCCATCAAACCAGAAAAGTAAGTGTCAGGTGAGGAGATAAAATTAGTTCATGGTCATAAAAGTCCATGAATGAGAAAATGAACTACTCCAAAATAGGCTATATACAAGGATTTCTGATACCAGAATTTGAGTGTTATAATTAACCATCTGAGAGTAAAGTATGTGGTCATTTTAACTTACATCTCTAAATAAGAAGCATTACTTACTATATAAAAATCAGCTTTCTCCCTTGTTTTTAGGAAAGCAATGTAGCCACACTTGTTAAGAGAGTAGGTTCTGAAACCATACTGACTTTGAATTCCAGCCATGTCATTTAACAGCTGTGAGATCTTAGGCAAATATACAAAAACCTCTTTGTGCCTCAATTTCCCCACCTTCCAAGTAAAGATATGAATAGCAGTGCCTTCCTCAAAAGTGAACACTGAATTAACTAAAACTCATAAAACACTTGCAACGGTGTCTGACATGTACTAACCACAAGAAAATATTCGCTAATAGTTACTCTGTTATACATTTCAACTCTGTCCCTGAATCTATACCATATTTGAGTTACACAGTTTATGCTGATAGTAAGAATAACTTATTTAGCAATTTAGAGTTAAACTAATTCATTAGGAAGGTTAATATGGAAATTTCTCTGTATTATAATTAGCTACCATCCAAGATGTAAAGAATATATTTGACAATTCTGATTGTCCTACAAGAAAATTTGAAAACCTCGATTACAGTGAGTCTGAATAGTCTCCATGCTCATTATCTGATTGGTTAGTTGGATTTAGGAAAAGTGATAGCTAGGAAAGCTGAAAACCTCTGTCTCTTTCTCACTCTCTCTCTACCTCTTCCTTTCTTCCTCTTTCTTTCTCTTCTCCCTCTCTCTCACACACACACATACCTTGTATAGCAAATAAAGTCAAACTTCAACACATTAAATTCAAATCTGTTGCTAAACAATTTATCCTTGCAAAAAAAAAAGTAGGTCTAGGTCATAATAGATCCTATGTGGGGGATTAGATTTAGTTATCAGGGCTTAAGGAAATTGTTGTAGGGGCATTGTTACACAGATTAATAATGGAAACAAGAATTTATCTGAAGTAAATATTTCTGCTAGTGAGGAGCCAAATTAGACAACAACTTTGCAGTTCTAAAACGATTTCTTCATATGTTGTAATTTTAAACATTGTCTCTAGATGGGATCAAGTAAATGTATTTACTTTAAATATCTAATTGATCATCTAAAGATGAAAAAGATTCTAAGGGAAAGTCCTATAATATCCAAATTATGTAGATCATTCCTGAGCACAGGTCCCAATCCTTACCTAACTACTGATTCTAATTACTTTCTCAGGTATTGCTCCTTCAGGATGGCCTAAAACTAAAGCCTACTATCTCATCTTTGAGATATACCTAATGCTAAATGATGAGTTAATGGGTGCAGCACACCAGCATGGCTGTTTTTGAGACATACACATGTTTAGATACATATGTAACTAACCTGCACATTGTGCACATGCACCCTAAAACTTAAAGTATAATAATAACAAAATAAAAAAAGAAAAATTGTTTCAAAAATAAATAAATAAATAAAAAGAAATACTCCATTCCAAAATTATAGTTCCATCAGCCTGTATGACATAAAATACTAGGCCATCTTTCTTCACAATAAATTACTGAATAACATCTCTCAATCAGTCAGTTTACCTTGGGAATTGTTCTATTATACCTATTTCATGCTGAAATGTCATTTAAAAAAAACTCACACACGTATGACACTTCTTAAGCCTGTTATTAAAGCAACAATAAAAGTTTATAAGTCATTTCTGCCAAGAAAATAAAAATCTTGAAAATTGGTGAAAAATACACAGACCTATGTCAGATAGGGTATTATGGCAAACAAACAAACAAAAACCTTACTAATGAAACTATAAAAATAAACAAAAATCCAAAACAGCAAAACTCATAAACCAACAAACCAACTAAATAAACAAAAACAAAAGAGAGATACTCTTTATAGATGTCTGTGCCTTGTATACTATAATTTCATTCTAACTTTAGAATCGGAAATTCACAACTATAAAAAGACTGAAATTTCTCTAAGAGAGAAAAGGCACAACATGTATTTTATTATGGCAAGTCTTTAGATAGTATCAAAAATTTCTGCAATGGCCTTTAAGTGTGCAAGGTGAACTTTGTATTTCTGTTTAGGTCCATTTTAACTAATCCAAGCAAGCATCAGCTTCCCTTATAAGAAAGATGATGGGAAGTTTTCATTTCATGCTCCATCCATCAGGCGTGCTACCAACTTCAAATGACAAGTTTTCCTTTACCCGCATCAATAGAGATGCCCTCTGAACTCATTATGCCATAGCAGATGGTTATATTGAATGCTCATACTAACACATTACTGTAGAATGATGAATTCAGAAATATTTTTGTAGTCTACTGTGATTTTATCTAACATGCACCGTTCTTTTCTATTTGTCCAGCCAATCCAAACATAATTCCCTATTTGCCCTTCTCCTCCTTAGGGGCCTAGAAAAATACATATGGAAGGCCAGGTTAGAAAAGAATATAATTCAAGGCCGTATTGTCAGAAGACCATTGGAAGGCTTATGGAGATTTGTCCATCTCAAGATTAAGGAGCAGTCTGTCTCCAGAGGATCAGCCAAGGTTCTTAGTCTATCAGTCTCCTTCCCAGCCTTCAGATAATGAATAATGCCTGTTGAATCAGGGGGTCCCCTCTTGAAGAGATGTTAGTTCTGGTTTCTCCTCAGTCACAGCTGCTGTTGCTGTGGTTGTATTATTAGGAAGGGGAAATCTGTTCACCTCTCTGGATTCAGTATCAGCAGCAACTGTGGAGAAAGGAAACATGTGATACTAATGGAAGCCTCTCTTTAAGTTTTTTTTTTTCCTTTCATTTCACCGAAATAGCTAGTATTTATTGAATGTCTATTTCTAGTCAAATAGTAACAAAAGTTTCCATGCATTATCTCAATTAATCCTCATACCAACAACAACAACAAACTAAAGAACTATGAGATTAGTACTGTTACTGTGCCTGTTTTACTGATTAAGACATTGAGGTTTAGATAAGTTATATGGCTTGTGCAAGAAAATAGTGGAGTTAAAATCTGCACCAAGAACTTAAGAGCTTAATGTTTTACTACTGAAAGGACTATACTCACTGCTCTATTCACTTATGAAACTGTGGATAGTGTTTTGTTGACATTCAATAAGGCCACTCTTATACTTTAAAATTTAATATAATAAGAGGGACAAAATCTATCAGTAAAAAATAAAATTTAATTATCTTTTCAAGATAGCTTTTAAAACATTTAGATTATTTATATTTATACTTGGATTCATAATTTTACTCTAAGTCAAAAAAAATCCATGCAAGCCTTATACAGTATCTTTTAAAATATTATGTATTGCATAGATGCTAAATACTACATTATTTTAAATACCAGGATAAAAGGCAGAGTTATAGCTATGTACTTCTATATGGTTCAAATAAAGAATTAACTGCATAGTTTTTTCATGTTTAGGATGGGACAAGAAGGATCTAGTTGAGCTGATTACCAAGATATCCTTATAAAACTTTGCATATAACTGTACAGAAAAAAAAAATCTATGGTTCTGACTGATCAATTGAGAAGGACCACGAAAAAGAGAAAAAGGGTGAGATAAGTCTTATAATCAGTGGGAAACTTTAGAAAATAAGCCTCATTTCTAAAAAAAGAATTCTGCTTTTCCTCCTTAATGCTACCCTCTCAGGTACAGTGGGAAAATCTAGCATGGACCTAAAACAAGAAGTTTTGGCCCTTGATAATTAATATGTAAAGATATAAAGAACACACCTTTAAATGAAAGAAATAACAGGATGTTTTATTTATGGCATTTTCAAATATATATATGACTTTTTTCAAAAAAAAAAAACACAGCAACAACAACAACCCTATTACTAATAAGGGTTTAAAAAACATCATGGGCTTGAGTATTTAATATTCTAGTATTCCACTTCCTGAAAGTTTACCAAAAGTTAATATAACTTAGTAATCAAAAATTTTCAAAAGTGTTTTGATTGACAGCTGTTTATTGGCTCTCCCTACCTAATGAATACTACAGCTTGGTATAAAATCTTCAAGTTATTCTGAAATTACTAATGTTTCAGTCAACTAAATTTGCTCAAGATCTTTGCCTTCCATTCTCATTCACTGTTGGTGTGACCATAAATGGCACAGTCTCAATGAATGGTAATTTGCCAGTAAACAAACAGAAACTCAGACTTGGTTCTAAGATGGCCGAATAGGAACAGCTCCAGTCTACAGCTCCCAGCATAAGCGACGCAGAAGATGGGTGATTTCTGCATTTCCAACTGAGGTACCGGGTTGGTCTCACTGGGGCTTGTCAGACAGTGGGTGCAGCCCACAGAGCGTGAGCTGAAGCAAGGCAGGGCATCGCCTCAGCCGGGAAGCACAAGGGGTCGGGGAATTCCCTTTCCTAGCCAAGGGAAGCCGTGACAGATGGTACCTGGAAAATTGGGACACTCCCACCCTAATACTGCACTTTTCCAACAGTCTTAGCAAACAGCACACTAGGAGATTATATCCCGCACCTGGCTCAGAGGGTCCCACGCCCAAGGAGCCTCGCTCGCTGCTAGCACAGTAGTCTGAGATCGAACTGCAAGGTGGCAGCGAGGCTGGGGGAGGGGTGTCCGCCATTGCTGAGGCTTAAGTAGGTAAACAAAGTGGCTGGGAAGCTGGAACTGGATGGAACCCACCGCAGCTCAAGGAGGCCTGCCTGCCTCTGTAGACTCCACCTCTGGGGGCAGGGCATAGCTGAAAAAAAGGCAGCAGAAACTTCTGCAGAATTAAACATCCCTGTCTGGCAGTCTTGAAGAGAGTAGTGGTCCTCATAGCATGGAGTTTGAGATCTGAGAACAGACAGACTGCCTCCTCAAGTGGGTCCCTGACCCCTGAGTAGCCTAACTGGGAGGCACCCCCCAGTAGGGGCCGATTGACACTTCATATGGCCAGGTGCCCCTCTGAGACGAAGCTTCCAGAGGAAGGATCAGGAAGCAACATTTGCCATTCTGCAATATTTGCTGTTCTGCAGCCTCTGCTGCTGATACCCAGGCAAACAGGGTCTGGAGTGGACCTCCAGCAAACTCCCACAGACCTGCAGCTGAGGGTCCTGACAGTTAGAAGGAAAACTAACAAACAGAAAGGACATCCACACCAAAACCCCATCTGTATGTCACCATCATCAAAGACCAAAGGTAGATAAAACAATGAAGATGGGGAAAAACCAGAGCAGAAAAGCTGAAAATTCTAAAAATCAGAGCGCCTCTTCTCCTCCAAAGGAACGCAGCTCCTCACCAGCAACGGAACAAAGCTGGATGGAAAATGACTTTGATGAGTTGAGAGAAAAAGGCTTCAGACGATCGGTAATAACAAACTTCTCCGAGCTAAAGGAGGATGTTCGAACCCATCACAAAGAAGCTAAAAACCTTGAAAAAATTAGAGGAATGGCTAACTAGAATAAACAGCATAGAGAACACCTTAATGACCTGATGGAGCTGAAAACCATGGCACGAGAACTACGTGACGCATGCATAAGCTTCAGTATCTGATACGATCAAGTAAAAGAAAGGGTATGAGTGTTTGAAGATCAAATGAATGAAATGAAGTGAGAAGAGAAGTTTACAGAAAAAAGAGTAAAAAGAAACAAACAAAGCCTCCAAGAAATATGGGACTATGTGAAAAGAACAAATCTACATCTGATTGGTGTACCTGAAAGTGACAGGGGGAATTGAACCAAGTTGGAAAACTCAGGATATTATCCAGGAGAACTTCCCCAACCTAGGAAGGCAGGCCAACATTCAAATTCAGGAAATACAGAGAACGCCACAAAGATACTCCTCAAGAAGAGCAACTCCAAGACACATAATTGTCAGATTCACCAGAGTTGAAATGAAGGAAAAAATGTTAAGGGCAGCCAGAAAAAAAGGACAGGTTACCCACAAAGGGAAGCCCATTTGTCTAACAGTGGATCTCTCGGCAGAAACTCTACAAGCCAGAAGAGAGTGGGGGCCAATACTCAACATTCTTAAAGAAAAGAATTTTCAATCCAGAATTTCATATCCAGCCAAACTAAGCTTCATAAGTGAAGGAGAAATAAAATCCTTTACAGAGAAGCAAATGCTGAGAGATTTTGTCACCACCAGACAGGCCTTATGAGAGCTCCTGAAGGAAGCACTAAACATGGAAAGGAACAACAGGTACCAGCCACTGCAAAAACATGCCAAATTGTAAAGACCATTGATGCTAGGAAGAAACTGCATCAACTAATGAGCAAAATAAACAGCTAATATCATAATGACAGGATCAAATTCACACATAACAATATTAACCTTAAATGTAAATGGGCTAAATGCTCCAATTAAAAGACACAGACTGGAAAACTGGATAAAGAGTCGAGACCCATCAGTGTGCACATGTATGTTTATTGCAGCACTATTCACAATAGCAAAGACTTGGAACCAACCCAAATGTCCATCAATGATAGACTGGATTAAGAAAATGTGGCACATATTCACCATGGAATACTATGCAGCCATAAAAAAGGATAAGTTCATGTCCTTTGTAGGGACATGGATGAAGCTGGAAACCATCATTCTCAGCAAACTATGGCAAGGACAGAAAACCAAACTCCGCATGTCCTCACTCATAGGTGAGAAGTGAACAATGAGAACACTTGGACACGGGGTGGAGTACATCACACACCAGGGCCTGTCGTGGGGTGGGGGGAGGGGCAAGGGATAGCATTAGGAGATATACCTAATGTAAATGAAGAGTTAACGGGTGCAGCACACCAACATGGCTCATGTATACATATGTAACAAACCTGCATGTTGTGCACATGTACCCTATAACTTAAAGTATAATAATAAAAAAAAAATCTCTGAAAGTTGCATACCTTTTTATATAGTAGATGCAGCTCACAGCAATAACATAAGCATACCTTGAGAAATGACCCTATATGGCAGAAACATCTGAATACGTGTTCAGAGTTTCAAGTATGGCCAACTCAGAGATTCATTCCTTATCTATGAGGAACATGTGAGCCCCTGGCCCAACCCACAGAATGTTCGGGTTAAATGAAGGTTGCCAAGTGGAGGCTGATGCGGGAGGATGTTAAGTGAAAGTGCTACATAAATTACATGTTTCCTGAAGGCATCAGCAGTTCTGCTATCCAGCCAACTGCCACTGGACCACTGTATGTAAGTTCTTAGTAAACCCTGTGGTCTCGTCGCTGGTTCTGGGTCTCTTCGTCAGTCTGTTGAACCCGGTGCCATCCATACTGAAGTTAGCAGGAGTCCAGCACAACACCTTTGACCTGGAAACTTCTAGAAATTTGTAATGAATGTGCACACATAATTACCTGTAAGAATATTCATTGTGGCCTTATTTATCGTATTTTTAAAAATAAAAAAAATAATGTATACCACTAGGGAGGCTAAATAAAATGCATTACAACCTGTACAACTGAATACCATCTCTAAAGAAGTTAATTTAAATGTATGGTGCCTAGCACACAAACAGTGCTAAATAAATGATTGCTTGGTCCATAGATGAACAAATATCCGTTGAAATTTTCAGTAATAAGTTGCCTGAAGTGATTTTATCCAGTATTTGTTAACCGTATATTTGTTTACACATATAATAATTTTGCTAATACCTGTAAAGAGCTTGCTATGTACAAGCCACTATTCTAGAAACTTTTCATATATTAATGCATTTAATGCTTATAACAGTCCTATGCAGAATATAGTATTATTAGTCCCATTGTACAGACCAGAAAATAGAAGCATAGGGCAGGTAAATAACTTGCCCAAAGTTATGGAGTTCATCACTAGCAAGGCCAACATTTAAAAGTAGGCAATATATCTCCAGAGTCTGTGCTCTTAACCAGAAAATGCACTTGTCTGGAAGACTATTCAACATGAAGACAGTGTGGTTGTTTCTGGTTATCAGATCGTTATTATTAATATTGCTTTTGCTTATCAATTTTTTCTCCTTTTTCTACAATAAATGTGAATTAATGTGTCATTCTTTAAGTAAAAAAAAAACAAAAAAAACTATCTTTTGATTCCACAATGAGCTGGAGACAAGAACGCTATGAAGCTTATGACTGAGAACTACTAGCACAGATCCAGGGTAGAAATTCTGATATTTCACAGCTCCACATCTTTGGATGTATTCAAATTGAAAATGAATTTAGGCAATGAGTTCTTCTGAACCTTGATATCTTACAGGGTAGAAGAAAAATACTGTTCTAATCCATCAACATTGTTCTCTTGCTCTCGTCCATGTGAAGTCATGTTACTGATAACTATTTTTTTTCTTTAAGGTTAACACAAAGGTTTTATGCTTCAGCCCTGCCTTTCACTAGCAGAAGATTAGAATCAATATTTTAGGAGATTTCTATGATACAGTGAGCTCAGACGGTACTCCTACAATACAGCCCAATGCAGTGGTTCTCAACCTTGGCTACTGGATTTTTTTCAAAACTCCACAAATGATTATGATGCATATCCTACGCTGAGAGTTTCTGCAGTATGTCTATTACAGTACAGCTCTGACCTTACTTGTAATATTTCAGGGGTCAGAGTCACAGTATTGGTAACTGCAACTGAGTAACAGCCAATTTCAGAATATGTGTTATTCTTATATATACAGATAAAAAGAGCTTTGTGCTTTCATTTAAAATGGGAAAATATACATGAATATTAAGAATGAGTTACTAAATATACATTATCATGTCTGACTGAAATATTAGATTTATAAAAGAGCATGAGGGTAAAACGATAAGTGCAAAACCAAAATCTGATAAAGGAAGATTGTGAAGTTGATCAAGAGAGTGCATTCGCAGTGAATAATCAGTCTCATTGATCAAACTGGAACTGTGTTCTAAGGGAAATCATATTGGCTTGATAAATAATAGAGCTTCAATTTATACACAACAGAATCCAGGATTTAGTAAAAATTCACAAAGGACCAGCAAAACTCACAGTAGCAAACCGGATTAAATACTTGAGATGGTACTAAATAAAAATTTATGATATCCTTCCCCAGGATAATTAGCTATCATGCATTATGGAGATTTGTACTTAAAAGTTAGACCTAGGGAATCTGACCATAATTTTTTGAATCAATACTGATAAAAAGAAAAATAAATTTTCACATAAAAGCAACATTTGAAAATAATTTTTTGTTCGTCTATGTGTAGAAAGTTGAAGCACACATACCAAATCTTTAACATATACATGATAAAAAGAAAAATAAATCTGATGTACTAAAAACTAAATTTGAAAATAATTTTCTGGGATTTCACTTGTAGAAGGTTGAAGTGTACACATACTTAATCTTTAAAACATGCACTGCATCTGCTAGTATTTGCTCTACACCCTACACCCAGTGACCTTATACGTTTATGTGTATCTGATTACTTGCTTTTGTTTCACTTCGACATACGTTTTCTGGATAAAGTAAAATTTCTCTGATTACCTCCTTCTTGAACATATTCTTCCATCTATGAACCCACACATGCCTGATTCTTCAACCCCTTTACCAGTCATTCTTTCTCAGTCTTTCTCAGGTTTCTCTTATGAATTATACTTTATATCTTAGCCTGTTAGCATCCAGCTGACAGTAATTGTGCCTATTAATTTATCAGATAAAGGACTATCACTTTATTAAAATATGCCCTTTTTAGATAATGATAACAAATCAATGAACAAAATGGTGTGACAGAATAACTGAGTTGAAGCTTTCCTATGGGAAATATAAAACATTTTGCTGTTCATTAATTTTGAAGGTGGGACTCAGAAAAAGTACATGTGGTTCTTGTGATGAGTCCCTTGTGTCTAAAGATCTAAAACATATGGAAAATTATTCCGCTTTTTGTAATATCCCACTGTTTTTTCTCTCAGACTATGTTCATTTCAACCTTTGAAATGAAATTCCAAACATTCAAATAAAGAGGGATATAAATTCTTGCTTTTCCAATCAGTGTATGCATTATAGACAAAAGCTTTAAAGGAGAGGAAAAGAAACAACGTAATAGCATTGAACCTCTTGTGTACCCAAGAGACTGAGACATTATCATAATGCCTCTATTATGGCAATTGCTGAAATTAAATGCCTGTAGAATTGACCCTAAGGAGTACTGTTCAGTGTTTGCTGTAATAAAACACTTACTGTAAATGCTTAACCTTGGATAGGTTCTATATTCATACAATTCCACAATAGCAAATTTGACACTGTCACTGTATGTGTAATAAATAAGCCAGATTGAACCATCCCATGTTACTTTTTGGGTTAACTAAAATATCTTGCTTCCTTCTTCCAAGTCTGTATGGCCTTCCAGAATCTTTAAGACTACATATACCATAAACTAAAAATGGCATGGTACTTTAGTGATTATTCAAAATTTAAAGAACTTAATGGAAAAAAATTATTCAGGGAGCAGCATGTTTAAAAGTGCAGACAGGTACAGTTTGATAGGTTATATATGATTCAGAATGAAATAGTATAATTGGCAGCACTTACCATATTATAGATTTACACTGGACTTTGCCATCATTTTGCATTAGTGTTATCTCAGCTGGTTGCTATTTAGTAACCTTGTATTAAGTTATTCTGTTTCATTGACAGGTGGCAATAAAAAAGGCAAATATGGCTTTCCTTGCCTTTGCAGTACAACTATAATGGACGTTGTGTCTATCCTGCAGTTTGAATTACATTTGCATGCCAGATGAACTTAGACATTTCCTTTTTCATCTCTTAAAATATCAAGTTTAAAAAACTACAAATGTTCTGAAAAGTATCAAAAAAAAATGAAGTCTGGGCTGGGTGCAGTGGCTCACGCCTATAATTCCAGCACTTTGGGAGGCCAAGGCAGATGGATCACTTGAGGTCAGGAGTTCAAGGCCAGTCTGGCCAACATGGTGAAACCCCATCTCTACTAAAAAAATATAAAAATTAGTCAGGCATGGTGGCGTGTGCCTGTAATCCCAGCTACTCGGGAGGCTGAGGCAGAAGAATTGCTTGAACCCAGAAGGTAGAGGTTGCAGTGAGCCGAGATCACACCACTGCATTCCAGCCTGGGCAACAAAGTGAGACTCCATTTCCAAAAAAAAAGAAATGAAGTCTAGAAATAAATGATGAATTTCTGTCATATAAATTAAAGATAGAATTTGTAAAGAAAATCAGAAACTACAGTTTCTATATTATCCAATAAGAATCCTTCATTTCCCAAGATTGTTGGTATATTCAAACTATTAAATGCAGTCACAGGTTTTTTATTTGTTTGTTTGTTGTATTTACTTCACTTTCCGGTAATACAGTGTGCAAATTTTGTAAAAGAAAATAGAAGCAAGTATGTTTATATTTTGCAGCATAAGATATTCCATAGCCAGCCAGTCTAATTCATGCTATTGATTTCAACATTAGTTGTCTCCACTTCTTCAACCCCATTTATTCTATAGTCCATTCTATGTACTTTGGTTCTCCAGTATTCCACGAAAACCTTCAAGATTTCTTGAAGATCACAAGTGGCAACCTAACTACTAAGTCCAAAGGATAATCTTTTATACAACTCATTAGTCTAGATTTCTCTCTCTCCCTCTTTGTACTGTTGGTAAATCACAATATGCTACTGATTCGATTGCCTTACTATCTATCTATCTCAGCCATTCTTTTATTGCTTAAGCCAATCAAATCAATAGAATATTGTGCTATGCAGTATCTGTCTCAGCCAAAAAAGAATTAATTGTGCTACAGAAACAAACAACTTCCAAATCGTCATGGCTTAACACAATAGAGATAACAGTTATTCAAAGAAGCAAGTGATGGAGTATCCACCATACTGACTTTTGCCTATCACTGTGCCAGAGGGAACAGAAAGCTCTGCAGAATCTTGCATCAGCACCAGGCCAGAGATGACATGCATCAGTCCTCGCACGACTCACTGGCCAGAACTAGTCATGTGACTACCTAACCAGGAGGATCAGGAAGTATAATCCTATCATATGCCTGGCAAGAGAATTAGGAGAGTCTCTAAAAATGCGGTAGATAGTTCAAATTGCAACACATCACTGCTCAGAATTTTTCAAACCTCTTTACTAAGACAAGATGAAATATATTATCCTACGTATCAATTCTCCTTTCTCTCTGATCTCTTCCCTTCCCAATTCTTTTTATCCCCAACACTCAGTATTTGTGTTCCAGTGATAATAAGTTGCTTGCACTTTTTTTTAGAAAATGGCATGCTCTTGAACGCATGGACATTTTATACATATTATTAATCTGCTTCTCTGGTATTAGGAAACTATTTATACTTCCAGTTTTATCTCAAAATACACCTTTCCTCTGAAGTCTTCCCTGACCCCACCCAGATTTTATTTCATGTTTTGCATATACTTTCCCTGCCTTAATATAAATACATTTTGAATAATTTGCCCTTGTCTCCCCACTGGACTGTAAACAATGAATTCAGAGAATATATTGTTTCCAATTTAGATTCTTGGCACTTGAGATTAAATCATAAACTCAAAAACAGTGTAATGATTGAATCCTGGCTGATTTCTCTGTCACTTAACCTATTATTAGATAACTTATTTTTTGAAACAATTTCTACATTTGCTTCCCATGCCATCATTCTATGCAAAGCCACAATGAGGCACACTGTCATTACTATAATAGCCAAAATTAAAAACACTAACCATAACAAGTGTTGGTGAGAATGTGGAGGAAATGGAATTTATATACTGTACACTGCTGATGGGAATGTAAAATGGCACAACCACTTCGGAAAACATTTTGTCAATTCCTTAAAAAATCAAAATATACTTAACATTATGATCCAACCATTCCACTCTTAGGTATCTCCCTGAGAGAAATGGAAGTGTATGTCTGTAAAAAATTTTGCACTCAAATGTTCATAGCCCAAAGCTGAAAATAAGCCAAATTTCCTTCAACAGGTAAATAGATAAACAAATTGTGGTATACATACAATTTAATACTACTTATAAATAAGAAGGAATGAAGTATTGATATATATTACATAGAGAGAGAGAGAATACTATATGAATCAATTGATATCAAATTCTAGAAAGTGTCTACAGTGACACAAAACAGATTAATGGCTGCCTGGAAACAAAAGGTGGCACAGGAAGTGATGGGAGAAAGGGATTAAAAGGAGTTATGAACATGTTCAACATCTTCATTTTAGTGAGAATTTCAAATGTATATACATGAGTAAAAACTGCACAATTGTACACTTTAAATATGTTCAGTTTATTATATGTCAAGTATTTCCCAATAAATTTGTTTATAAAAAGATGAGAGGATTTTCTAACATAAATTATTAAACTTAGCCATACGTTTGTTTCTCACTTTGAAAATATTTTTGACATAATTATGAGAGCAACAGCAATTATTAAGAACTAATAGCCTTTCCACATGAAAAAACGTACAAATGTTCAAAAGTGTGTAACTTTTTGTTACCATGACTACTCAACAGCTTCATAAAATGTTTTATGTCAAATGACCCTTTTCTGTTATATATTTCTGCAAGATTAAATACTTGTATTTATATCCTTACACATTTTTCCTTATTTTTTTTCAGGAAAAAAACAATGTTAAAACCCCATCAGTTTCTTAAACAAGCAAATTTTAAAAGTCCAATAATTTTAAAGTTTAAAGTCTCATTTATTCACTTGATGACTTAAAAAAATAGCAATTTCTTATTTTTTTTCCCTCTCACTGGGCATATGATCACAAAGTAGAACAAGGTATATGAAATCTCCAGGCTCCACACAAAGTAAATACTATGTCTACATAAGCACAGTTGATGAAGCCACCTGAGAATGTGAGCTAAGGCTACCATCCAACATACAAGTGGGTTTAAAATAGTCATACATGTATCCCCAGTCACTGTGACAATTCTGTAGCAATCACATTTTAATGCCATATCTAGAAGGGTGCTCAACATTCTTTTAGTTTGTTTGCATTTTTTAATGTAAAGTTTACAGTGAAATACAAAAATCATAAGTGTATAAATCAATAAGTTTTGACAAACATATTTATGTGTATAATTAACAAATGTATCAAGATAGGAACACATTCATCTCTCCATAAAGTTTCCTCATGCCCACTCATGTATTCCTCACTCCCATTTCTCTGTGCAATTATTTATTTGTAGACTTCACCACAGATTAGCTCTGCACATTCTATAATTTCAAATAAATGGAAGTAGACAATATATACTCTTGGGAGTCTAGCTTCTTTTCCTCAACATCATGTTTCTGACATTCACCTACGTGTTACTTGTGTTAGTATATTTATTTTTATTTCTGAGGGGTATTCCAGTGAATGAATATGGCACAAATTGTTTATCCATTCTCCTCTTTATAGATATCTCTGTTGGTTCCATTTTAGGTCCATTATTGGTAAAGCTGCTATGAAGATTCACATACAAGGCTTTAGGGAGAAATATATTTTTATTTTTATTGAGTAACTGCTTAGCAATTGCTAGGCCATTGGGTGGGTGTTTGTTTAACTTTATAAGAAAATGCTGAGACTTTTTTGAAAGTAATTGTACCATGTTATCCTTCGATCAACAACCAACATTTGGTGTTGTCACTCTTCATTTCCATCATTCAAGGTGTTAGTGGTCTCTGTGTGATTTTTATTCTTATTTCCCTGACAATTGATTTTACTTACTTATATGTGCATATTTTTCTTTGTGAAATGTACAATCAAATCTTTTGCTGATATTTTTAGCTATATTTTTTCTTTCGTAAGATGATGAAGCCTTTGTGAAATCTATATTTTATAAATATTTTGCCCAGTTTGTGGCTTATCACATTCTAAATTGGGACTTTATATTTAGTTTTGATGAAGTTTAATTCATATAATTTATATTGATGGAGTTTCCTGAGTATACCCAAATTATGAATAGAATCCTCCTATGTTTTTATATGACTGTTAAAGAAATTAAGAAATTTTTATATAATTACTTGCACAGGTACCATTTCTGCCACTCTCTGTTCCTTCCCGTACATCAAAGTTACCATCTGTTGTCAATTTCCCTCAGCATGAAGAATTTCCTTTAACATTTCTTGTACTATAAATCTACCCTTCCAAAATTCATTCAGTCTCTTTTAAGTAAACATATCTTGCTTTCAGCTTAAAGTTGAAGAATAATTTTAATGGATGCAGAATTTGAGGTTGACTGTTTTTTTCTTAAATCACTTTAAATGTGTTGTCCCATTGTCTGCTGATCTCCTTTGTTTCTGATAAAAAGTCAGTGATAACTTCTATCATCTTTTCTCTATATATAATGTAATGATTTTCAATATTTTCTCTTTACATTTGCTTTTCAGGAGTTAGCTTACGATATGCCTAGGTATGGTATTCTTTATATTTATCGTGTTTTGTTTTCCTAAAATTTGTGGATATAAAAATCAATTATTGTCACAAAAATGAGAATTTTTTGGCAAGTATATTTTCAAATTATTTTCTGCTCCATTATTTCTCTCCTCTTTTTCTGAAATAGCAAATACAGATATGCTAGACTCATAGCATTGTTCCACAGGTCAGTGATAATACGTTAACTTTTTAAAACCTTTTTTCTCTTTGTTCTTCAAATTGAATAATTCCTATTGATTTCTCTTCGCCTTCATTAAACATTTCTTCTGTCATTCCTAACTTGCTGTTAAGCCCATCCACTGAAATTTTTCTTTTAAATTTTGTACTTTCTGGTTCTAAAATTTCCATTTTTAACATATAGTTTCTATTTCTCTGCTCTGATTCTCCATCTTTTCACTAATCAGAACCATGTTTTTCTTTAAGTCCTTCTATAATAAAAGCACTGTATTAATGTTCTTGTCAGATAGTTTCAAGATCTGATTCGTCTGAGTAAATTTATGCTGACCTTTTTTTCTTAATTATGATTAATATTCTTCTGTTACCTCACATGTCTAGAAAATTTTGATTGGGTAATCTAAATTGTGGAGGATACCTGGCAAAAACTCTGGATTCTATTATCATCCTCTGAAGAGGTTGATTTGCATTCTAGTAGATAGTTAACTTGGCTAAATTAAAATTCTTATCTTCCTAATATTGGGCAGCAGTTAAAATCTCTGCAAAGTCCTTTTAATATTCAGCTGTCATTTTTCATAGTCCAGAGGTCAAAAAAGGATTTGGCAGAATTTACACATTTCTTATTACATTTCAGCCATCCTGCACTATGCATCATTGGGTGGCAAACCACACAAATGCAAGTATCCCCAGTTTCTGTCTACTTCTGGTCACTGTACAATCTTTCCAATACTTGCTTTTATTTATATTTGACATCTGCTGGCAGGTTAATCAATATACTCTTCTATAACAGTATCAGTAAAGTTCCAACATTTGTTTATAACATTTTAACATTTCTCAAATATCCCTCTAAAATAATGTTATTTAATCAGATATTTGGTTTTTTTAAGAGAACATAATAACAGAGGAGAAAATTATTTTTGAAATGTCCCATTATTCAGATTGTTTGCATCAAATGTGTTATATATGTAGGCATCTAAACTCTTGAATTTTTATTTTTCATCTAGACAGTTGATTGTTGAATCATGGGCTAATATAAGTCACCAAGAGGAACTTAAGCATTTATCCTGAAGCTCTCTGTAACGTTTAATATCTGCTAAAATGTTTTTCTACTTTCTTTATAACAGGCATTGAAAATATCTCTCGTTTAGAAAAAAAATCAGTCTCTCCAGATTAAGAAGCGTATATATTAAGATTATAAATATACATTATACACTTCCAGATTAAGAAGTGTATAATGTATATTTTACTCTATCACATTGCAGAATGCAATTGACTGTCATAATAAAGGAAATGGCATACCAATGAAATGAGAACATAATTATTTTTTACTTCTCTTAAAATATGAAGGAAGCTATCATTTAAACCTTACTTCAGTGTATTACATGCAACAAGTTCCCTTGAAAGAGTGGCAGCAAGGCTATTAAGCTCTCAACCCCAACACAGAATGGCTGTGTTCCCTAAGGGTTTGTTTAAATTTAAAGCACATAAGAACAGTAAAGAAATATAATGTAATCGAGTAAGAAATGTTCAACATCACTGTCATCCATTCAGCAGTAAATACATATAATGCAAAACTACTTCAAATTGTGTATGTAGTGTGCAAAGTTAATATCTAAATAGAAATATTAGATATTACTTCCATTTCACATGTTTATATTTTAATTCTTATAAAGCTCAAAACAATTCTATCATTTATAAGAAAACTTCACACAAATGTGAAGGAAATATATCTATAGTCCCCTCATAGTGATTTAACCCAAAAGTATATCTACATACATTCCATACAAATCAAAAGTATCCTTTAACCACAGTACTCTCATGTAATTTTCCTTCTTAACATTTATTTCAAGTTTTTATAATTTTTTGTCTGTATGTCTACTTTAATTTCTGTTTATTCTATTTTCCATTTGGCTCCTAGAGTTTAGGAACCATATCTATTTTGTTAAACAATATATACCCAGGCTGGGCACGGTGGCTCACATCTGTAATCTCGGCACTTTGTGAAGCCGAGGTGAGTGGATCACCTGAGGCCAGGAGTTCGAGACCAGCCTGACCAACATGGCAAAGCCCTGTCTCTACTAAAAATACAAAATTAGCCAGGCATGGTGGTGCATGCCTGTAATCCCAGCTACTCAGGAGTCTGAGGCAGGATCATCGCTTTAACCCGGGAAGTGGAGGTTGCTGTGAGCCGAGATCGCACATTGCACTCCAGCCTGGGCAACAAGAGCAAAATTACATCTCAAAATAAATAAACAAACAAACAAACTATATATACTCAATGCCTGGCTCAGTGTCTGGGGCACAATAGGCATCTAATAAATATGGATAGAGTAAGTGAATGACTAAATTAACAATAAATGTACAGCTGAAATGCATACCTACATTTTTTCTTACACATTCCTCTTCCAAATAAACTTACTATAGAATTTTGATCATACAAAGTATATGTAACTTCGGTGACTGTCACTAAATTTAGAAATTTCACAATGGAATATTCCTTAAGATTTATAACCAAGTTTTTCCTCATAGTTTCTGGCCACTGTTACACAAAATCACCAATTTACATATCTCTTGACAATATTCGTGAATGCTTTAAAATTAGACCAAGGAATAACATATTTATAATAATTATCATCATTGATAACCTAAGAATTTTTAGGCAAATTCATCACTAACTAGGAAATGTTTGGGCTTTAAACTGAGTAGTCACATAGTCAAATGGTAAAGAATTGCTCACAAAGTACCAAGTCCACTGAAGATGCTGAATAACTAAGGAGAAAGTCAGCAATGTATATTTTAGGTAGAAATCTTTTAAGTGTTTACTGCTGTCATAATTTTGCCAGAGACTTAATTTTGTTGTCTACAATATAAAATTAGTAAGTTATTCATAAAAATACTACTTGATTCTCATTTATTCATTATATCCTGCAGTGGAGAGTTGATCAAGAGAAATATGAGTACTTCTAATACCAAATTATTTAAATTTTTTTTAAAAAATTAACCAAAATGGTACAATCACTTTGTTAAAACCATTGTCAGTTTCTTAAAAAGTTAAATATGCAGCTACCCTATGACACAGCCATTACATTCTATTTTATTTTCCAAAGGAATACAAATATGTATCTACAAAGAGTCTTGTATAAAAATGTTTATAGCAGCTTCATTCATAACAGCCCGAAACTGGAAATAATATAGATATTTATCAAGAGAAGAATGGATAAACTCGTTTTGCTTTTATAAATTGTATCAGAAAATAAAATACACCAGTTTATTGATACAAGCAACATCATAGATAAATCTCAAAAAAAATTACACTGAGTGAAGGTAGCCAATCAGTACATAATGTCTGATTCTATTTATTTGAATTCTAGAAGAGACCAAATGAACTTGTGATAGATATTTGCTTCTATAGGGAATATCGACTGAAGAAGGAACAAGAAAACTTAATGAAGTGAGGAAAATGTTCATATATTGATTGACATGTACTAATCAATCTGAATGATGGATATGCATAATATTTGAGTATTTCACTATAACTATAAAGTATAGTTCACTTAAAAATTGTTATTCAGATAATTGCTTAACAGAGCATCATTACTGCATGATCAGAAATTTTTATATCATGACATCAAATATAACATATCATGTTCATAACATACTTTTTATCTATATTATACTTAGGGAAAAATAAAACATTAATTACTACTTACTCTGCTTTAAAAAAACAGAACTATCTAATTTTCCAGAAAGAGCAGCTGAGGCAATGTTGAAATGTTCACAAGTTCAAAAATATAATGTATGTGAAAACACAGTATAAGTTAGAAAGTTTCAACACACATTATGAAAGTAGTAAAAATTTTATCAAAATCTACAAAAAAAAAGTCAAAAATTCCCTCTTCTTGAATTTTCTTTTAAAAGCGTGTTTAGAATATGTCTACTGGAATTCAGAAAACTATATCAATTGACCCAAATTAGTTTGAAGATGAGTAGAAGTTATATAGCAGAAACTACCTAAGTAAACACAGAAAACTATTCAAAATTTAAAATTCACAGGTGAATATACATTCTTTAAAGGGATGCTTTAATTCACAAGGGAATTAACTGTTGTAAATTCTAAGTCTAGTGGGGCCAGCTTGCACTGGTTCACAAGAACTAAACGTGTACATCTCTTCCCTATGCTAAATGATGTCACACTGGTAGCTTGAAATTAGCTATGGCGGGTGCTATGGTTTAGATATGGTACATTTAGTTTCACCAAGTCTCATGTTGAAATCTGATCCCCATTGTTGGAGGTGGGGCCTGCTGGGAGTGTTTGGATCATGAGTATGGAACCCTCATGAATGAATTGATGCCATTCTCATGAGTGTGAGTGAGTTCTCAGTTAGATCCTGCTAGAATTAATTGCTAAAAAAAGTGTGGCACCTTCCCTCCCCCTCACCTTGCCCCCTGCTTCTGTTCTATCACCATGTCATCTCTGCACAAACCTGCTCTTGTTCACTTTCTGCAATAGCAGTCTGAGGCCCTCACCAGAAGCAGATGATGGTGCCATGCTACTTGTAAAGCCTGCAGAACCATGAGTCGAATAAACTTTTTTCCATTATAAATTACCCAGCCTTAGATATTCCTTTACAGCAACACAAAAATGGACTGAGACAGTAGGAATATTTACACCATGCGATCAGCAAATTTTGGCCAGGTGTGATGGTGGACACCTTTAGTCTCAGCTACTCAGGAGACTGAGGCAGAAGGCTCTCTTGAGCTCAGGATGTCAAGGCTGCAGTGAGCTATGACTGTGCCACTGTACTCCAGCCTGGGCAACAGAGTAAGACCATATCTCTAAAAATTAACAAAAATAAGAAGAAAAGGAAAGAAATCAGCAAATGTTACAGTTCAAGACTTTCTTCCCCAGACTGCCAGCTGTGAGACATTTACCAGCACCCCACTGTCTAAGCCATGTTAAGGGAGTATAAAATAACATGAATTCAAATAATTGAATCTAACTTTTTAAGAGGTCCATGTGATATACATACATACAGTAGGTAGTGATGCGGTGGTAATCTGTGATGAGCTGTTGGTTAAGAGAGTAGATTATGGAGCCATAATATCTGAATTTGAATCCTGCTTCTGCCTTTACTAGGTGTGTGACCTTGATCAAGTTACTTAACTTCTCTGGGTCTCTTATTCTTATGTGGGAAATTAGGATCATACCATTACCTACCTCATAGAGTTGTTTTAAAGATTTAAATGAGATAATATACACAGAAAAGTTCCTTGCATTCCAAACATTCTAGTAATTATCACTGTTGTTATTATTTGAATATGGACTTGCACTATTAAAGATTTAGTCCTACACTTTAGGTCTGTATTGCTACCAGGAATAACATTTTTAAAGTTACATTTTCTAATTGGTTGTTGTGCTATATAGAAATGCTATTGATTTGTTTATATTGATCTTGAGTCCTTCAAGATTGCTGAACTTTTTCATTAGACACAATGGTTTATAGGTAGATCTTCCTTAATTTTTGTGTAACAAATAATATCCTTTTTGAATAACAATATTTCATTTTTGCAAATTTTTATACCTCATTTATTTTCTTTTTTATTGCTTTGGCCAAAAGAAATGATTACTGCATCTTCGTCTTGTTTCTAACAGTGAAATAAATGCTTCTCAAGTTCATCATTAACAGTGATGCTTACTATATGATTTTGGCAAATACATTTTACAAAATTAAAGGAAGTTGCATTCTGTCATAACTTTCTAAGATATTTTACTATAAAATGTTATTTAATGCAATCAATTTTTTTTCAACCTCCATAGCAACTACAATATTTTAGCCAGGTGTGGCAGCATGCACCTCCTGTCCTGGTTACTTGGGAAACTGAAGTGATCACTTGATCCCT
Organism: Homo sapiens; assembly: GCF_000001405.40. Taxonomy (NCBI): domain Eukaryota; kingdom Metazoa; phylum Chordata; class Mammalia; order Primates; family Hominidae; genus Homo; species Homo sapiens. Next base: position 174,572,221 of record NC_000003.12, on the reverse strand, counting down.
GGGAGGCAGAGGTTGCAGTGAGCCAAGATCACACCACTGCACTCCAGCCTGGACAGCAGAGCAGGACTCTGTCTCAATAACTAAGAAGAAAGAAGAAGGAAGAAGAAGAGAAAGAGGAAAAGGAAGAAGAATTATCCATATATGTTCACTAGTGAATTTGGCCTGTAATATTTTCCTTGTCCGGTTTTGCTATCAAGGTTATTCTACCTGCGGTATCATAAAAAGAACAGGGTAGCTTTCTTCATTTTTATTTTCTAAAAAGTTTGCAGGCAATGGGGTTATCCATTCTTTGAAGGTTTGGTAAAACAAGTCTGAAGAAATATTGGGATCTAATACTTTATGTAGTTTTTATTGAGTAATTCAATTTATTCAATGTTTCTGGGTCAAATCAGACATATTTTTTTTCTTGAGTCATTCCCTACCCACCCAGCTCCTTATAAAACATATAAAGTGTTTTATTTGTGCTTGTATAACCTTATCTTTGCTTCTCAGTAGGTAAGCAAGTAAAGCCAGACTTCATCACCCTGTTTAATTAAAGATATGGGTCAGTAGTGGTGGCTCACACCTGTAATCCCAGCACTTTGGGAGGCCGAGGCAGGCAGATCACTGGAGGTCGGGAGCTCGAGACCAGCCTGACCAACATGGAGAAACCTCGTCTCTACTAAAAATACAAAATTAGCCGGGTGTGGTGGCACATGCCTGTAATCCCAGCTACTCGGGAGGCTGAGGCAGGAAAATCTAAGCTTAAACCCAGGAGGCGGAGTTTTTGGTGGGCACAGATCACGCCATTACACTCCAGCCTGGGCAAAAAGAGCGAAACTCTGTCTCAAAGAAAAAAAAAGAATTTACATGCATGCATTAGTGAATTTGATCTATATGTTTATTTATACTACTGTCATTGCCCTGTTTTGCTATTAAGGTTACAATAGTCTCACTAAAAAAACGAAAGATTTTTCTGTTTTTTAGTTTACCCCAATTTTTAGCCTAAAATCAGATAATATTAACAAGTTGTTTCACTTCCTGCAGGTGTATTTTTTGCCACGTACAAAAGACTTCACCCATATTTTCCAAAAGTATTGTATAGTTCCTTGCTATTCAGAGATGTCTACAGACTAGCAGCACCAGCATCACCTGGAAGCTTATCCGAAAGGCAAGATCTCAGGTCCAACCCAAGACCTACAGAATCAGAATTCATGATTAACAAGATCACCAACTGGTTTATAAGTAATTAAATTTGGAGAATCGCAGTTATAGATCATTAGATGCACTCGATTATAAGTAAGCATTGATTAAATAAGGATTCATGATCAAATATATTAGGAAAATGCTGAGTTAAAGGAAGTTTAATAATTTCTTTACTATGGGGCTTACCAGGACCACCTAACATTTCTGAGAAGAAAATGTTACAGAATTAGTATTATCCAAAATGCACCATAAAATCACAATGCTAGTTAGGATGGAAATATAATTTCTAGAATCAGGGCCTAAAAGTTATCTTTACAGCAGATTTGAACAGCCATGCCATACCAAATGGGAAAAGGAAAATACAAGGGATCCTACTTAAAGTTGTGACCCTTAAGCTAGAATACACAAAGGTTTTAAGGCCCTGAAAGAACCCTGTGTACATTTAAATAAAAGATACTTCCTACTGTTGAATCCCCTAGCGCGCCTTAGATTGGCTTACATGTCTACTTCTCTCACTACATTATTTGAGAAAGGACTGTAAAGATGCCACGATTATATTAAAACTTTTATGATTTTAAAATACAACAATCTAATAAATTGTTTATTTGAAATACAAATCAACCTGTAATGTCCTATTTATTTCTTACTTAATTATGAGCTCAATTTAATCCATATTTCAGGTAGCTATACAAATGTTAATAACACTCATTTATGTAGAAAATATATGTTTAAATTTTATAAAAATCTAATGCTAAGCTTTTGCTGCAAGACCTGAAAAAAAAAATAAATGAGACCAGGCTTGCCCTCCCATGGGTATAAAACAAAGCATAAATAAATAAATCAATAAATGTACTGGAACAGAGATACAAAAAAACTTGTTTTCAGACATGAAAACAAGCAGTGCAACACTATGATCCCTGGAAGAAAACAAATATACACATGTGATCCTAAAATCATTGTTGCATTCTGACTGGAAGTGCTTTCCAGATGCAAAGCAAGAAGTCTCACAGAGTTGAAGAAAAAGAGATAGCACTAGGGGAAGTTTGGGAAGCTAAAATTTGCAGGAGAGAGTACCACAGTTGATGAAGCCTTACAGAGAAAGAGCTAGAGGAAGCTTCACAGTGCAGGCCCTGAGTTGTTTGCCTAATAATAAGTAGTTCATATATATGGTGAAACTATGAGGCTGAGCAAAAACAAGCAAGGGAAGCTGTAGGCTAAACAATTCCCAAAACTATAGCCAGGATGTAGAGACATCCTTGAATACTTAAAGCATTTGCGTGTTAACCCAAAAGTGTCATCTCATAGCAGTACAGCTAAACTAGCCTAGAATAAACTGTATTTTAAACCTAACATAGCTGATCATAATTTAACTCCCTGCTAAAACAAAATTCAACAAACTTTAAAATAAAAAACTCAGGCACTCAGTATTTTAACACTCAAACACCTGATCAAAGTTATTAGACATGCAAAGAAGCAGGGAAATGACACTCATTACCAAGAGAAAACTCAGACAATAGAAAGAGATCCTAAAATGACAGAGAGGATGGCAACAGTAGATAAAGATTGTAAAACAGCTGTTGTAAATATGTAGTGCTAATGGGTACACATATTTGTCAAAATTCATTGAACTGTACACATAGGAGGGGTGCTTTTCATATGAAAATTAATCTTTAACTGGGTACTTTATTTAATATAATGCTTAAGTTTTTAATTTCTATACTATTCTTACATTATTAATTTTATAAATTTAATAATGTCCTTGGATCGAGTCTCCTTATTAAAAGCATTATTTCTTATAGAAAATGATATACAAACGTTATTACTCTTCCAAAGTATAGTGTACATGTAATACACTCTCTTCTGCAACTTTTGTTAGCTAATCTTACAATCTTTTCATTTTAAAATATAATTCATAACATTAATGAAAGCTATAATATGATCAAACAAGTACGACATATTTTGATGGCTGAAATTTTGAAAAATTCATTATTAGGCCATAGAGATACAATATAATCATATATATATTGAGAAGGTATAGCATGCATTGGACAACTTAGCTTTTATATGGGTAAAATGTTAGGAACCTGGAAACGTGGTATAATGGTATAATTTAAAGAATATTCTGTATTAAGATAAATTCAGTTATATTTTCGAAAATATTCTAAAATTCTAAAATATTCTTAAAAAAAGAATAATAATTTTAAAAAAAGAATAATAATAATAATGAACGTGGAATAAATCCACAAACACCTTCAGCAATTGTACCTAAGGTTATATGGCATGGGGATTCAGAAAAATAAAAATATTGGTTCCTCCCCATATGGACTTACAGTCTCAGTGGCTGATAAGACCGATAAAAAACAGACATATCCCAGATATATATACATACATCAGTACTAATAAAATCACAAAAAAAGATACAGCTTCATTCACTGAATAGTTAAAGCATGATTTTCTGTGTGGCTCATTCAGCAATTAATCATGCATTGCCTTCTTACAGCCCTTTCCCAGTTGTCCTTCCTTTTTTATTTGTACTGATACTAAAGCACTTAATTCAATATAGCTTTTCATATACGTATGTGTTATTCTCTTTCTTCAGGACAGGAACCATATTTCATGGGCAAGCAATACGGTGTGGTGAAAAGACTTTCTGAAACAGATTCAGAAATAACAATTCTAATTCTAAACTGAGTTGCTATTCCACTAACAAAACTTTCTTTTACTTCTAAAAATTACGTCTCATAATAATGAGATCACCTGTAATGGTGATCTTTACAAAGTATGTATTCAATCAATATGTATGTACTTAATTAAGTTATTAATTTGTGATATCAATAAATAGAAAGTGTTGATAGAGGACAGAAAAATAGATTAGTATGTCTGCGAACAATAAATCCAAACAAATCTATTTGTTTTTCCCAAAGAAGAAATAAACTGTGGCTCACAAACGACATGAATACTTAAAATATCCTCACAGGTAGACACTACCTACATCATAATTCTACTGTTTTATGGATTTATGCCTGAAAATAGCTATAAATACTCATCTCCAACACATAGAAATAATATTGAACAAATAGAGAGGTGGTAATTTTTATTTTATGCTTTGCTTTCTGTGGTAGAGTCTCTACGACCTTCTAATGAAAACATTCAAAAGATAAAATCTTGCAATTATCTCTGTATTAGTAATAATGATAATAATAACTATCACTATTTCATTTTTTGGGAGACTACTGGGTACCAGGTACTACACAAGATTCTTTTCTTTCCATTTAATACTTACATTAACACTATTATCTTCATCTTATAAATGACAAAACTGATATTCAGAAACACTAAACAACTGACCTATGATCATATCGACTTATCTATTTTTAAAAGGAAGTATGATTTAAAACTAGGCCTGAGTCATTTGACTATAACAGATTGCCTTCTGATACTATCATAAAATTTGTAACTCATTTTGTATTATTGAATTAAATAGGTAACATTCTCAAAACAATTACAGGTATGATGATACTTAATATGCACTAAAATTTGCAAGTCAGGTAGGTATAAATAATATGACTAGGGAAAATGCTCTAATTAGAAGTTCAGTGCCTAATGTTTAGATATAATTGAAAAAAATTATATTGAAAAAATTTGTTTATTTTATAAACAAAAAGTCTATATCTACTTTTAAACTGCTGCGTATTAAAAATTAAATATGTTATGCAAATAAATCCAATATTGATTTTAAAGATATGAACTATTATTTAAAATTACTTAAAATATGTATATATGTACACATTATATTTCCAATTTTATTAAATGTAAAACATAATAAAAATTTTAATAACATGAAATGTCATAACTCATGTCCAACCAGAATATCTATTATCATCTCTGAAGATGTAGCTAAAATATTGAATTGTGTCATAACCTCTCCCTGATATGGATTATTTCTGCTATGTCTCTCTTGCATTCTAGAATGAGAACCTAAGACATTATGTGCATAGTAGTATGATAAGCCCAATTTTTCAATTTAAAAATTAGATGACTATTGAAATGGCCACAACAGTTTCAGCATCTTTGATATATACTTATCCAAGCAGAATTTAAAGTTGGAAAAAAAATCTATCATCAATAAAACATACCTTTTGTTTTGTGGTTTTCTTAAAAAAGTTAATCATGGACCACTCAAATGCTACAACAGACTCCCCAAACACCAGCGATTTGAAAAGAAAAAATAAACAGAACTTTTAGAAATAAAAAAAAAAAATTGAAAATGAAACAAGAGGAAAACTTTTAAAAACAGATTAAACAGAACTGAAGAAAGAATCAGTGAAGAGAAACAGAGTGAAGAAATTAAGTAGTTGGAGCACAGATCATAAACAAGATAGAAAAATAAGGGAAAAAATTAAAGACATAAAATATGGAATGAGGGAAGCTAAGATAACTTTAAACAGAGAACGAGAAGTGGAGTGTGAAAAAAAGGAAAAACAGTCTATATATGAAGAGAAATGACTAAAAAATGTCCAACTGGTGAAAGCAATTAAAAGAATACATGCTTAGGCACATCATGGTAAAACTGCAGATAACCAGGTAAAAAGAGGAGGTGAAAAGCAGCTTAGAGGAAAAAAGCCAGATCCTCTACAAATAAAGCCTCACCTCACTGGTAACAAACCCCTTCACATCAGTAATAGAACTCAGAAAACTACAAAATATTGTCCTCAAAGTGCTGAAAAATTGTGTCTGAATAAACTGTATTTCTAGAATGAAAGTTAAATCTACAAAAATATCTGTATTTAATAATAATAATTTCTAAATGGTAGGGATTTTATTGAAAAATGAAAATTAAAAAATTAAGTCACAAGAGTGATAAGATCCAAGTGTTCTAAGATCCTAGTACTACAGTTTAACTTTAGACTTCAACTATATATGATACATTTCAAGAATAACCACTAAAATTATAAAGGGCATAAATTCCAAAACAGAAGATGGAGAAAATGGAATAAAAAACAAGACATGCAAAATTTGGTCAATTCAAAATGAAGAAAAAAGACACAAAAAAGTAGGGCATATAGACAGATAAACAAGACATAGACAAATAACAATAGTCAAAATAAATATGGATGTAGTAATTCTTCAGCTATACAAAAGGAAATGTCTGATGGGATATTTTTTAGACTCTAGTTATACTAAAATCCAAATTGACATCACCAAATGCTGCTGAGGATGTGAATTAACAGAAACTTTCACTCATTGGTGGTAGAAATACAAAATGGTACAGACACCTCAGAAGACAATTTAGCAGTTTCTTACAAAACTAAACAAAATCTTAACAAATCCAGCAATCCCAATCTTTAGCATTCACCCCAAATGAGTTGAAAACTCATATTCACACAAAAACCTGCACATGAATGTTTTTTAGCAGCTTTATTAACAATTACCAAAACTTAAAAGCAACGAAGAAATCCTTCAGTAAGTGAGTGGATAAACAAACTGGAACACTTATAAAATGTAATACTGTTCAGAAATAAAGATAGATGAGCTATTAAACCATAAAACGACATGGAGAAAACTTAAGTACATATATCTAAATGAAAGAAGACAATCTTAAAAGGCTACATTCCGATGATTTCAACTACATGATGTTCTAGAAAAGGCAAAACTATGGACGGTAAAAAAATCAGTGATTGCCAAGGATTTGGGGGAAGGGAGGCAAGAATGAAATGTAAAGCACAGGAGATTTTTAGGACATCAAAACTATACTGTGTGGTATTGCAATGGTGGCTACATGTCATTATACATGTTTCAAAACCCATAGAATGTACAATACAAAGAAAATCCTAATGTAATCTATAGACTTTAGTTAAGATTAATAATACTGAATCAATATTGGCTCATCAATTGTAACAAATATATCATACTAATACAAGATGTTAATAATAGGGCAAACAAGGGGGGATGGTGGTGAGGGTGTATATGCAAACCCTGTATTTTCTTCTGAATTGTCCTGTAAAATTGGAAAATTCAGAAGAAATTGGAATTTGCATATACCCTCTATAACTGCTCAAAAAAGTCTATCAATTTTCTAAAAAAACTGTAAAAATAAATAAATATGACATTTTTAATACCAAAAATTCACCTATAGAGACTCAATACAAATGTAAAACATACACTTTTGAAAGTCTGTAGAGAAATGGAAAAAAAAAGATATATAAAGCAAACACAAACCAAAGGAAATCTGAAATACCCAAATACATTTCAGACAAGATATAATTAAATTGCTACTAGAGATTAGAAGGACAATTTTGTTATAATAAATCACTAAATTCATTAGGAATATATAACAATTCTCAATTGTATGTGCATAATTTAAAAGTCCCAAAATATATAAAGAACAAGCTGAGAAAAATAGAAAAATTAATAAATCAAAACCATTAAAAGAGACTGACACACCACTTTGAAATACTATTAGGTTACTTAGACAAAATTAACAGTTATAGAAATGTATAACAATAAATTTAACAAAATTAATTTCATGTACATCACTAAACCATACAATCACTAATTAGAGAATACACATTCTTTTCAAGCACTGTAGGGTTCCCCGGGTTTCCACGCCCACTAGGTCCTCCAGGTCTCCATCCCTACCTTGTTACCCTCACTGACATCCTCCTCCTTTTATTCTGTGTCCTAACTTAGAAAGATTAAATGCCTTGATTACTCTGTGACCTTGCCAGCCGCATGTTTTTTCCCAAAGGATGTAAACCAATCCAGAGCCTTGAACATTCCCAGGCACTGATAAAGCTATTCAGGTTGAGGCTCAAAAACACTAAGAGATTAAAATCTTGCTAAATACGTAAAAGTACCCCTCCAACCCAACTAGCCCCCCGGCTACTGAGCCAAAATCCTTAAACTCATATGAATCTTATATGAACTCCATTACCCCATTACCAACTCCCTAACTTTGGTCAGGCATACCTAGGTAGAACATCTTTGCCTTGCTATCTGACTGGAGGACTGTGCAGCACGCTGTAAGTTTCCCTGTGCTTTAGACAGATCACCCTAGTGTTCAGTGCTTATTTCTTTGGAATTCCAACCAGCCCCATCTACGGAAGGTTTAAAGCAGTACTTTGCAGGAACTCTCTTGCAGCCAATCTTAAGGTGACTCTTACGACGGGTTTTGTCAAAGAGAAAAAGCAAACATAATATGAATGAATATTGACCGTATTCTAGGCCAAAAAGTAAGTCTTGAAAAATTTCAAAACATATGAAGACAGATCACCTTCTCTGATCAGAATGTAATTAAATCACAAGTTTGTAAACACAAACAAACCTACAAACATACATTTTAAAAACACATAGTTAAATAACTTAGGGATCAGAAAATAAATTAATCATAATGGAAATTTTAAAATACTTAGAAGCAAATAATAATAAGAATACTACAAATAATAACTTGTAAAACATCATTAACTTAGTATCTAGAATGACATTGTAAGTTTAAATGCTATATTAGTCTTAAGTTTTATCTAGGTGCCTCTGAATAAATTAATCCAAATAAATCTTTCTACTCTTCACAATAAAAATTCCCACATTTTTAAGAGTATGATTTGAGTTTTATAGTTATTGATGGTTTATGAAATCATATTAATATATTTTAATTTTTATCTCATAAAATTTCTAAGAGTTCAAAGAAATTTCTAAACTTCTTTGTTCCTGAAATTTTTCTTTTAAAATATTTTTGATATCACCAAAAGGTTTATAGCATATACTTATAAATATCTGGAGAAGAAATAAACATGCTAAAGATATATTTAATAGACAGCATCATGAAATTTTGTAGGTTAAGCATTTATAAACAAGAAACTCATCTTCAAATAAAAGAAAAAAATCTTAATTTTATAGATACTCTTTCATGTGGAAAATCCAGTGGAAAATGAAGAAAATTAACAAAATCATTTCAGCCAAAACAATATATTGCTTAAATGACTACTTAAATCTGCTTTGAAAACTGCTATGTCACAAAAAACTAAATTGTTGTTACATCTTAAAGTATTTATTACTGAGTCATCCAGAAATATAACTTTGTGTTCATGTGTGAAATTTAGCTAGATCTGAAGATAAATACTTTAAAGAGTTACTTTTAATTCCCAACTATTTTCAGAAAGGTCAAATGGTGAATCTTTATAGTGAGCACAATAAAACAACTTCCATATTATTATTACTAAATATAATGTTTACATACATATCAACTTTTACAGAAGGTCTCGTGACAGAATATCATGATTTTGTTTGGCATCACAAGATGCCAAACAAAATTGTATGCTCCTGTCATAATTGCTTCTCCTTGCGTAGTTCCAGTAGACAATATTTACATAGACTACAATAAGAAATGGGGTCCAGCGAGGTGGCAATATTGTGGTCCTGCTCATATACAACTATGCAAAAAGAATGCTAATATATGACTGATTCAAAAATTAATAAAATTAAAGCACACAGATATAAACAAAAATTTAAAATTACAGTTCTACCGTAGTCTGGATATCTTACTCTACCACTTTGTCATTTCTACAGCTCCACAAAAAAATTTTTCTTATTTTTCACATATTATTCTTTTTCTATCCCCTCTGTTTTAAATCAGTGCTTCAAAAATCTCTTTAAGTGATCTAAAAATATTACCATATCAATAGCACACCTTTAAGGCTACTGGTATTTTAAATTACAAACTAATTAACATTTTCTTTCACAATCTCAAAGCATCAAACTTGTATGAATAGGTTTAATCATAAAACTCCAAATTACTTGGTGCTTTAAAATGCCTTCTTCCTATAATGCCTAATAGTTGAGTTAAGTAGAAAATTATAAATGTAATTAGTTAAATATAGTACTGAAATTACAAAGATATAATTTGAAATGATAGAATCCTGCTGTCAACACACAATATTTTAAGCATGAAATAATATTTCTGTATTCACTAAAATGCATCTTTTAAAAATAATTTAGTAGGTTCTTTTAATATTAAAAATTTAGTTATAGTGATTATTTTTCACATAGCTGTAGAAAAATATTTTGAAAATAGGATTATGGAAGAATTTTCCAGAATTGACAAAGAACATTTTTACAAAAATAAAATTTCCGAAATGCACTTGAAGAGCTATACTTTAAGTCCAACTTATTAAAGAGAAAATGTCAGCACAGGATATATATAAAGCATTTTTTAAAATAATGTGACAGCATCATAATTCTCTTTGATTTGTAAAAGTAATTGAACACATTTTCTACCAGTGTGACCACTGATCTTCAGTGCAAATGGTGAGAAAGATTCTCTGCTTGGCATCTCTAGTCAGGCTTCTGATTCTTCTGCTAGGCCCATCTCTGCACTTCCTTCCAAATCCAGTTGCAGCAAACAACTTTGCTAAGTCAGTTTAGCAAGAATCTTCTACCCTCAATATCTGATTATCCTCTCTACTTGATCAGGTTCCTCATCCTTCATCACTCCTTAGGTGATGTGTGACCACCCTGGCCTGAGTTAAGTAAGAATCCTGTGGCCCGGCATGGTGGCTCATGGCGGTAATCTCAGCACTTTGGGAGGCCGAGGAGGGTGGATCACAAGGTCAGGAGATCGAGACCATTCTGACCAATATGGTGAAACCCTGTTTCTACTAAAAATACAAAAAAATTAGCTGGGCATGGTGGCACATGCCTGTAATCCCAGCTACTCGGAGGGCTGAGATAGGAGAATAGCTTGAACCAGGGCGTCAGAGGTTGCAGTGAGCCAAGATCGCACCACTGCACTCCAGCCTGGTGACAGAGCGAGACTCTTTCCAAAAAAAAAAAAAAAAAAGGAATCCTATTAGTCAGTTTAGCTAGAATCCCTCTTACTTCCATATTTCCTCTTAGTAATTTTCCATCCACTGATCACCCTGCTCTTGGGTTATAAATTTACCGCTTACCCATTCTGTATTCAAAGTTAAGCCTAATCTCTCTTCCCCACTACAAGACCCTGCTATAGTTGTTCCTATACCTATCACCATTGTCCTGAATTAAGCCTCCTGTGCTTTAACAGGTGTTACTTAAAAGTTGTTTCCTTAACAATGGTAAATTGCTTTATGTTAGTCTATTACAGGATTTCTTTGAAATGGTGCTGTTTGAGAGCTTTTATCTCAGTGATGGTTGCACAGGGTCAAAGAGAGATTTTTCAGTGTTCTAGACCAGAACAGCACCTGAAAGCAGACTAAGATACCAAATAAAAAATCACAATTTACCAGATAACCTTCAGTATGAGAGGGAGAGGACATAAATTGCTAGAAAAAAGGCACACGGTAAAGTTCCAGAGAAATAAATAAAGTCTCTAACAGCCAAAGCCAGGTCCCAGGTGAACTGGAAACACTAAAGGTAATTACAAAAACCATCAATCAAAATACAGTAGAATATTAAAATAAAGAATTTTTCACAGCTAAGCTCTCAAAAAGGTTTGCAAGTTTATAAAACTATTATCCATCTAAAATTTTTTTAGCTACTCCTGTATTCCAGTCACTGAAGATAAAGCATGAAGAAAAAGTCAGTATCTGCCCTCAAAGAACTTTCTGTTGAGTGACTAAAACAACTACATTCTTTTTAGGCTCTACTTTGCATTAGCTGTGCAGACATTTACAAGTTACTCATTTTCTCTAAATTATCAAGTCCTAGTCTGTTCAATGGGAATTAAGTACTTGCCCTGTCATCTTTTGTACCTATTGTCATTAAGGCTATGCAGTCCATGACTTAATTTCTCCTTTTGGATTTTTAATTAAGATACAACTTTATATTTGGATGTGAACATTGTAAAAGCAGGAAAAATCAAAAGGTAAGTATCCTAAGGGCAGTAACAGTCTCTACATCTCATCTATAATGTATCACTGTTGAAGGCTAGAGACAAAAGTAATTAAAAAGAACCTCATTGATCCACACAGACCAGGAAACATCTATCTAAAACTTAAAATTCTAATAACTAGATAATTAAAAATTATTTCTGAAATTATATAGTACATCTTCCTATTTAAGATGTAAGAAAGAAGAAAACTCAATTTTGGAAAGGTAAAAATGATCTGCTCAAAGACACAACGTGTCAGTGGTAGAGTCGGAGCTGATTCCGTGTACAATGCATTACAAGGTAGTGCAATGGATTGAATGTTGTGTCTTCCTCAAAATTCATTCCTTGAAATCTTAATCCTCAATGTGACAGTATTAGTAGGTAGGGCCTTTGGGAGGGAATTAGGACATAAGGGTGGAGCCCTCATAAATGGAATTACCACCCTTATAAAAGGGACCCTCCTGCCTTCTTTCCATCATACAACAAGCATAAAACAAGAAAATGTCAGTCTTTAACAAAGAAGAGGGCCCTCACCAGAAGCTAATTATGCTGGCAACCTAATTTCAGACTTCTAGCCTCCAGAACTGTGAGAAATAAATTTCTGTTGCTGATAGGTCACCCAGTCTATAGTATTTTGTTATAGCAGCCCAAGCTGACTAAGGCACAGCGTGGAGGCTAAAGCAACTCCATCTTGCACGATAATCTGCCATGCTGACTTCTGATTAACCCCAGTTTCAGGAATGCCTCTAAAATTTCTACTTTATCTACTGTTAAGAGCAGTACTTACCATAAATCCTGCCCTTAAGCAAATTACTTCAATTGTCTTGCAAATTCCTTCTGAAGCATATATAATCTTTCACAATGGTATGGTGGGGGTAGGGGGTGGTAATGGTGCAGGGATTCACCATCTTGTCTTGCCAACACCAAGGTATGGCTTCTGTTTGTAAGTCCCTATTAATTGTTTGAGAAACTAGATTTGTCAGCCTTTTTCTTTGGCCTCTCAGTTTCCTCTTTGGGATTAAGTTTGCATAGACCTGCTCACCGTGAAATACACAGGGTCTCCTGATATCTGATTTAGCACCCTTTCCAGGGATAACAAGCAAATGGTCTGTCATAGCCACTTTCAAATCCAAGATAAAAGTCACTAATCTTTCCCTTGGGTTACATGAACCCAAGCTTTATGTAGCAATCATTCTGAACTGAATGTCCCAGGGAGCCACTTCTAATTGATCAGATTTGAAAGGCAACTCTATTTTATGTCATATTTTCATGTATACAGAACTGCAGCAAGTGGAGGGGAAGCAGCTGCTTCTTTCAGCATATTCTCCAAAAGTCACAAATTTTCAGGAATTTGGGGAAGGTACATGTTGGCAAAATGTTTGATAAACTGATGAAATTGCGTTCTAGCAGAAATCCCCAACCCTCAGGCCATGGACCAGGATCAGTCCATGGCCTGTTAGGAAAAAGCCACACAGCAGGAGGTGAACAGCAGCTAAGTGAGCAAAGCTTCATCTGTATTTACAGCCCCTCCCCATCGCTGGCATTATGGCCTGAGCTTCTCCCCCTGCCAGATCAGCGGCAGCGTTAGATTTTCAGGGGAGCACGAACCCTATTGTGAACTGCACATGTGAGAGATCTAGATTGTGTGCCCTTCATGAGAATCTAGTGCCTGATAATCTGTCATTGTCTCCCATCACCCCCAGATGGGACCGTCTAGTTGCAGGAAAACAAGCTCAGGGCTCCCACTGATTGTACATTATGATGAGTTGTAAAATTATTTCATTATATATTACAATGTAATAATAATAGGAATGCACTTGAATCATCCTAAAACCATCCCCCCCGTACCCAGTCTGTGGAAAAACTGTCTTCCACAAAACTAGTCCCTGGTCACAAAAAGGTTGGGGACCACTGTGCTAGAGGAAACAAGCGCAGTAGAAATTAGGAGACTGCAGGAAAGAATTACCCAGCAGGCCTAATTGCTATCCCTTGAAAAGCCTGCTTACAACTTTGGCCCTTGACTGGCATCTGGAAACTTGGATATCAGAAGTGTTCCCATTATTCTTAGAACTTGAAGGAGTGGGCTCACTGTGCCTAAACTGATTGCATAAACAATATAGTTTATGCTGAATACTTGCTTTTCTTCTGAGAGTCTGGAATTTTGGTACATGCCAGGCAGAGGGTGCCTCCCTGACCACTCCCCAGTAAAAATCTTGGGTGCAGAGCCTCTAAGAAGTTTCACTGGTTAACATTTCACATTTGATGTCACAAATCATTGCTGGAGGAATTAAGTGCTTCCTGTTTGACTCCGCTAGAAGGCTCTGGAAGTTTGTGCCTGGTTTCCCCATACACCCTTTCTTTTCACTGTAATGGCTCATAACATGAGGATGACTATATGCTGGGTCTGGTGAGTCCACCTAGCAAATCATCAAACTTCGGGGTGTTATTGGGGCCCTCCTGACAAAGATACATTTAAAGAAGAACAAAAAAAAACAGTTCTAGTAGTGCAGACTCCTCCAGACGACTACCTCATGATGTTAAAAATCAGCTAGGAACAGTAGTAACTGGATGAAAATATTTCTCCATGAGCAGATTAACAAACAAGAAAAACTAGTTGCATATTTACTGAAATCCTAATACAGCTGTACCTCTTAAAGGAGTCTATTATATTAAAAATTTTCCATTGCAAAAAAAGAATTCAAGAAAATGATCCCCAGAGTTTAAAAAGATACCTCAAATATTAACAGATATTTATGATATTAATAAAACACATCAAAAGTGTAACAGACCCCTGAGATATTAAAAAAGTTTTTACAAAAGATATTTCATGAGATGAAATGACTAAAAAGCAGCTAAATTTTTATGTTCACAGTGCTATATAATATTCATAGTAGTTTAAAAATAAAGTTGTATTTTTTTAAGTCAAGGTTTTTGTGGCATGTAGGTCAACTATTTCGTGTAGGTCAATGATTAAGAAAATCGAGTTTTTATTATTAGAGTAAAAAGGCCGAAACAGAATGCATAATTTGTAACATGTTTTAATCATTATTAATATTCTAACAAATATAAAAATACACAGCTTTAAATGTTGTTTTTGTATAGCAATTACATGTTGTCATATAATAAAAATATATTTCTGTAAAAATGTAGCTGGGCACGGTGGCTCAAGCCTGTAATCCCAGCACTTTGGGAGGCCAAGGAGGGAGGACTGCTTGAAGCAAGGAGATCAAGACAAGCCTGAACAATTCATGGTGAGACCGCATCTCTATAAAACATTAAAAAGAAATTGGTGAAGCATGATTATGTGTACCTGTAGTCCTAGCTACACAGAAGGCTGAGGTGGGAGGATTGCTTGAGCCCAGGAGTTTGAGGCTGCAGTAAGCCATGATTGTGCCACTGCACTCCAACCTGGGTGACAAAGCAAGACTCTGTTTCTAGAAAAAAAAAAATGTATTTTAAAATCTACTAAAATTATCCAATGTCTGACTCTTTGCATTTCAAGAACACATATTCTTAAAAACTGAGCTTCACAGCTTGCTCTCCTTAATGTAAATTATTTCCTGAGGGAAATAATACACAATTCTATAAGTTGTGTATTAAGAAGGACAACTGCTAGATTTTAAAGCCAGATCAATATTTTCCAACGTTGTTTATTTTTTTTTAAACCAAGAGAATGCATTCTTTTCTTCTTAAGAAACACGTCAAAATGTTTTTCACAATGAAAGGAAGCAAGCAAAAGAAAAAAAAAAGTTACCTCTTTTTCTGATGATATTAAATATTCAAATGGGAAAGATTAATACGTCGAAAATCTAAGGCAAAAGAACAGAACTGCTACACATACTTGCTAAAGATGTGTAAAAATTCAGCATCAGTCTCCTAGATATCCAGGATCTTTACTCATATAAGGATAAAACAAGAGTAGATAGTAAACTCATTTAGGTGGCAAATCATTCCACTTCCCATCATGGCCCACGACAGGGAATAGAATAATGAGCAGTTTGAGGTTAGGGCTCAGTTCACACAAAGATTCCTTTTCCTGACATCTAAACTGAATGTAATCACCCAGCACTTTAAATTCGTGTGATATTAAAAGAAAAGTTATGGTTTTACACCAACATCTATATCTGTATGTATGAATTCTAACCATTATAGATAGTACTAGAAGAAACACACTCACGTGCGCGCACACACACACACACACACACACACACACACACACGGAGGATAAGGCTTCTCTCTAAGCATATACCAAAAGCAAATAACATCGATGGGGTGGTGGAAAACACAACCCCCAAATACAGCACGTCAGAAATTGAGAAAATAGCGGAAACAGGAAGGTCACACTATGACCTCTCACACTTTTCCTCTGAGAACTGGCCGTAAAAGAATTATCTGACCTGAAAGTAGGTAGTAAGATCCTCATTCTAGAGAAGTCATCCCCTATACCCAGAAGGATGGAATGGCTTATAGAAAGGCCAAGAAGAATCTGAACAAAGAGGTCTTGCTCAGTTCCTCCCCAGTTTATTACCATCAGATCACACCCTTTTGTCCTCCAATCATACTTCTGCACAACTGTTCAAAAAACTGAATTTTTGGCCAGGCGCGGAGGCTCATGCCTGTAATCCCAGCACTTTGGGAGGCCAAGGCCGGCGGACCACCAGAGGTCAGGAGTTGGAAATCAGCCTGGCCAACATGGCGAAACCCCTTCTCTACTAAAAATACAAAAATTAGTGGGGTGTGGTGGTGGGCGCCTGTAATCCCGGCTACTCGGGAGACTGAGGCAGGAGAATCGCTTGAATCCAGGAGGCGGAGGTTGCAGTGGGCCAAGATCGCGCCATTGCACTCCAGGCTGGGCGACAAGAGTGAGACTCTCTCAAAAAAATAATAATAATTTCCCCGTGGCTTTGGGTCTGTCTGAAGATTTCAGTGTCTCATAAAACTTATATTAAATAAATTTGTTATGCTTTTCTCTTTTTGCTCTGTGTTTCCTTATAGAGGTATCAGCCATGAAACTTGCAATGAGTAAGGAAAAGATACTATTTTTTCTCCCTGCTATGGTCTGAATATTTGCGTCCTCCCAAAATTCATATGTAGAAAGCTAATCTCCAGTGCAACAATAATAAGAGCTGGGCCTTTAGTAGGTGACTAGGTCATGAGGGCAGAGCCCTAATGAATGGGATTATACCCTTGTAAAAAGAAACTCAAAGGAGATTGTTTGCCCCTTCCACTATGTGAAGAAACATAGAAGAACACCATCTATGAGAAATGGGACTTCACAAGACACAGAATCTTCTGGCTACTTGATCTGGACCTTCCCAGCCTCTAGAACTGTGAGTAAAAATTTCGATTGTTTATAAATTGCCCAGTCTAAAATATTTTGCCCCAAATTTACTAAGACAATTCCCTACAACATAAAGGAAAAAAATTATTGGTATATATGACTACAAAAAATTTTTTGAATTGCATACCATAAATACAGAAGTGTGAACTGGTACAATCTTTTATGGAGAAAAGTACAACAATACTTTAAAACACCCTCACAAATGTACATATTTTTTAATTTATCAGTACTATTTCTATGAAATTATTTTAAATGAATAATAAATGACATGCTTCATAGATTTTTTTTAAAAACTGTCACATTTTAACAATGGAGGAAACATTAAAAGGTGGGAAAGAAGAAAGGAAGGAGGGGAGAAAAGGAAGGAGAAAGAGTAAAGAAAAGGCAGGGAAGGGGAGGGCAGTGAAGAGAAGGGAAGGGAAGAAAAAGAGAAAGGGGTGTCGATGTTCAACAATAAGCACTTAGATAAATTGTATAATTCATTTCACAGTATATTTATTAAATTTCACCATTAAACTGTTATAAATGAATATTTAATAATATTGAAAAATATTCATGATCTATTACTACCTTTAAAAAATCAAGTTACAAAACCATTAAAGATATGATACTATTTTGTTTATGTATAAAGCTTTTATTAAAGGCTAAGTACACATAATGGGTGGTGGAAGAATGGTTAATTTTTCATTTTTTTCTTTTGTTTTCTAGACAAAATATAAATATTTTAAAAGATATTTATAAAATATAATGTGAGCATTATCCAAAGACAAAAGGCTAGTAGTCACATCCGATTGTATAATTTCATCAACAATGTCAGTTCTGACTTCTTTAAAACAGAAATTTCTACTTTACCTAGAAACTATGACATGGAGAACATTATTAGCTAGATTAAAATGACCACATTTAGCTAACAGTTTATATTATGCTTCAAGATAGAATTACCTAACACTCATCTGAAAGCAGCACCTTTAAATGTAAAACAAAAAATTACCCATTACTAAAATGAATGTACAATGGAAAGCCCAGACTGTTCATTTCCTGAATTAATCACAAGAAATGGAAAACGACTCTAACTCCAAACCACATATACTCAACTTTTTCAAGAATTTTTTCATTCCCAGATGAAATCAAGGGAAGAATTTTTCTTCTTAATGTGCTACTTGAAGTACCATGCAGCTAAGTGTCCTAGATGAAGATATATACATCAAATGTTAAAGATGATTATAACTCATTAAATCTAATTCCCACCTAAACATAAGTGGAATGAATTAAGACATGGAACTAAGTTTTTCACTGTCTAAATTTAATGAACGCACATGCATTTACATTAAGCATCAATATAAAGCAACATTATCTTGCTTAATTATTTTTTCTTATAATAAATTTTAGCACATTGTTGAGAACTCATTATAGTCCATAATTCCTTTAAGAACAAAAATGCAGTTTTGCATAGCTTAAGCTTATAAGAAACCTATGGTCACTTCCAGTTTTCTTCCGCATAAACTATTAACACCTTTTAGGAGTTTAATTGACCAAATATACAAATCCAGATTTGTTTGGTTTTGCTTTCTTACACATGTCATTGCACTTATGCTTCTAATTATTATAACATTTGCCATTTAATACATTTTTATCTCTCCTACTCCCAAGTTTAAAATCTATAAAAGCAAGGAATTTGTCTTGCTAATTTTGCATTTCCAACAACATCTACTTTTAAACATAAAACTTTTCCTATAAGTGCTGAATGAAATAGAATTTAGTTCACTTAGGTAAAACCTGATATATAAAACCCATAGTCAAAAACAACAGTGGAGACACAAAAGTCCACCATTTATTAATCTCATCATCTTTAGCAAAACACAACCTCTTTGGACTTAAAGTTTATAACGTGTAACATATGTCTATAGTCACCTATCTTGCCCCCACTGGTGCCTCAACTAATTAAAGCATGTTAAAAAACACTCAGGAAACTATAAATCACTGTGCAATTACAAGGAATTATTCGGTGCTAACTCCATACATTATTGATTTTTTTTTTTTTTTTTTTTTTTTTTTTTGAGGCAGGGTCTCACTCTGCTGCCCATGCTGGAGCTCAGTGGCACGATCTCACCTCACTGCAGCCTCAACCTTCAGGGCTCAAATGATCCTCCCACCTCAGCCTTCCGAGTAGCTGGGACTACAGGCCTGTGCCACCACATCCAGCTAATTTTGGTATTTTTTTGCAGAGACAGGATTTCGCCATGTTTCCCAGGCTGGTCTCAAACTCCTGCACTCAGGCAATAGGCCTGCCTCAGCCTCCCAAAGTGCTGAGACTAAAGGCATAAGCCACCACACCCGGCCTATTATTGATTTGTAGTAAAAACTAAATTAATACCTGGTTTCTAGGAATTTATTTGTCAATCTAACTAAAAATTTTAGGCCAAATAGATATGTTTGTCATTAAGAATGTGAAATTAAAAACTATTAATGAAAAACTGATATTTCTTGTATAAAGAGCAGAAATTCTAATACTAGACAATTAGGTTCACATTTCTACTTCATCATTTACTAGTCATGTCAATTAATCTCCCTGAGCATTACCTTCCTGAATTGTATATAGGAGATGCCAACAATAATAAGATCCTTCTCTGAGCTTTCGGAAAGATTATATACGTTATATTTGAAAGTGTTCCAACGATTGGAAGACAATATAGAAAATTTGCTATTATTATTGTCTTACATAGTTAATTATTATAGATTATTGGTATTCATAATAGCCTTCACTAATACGATTAGTATCCACAAGGCACTAGAATGTTGTATGTATATTTTTATGAATCTTCAAAACAACTGTAAAAGAGGAATATTATTCTCATTCTACATAGAAAAAAACTGAAGCTCAAACACTTAAGAAACTTCTCCAAGTATACATAAATGTAGCAGTGGCAGAATTTGACCCGAGGACCGTGGATACCAAAGCCAATGTTCCTTCCACCACATCAGCCTTTCAAAATAGATTTCAGGTATCTTCCACTGAATATCAATAAAACTCAGCATGAAAAAGCTAACCAGTTTTCTATTTCCTGTTATATTAAATGGAAAATATTAGTATGTGTTACACATTAACCTCAATATGCAATTGATTTCATAAAACACATTAAAACTCTTAAGTGGCAAACTACCTTATTAGGATATTAGTTATTAGTAAACTGCTTAAAACATTGCTTTCTGATCACGAAATAATATAGTAGTTAACAGTTGATCTGGATGCAGTAGCATGTGCTCTCTTAGCCTCCACTACACTCAAGAAGCACATGACTTTTGTCAGTCTGAAACATGCCTTTTAGTAAGGCTACACCTGATTCTAACATTCTAACAACTATATCCAGCTCTTTCTCATGAACCATTTTATTTAAAATGATGTGATGGGTTTAAATAAATAACATTTTTCTAATATAAACAATTATCTGAATAACTTATGTGAGGAATATGTACAAAGTCCACAATATCTGGTAATATATTAGCCATACACTAACCATAGAGTAGCTTGGGGGATGTTTTTACAGGGGATGCCTTATATGTGCTACATTAGCAAACAAAAACTTGGTAGTATCAAATAAAGCACCAACAGAAAACTGAATGAACTTATTTGCATTTAAACACAAGAGCAGAGTGAAAAAATTTAGACTGCTATCTCATCAAAAACAAAGAAAGCATATAATGTTTAAAATGCACAGGGATAGCTTTAGAAGATATACCTGATGCTAAATGACGAGTTAATGGGTGCAGCACACCAGCATGGCACATGTATACATATGTAACTACCCTGCACATTGTGCACATGTACCCTAAAACTTAAAGTATAATAATAATAAAATAAAATAAAATAAAATGCACATACACTATGGAATCCTTTACTATTCAAGGCATGTTTTTAGAAGCAATCCATAGTTAATAGATAAAAATATAGAGAACATATAGCAGTCACTTTATCACATACATTTTATGATTATTTAAAATGCTATAAAATTATTAGATTATTTATTTTAAAAGGAAAATAAGTAAACAACTGCCCCCAAAAGATAAACAACTCAATAAACTTTCCTTTCTGAAACAGAATACTCAGTTGCACATATTGTAAGCATACTTTAAACATTTCCTATAACTAATTATAATTAAAGACTTGGTTGAATCTCTGCCTTTATCCTGGATAAAATATCTAAGATAAAAACCTACCTTGTTTTTAATCGTTTTCTTTATAGAAACTAAATTTCATTTAAATTATTCTTTTCTTCCCTCAGCCTCCTAAAAAACAAAAAAGGAAAAAAAATTGCTTATTTAACAAAGGTGAAATATTCTAGCCTAAAGAAAACAAGTCTGTGGCTTTAATTTAATCACCTCTTTTAACTACGTTGCAGAATAATTATGTTGCAGAATCTTTTAACTATGTTAAAATCACTGTAATTAGTAATTAAGTTACATAAAAATGACTTTACTTAAAAAAAGTCTAGATACTATACCAATATTAATTACAGGTAATCAGGATGATTTTTCCCCATATTTTTTATTCATAAAACCCAGTTACACACCTCTAACTTTTCTCATATATAACATTTGTCACTAGGAAACCTTTTTTATTTTTATTTTGGAAAAAATCTTCATTTTGGTGCATAACTTGAATTATTAATATAAAATAAAATTAAGGTATACACAGAAAAGGCACTACTAAAAATTAACAATTGGATTGCTTTTCATTAACATTTAACCAATCTGAAAATTCAAATAAATATGAACATTACATTTGTAAAACAAAGGCCAAACTTAGTAATAAAACAATATGATCTCAAGAAATTGTCCTGATCTTAGTATAAATAACACTGTTGACAGAGTTCAATTTCTATCAAATGTTTTGGGTATTTTCACAATTTAGACCCAAAGAAAGTATTTTTTTCTTTAAAAGAGACATTGGAAAAAAAAAACAAAAAACCACTGTTATGGAATAAATGCTCCCCATCACCGGAACTGTTTGAGTAGAGGCTGGGTTTTGCAGTAAGAGGGGTTCCTGAGAGATTGGCTATGTGACCTGGATGGGGAGGGGATTCCTCCAGTTTGGGGATACTTCTATTCTAATCCCGGTTGTCAATGACATTTCGGTTTTTAAAAGCCAATGATTACCTAAAATTGCTTTTCCCTTACTTCACAAAAAGTAACATTTTAAAACATCATTACTGAACTTTCAGAGTTAGTGTATGCCATAAAATAAGTAACTGTTTGCCCATGTTCCTCCTAGATTGTGACCTCCCTAAGGATGTTAATTTAGTATCTGACATAGTAAGTTACAATTATTGAATAAACAAATGAGAAAGATTCATTCTATTTATTAAAAAGGATAGATTTGCATATTTAATTGACACCAGGTGATTTTATATCAAGCTATCAGTTCCCAGACTCCAGATAAAATCATTGGCACAGAACTTTGCCATAGGCCAAGGAGTCTACATCTGGCTTGGTCATCCTGCTAAACTATCTGCATTTGATTTTATTTTCTAAGTGATTTCACATATCTTATAACAACTCCATCTCAGCTACTCCAGCTCTTAATATATGTCAGATCTGCTCTGTAGTACTAGGAAACCTTTAACAAATGTTTTAAAAACATGTCAGAAAACAGTTCCATTTTCTTTAAAGTTGCATTGTAAATAAAAATACATAAGTTTAAAACATGCATTAGCAAGCCAGACGTGGTGGCTCACACCTGTAATCCTAGCACTTTGACAGGCTAAAGCAGGTGAAACATTTGAGCCCAGGCATTGGAGGCCCCACTGGGCAACATGTTGAAACCCTGTCTCTACAAAAAATACACAAATTAGCCGGGCATGGTGCTGCATGACTGTAATCCCAGCTACTCGGGAGGCTGAGGTGGAAGGATCAGCTGAGCCCAGAGAGATTGGGGCTGCAGTGAGCTGTGATCGTGCCACTGCACTCTAGCTTGGGCAACAGAGTGAGATCTTGTTTCAAATAATAATAATAATAAAATATATATTAGCAACTTAAATCATATGACAGTTCATAGTCGTGTTTAAGGTATAGAAGATGGGAGAGTCGACTCAGGTAACTGAAGAAAGGAGGCAATAAAAATGATAGGAGTCAGTGCCTTTTCCTAAATTAGAAAATTGTTAATAACAATCCAGTGCAGTAAACAGAGCAATTCTATCCTGTTAGCACCGTTCACAGATGATGATATGAAGGTAGGGAAGAACCAAACAACACTTAGCCTTACTTATTGTCACCAGCAAACTGATGAGATTTTTTTTTCTGTTTTTCTGTCTGTTTTTAAAGACCATATGCTTTTTGTATTTTTAAAGTAATACATACTTTAGAAAATCTAGAAATTGTAGATAAGCATTAGTGAGAACATTTAAATTGTCTATAATTCAATAATGCAGAGACAAAACTATCTGCAGCTTGGTTTATTTTTTTCTAGTTTTTTTTCTGTGCATATGTACATTAATTTGAACCCACTTTATACTGTACTGTGAGTCCAATTCTGCATTCTGTTTTTTCACTTAACACATCAGAAATTCCATATGGTGTGTTATGTACCCTTTAAAAACATAATGTTTAAGAGCTATATAATACTCCATCATACAGTTTCACCAAAATTTATTTAAAGTTCTCCGACTGTATGAATTTAGGCTGTTTCCAATTTTATGTTTACACAGTTCGTAATGAACTAAATGTGGTTTTAACATCTGGTTTCCTTCTTTGGAGAGAACTCTAAAATTAGATGTCTAGATCAGAAGGCAGGAACTTTTTAAAAGCTGTTGATACATACTCCAAATTGCTTTCCAAAAAGATTGCACATATTTACATTTCATTCAGCAATTTATAAAGGTGGTTCCTTTTCACCTCTAGCTTTATGCTGCAAGAACATGATGACATCAATGAGGTACAAATTGGTGAAACATTTTAATTCTTTTGTAATTTACTATTTCAACATTTTGTGAAATGCCATAAGTTGAAAGGCTTCAGAGAACACATCAAAATATGCTCACAATTATGTTAACTTTTCTTTAATCTGAAGTTTAAAGAGCTATAACTCTTCTCACCAAACTATGTCCCAATGTCACTTGACTCAGAACTATTGCTCTAGGAGGATAAAACAAAGATAAAAATATATATAGAAAAATGATATCTTAGGAAGAATGTAGGATTTGGTCATATGGACCTAAGGAATAAAACAGAATGCTGAGAAAGGAAAATGACTTTTATGTGTAGAATGTGAATCCTTATTATTAGGATTCACATTATTATTATTATTCCTTATTATTGGGATTCACATTATTAGGCCCAAAGAGGCATTGAAATGAGAGAGTAATCATGTCCTGCTCACCACCTTCATCTCTTGAAACTTCTTGCTATTGCCACAAGTAGCTATAAATTAACCTACTAATCCCACACAGGACACTATAATCCACATCCTAGAGCTTAACAATGTATAAGCAATCAATACCTTATATTATTTTAATGTAAATTACTGGTAATCAACCCAGAAACTGCCTCTTCATTCCCCTTAAAAATCTACTTGTCACTACTGCTAATCAGAGTGTATATGCAGGACAATTTATGTGACAGTGAATGCCACATAGTTGGTACTCATTTATGCTTATTATCATTTCATGATTATGTTACTGCTATTCTAATTGGGCCAACATGATCTAGAGAAAACTTATAGAAAGAAAATATACACTTTTGAGTCCCACATTATAAAATTAAGTTTGTGAACCAACAAAAACTAATCAATCTAATGAATAATATAATGCCTTACTCTTCTCTTTGAAAATAAAGAGTTAATTTCTAGTTAAATACATCTTTACCTCTTCTCCATCCCCAAATCCAACTAAAATAAGAACTGGGAAATTTCAAAAAAAGTACTACACATGAAGGCAAAGAGAACAGGAAACAAGATACAATATTCAAGAGATTTACATACCTGTAAACCAACCTAGACAACATAGTGAAACCCCATCTCAACAAAAAATTTAAAAATTTGCCAGGTGTGTTGGCACACACCTGTAGTCTCAGCTACTCCAGAGGCTGAGGCGGGAGGATTGCTTGAGCCTAGGAGGTCGAGGATGTAGTAAGCCAAGATCGCTCCACTGCGCTCAAGCATGAACAACAGAGCAAAACTCTGTCTACAAAACAAAACAAAAATAAAAACAAACAACAAAAAACACCTGTCACAAGACAGAAAAAGGGTAAAAGAAGTGTATCTGAATTAGCAGAGCACATGGTACAACGTAAGAGTCTGCAGAGGAAGCCATCAATAAGAAATGTCAGTTTGTATCACAGAACCCCTGGGGGGGTTCAGCAAGTGGCATTACCAGGTATTATGAAAATCAAGGGAAAACTGCAGCAGTTAAGAATAGGACTCCTTGAATGTCTGAATAAGGTCTTCTTCTCTGACTGTAGAACCAGAAGACTGGTCCCTCTTCTCACCTCCTCCAAACAAAAGAGCAGAGGTACATGTCCTAGAAAGGCTGAACCAGAATATCTCAAACTTGGGAATACCAAGTGCAAAGTTAAAACAAGGGAATTAGGTAAAGTTTACATACTGACTTGTGGGAATTTCATACTCTTCCTGTCCCAGATCTACCTTCAATCAATTCCTTCTACCCCTTGAGAAAATATCACCAGATAACTAAAAATGGAAAGGCCTCTCCTCATCATTTCATAGTGAAACCCACCAAAAAACAAATCCTACCTAACAGGTAGCATATAGTTATCAACTCTTAGTGTTTCATTCTTAAAATTAGTATTTAACAATTATTAAATACATGAGAAATGCCTCAACATGAAAAAGACCAAAAAAAACAAGCAGAAAAAAAGGAAAACAGGAAGAAACAGAGACAATGCAGAGAGTAAGATTTCAACAAAATATAAATATATAAAATATATAATTAATAAAACAAAAACAGAATACCATACAATAGGAATAATCACAGAATAAAGATTTCCTAAAAATTATGAAAAAATAATAAAAAATAAAACTAAGGAACTCATCAGAAACAAAAGGAAATGGGAAATCACAAGATATAGAGAGAATATCAGAGAATCAGTACAGGATGGCCAGCATTTTTCCAATAGAAGTTTCAGAAATGAAGACAGAAATCACAGGAAAGAATATCACAATAGTAACAATAAAAATAAAACAAAAAAAATACCAAGCTGAAAGACCAGTTTGAAAAGGCATATAGATATCCAACAAAGTGATCACAAAATTTTCTGAGTAAAGAAGCACCAACCATCAGCATGGACTCCGATTTGTCAAAAGAAATACCACAAGATAACAAAGGCTTTGAAGTTCTGAGAAGCAGCTGCCTATGTTAAATCAAACGATCAATCACACAGGAGAGTAGAATAAAGACATTTCAGGCATGTAAGAAGTCAAAAAACTTTCCCAGGCACCCTTTCCTAGGAAGGTACTGGATGCAGGTAACACAGAATCCTAATACATAAAAGTGTAAAAGAAAAGTTCCAGGACGACAGTTACCTGGCCTAGAAATGACAGTTAAAATTGATGCAAGAGAATAAAGGGATACAACAGGAACATTATCAGGCCCAAAACAAAAACAAAAAAGTTTAGTGAAGCTAAAGGGTTATTTTATGAATTCGACCATTTAAAAAGGTTATTGAGGCAAGGCACAGTGGCTCGTGCCTGTAATCCCAACATTTAGGAGGCCAAGACACGAGGATCATTTGAGCCCAGGATTTCAAGACCAGACTGGACAACATGGCAAGACCTTGTCTCTCCAAAAAGTTTTTTAAAAATTAGTCAGGCATGATGATGCATCCCTGTGGTCCTGGAAACATGGGAGGCTGAGGTGAGAAGATCACTTGAGCCTAGGAGATCAAGGCTGCAGTGGGCCATGTTCATACCACTGCACTTCAGCCTGGGCAACGGAGCTAGACTCTGTCTCAAATAAATAAATAAATAAAAATTGAGGCTAGGTGTGGTGGCTCACATCTGTAATCCCAGCACTTTCGGAGGCTGAGGCAGGCAGATAAGAATGTCAGGAGATCGAGACTCTCCTGGCCAACACGGTGAAACTCCATCTCTACTAAAAATACAAAAATTAGCTGGGTGTGGTGACGCGTGCCTGTAATCCCAGCTACTCGGGAGGCTGAGGCAGGAGAATCGCTGGAACCCTGGAGACGGAGGTTGCAGTGAGTGAGCCAAGATTGCACCACTGCACTCCAGCCTGGCAATGGAGTGAGACTCTGTCTCAAAAAAAAAAAAAAAAAAGAAAACAAAAAAAAAGGAAACAAAGAAAATTAAAAGATTATTGATAGCCATTTAGTATATCTGTGATGGAACATTTGGGAGCAAATAGTGAAAGATTTACTAAAACCTAAACAAAAAAGGAAAGAATTCTAGGACTTTTTTAATGTATGAGAAAGAAAAAAAATCATATGTTTTGGTTCAAACAATATTCACATAGTTATTATAAATATTCACATAGTTATAAATGTAAAAACCACTAATTTAACAAACACATGTGATATAACCTTCTAATTAAAATGAAGGAAAAATATTTGAGATTGCTGGATGTCAGAGCTAGAAAAACAAATTCTCAACCAATAAAACAAGAAGTCAGTGGGTAATATAAACCATTTAAAAATCAAGAAATAACTTTATAAGCATAGAGCTATCAAAAGAAAAAACTGGAACAGTTGGAAATGGTTGCCTCTTAGAAGAAGGACTGGATTGGGGTGGGAAGAATGAGAGAAGTATTGGAGGGTTGCTGGGGTTTTTTGTTTTGTTTTGTTTCATTTTAAGCCTTTCTTTTCTTTTTTTTTTTTTGGAGACAGAGTCTCACTCTTGTCACCCAGGCTGGAGTGCTTTGGCATGATCTCAGCTCACTGCAACCTCTGCCCCCTGGGCTCTAGTGATTCTCATGTCTCAGCCAACCAGGTAGCTGGGATTACAGGTGCACGCCACCACGCTCGGCACATTTTTATATTTTTAGTAGAGACAGGGTTTTGTCATGTTGGCCAGGCTGGTCTCAAACGCCTGGCCTCAAGTGATCCACCCACCTAGGCCTCCCAAAGTGCTGGGATTACAGGTGTGAGCCACAGCACCTGGCCAGCCTATGTGACTTTTAAATTATGCTTACATAATACTTCCATAAAATCATGATTATTTTGATTCATTTTACTTTAGTAAAATACACCCTAAAATTTTGTCCTTTTAGAAGGGAAGGTAGGAAAGAGTGGGATAGAGTAAATGGGCTGAAGTAGGGAGAGGGAGAGGGAAAGAAGAAAGGAAAAGCAAAAAAGAAACGACATAGACTATAAAACATCTTAGAAAGCAGTTTTCTTAAAATGCTGTTAATTAAATGTAAAAGAGGTAATCAAAGTAATTTAACCTGATTGCTAATTACTGTCTCTGGAATGAGTTAATTGTTGTAATATATTTGTAAATAAGGAATAAGTATCAGTGAAATATAGCTTAATTACTTAGACTGTATTTCTTCATTCACTCCCCCATTACCACTCCCATTCAGCCGACTTCATCTACTGCATAACACCCACAACTCTCCCCTAGCCAATCATCTTGCCTCTAATCCC
Source organism: Homo sapiens (assembly GCF_000001405.40). Classification (NCBI taxonomy): domain Eukaryota; kingdom Metazoa; phylum Chordata; class Mammalia; order Primates; family Hominidae; genus Homo; species Homo sapiens. Next base: position 174,543,242 of record NC_000003.12, on the reverse strand, counting down.
AGCTCAAGTTAATTCCTCAGAAGATGATATTATTATAATGGCACTTCCAGCTCAAGAACTTGCAACAGTCCATCGCCTAGGTTTAAAGCTGTACCTGCTTCTCACATCTAATAACTTTCCAGGACAAATCCTCTGCTCAAGTCACTAATGTCTCCTTCTTGCACTATCAATCTCCCTGACGTTACCTGCTAAAGTACCACCCCTATGGTTCATGCTGATGGGTAATCCCACAAATTTTTCTATTTACTGCTCAGCCACCCAAATTCTCCCCATCTGTCATAGTCCAGCTCAAGTCATATCACCTCTAAAATGCCCTCTCTGAAAATTCCACAGCACGCATATTTAGCCCTTCTCTAATTATTCTCATAATGAGGCAGGAGACCAGCAGGACATCTTTCCCAGTCCCAACAGGATGAAATGAAGAAACTGGCCAGAGCCAGCAAATGGTGCTGAAGGCAATATGTAGTTGCCCTTGCTGTTCATCAGCATAAGACATTCCCATCAGTGCCATGACAGTTTACAAATGAAATGTCAACATCTGTATGTTGACAAGCTACCTGGTTACATAGCTATAACCAGGGAATTGACCCCAACTTTCTGGTTGACTATCAAAAGCACCCTCTGAAGTCTTATCTGGCTTTTACCTTTCCTGGGACCTTTGATACCTAACTTGTTACTGTTAATTTTTGTCCCTTGCTTGTTTAACCTCTCACTATAGTTTGTGTCTTCCAGATGGTAAAGTTTCCATATAAAGAAGATGCTGGCACCAGACTTCCAACTCATCCCATCTTCTGACCCAGGAAATAAAGACATCTTGCCTTTAGGCCCCTTAGATCAGGCATCCAGAGATGTTTGCTCTTCCAACACTAAGCAGAGTCCATGCCCATAAGATCAGCAGGAAACAGTAACAGAAGAGAGACCTCTGCCCTTTGCAACTCCCTTAAACTTAAGGAGGAGTGTATATTCTCTGAGGGGTGAATGAGGTAGATTAGTAGGACTTCTTTCTTGGTCCTGACAGGATAAAATGAAGAAAACAGCCAGAAGTGGCAAATTGCTCTGAAAGCAATTTCTAGTTTCCCTGATGTGTATCAGCATAAGACACTCCCACCAGCACCATGAGAGTTTACAAATGCCACGGCAACACCTGGAAGTTGCTGTTTCTTTTCTAGAGAATTCTGAATAACCCATCCCTTAATTTGCACAGAATTAAAAATGGGTATAATTATTGTTGGCCAACAGCCTATACACAGCCTATACTTTGGGCACACTGCCTATGGGTTAGCCCTGCTCTGCAAGAAGTAGTCACTCTGCTGTACGCTGCTGCTGCTTCAATGGACATGCTTTCTTCCACCACTGACTCACTCTTGAATTGTTTCCTGAGTGAAGCCAAGAATCCTCCCAGACTAAGCCCCAATTTTGGTGCTCATCTGCCCTGCATCATCAGCAGTGTCTTTATCTCACAATTAGCAAATATTAAATACTTAAGTATGTACCTAATCATTGCCTATTTTATTTTTTACTGCCTATTTTGTTTTCCTGTAGTTGGAAAGAGTTGTGTAGGAAGAAACATACTGAATTCTACATTTCACAATGATAAAAATCATAAATGGAGCCAAGTTAATGCTTTTTGATTAACTGCTTTTAAAAAAATGTTTCATAGCATCCAGTGTATTTTCATGCACATACTACACACTTAGAATATGTTGAATGATTGATTAACCCACGTTCAATTTATTCAATATGTGTTACTTATAAAGCTATCAAATTCCTTGACTATTAACCTTCATGTTATTTAACCATCACCTTTCATCTTTCTGACACCTGTGCTTTTAGCATATATCAAGCTATGTTGTCACACATTCCAATTTTCTAATTTAGAAGAACATAAATTGGAATGTAAAAATTTTTAGAAACGTCATTCAGATATATGGCAATCAAAAAAATCTGTTAACAGAATTTGTGAGAAAATTCTCTTGATAACTCATATCTCACTTCATTCCCAATTAAAATTAAATTGAATGTGAAGTGTGGCATAATAGGTATTGAGAGAAAGGGGCTTCAGAAAAGGTTTCTTTGAAATTAATGTTACCTGAATTTTAATATTTCAGGGATAAATATTCAGTTTAAGAGTTTGGAGTTAAAGAAGAGCAACATGGTAAGAGGAAATAATGTGAGAAAAGCTCTGTTTCTACTGGATGCAAAACCTTACTTCCAGTAGATCTAATATGTTCCAAACAGGAACTGTGCCATCCCTGTTTTGAGGAGCGTTTTAATTCTCCCCTTCTACCTCCATATGGCAAAAGGTACATAGTTGCGCAGTAGCTATTAAGATAAGAAAATCCTACTGAATCTTATATAGATAAATTTAAAAATACCTATCATTAGGAAAACTCACATGTAAAGTTCTTAGTCTCCAAGGCAACAGGTTGTCAAGAGTCACATTGTATCATTGGGAAAATGCTTTGTCCTAATGCAAATCAACTGCTTTTGTCCCAGTCCCTGGAAATCTGCATAGCTTTATTAAAGGAAAACAGAAGTCAAATAGGGCATGTTAGCATGAAGTGAGGTAAATTTATGCCCCATTGTAGAGACAATAAAAAACTATTAAAGTTCTTCTTGTCAACAAGCCAGCTTCTAATGTAGTGTGTAAAATTCGTAAGAAGTCTTCCGGCTAGTAGTATAGTTGACTGTTATAGCCTTCATAGCACAGTTTTGTTTTATCCCACTTGCTTTGAAAGTTTTTTAACAATTACCTTTAGTAACTTAAAGAGAAAACTTGGCACAGAGAATTTGTTAAAATGTACATTAAGGCTGCCTGCCAAAGTAATATTATAGAACAGGTGCTGTCAGAATGAGGAGGTGGAAGCAAAAGAAGGAAACCAACAGAGAGAATAAGCACAGGAAATGACCCCAAAACAAGGGAGTCTCTGCTGCATACAGTTACCACCACCTGGCCCAGCAAGAAGCTAGCCAGAAGCCAGCCCTTCACTGACGCCTAGCTCACAGATGTTTACACATCCTACTGGCAGACCTGGCCTCATCTGCTTTTTTTCCCCCTCTTACTAGAATAAATTCTATTTTGTGAACTTTTGGTTCAACACTTCCCAGTTCTATTACTTGCTTCTGCCACTTTTGTACTCCTCCATTAGTCTTTTTAATATTTGACCATTCTTACCCTGTATTTTAACTGATAGCAAGATAGATAAATGCCCATTGTTTCAAAACATCAGGCAGCTTTTTTTTTTTTTTTTTTTTTTTTTTTTTTCCAGAACTTCCTAATTCTCTCTTGGCAAAATGTTACAATTACCCTGTGGACAACAGGGCAATCATCAGTAACTCTGAGGTTGACAGATGCTCTATGTCTCTTGGCATCTTTGTTCATGTTTTCTTTATTGCTTGAATATTCTATATAGCTAGGTTTTTAATTTTTAAAGAAATTTTCATTTTGGAAAACAATGCTTTAAGTGACCTACCAAAATTATTGGATTTATTGAAACTATTAGTTTGTGATCCTTAGACCAATTTAAAAAAATGAGAGCTGATATACTATTCTGTGCCTTGGATGAGTATTGACGGTCCTTTCAGAATTTGATGTGGCCACAACAAAAATAAATTCGCAGAAATGTTCTACTGCTTTCAAGGACAAATCTGTCAGTAAGGTGACCATAAGATAGCACATTTTAAAGAAATAACGCCAGAAAGGCAGGTCATAAGTAAGTCTCTAGAATGAAGAACTTAACAAAGGCAAGAAAGACAGAATCCACACTGGGTTAAACTAAACCAAAAGTGTCCACACTATAAAATGATATATACTATTAAAATAAATAATTTTGTGATTTGTGAATTATAGTACCATAATTTTTAAAGGCTCCTCATTGAACAATTTATTATAAAACAAATCAAATTTATCTCCTTGGTACATTATCTTCTAATATATGATTAATTTAATGATAGCTATCATTTCATCTCTGTGTGTGTAAAAGAAAGCTTTTGTAATGTATTTGAGTATATATTTTCTAGAGTTAAATAAATATTGGACATACTGGTTATTGCTTTTGCTGAAAATTATTGTCTTTACTTAGTCTTAGTTTTATTCAATTCTTTAGTTTGTTTACATAGATTTTACTGACACATATTATTAGATTGTTTATTTGAAAAATTGCATTTTATGTTGATTTTCTTTGATGAAGACTGCAAACAAAAAGGTATCTAAGACAGATCTCAATAAATTTAGAAGTTTGTTTTGCCAAGGTTAAGGACATGGCTGTGACACAACCTCAAAAGGTCATGAGCCCAACGTAGTCAGGCTCCAGCTTGGTTTCATACATTTTAGGGAGACATAAGGCATCAATCAATGTATCTAAGATGTACATTGGTGCAGTCCATAAAGGCAGGACAACTCAAAATGGGCCCTTCCATGTCAAAGATGGATTCAAAGATTTCCTGATTGGTAATTGGTTGAAAGAGTTTATCCAAAGACCTGGAATCAATAGAAGGGAAGGTCTGGATTAAGATAAGGGGTTATAGAGACCAAGGTTTTTATTATGCAGATGAAGCCTCCAGGTAGCAGGCTTCAGAGAGAATAGATTGTAAATGCTTCTTATCCAACTTAAAAAAATGCCAGAATCTTAGTTAATTCTCTCCTCGTTCAGGAAAGACACCTAGAAAGGGAAGGTCTTTTTTCCTTTCCCCTTCTGTCCCATTAGGGACAGCTTTGCAGAGTCATTTCAAAATATGTCAAGTAAATTTATTTTGGGTAAAATACTTCAATTTCTTTTAGGACCAGCTGTCATGTTGGTATCTTATTGCTACAAAGAGTCTGCATTGTCAGTCTCGAGTTCTCTGCTTGAATGTTAAATGCTGGCCAGCTGTGCCTAAATTCCAAAACCTGGATAATATAATGAGGCAGGTCCAACCTCCACTTCCCATCCTGGCTGGAACTAATTTTTACGGTTAACTTAGGAATGCCGTGGGCCAACAGGAGGGGCCCATTCAATTGGCTGGGGACTTAGAATTTTATTTTTGGTTTACAAGACTCTCATTGTGAATCTAAAAGTAAAAAGGAGATGTGGAAAGGAATTTTGCCATTTGTGACAACTGATCAGTGATAAAAAGAGTATATAGTTATAAATAGTCAACCTCTGAGGGAGCCTCTGCTGGGGCAACCTATCAATTTTCTAGATGTCTACATTTAACTGTATCATTCCACACTATAAATACTAAGAGCCTCTGTGTAAAGTACTGCAATAGATCCTGGGGAATCAAGGAAATTAGACCAGGTTCTTGCTCACAAAGCTCTTATATTCTAGGAAATATATTCCATTTATATAGCTGTGAAAGAGGAAGAATAGGCTGCTTTCCTAGTTATTAAACATGGTCAGATGGCTCTGTGAGAATATCACCAGCCTGACTTTGTACAATATTATATGAATCTTTCCAGTTTAACTGCCACTGTACATGATTATATCTGAATTCTTAAATATGGCTTATGAGGACATTCACAATCTGTCCCTTTCTGCAAAATTTAATTATTCTTCCACATTCTACTGCCATATCACTCCCTGAGTAGCCATACCTAGCCTGGCTTAGGTGCCCACATCATTTCTCGTACTGTATTCCATGCTGTCGCTATTGTTCCACTTATCACACTATGTTGTACTTGTATGTTTTCCTGACTCTCACTAGACTTTAAACTCCTCAAGAGTAGGTACATATTCTTCGCAATCATGTCTTCAATGTAAACTACCTGGCACTTAATAGTGCTCAATAAATATTTGTTGAATGAATGAACTGCTTAAAACGCTATTTCAAAGAGAAATAGAATATTGTTAATTGGTCCATTCCATGATCTTTCAAGTCAACGGTAGCAAGCTAAATAATCACAAATGATAGCATGATCTATAATTAATTATACTGATTAAAATCTCTTACAGTATAATTATATGAAGATTTGCTTCCCTTTAATTTAATATCCATAATAAAAAACAATTGCTAGCAATTTCTAATTAGTTGTCTTTTTTCCAAATCCATATTAATTTAGGATTCAAACACCCTTGTGATACATTTCTACAATACATAGAATTGCTTAGCAAAGCATATGGCTCAGTGTAAGTCTTCAATAACATTAGTATGATGGCAGTAGTGTTGGTGGACTGGTTTATAGTGATGGCAACAATGAATGTGTATCATTGATATTACATATAAATCATATGACTTATTTATTCAAGATAAATTTAGACACTTGTTCAGTTCTTTCAAAATACAGGAAGAACTTTGCCATGTCTTATTTACAAGTAATATTGTTATTTGCATTATTGTTAAATTAAGCATAATAACAAACCATTGTATTGGGGAAGAGAATGTGAAATATTATTATAAAATTTTACAATGTTTTGTAATGGAAACAATTCCCCCAGGTGACAAAATATGTATGTAAACAATTGACATCTGGATGCTATTTTACAAAAACAGCAGTTACAGAGAGAAAGGGTTTTCATTTTCTCTAACACTTCAAACAGCTTTACAAATATTTATAAAAGGTCACCAATAGAGGGCTTACCTAGGGTTGAATAAAAGACGCCCTAAGACATCAAAAGCTATTTTGAACGTCCAGCTGGGAGATCTAAAACAGAGAGTAGCAAAGACAGTTTGTGACAAAGCTGACACACAGTATTCTAAAAGGAGTGAAATCAATTGTGACTTTTTTCATTTATTTGTAAATGCCTCTTTGGCAGTACACTCACTCAAAACGACAGTTGCTTCTTACAGAATAGGGGAGGTGATGGCAAAATAGAGGAATCTTGACAGTTGCTTTAATGAGATTCTGCATTAGGGCTATTCTAACACTTTCACCCAACAAGAAGGTTGCCCTTCATTTTCAATATCGTATCTCAGTAATTTGGAAAATGTTATCTCTATGAAAAACTAAACTAGCCAGTCCTGAATAGCCATGGCCCAGTTTATTTTCCCCTTATCTTTCAATCAGTAGAAAACATTCTAAATCAAGTATCTAAATAAATGTCAGCTGTTCAGACCAATTATCTGTTCTCAATAAGAATGCTGTTTTTATTAAAAACAGTAATATGGAGTGTCAGAACAACTCAAGACATACATACTAGAAACTCAGTATTTGCTTGAAACTATCTGGGAGTATACTTTAAGCTGCATTTTAAAAATGTTTTTATTTTTATATTTGATGTTCCTAAGGAATAGCAAATTGTTGGCAAGGTAAAATTTCATTAGTCTTTGTAATATGAGCAACTACAAACTATCACAATCTAAATATTGAATTCATTTTTTCATTCAATCGTTCTTTGATCAGATGTTAAGTGTTTGGTGCAACTGCAAATCAACTGCTGTAAACCTACTTCTTAAAGAAAGAAAAAAAAAGTAAATTATAATGTAGAGGGAAAATGCAATCCAATCCAGAGCCTAGCCCAGCACCTATCAGCTATAAGTCAACCAATAGGTATTTGTTGAACTGATAAACTCAACAAATTATATATGGCAATGTAACCCACAGCATTATGGGCATATACAGATCCCAGAGAAATGAACTAATAAGAGACACTGGAGGAATAATGAACTCTCTGGGTTCCAATTTCCTTATCTGTAAAGTAATATTTACTTTATAAGAGTGTCATGAGGATAAAATAAAAGTTGGGGCAGGAATAAATCACCTAGTACGGCTCCCGGTTCATAGCAAATTGTCAATAAATAGTAGCTATTATAAAGCTTTGCTTTAGCCAAAACAAATGATATTTCTCAAATACAATAACAAAATTACTAACAACAGTAGAATGAGGGAACCCTGTCTGTTAGGATAATACTATTAGCTTTGGTTCTGTCTCTTCCACTAAGAGCCACTTTGCAAATCAGTTTTTCTCACAAAAATGGGACTAATACTGTATTCCTATATTTACATAAAACTAGAACTCAGGTTGACCATAAAAGTCATCTGGGTACTTTAAGTACCCTACTGTCATACATTGTTGTAATAAGTACCATGAATATGGCAGTGAGCACCATTTCAGTCTGGCAAATTAACTGTGGTCTAAGATCTTGTGTTGGAAATTCTGCCCTGCTAGTCAATGGTTAATTTTCAGGTAATGTTCAGTAGAGCTCATAAACAAAACTGCTTGAGAAGCTAAATGTGTGCAGATTGATGAAGGTTTTTGTCTCTTTATTCTATTTTTAATTTACCTAGAGCAGTAGCTCTCAAACTTACATATTAAAATTACCAGAAGGATGTGTTTATTGCCAATAGCTATAGTGTAACTCCAGACCAGTTAAATCAATATATTTTTTAACATTCCTCAGATGATTCTAATGTGCAGCTAAGATTGAGAACCACTGGCCTAAAGTCTGATACAATTTTTCTCCAAAAAACACTGTCGGCTTCCCAAACAAATCACTTTTTTTCTCTTCTTTACAAGACCGATTCACCTTCCATGTCTTTTTTCTTTCCAAGCAACTCTGGAGAGGGTGACTGTATGCACAGGTTTAAGACGATCCTGATTAGACTCAAACATAATGGCGCCATTACTTTTGCCAGGGATTGATTTAGGGGTATATATGTTAGCCATAGCTAGCCAGTCAGATGGTAGGAAAGGTGTTCTTGGGGCTTCTAAGTTTTCCACCCTTCTGAAAAAATCCTTTGTTTCCTGTTGTTGTATACAGATGTGATGGCTAGGACTGCTCTGGACATCTTGGGAGCAGGGAGGAAGTTAGTCTAAGGCCAAAGCCAACATCGTGAGGATGGCAGAGAAGAATGATAGAAACAGAATCTGTGATAATGTCATTCAGCTGCTCAAATAATTTGCCCAATATCTGGAATTATGTAAAATAAATTCAGGTAACATCAAAGCATTTTGAATTTAAATAGCATTCCAAACAAATGAAAAAATGGACTAGATCCCAAGACTAACTTTAGGTTAAACATTTTTTTTGTTTATATTGTGAAATATTTATGAATTAAACCATCTGGTAAAAATGTGTTACTTTTCCTTAGATATTAAACAATGTCCTAGTTTTATTTAAATGGTTTCATAGCACATTTTACTAAGAAATATTGTGTAGTATGTACACAGACATAAGAAATGTAATAGTAGATTCTGCCCTTTAAATACTTTTTTGTAAGTACTAATTTGTTCCAATTTTTATATACACATAATGTGCAATATTAAAATATATTTTCTACCTCCCACATATATAAATATGTGCATTTGCTTTTTAAAAAATTATTGTCATGTTTATAAAGTAGAGAAAAATGAGTTTTTTAATATCCAACCACAACAATTGCATGACTTCCTAATAATCTTGTTTTTAATTGATTCTATAGATAGCTTGCATTTCTTGCCAGTTGTATGTCTTATTCTCAAATGTCAAGACTACAGTTTTGTTTCTGAAATGTCCTCTCTTTTCTTTAAGCAATACTTTCCTGGACCAGGAAATAATGAGGATACTTTGGAATGATGCTTTATTGTCAACTACACAGTTGGAATGAGATTAATCAGAATTTTGCTGTAAGATCTATTATGGAGCTTTAAGTGACATACACTGTAATCGCTATGCTCCAATTAGACACTTTAAATCTGTGGGTTTTTTTTTTTTTTTCCAACTAATTTCCTTTGTGTTGCTTCTTCCTCTCTCCACCTCCTCTGTGGTTCCTGTATTGTTTATTTAACAATAAGAATAATTTCAGAAATATTCACCAGCATTTTTGTGGAGAAGAAGACTAGACTACCCTTGCTGGATGGGATTTGTTAGGTGAGTCAGAGAGCAACATGTATTAGGAGCTGTAGCTTTTGAGAGCCAATAGAGATTAACAGAGAAGAGAAAACAGGAGTTGAGGCTGATAAGAGGGCTCAATGGTATGATCTCTTTTCCTATGTTAGGAATAATGCTCAAAATTCCCAAGGAAATTGAACACTCGAACAAAGGATTCTTAGCAAACAATTTTACTTCTATGCAGAGGGGTGCCTCCTTGGCCAGTCGCCATGAGAGCACACCTGAACAAGGGGGCACGAGAGCCTTTATTCCTGACGCAAGTCCTGCCCCTGTACCCCTTCCCCATTGGCTGGGGTTGGGTCATACAACCTAAACTAATCCCGGTTGGCTAAACATTTGCTTTTTTTAGATAAGGTGGGCACGTAAAAGAAAGTGGAGAGGAAAGGGTAAGGGGTGTCTGTAATGAGCTAGAAAGTTAGTCCTCTTTCCAAATAAGGAAAGGAATGTGAGCTGGTACTGATTATACCTGGTACTGTGGCATGCCTGGCATCTAACAAAGGCAAAAAGGAGAAAAGGAGAAAAGGAGGGGGGTACTATGAATTAAAGAATAAAAGATTGATCAGGTTATTTAAAGAGAAACCTCATCATATCCCACAGCCATGACCCTCCAAATCCTCAATAAATATATAACTTAATGTGATAGATTTCCTGCAAAAGTCAACAGGGGATACAGTTTGGTGAAGTTGAGAAGTGAGTAGAAAGGCTGAAGCTAAGAACGTTCAGTAAAGAAAAGGATGCTGAAAAAAAGAAACGTGGAAATTCTTAGAGCACATTCCATCCAGAATAGATCAGGTAGTGAAACAGGGGCTCAACCGAATTTTCCTTCAGTGTAGCTTGGGAAACCAGTTATATTTTTTTCTCCCTCACTATTCTATAAGCACCCAAGAACAGTACTCTTTGAACAGTACTCTGAGTTCCATATAGGATTCAATGATTAAATTTGACTCCAGTAGGACAGTTCCTCCTAAAAGGGCCTTTGTCCCTCTTACTCCTAAATTTAGGCAATTTCCATACCCTCCCCCTTTCCTTCTCTACTCAAATATTTATAAGACTGACCTCTCAATAGTGATAAGAACTTGGCAGAGCTAGAAATCTCATGGCCTGAGTTTGGTTTGGCATCATCTCCTTATTTCGGGATCACTTACTGCTTTTATGTTATAGTAATGGATCTTCACACTCTAAAAAAATAGTTACAGGTGCTCATGTCTGTCTCAGTCCTCCTCACCCAAGGACAGGGATCTGACTTCATCTCTACATCCCTTCCCCTTCTCCTTCCCCCAGAAACTGAAAAGGACCTTCACAAAGTAGAGACTTAATAAATGTCTGATGCATTGAACACAATTATAAATGAAGTACCTATTTTTTGCTCTGTTTATATTTATACTAAAACTGTACTTGCAATGATTTCATCTACCTTTTGGAGCATCAAAGTACAATCACTGGGGTCAGATATTTTATTTCATTAGTCTAAATCAATACTGATTTAAATAAATCTAGGAATTTTTATGAGGACTTTAATATTTTGAAATGTATTTCTACAGACAAGTCCTTATTTCTTGTAAATCTCATTTTGTTCACAGAAATATGAGATGTCTTATGAACCACTGGTATTTCTATTGTAAATATTAAGGAATGTTGCATTACAATGCAGACAGGTAATCCGTAGGCCCAGCAGAGAAATAATGATTAACACACACTAGAGGGAGTATACATTTTAATAGACTCACTCATAAAATCCATGTTTCAAATGTTACAAAACAGAATCGAGTTTACCAAAAAGCAAATAAATCATCTTACTTTGGGGTTTCTTCTTTCATTTCTGATTTTTAAATAATAAACATCATTTCCCCAGAGCAGGTAAACTACACTTACCTGTAAATGAATGATAGAAAGTTCGAAAATCCTCACAAAAGATTGACTCTCAGTGAACTTTGCTCCTGATAAATTCTACCCACAATGTTTATTCAAATTTAGTTTTAAAAAGAGAAAGCAGACTTTGGAGAGATGGCCTTTACGTGGATTTTATTTGCTGATGATAATGATGATGCACAGTGCCTCTTCACAAGATTACATGAGTTAAAAGGTAATCCCACTATCACTCTTGCACCGATGAGTGCTCTACTTGAGTGCTGATCTCAATTTTTGACTCCAAGCTAAGACAGAACCAAAAGAATAAAAAAAAAAATGCAGAGCCATGGAAATAATGACTAAAAGGACTAAAAATGAGCAAATGTGAAAGAAAATGTGATAAAAGTTGATTAAAAATAAAAGAAATAGAAACATACACCATGCATAGAAACACGGGGCCAAATAAATGAAAATGTCAGTATCAATAACTAGGCTTTTTAATTACACTAAATTTGGGCTAACTAGATGATGTTCATTATAGCTTGTATATTTGTCCTAATGCTTTAAGACTGTATTTGTCTTCTTCAGAAGTCATATGAACTGTAGGTCAGTGTGCTTTACCTCAATAAATTGCTTCAACAAATTTGTTCATAGTTTCACAAAATAAACTGATCATACAAGAGATGAATTATTGTTCCTTTCAATATTTTAAGTCACACTTCCTACTTTCTGTGTGTGTAGGTTTTTCGTTTTGTTTTGAGATGGAGTCTCCTTTGTCACCCAGTGATATAGTTTGGCTGTGTCCCCACCCATATCTCAACTTGAATTCCCACGTGTTGTGGGAGGGACCCGGTGGGGGGTAAGTATTCACCCATTCAGTGGGTGAATAAGTCTCATGAGATCTGATGGTTTTAAAATTGGGAGTTTCCCTACACAAGCTCTCTTCTCTTATCTGCTGCCATATGAGACATGCCTTTCACCTTCTGCTGTGATTGTGAGGCCTCCCCAGCCAGGTGGAACTGTAAGTCCAATAAACCTCTTTCTTTTGTAAATTGCCCAGTCTCGAGTATGTCTTTATCAGCAGCATGAAAACGGACTAACACAGTAAATTCGTACTAGCAGAGTGGGGTGCTGCTGAAAAGATATCCGAAAATGTGGAAGCGGTTGGAACAGTTTGCAGGGTTCAGAAGAAGATAGGAAAATTTGGGAAAGTTGGGAGCTCCCTAGAGACTTGAATGGCTTTGACCAAAATGCTGATAATGATATAGACAATGAAATCCAGGCTAAGGTGTTCTCAGATGGAGAAGAGGAACTTGTTGGGAACTGGAGCAAAGGTGACTCTTCGTATGTTTTAGCAAAGAGACTGGTGCATTTTGCCTCTATCCTAGAGATTTGTGGAACTTTGAACTTGAGAGAGATAATTTAGAGTATCTGGTAGAAGAAATTTCTAGGCAGCAAAGCACTGAAGAGGTGACTTGTGTGTTGTTAAAGGCATTCTGTTTTAAAAGAGAAACAAACCATAAAAGTATGGAACATTTGCAGCCTGACAATGCGATAGAAAAGAAAATCCCACTTTCTGAGAAGAAATTCAAGCCGGCTGCAGAAATTTGTGTTAAGTAATGAGGAACCAAATGTTAATCACCAAGACAATGGGGAAAATGTCTCCAAGGCAGGTCAGAGACCTTTGCAGCAGACCTTCCCATCACAGGCCTGGAAGTTGGGGAAGAAAAAGTGGTTTTGTGAGCCGGGCCCAGGGTCTCTGTGCTGTGTGCAGTTTAGGGATTTGATGCCGTGTCCCTGCTGCTCTAGCCGTGGCTGAAAGGGGCCAACATAGAGCCTGGGTTGTGGCTTCAGAGGGTGCAAGCTTCAAGCCTTGGCAGCTTCCACATGGTGTCAGCCTGCCAGTGCACAGAGGTCAAGAACTGCAGTGTGGGAACCTCAGCCTAGATTTCAAAGGATGTATGAAAATGCCTGGATGTTCGAAAATGCCTGGATGTTCAGGCAGAGTTTGCTGCAGGGGCAGGGCTCTCATGGAGAACCTCTGCTAGGGCAGTGCTAAAGGGAAACGTGCGGTCAGAACCCCCACACAGAGTCCCCACAGGGGCACCACCTAGTGGAGCTGTGAGAAGAGGGCCACCATCCTCCAGACCTCAGAATGGTAGATCCACTGACAGCTTGCACACTGCACTGGAAAAGCTGCAGACACTCAGCAAGTCCATGAAAGCAGCAGGGAAGGAGGCTTTACCCTGCAGAGCCACAGGGGCAGAGCAGCCCAAGACCATGGGAACCCACCTCTTGCATCAGTGCAACCTGGATGTGAGACATGGAGTCAAAGATCATTTTGGAGCTTTAAAATTTGGTTGCCCCAGTGGATTTCGGACTTGCATGGGGCCTGTAGCCCCTCTGTTTTGGACAGTGTCTCCCATTAAGAATAGGTGTATTTACCTCATTCTTATACTCCTATTGTATCTAGGAAGTAATTAATTTGCTTTTGATTTTACAGGCACAAAGGCAGAAGGGACTAGCCTTGTCTCAGATGAGACTTTGGACTGTGGACTTTTGAGTTAATGCTGAAATGAGTTAAGATTTTGGGGGACTGTTGGGAAGGCATGACTACTTTTGAAATGTGGGGACGTGAGATTTGTGAGGGGCCAGGGGCAGAATGATAAGGTTTGACTGTGTCCCCACCCAAATGTCATCTTGAATTCCTATGTATTGTGGGAGGGACCCAGTGCGAGGTAATTAATCTTGCAGGCAAATCTTTCCCATGCTGTTCTCATGAGAGTGAATAATTCTCATGAGATATGATGGTTTTAAAAATGGGAGTTTCTCTGCACAAGCTCTCTTCTCTTATCTGCCACCATGTGAGACGTGCCTTTCACCTTCCACCTTGATTGTGAGGTCTCGCCAGCCATGTGGAACTGTAAGTCCAATAAACCTCTTTCTTTTGTAAATTGCGCAGTGTCAGGAATGTCTTTATCAGCAGTGTGAAAACTAATACACCCAGGCTGGAGTGCAGTGGCACTATCTCAGCTCACTGCAACCTCCACCTCAGGTTCAAGCAACTCTTGTACCTCAGCCTCCTGAGTAGTTGGGACTACAAGTGCATGCCGTCACACCCAAGTTTTTTGTATTTTTACTAGAGACTAGGTTTCACCATGTTGGCCAGACTGGTCTCAAACTCCTGACCTCAGGTGATCTACATGCCTTGGCCTCTCAAAGTGCTGGGCTTACAGGTATGAGCCACTATGCCTGGTGACTACATTTGTAATATTTTATATTTTATATAAGAAGGATACTCCTATAATGCTATGCACACTATGAAAGTTTATAATCTAAATGAAATGGAAAAGACTAACATATATGAAACAATAGGCATTTTTATTCAGTACTATTGCTGCTTTGATTAAATCTAGAGGAGAAAATATTCTCAAAAGAGATAGTACATAACACAAAGTGGAAGAAAGCTCCTATGTGTGAATTTAGATTCACAAGCTTTTTATAATAAAATATATTAATAGTAAATATTTTTGGCTTTTCTGGCCACACGGCACCTGTTGCAACTATTCAGTCTGCTGTCGGAATATGAAGCTGTTACTGACAATATGTAAATGAATGTGCATGGCTGTATTCCAGTAAAACTTTATTAACCAAAACTGGTGTTGAGCCAGATTCGGCCTGGGGACCATAATTTGCCAGCCCCGGTCTAGTTCATCACTTTCAAAGGGATACATCCCCTTTCCAATACGAAATAGCAAGAAAGGGACCAAGGCCAGGTAGAATTTTTGTAGATAACCCCTGAAATCCCAGAACATAAGAAACACTTATGTTTGAATATAATTTCAAGCAAATGTGATGGATGTTTTATTAATATATTGTTTTATATTATCCATGTAAATTTCTGCCTCCATTAGACAGATTCTTTAGACTTTCCCAACTAGACAAATCTCTTCCTAAGCTCCCTGTCATTAAATTTCCTTGGCAATTGAGATGGCTTTGACAAAAGTCTAGACATCAAATTTGGGTAATTAAAAGCTTACTTACACTTAAAAAGAAAAATAAAAGACTTTCTTTTTTTTTTTTTTTGAGATGGAGTTTCACTCTTGTTGCCCAGGCTAGAGTGCAATGGCGCAATCTCAGCTCATTGCAACCTCTGCCTCCCAGATTCAAATGATTCTCCTACCTCAGCCTCCCGAGTAGCTGGGATTACAGTCATGTGCCACCACACCTAGCTAATTTTTGTATTTTTAGTAGAGACAGAGTTTCACCATGTTGGCCAGGCTGTTCTCTAACTCCTGACCTTGTGATCCACCTGCCTCAGCCTCCCAAAGTGCTGGGATTGCAGGCCTGACCCACTGCGCCCAGCCAAGACCTTCTTTTCTATCACTGATATATGTCTGTTTTCTTAACTCTTTCCTAGAAATCCAAATATTTTGCTACATTAGAAAGTAGAGCAGAACAAACTATTGAATAAGTGCATCTTCACCACAACTTAAACATTATGACTTTTCACTCCACCCTCTACTGTGTAGATATATCACAACACATTCAAAATTGTGAACAGATAATGTTAGTAGCTGCAGTATGACCCTAAGTTATTTTAGTGATAAACTACTAATAAAAAATTTCAGGCCAGGCACGGTGGCTCATGCCTGTAATCCCAGCACTTCAGGAGGCGAGACAGATGGATCACTTAAGGTCAGGAGTTTGAGACCAGCCTGGCCAACATAGTAAAATCCCGTCTCCAATAAAAATACAAAAATTAGCTGGGTGTGGGGGCACATGCCTGTAATCCCAGTTACTCGGGAGGTTGAGGCAAGAGAATCACTTGAATCTGGGGTGACAGAGGGTGCAGTAAGCACAGATCACACCACTGCACTCCAGCCTGGGTGACAGAATGAGACTCCATCTCAAAAAAAAAAAAAAAGAAAAAGAAAAACAATTTCAGTGTTACCAAATACAATTATTAAGTTAGCTGGCTATTTTTTAAATTAATGTACTAATACTTCTCTAATATTCTTTCCCATGGAAAAATTATGAAAGTGATTCATCAATTATCATGATCCATTTACCACAAATAATAGTCAATATATATTATATGCCAGGCAATATGTAAAGTGTTAGACATTTATTTAACTATTTACTAGTCAAAGCAATTCTTTATAATGTAGGTACTATTATTACTCTCATTATACCATGATGAGAAAACCGGGCTATAAAGAGGTTGTAAAGCATGCCAAAGTCACACAGCTAGTAAGTAGCAGAGCTAGAATTCGAAAGCTGGTGGTCTAGGTTCCCAATGCTAATGAGGCCAAAGCCATGACTGTTTACACAGAAATGCTAGTCCACTGAATTGCCAGTATGCCCTACACTATGCCTGCAAAATATCACCATTGGCAAGAGGGATGATGAAACGAAAGTGGGAGGTGAATACAGAAAAATATAAGCCTCAACTGGTAAGTGAGGGAGAAGCACCTGAAAATTTATACCTAAGGACCCAAAAGTCATTATTCAACAAATGCTGTAAGTCAGTAAATCCTCCTTATAGACATGGCAAACACATTTATTTCAGGCTTTAGGATCAGATTAGCCTATATTTAGATACTAGTTCCACTACTTACTAGCTAGTTTTTTGACTAATTAAAATCTATGAAACTCAGACTACTCTTGTATAAGATCAGAACAATAATCCATGCTCCCCCATTATTATGGGGATTAGAAATGCTCATGGGGGACCAGAACATAGTGGGTGCCCCCCAAAATGGTATCTCTTACTAGTCAAAGTTTTGTTTGTTCACTTTTAAGTACAGAAATGAAAGCATTGCTATGATAACAAGTTGAAGAGATGCTAGAATCTGAATAAAGTTGAAAATCCATCCAAACATCTGAAAGACTTGTCTATATGAATTTTTGATTTCACATAATTTATGGATTATCTAAAAACATCATTAAAAATACAGCTATGATTAATCATTGCTATGGATGTTTGTGCCCCTCCAAATCTTACTGTAAAATGTGACTCTCAATGTTGGAGGTGGGACCTGGTTGGGGGGTGACTGGATCATGGGGGTGAATCCCTCATAAATGGTTTCACACCATCCCCTTGGTAATAAGTGAGTTCTCACTCGGTTCACACAAGATCTGGTTGTTTACAAGTCTGAGACATCCCCCTTCTCTTGCTCTTGCTATTGCTCTCGCCATCTGACATTCTGTCATGATTGTAAGCTCCCTGAGGCCTCGCCAGAAGTAGATTCAGCATCATGCTTCCCGTACAGCCTGCAGAATGGTGAGCCAACTAAACCTCTTTTCTTTATAAATTACCTAGCTTCAGGCATTCCTTTATAGTGACACAAGAATGGACTAGCACAGTCATAAAGACAAATTCTCTAGAAGACTGTCTCGAGTTTTCATCTGAAACAACTACATCTATCCAATTACAGTCATGTGTTGCTTAATGACAAGGATATGTTCTGAGAAATGCACTGTTAGGTGATTTTGTCTTTGTGCAAACAAGATAGGTGGTATTTACATCTAGACTGTACAGACGACTGTACACACAGACTATATGGTAGGGCCTATTGTTCCAGGCAACAAACCTATACAGTATTACTCTACTGAATACTCTAGGCAACTGTAATGCAATGCTAAGTGTTTGTACATCTAAACATATCTAAACACAGAAAAGGTAATGCTTTGTGCTACAATGTTAGGATGGCTATAACTTTACTAGGCAATAGGAACTTTTTAGTTCTATTATAATCTTATAGGCCGCGCATGGTGGCTCACACTTGTAATCCCAGGACTTTGGGAGGCTGAGGCAGGAGAGATCAGCCTGAGCAACATGGTGAGACCCAACCTCGACAAATGTTTTCTTCTTTTTTTTTTTTTTAATTTGTTGGGCATGGTGGCAGGTACCTGTGGTCCCAGCTGCCCAGTAGGAGGCTGAGGTGGGAGGATGGCTTAAGCCCAGGAGGTCAAGGCTGCAGTGAGCTATAATGATGCCACTGCACTCCAGCCTGAACAACAGAGCCGGACTCTGTCACAAAAAAACAATATATTTTATGGGACCACCTAAATATATGTGGTCCCTTGCTGAATGAAACATTGTTACATAAGGTGTATTAAGACATTATTTGAATTCATAGAGCTTCCTGCCTTGTCTGTGGCTACAGTATATTGTGAAGATACCTTCAAGCCTGGGCAAGCCTTACAGGACTAGGACAGGCTGAACATCCACCCGCCACCCCACTCTCATCTGCTCACTTTCAGTTTAAAGCAACACCCACATCTATTTTCCCCAATGCGCTACATAAATATTATCATTTCATTATTTTCTATGTGAGCCTTGATATATCAAAGATAGGAAAGAATTGTATTACTGGATGCCATCTGATACATTAGTCATTAAATAAAGAGGTAGTGGCAATCATACTTTAATGTAGCTAAATTATACTTCAGTAAAAATTTTTAATACATGATATATTAATTATATGACATTATGCACAATCATAAAACACAGATAATATTTCAAGGAGTTGTTGTTAATTCAGAAGACCAAAAGAACTATAGAAAGACATAGATACAAGCAAAAAAAAAGAAGAAATAAAGAGACCAAGTATATTCATAAAATTGTTTTAATTTTCTAATTTTCTCTAAGAGAGATAATGGGGCACACATCATACTTGCTGAACCCCATTCACAACCTGAATTTTAAAAAAAGGAAAAAAGCAAAATAATGTTATACAACCATATGATTATGATGACTAAAATAATAAGACACATAATTACGTTGCAATATTTAAACACAAATTGGCAATGACCTGGCAATTTAGGAGTAGTAAAGTCATAAATAAGGAAAAAGACATATCCCCATGGATGAGGTAGGCAGCAGAAAGCCTCAGGTAGGTTAAAGTTAGTGAGATTAATTCCAGCAGACAGCAAATTTCAACTGTTTTCTATTCATCCAGGTAGTACTAAGCAATTATTTTTCATGTAATTCCATTGTTGCCACTATGTGTTAGGTTCTGTTTTCAAATTTAAACCAACCTATTACATACCTTTATTACAGGAAAGCTTAAACGAAATGCATTTGTGTAAGAGATGTAGATACAAACTTCAGAATATTCATGTTAACCATCATTGATCTCTGCTTTGATGGAGGTGATTTTTGATGTAAAATAAGCCGAAATTACACTAAAATAATGGGAAAAGAGTTATGAATATAAAACTTTGAATTCATTAAGTATAACCAGAATATACATATATAGATTGTTTTCTTTATAGGAGAGTCTACTTTAGTTCTAATGGTACTGCTATTATTTAAGTATGTTAAGCAAAACAAATGAGTTTCTTAAACTGCAGTCTCATCACCTAACAAGTTTAGGTGTCTACAAGTTAATGATGATTACCAAAACAATTGTCTCAGTTCACTCAAGCTGCTATAACATAACAAAATACTATAGACTAACAAGACATTTGTTTCTCACAGTTCTGGAGGCTAAAATGTCTAAGAGCAAGGTACCAGCAGACCTGGTATCTGGTGAGGGCCCATTTCCTGTTTTACAGGCAGTGCTTTCTTGCTGTGTCCTCACATGGTGGAAGGTGCAAGACATCTCTAGAGTTTCTTTTCCTTGTTGTTGTTTTTTTTCTTTTTTTTTTTTTTTTTTTTTTTTGAGACAGAGTCTCGCTCTTTCGCCCAAGCTGGAGTGCAGTGGCGAGATCTCGGCTCACTGCAAGCTCCGCCTCCCGGGTTCACGCCATTCTCCTGCCTCAGCCTCCCGAGTAGCTGGGACTACAGGCGCCCGCCACCGCACCCGGCTAATTTTTGTATTTTTTAGTAGAGACGGGGTTTCACCGTGTTAGCCAGGATGGTCTCGATCTCCTGACCTCGTGATCCACCCGCCTCAGCCTCTCAAAGTGCTGGGATTACAGGTGTGAGCCACTGCACCCGGCCTTTCTTGTTGTTTTAAGACACGGTCTTGGTCTGTCGCCCAGGCTGGACTGCAATGGTGTGATCATGGCTCACTGTAACCTCACTCCCACCTCAGCCTCCCATGTAACTGGGACTACAGGTGCACACCACTATGCCCATGTAATTTTTTTTCTTTTTTTTGGAGAGATGAAGTCTATGTTATCCAAGCTGGTCTCAAACTACTGGCCTCAAGCAATCCCCCCACCTCAGCTTCCCAAAGTGCTGAGATTGAGCCAAGAAGCTCAGCCCTTGCAGTCTCTTTTATAGGACACTAGTCTCATTCACGAATACTCTTCCTTCATGACCTAATCACCTCCCAAAGGCTCCATCTCCTAATACCATCACCTTAGGGGTTAGGATTACAATGTATGAAACCAAGAGAGACATAAAACACTCAGTCCATTGCAAGTCAATTCAATTTTTGGCTATGTTAATACCAGAACAAAGCAGAGGAAATATAAGAAAAATATCCCACTATACTCTATGAGACGTGTATTAACAGAATGCCATTGTGCATGGCTTTATTTTTTTCTTTTGAGACAGAGTCTCACTCTGTTGCCCAGGCTGGAGTGTAGTGGTGCAATCAGGGCTCACTGCAGCTTGGAACTGCTGGGCTCCAGTGATCCTCCTGCTTCAGCCTCCCAAGTAGCTGGGATGACAGGTGCATGCCACCACGCCTGGCTATTTTTTTTAATATAATTTTAGATTCAGAGACCATATGTGCAGATTTGTTACATGCATACATTGTGTAATGGTGAGGTTTGGGCTTCTAGTGTACCCATCACCCAAATAATAAACAATGTATCCAGCAGATAATTTTTCAACCCTCATTCCCCTCTCCTTCTACACCCTTTTGAAGTCCCATTGTCTATGAATTCAATCTTTATGTCTATGTGTACTCATCATTTAGCTCCCACTTACAAGCAAGAACATGTGGTATTTGATTTTCTGTTTCTGAGTTATTTCACTGAGGATAATTACCTATAGGCCTCCAGTTCTATATGTGTTTCTGCAAAAGACAGTATTTCTTTTCTTTTCTTTTTTTTTTTTTTTTTTTTTTTTTGAGACAGGGTCTAGCCCTGTCGCCCAGGCTGGAGTGCAGTGGCACGATCTTGGCTCATTGCAACCTCGGTCTCCCAGGCTCAAGCCCAAGCGATTCTTGTGCCTCACCCTTCTGAGTAGCTGGTACTACAGGCATGCATCACCACGCCCGGCTAATTTTTGTATTTTTGGTATAGACGGAGTTTCACCATGTTGGCCAGGCTGGTCTTGAACTCCTGACCTCAAGTGATCCGCCTGCCTCGGCCCCGAACATTTTATTCTTTTTTATGACCAAATTGTATTCAGTTTCATTTATCCATGCAACTGTTGATGGACACTTAGGTTGATTCCATGCCTTTGCTATCGTGAATAGTGTTGCAATAAACATTCAAGAGCATGTGTCTTTTTTTGTATAATGATTTCTTCTAAGTAGATAAACAGTAGTGGGATTGCTGAATTAAATAATTCCATTTTTAGTTCTTTGAGACATCTCCACACTGTTTTGCACAGAGGTTGTACTAATTTACATTCCCACCAACAGTGTTTGTGTTCCCTTTTCTCTGCATACTTGCCAACACCTGTTTTTTTTATTTTTTAATAGTAGCCATTCTAAATGGTGTGAGATGATGTCTTATTGTGGTTTTAGTTTGTATTTCTTTGATGATTACTAATGTTGAGCATTTTTTCATGTTTCTTGGCTGCTTGTATGTCCTTTATCCACTTTGCAATGGGGTTGTTTTTCTTGTTGAGTTCCTTGTAGATTCTGGATGTTAGTCCTTTGTTGGTGGCATAATTTGCTAATAATTTCTCACATTCTGTAAATTGTCTTTTACCTCTGTTGGTTATTTCGTTTGTCGTGCAGAAGCATTTTAAGTTTGATGAAATCCTATTTGTCTATTTTTCTTTTTGTTACATATGCTTTTGATGACTTAGTCATAAATTCTTTGCCTAGGCCAGTGTCCAGAAGAGCTTTTCCTGGGTTTTCTTCTATAATTTTTATAGTATCAGGTTTTACATTTAAGTCTTTAATCCAACTTAATTTTTGTATAAAGTGAGAGATACGGGTTCAGTTTCATTTTTCTGTATATGGCTAGCCAATTTTCCTAGCAACATTTATTGAATACAGTGTCTTTTCTTCATTGTTTATTTTTCTCAACTTTATCAAAGATCAGTTGGTTGCAGGCACATGGCTTTATTGCTGGGTTCTCTACTCTGTTACATTGATCTGATCCTATTTTTGTACCAGTACTATTCTCTTTTAGTTACTATAGCCTTGTAGTAAAGTTTGAAGTCGTAATGTGAGGGCTCCAGCTTTGTTCCTTTTGCTTAGGACTGCTTTGGCTATTCGGGCTCTTTCTTGATTCCATACGAACTTTAGGATTGTTTTTTCTAATTCTGTGAAAAATGACATTGGTAATTTGCCAGGAATTGCATTGCATCTGTAGATTACTTTAGGCAGTATGGTCACTTTAACAATATTGATTCTTCCAATTCATGAGCAAGGAATGTTTTTTCATTTGTTTATATCATCCACAATTTCTTTCATCAGTGTTTTGTAGTTCTCCTTGTACAGATCTTTCACTTCCTTGGATAAATGTATTCCTAGGCATTTTACTTTCTGTGTGTGTGGCTACTGTAAATGGCATTGTGTTCTTGATTTGGTTCTCAGCTTAAATGTTAAATGCTTTCAACTTTTTCCCATTCAGTATGATGTTGGCTGTGGGTTTGTCATAGGTGGCTCTCCTTATTTTGAGGTATATTCCTTTTGATGCATAGTTCGTTAAGGGTTTTTATCATGAAAGGATGCTAGATTTTATTGAATGTTTTTTCTGATCTACTGAGATGATCATAAGATTTTTGCTTTTAATTCTGGTTAGTACAAGGCATTTTGAAAGAGATATTGAAAACAGAAGGGTAAGAGAAGGGTAATACATGAAAAATAGGGAGCATTAAAAAAAACCCTGGCCAGGCGTAGTGGCTCACATCTGTAATCCCAGCACTTTGAGAGGCCGAAATGGGTGGATCACCTGAGGTCGGGAGTTCGAGACCAGACTGACCAAGATGGAGAAACCCTGTCTCTACTAAAAATACAAAATTAGCTGGGTGTGGTGTCGCATGCATATAATAATCCCAGCTATTCGTGATGCTGAGGCAGTAGAATCACTTGAACCCAGGAAGCAGAGATTGCTGTGAGCCAAGATCACACCACTGCACTCCAGCCTGGGCAAAAAAGAGTGAAACTCTGTCTCAAAAAAAAAAAAAAAAAAGGAAATCTTCATTCATTCACTTGTTTCAAAAACTTTGCTGAGGGCTAATCTTAATCTTAATATTGAAGCTTTTAAATTATCTTGTGTTTCAAAGATCTCTGAGAAAATTATTTCCTTTGACAATGTTATCCCCATGTTTAAGAACATAAAATCTGTATATTGAGCATACTTACCAAATATTGATTTGAACCATTATTATTGCTTCTAATAAAACTCTCATTAATATCTTTTATATGTTGAATGTGTTTGTCTTGCAGGTGGTAGGTGATGGAGACAGAGAAAGAGAGATAAAGAAATACAGAGAGATACCTTGTTAACTCAGAGATATTCTAACAAATTTTTATAATGTCATCAGAGATTTTTCTACTCTGAATAATTCAAATCATTGAGCTTTTGCCTTAAAAAAATGCAGAATACAAAGAGATTTATCATGTGAGTGCAACTACTTCTGCTTTCTCAAAAGGTTGACCAGGCTTATGGTCTTTGAAAGGGCAACTGAGATAACCATGTGCTCAATACAATTAGAATATATCTAAACTTTTTAATGGTTTACCTATCTTCTTTTTCACACATCAAGTCAAATGGGTAGGGAAAGAGGCTTATAAACAAGAGAAAACCTAACTAACTATTGAACGAATTCAATCTGGCTAAAACATGGAATATAAAGAGGAATGGCAAGAGATGAAGTTAAATAGGCCAGATAATAAGGGTCTTACAGGTCATGTTAAGGTGATTAAATTTTATTCTGAGGTTAATGAAGAATCTTTGAAAGATGTGAAGCAGGGTTGTGATTTACTTTATAGTAAGATCATTTCTCTATCTCAAATGTGATAATGGACTTGGAAACACTACAAGCAAAGAGATCAGTTAGGAAGCAGTGGCATTAATCAGCTAAAAGATGAGTTTAAAAAGTTGGGAATCAAAAACGTATTTAAAATTATTTTATGTAAAAAACTATCCCTAAGCCTCCCATTACTGGACAGAAAGTATTAAACAGAAAGTATTAAAGACAAATCGTTAAATGATAGATCCTAGAGCAGTTTGCTTGTATGTAGCTGATGGCCAATGTTGGTCCAGACAGTATTTTAAAAAAATTTGCCAAACTTTAAAAATCAGGAAATTACATACACACAGGCACATACATCCAGATTTGTAGCCTCTCTAGGTAACAGGAAGATGTTGTAACCTGGGCCATCATTCCCACATAGTAAAAATTGACTACAGCTGGTTAGTGATTACTCATCTTAAATAGGGCATACATTCTCCAGTTTTTTCGAGTCTGTGCAATTTTTTACTTATCAGCATGGATACCATCTGTTAATTACCATTGATCACCTCTACACTTCAGTCGTCTATTTCACCTACATTGCCTCTACAGGCATTTGAGATTGGGACTTGTGTATAAAAGAATATGTAAATACTTTACTTAATTTTTAAAAATGACATTCTGTCATTTAAAATGACATTTTAAAATGACATTCTGTTTTTAGGAGGAAATCAGTGAGTGACAGAAACACAATATACTAGAGATTTCTGAAAGAAACATGTACAAGGACATGAGAAAGTTAACAGAATAATTCCTTGTATCATCAATGTAGGAGTAATCACAGGTCTTTATTTAACTTGGTACCACATATCACTTGGTGTCACTTTGGTCTCATAACAACTCAAATCTCTTCTCTCCAAAAAAGAAAAAGTACATTTTAAAAGTTCAACTTGGATTTAAAACTTCTCAAAATGAACCAAATACACAATCAGCTGTTCATTAGCTAACTACCTCATCTAGATTTTCTTCAGATAAAATTATTTTTAAAGTGATTAAAAAAGAGAAAGAACAGAATACCAAAAGTAAAAGCAGAAACACTTGCCATTTTAGATTACCTTACCAGAAAAGTATTCTAATATTTGTACCAACACTATTTTCAATTAAATCTAATAAGCAAATATAATTCCAAGGATATGAAAAGGAACTGCTAAGATAATTGTTCTGAAAGCACTCCAATTAAAGATGAAAATACATAATGCTTTATTTTGGCAAAAGAATGATCCAGTGGCACAGACAAGCAGTGACTTCTGTAACATTTAATAATCTGTAGACAAAATGCAAATAGCAACAACCCCCAAAACCTCTATAATATAAATCTTAATCAGAATATAAAACTGTGTTAATTTTCTCTTATAGAAAATAAAACAAAAAATAATCTTCACATCACAACCTACGTTGTAACCATACGTTTTACTATATGAACATCTAATTCATTTTAAAAATTAATATTAAAAGTAATTATAGCAAGGGAGCTTTTCGCAATTTATTCCTGGCTAATATTACATTTTAAAATATGTTTTTAAAACCTAAAGAATAATTTAAATTATAATACTGACAAATATTAGACTTTGAAAGTCATTTATTTTTTCCAAAATTCTTTATTTTTTCAAATTTCAAAATCACTATTCTTTGTATATATAACAACATTTACAGAAATGACTTGTGTGATTTTTTTACCATTTAGCATAAAGACATGTCATTTGTAATTTTCTTTTAAGTGAAAAATAAAAATTTAGTAAAAACAGTACTATATATCAGAGAGTTGTTCCACAACTAACTTATGATTTTAAGCAAAAGTAATATAAAAATGAAAAACTTGTATTAGACAAGAGTATACAGATCAATTTTTATCATCTTTGTTAAATGAATAATTTCATAGAAAGCCTTTCAAATTCATTCAAATGAATACCAAGATACATATTAAATAAGCTGATTTTCCTAGGGCAACTGTAAGAAATGAATTGCCAAGTCCAGTCAACTTCTAAAGGCCCTGTGAGCTCTTCTAAACCCAACTCTAGGTTAGTAAAGTAGAATTACCAGGCAGAAGTGGAACGTCTACAAATAGAAGGTGAGTTACTGTGTGTACCGATGTCAAAGTAGTAAACTCCTTACTCCCCCAAGACAGGAGGAAAAAACAAAGGTCTCATTAAGTAGATAGTATTTCCTTTCACATATACAGCAGTGGGTCAAATGAGGAGATGCATAACTGATATCTGAACAACGAAGATTTTAAAGATATAATGACTAATGTCATTAACAAATGAAATTGCTCTCAGAATACTGAAAAGATGCAATGAGGAAAAAACGTGCTATTAATATTTTAGAAGTGCTTGCTCTGGGAACACAACATTTACAACTCCACTAAGAGAAAACAAAGGGAGGCAGTATGAAGACCATGAAATATAAACAAGTTTTTGTTTGCCAATGCAGTTGTACAACAGTATGAAAATCAACAATAAATACTTTATGGCATTCTGGTAGCAAAAGAAGCCAAGCACTTGGGTCAACCTGCCATTTTTTCTCTATTCATGTTTTGTTACTGCTTTTGCTCTTTCCTCCTAATCTACAACTTCTTATCATTTCTTTTCCCTTTTGCCTATGTTTAATGTCTGTTTTTATCTAAGACTGCTATTATCATTCATCTAAAGGGTCCTTTCCTTTTTCTAGGCACTGTATTGAGAAAATGTCTAAACTGGCCTGAGATAACCTTGAATCACTGTTGTCAATAATGTTGCCAAACATAATTCCATGATTCAATCCAATTATATATTATCTCAACTTTACTCAGCCTTTAAGGGGTTTTTTTTTTTTTCCAATTGTCAGTTCTCTGATTTCAACTACTTTTCCTAAAAGATTCTCTAGTTCAACCAAATATTTGTTCTATAAAACTTGATCACACATCTATAATATTTATTAATATAGTACCTGATATACTAAAAGCTGCCCCTTTAACAGTATATAGCCTAGCAAGAGTGACAAGCCCTGTAAAATGTGCTAAGTAGTTTATAATGAAAACACATACTGAAAGCTATAATGTAATTAACTAGCAGTTACCATTTGCCCAACTCCATGTTAAAGACTTTTCAAGACACCATTTCGTTTTATCCTCAAGGAAGAGGATTTTGCCCCATTTTTAAAAATGAGAAATGGAGATTGTTCAAGGACACATAGCCAGTGCATGGCAAAAGAGAATTTAAAGCAAGATTTTATTAATTCCAAACCTAGGGGCTTAACAGTTACAAGTCTTAAAAGAATAACAAAGTATGAGCCCAATAGAAAAGGGCTATCCTGTGTTTATACTATATTCATATCCTCCTATATACATGCATCTCCCAACCTGAATGCCTTTTCTGAAATACTATTTTTCTCTCCTTTAGAACTTGCTCCAAACTCACCTCATGATTCCTTCCTGATAATATTGCTTCACTATAATTGCTCCCTCAGAATCTTTGTTTCGTTTCTGAAATATATTTAGAGTATTAAATTTGAACTCATTTGTAAACATTCTTTATAAGTAATTTCACAGGTGAGTATTCTATGACCTCAACTAGGTATTATCACACTTGGAAGTAGGTAGCAAGCCAGTATTTCTTTTGACCAGCCTCGGGTACCCAGTGTAGTAATTTACTAATGGTGACATAAAAGTAATTCTTGGGGGAGCACAAATCAATGATGAAAGAGTTTTTACTGAGTAAAAAGCAGTACTGTTATTTTCTAAATTGTCTTTAGTTATACTCTCCAGAGGTTGATAATAAAACATCATACATTAGATCAAAGAAAAATAGAAAAAAATTTATAAAATTTTGAGGAAAGAATAAACAATAACATAAAAGCAAATATACTCCTATGAAAAAAGAGCCCAAATGTGAAATAGGATCTACAATGTACAACTTCATCTATTCATGTATACAAATATTTTCATTTCCCTATAGAAAAGACTACTTAATAACTGTTTAGTAATTAGTCAACTCTCTTGATAGTGAAACAAATAAAAACATACATAATCCTTGATTAGATTCATGGATATAACTGAATATAAGCATTTCATATTTTATGTCTTGAATTGGGAATTTTATATAGCAACTGGTTTTCTATTATAGATATTTTTCATATGGCTTTTTATATAATCATTTTTTCTTATGAAACATATACATAGAGACTTTGTTGTTGCTCTTGCCTCAGACTATGTTTAAGGCAGCGAGTGGCATGTGAAGTGCGACCACAGCCGTTAAAGCTAGGAACAATACACATTCACAATTTTAAAACATTAAAATATAAAATTAAAGGGCAAAATATGGAGCATCATTTTTACAAAGGTACTGGGTGGAAAATTCATTATCTTAACAGTGAGCAACAGAATCATTCTTACAGAGGGAATTAATTTAGAAAAAAAACATTGATAATTCACTTGGGGTGAAAATAGGATCAAAGAGCCTGCTATGTTAGGTTCCAGTATATAAATAAGGATAGCTAATTTGCTTTGCATCATAAATGATCAAAAATGTAAGGATAGGTGGGTACAGAGAAGAGGGCTGACAAGGGGAAGAGAGAGAGAAAAAGAAGACATCAGCAATACTGAATTAAACAAAGGCAAGACATGACGCTGAAGGAAGTGGCAAAATTAAAATCTGGTGTTAGAGTAACAAAAGGACTTTCAAGAACAGATGTCTCATATTTCATGTGAAATTCTTTGTTAGTCCTACAATGAAGTGCTGTCCCTCCAAATCCAGATATTTATAATAAGGTGTAATTTTTTATGTCTTTTGTGGGTAGATTTTGTAAATGAAGATGAATTTCAAATCTGGAACAACACAATGGAAAAACATTCAGCAAGCATACATGACAAAAAGATCTCTAAACCGAATTTATTCAGTAAAAGCAAGAGCTCACAGAAAGCAGCAATATTGACAATATGAAATTCCTCTTTTACCTTACCTCTGCAAAGGATTTTGTAATTCCAAATGAAATAAGAGTCCAGTGGATCTTACCAATCTTTGGAAACAAACAGATACAGTCTAAGGAATATTTGAAATTTACATGAAATTAGAAAGATGCCAGTTATATAATTAACTATAATTTAAATATTGATATTCATTAAAAATAGATAAGATAATTAAATTGGTATGTACTGGTGAAAAAATAAATCATTAAGAGAAGTAGATACTTAGAATAAATTATCTAGATGGAGATATATACAATACCAGCATGTCATTGAAATTCAAGCTTATGGCTGGGTGTGGTGGCTCACGCCACACCCAGGGAAGTGTAATCCCAGCACTTCAGGAGGCCAAGGCAGGTAGATCAGGAGATCAGGAGTTCAAGACCAGCCGGACCAACATGGAGGAACCCTGTCTCTACCAAAAATACAAAAGTTAGCCAGGCGTGGTGGCACACGCTTGTAATCCCAGCTACTCAGGAGGCTGAAGCAGGAGAATCGCTTGAACCCGGGAGGCAGAGGTTGCAGTGAGCCAAGATCACGCCATTGCACTCCAGCCTGGGCAACAGGGAGAGACTCTGTCTCCCAGAAAAAAAAAAAAAAAATCAAGCTTATTTGGTGGCACTGGTCATCTTTGTTCAAAAGAAACTATAGGTTTCCACTTAAATCAAGGTGAAGTAACAGATACCAGGCTTTATGTGCCCATCTTATTAAGAAAACCAGAGTAACTATATAAAAACACTGTTTTCAGGCAATGAACAAGAACACTGAACTATGACTCTGAGAGAAGGGAAACAAGAAGATCAATCCCCATGCAGTCTCCAAGAGGTAGCAGAGAAAGAAGGAAGCCACACAGAGCTTTGCTATCTCACTGAGTTGAGGAGACAGAGATCCGTTTGGGGAGGCCAAGGCAGCTAAAATTTGTGGGAAACAATACTGAGATACTAAGGCTATCCAAAAATAGATCTCTAAAGATCTGCATGGAGATCCATTCCAGATATTAACTCACAATTGATCTGCCGACGTGTGAGTAGAAATCACTTAAGACCAGAAAAAGAATCACTGGAAAATTGTAGAGCAAACAATTTTCAGAGTTCTCAACAGTTCAGAAGACAGATTTCCACCATTTATAATGAAGAGACACCCAAGAACACTGGGGACATTCAGAAGAGACCCCAGAGAGTCATGCTTTAGTGAGTGCAGCTGGAGAAAAAAAGACATATCATCTACAAGAGAACAAAGATGAGAATTACAGCCAACTTTTCATCAGAAACTATCAAAGACAATGGAGCATACTTTAAAGCACTAAAAGAAGACAGTGAAATCATCAATTTACCAATCTAAGCCCAATAAAAATATCTTTTAATAATTAAATACGTTTTTCAGACAAAAACTCGAAAAATTATTGCTACTACATCAGAAATGATAAACCAAGTTCTTAAGGTAGATGTAAAATTATATAAATAGAAATTTGCATGTATACAAAGTTATAAAAATGACAAATGTATGATAAAGCATATAAGGATTCTCAGTTTAAACACTTTAAAAATAATTGTTTAAGGCAAAAATTATTGTAGGGTTTAGTAAACTTATAAAAGTAAGAAAACAGGCAAGAGGAAGAAAAATGGAAGTATACTATCTGAAGATTCTTATACTTTTACATGAAGTGAAATAACATTATTCGGTGGTAAACTCTGAAAAGTTAAACATCATGTTGTCAACTTTGGAGTAAACACTAAACAAATAAACAAAAAGACGCACATGCTGAGACGAGTGGAAACAAAATATCATAAAATATGTCCATTTTATCTAAAAGAAAGAAAAAACAGGGTGACAGTAACAAGAAAAAAAAACAGATAAGAGAAATAGAAAACAAACACCAAGATAGATTTAAGCCTACACATAGAAATAATTACATGGAAATTAAATGGTCTAAATACTCTAATTAAAAGGCAGAGCTTGTCAAATTGAATTAAAAAAAACTATTTACCATCTAACCAGAAAAACTACTTGAAATATGAAAAAAAATAGATTAAAAGTAAAGGCTGAAAGATGAATAATACGCAATCACTAACCAAAAGAAAGCTGGAATTTCCATATTAAATCAGAAAAGAAGTTCTGAGAGCAATGAGTAATATTAATACAAAGAAGAGAGTTACACAGTGATAAAGGGGTCAATTCATCAGGAGAACATAATAGTCCTAAAAGTTCATGCATTTAATAAATATCTTTAAAATACATGAAATAAAAGCTTACAGAACTTAAAGAGAACTAGAAAATATGTAAATTAGAGACTTCAACATGTCTTTCTCAGCAATTGATAAAACAAGTGGAGAAAAAAAATCAGTACATATACAGAAGACTTAATACCATTAACTGACTTGATCTAATTAACATTTGTAGCCCATTCCGTATTTATAAAGTCCATGTGGAACAATCACCAAGATGGATCACGTTCTGGGTCATAAAAAAATCTTAATAAATTTAAAAGATTAAAATTATACAAAGTATGTTTTTCTCACCATAACAGAATTAAATTATAAATCAGTAACAGAAATATATATGGAAAATCCCAAATATTAGAATCCCAAAATTCTTTCAAATGACACATGGATCAACAGAATTATAATAGAAATTAGAAAACGTTTTGATTGAAAGAAAATGAACACACGTCATGTCACAATTTATGGAAAGCAATTAAGTCAGTGCTTAGAAGTAAATAGGCTTAAATGCTCATGTTAGAAAAAGAAAAAAAACTCTTAAATCATCTTGCTTAAGCTTCCACCTTAAGGAAGTTAAAAAAAAGTAAAAAAATTGAACCCTAAAATAAACAGAAAGAAGAAAATAATAAAGGTGAAAGCAGAAATCTATGAAATAGAAAATGGACAAACAATACAGAAAATCAAAAAAACCAAAAGCTGGTTATTTAAAAGAATCAATACAATTGGTAACCCTCTAACCAGATTTATCAAGAAAAAGAAATGAGAGAAGACATCACTCAGATTATACATGCATCAAAAGCATAAGGAGAAAATATTATGAACAACAAATGCCAATATATTCAATAACTTAGATGAAACAAAAAAAATCCTTGAAAGATGTGAGTCAACATGAAATAGATAATACAAATAACCATTCTCAAAGAAAGATGTTAAACTTAAGTTTAAAAACCTTCTCAAAACAAAATTTCAAGCCTATCATAGCCTCACTGGAGAACTGTATCAAACGTTTAAGCAAAAAAAATAAAAATAAAAATAAATTGATTCAACATAAACTTTTTTCAGAAAATCCAAGAGGAAGGACATTTCCCAACTCGTATGATGAAGCCAACATTATACTAATTCAAAACCAAAAACATTACAAGAAAGGAAAACTACAAATCAGTATCTCTTATGATCACAGACATAAAAATAAGTCCTTAACAATATTTTAGCAAATTTAATTTCCCAATATATAAAACACATAATAAAACATGACTAAGTGAATGCAAGATGGACTTATGATTCAAAAAATATATTATGTAATTCCCCATAACAAACTAAAAAAGAAAAGCAAAAAAAAATGATCATCTCAACAGATGTCAAAAGGCATTTCAGAGAATTTGACACCTATTCATGATAAATATTTTAGGCAAAGTAGAAGGGAACTTCTCAATCTTATACATGGCATCTGTTAAGGACTGCACTGCATCCCCCCAAAATTCGTATGTTGAATCTCTAACCCTCAATCTGACTGTATTTGGAGATAGGGTCTTTAAGGGCATAATCAAGGTAAAATAAGGTAGCAAGGGTGGAGCCCTGATCTGATAGGAAGATAGCCCTAATTAGAAAGGAAGAGACAGCTGTGCTCGGTGGCTCACGCCTGTAATCCCAGCACTTTGGGAGCCCGAGGTGGGCGGATTACGAGGTCAGGAGATCAAGACCATCCTAGCCAACATGGTGAAACCCCGTCTCTACTAAAAATACAAAAAAAAAAAAAAAAAAAAAAAAAAAAAAATTAGCTGGGTGTGGTGGCGGGAGCCTGTAATCCCAGTTACTTAGGAGGCTGAGGCAGGAGAATCGCTTGAACTCAGGAGGCGGAGGTTGCAGTGAGCAGATACCATGCCACTGCACTCTAGCCTGGCAACAGAGCAAGACTCCGTCTCAAAAAAAAAAAAAAAAGAAAGAAAGGAAGAGACACCAGAGCTCGCTCTCTCTCTCTCTCCACCCACTATGAGAAAATAAATTGCCATTATTTAAGCCACCCTGTTAGTGATATTCTTTTATAGCAGCCTGAGAAGACTAATAAAGCATCTCTGAAAAGCCTACAGCTAACATCCTTCTTTATATGGTGAAATACTGAAAGCACTGAATGCTTTCTCTCTAAGAAACAAAAAAGGATGTCTGCTATTGCCACTTATATATTCAATATTGTACTGGACACATAAGCCAGTAAAAGAAGGCAGGAAAAAGAAAAAAAAAAGGCATACAGTTTGAAAACAAAGGAAAAAAATATATTTTCAGGAAAGAAAAATTGTCCATAATTGTCCATGCAGAAAACGCTGAGGAATCCACACGAAGATACTATAACTAATAAATGAGCTTACCAGGTACACAGGATACAAAGTCTACATAGAAAAATCAAAAGTGACATTTCTATATAATAACAACAAAAATTAGAAATTAATTGTTATTATATACTTTTTGAGATGTGTTTGCCACATTACCCATGCTGGTGTTAAACTCGGGAGCTCAAAGACATCCGTCCACCTCGGCCTCCCAAAGTGCTAGGATTACAGGCGTGAGCCACTGCGCCCAGCCAGAAATTAAAAATTTTTTAAGTGCCACTTCAAATGACACCAAAATATGAAATGTTTAGGAATGTTTTAAATATATGCAAGTCTTGTGCCCTGCAAATGACAAAACTTTGCTGACACAAGTTAAAAATGACATCAATAAGTGAAAAGACAACAACTGAGTCTTTCAGTTTATGAAATACTCAATATTGTTACAATGTCAATTCTCCCCAAATTGTTCTATTGACCAACAAAATCGAAATTAAAATTTCAGCAGGCTTTTTTGTAGATGTTGGCATATTTTTCTTATACTTTATGTGGAAATACAAAGGACATTAGTCATTAAGGAAATGCAAGTTAAACTACTATACACCCAGGGACCGGGTGCGGTGGCACACGCCTCTATTCCTGGCACTTTGGGAGGCCGAGACGGGCGGATCACAAGGTCAGGAGATCGAGACCATCCTGGCTAACACAGTGAAACCCCATCTCCACTAAAAATACAAAAAATTAGCCGGGCATGGTGGCAGGCGCCTGTAGTCCTAGCTACTCGGGAGGCTGAGGCAGGAGAATGGCATGAACCCGGGAGGCGGAGCTTGCAGTGAGCCGAAATCGTGCCACTGCAGTCCAGCCTGGGCAACAGAGCAAGACTTCGTCTCAAAAAAAAAAAAAAAAACCACTAGATATCCAATAGCTAAAATTTAAAAAACTGGCCATACTAAGTGTTGGCAAGCATGTGAAACACCTAGAATTCTCATACATTGCTAGCAGAAATGCAAAATGGTTCAGACATTTATAAAACAAGTTGGCAGTTTTTTATTTTATAAAGTTATATATGTAAACATATACTTACTTCAACTCATCAATCTCACTTCTTTTTAATTTACCCTAGGAAAATAAAAACTTATATCCATGCATGGACCTGTATGAGAATGTTCATAACAGCTTTATTCATAAAAGACAAAAACTCAGCTTAACTCATGATACCTAAATGTTCATATGTGGATAAACAAGTTGTGGGATAGCCATAACACTGCTCAGCAATAAAAAGAACAAACTACTTGAACATGAACAACATAGATGAATCTCACAAGCATTATCCTGAGTGAAAAAAGCCAGACATAAAAGACTATCTGCTGTAGTCTTTTATGTAAAACCTAAAAACTGTTGTGTAGAAAGCAGATCAATAGTTGCCAGAGTTCAGCAATAGAGGAGGAGGACTGACTGCACAGAGATGTAAGAAAAATTGTGGAGAAGGAAATATTCTCTATTGAATGTAGTCGGCTATATACCTATTAATGCATGTATACAAACTGTACTTCAATAAGGGTGATTACAAAAATAAGAAGAAACTGTATTGAAATGTATTAAAAAAATCAGTGAGAAAAACTCATAGGTATTTCACTGGAGATGGAAGGAAGGTAAGAAGAAAACACCATTCACTTAGTTTGTAGCTCTTGAACAACATCCCCAACATAGAATACCTAAACTTCCTCAGAGCATAGCTTGAAAACATCTTTTGTAAGTGAAGCATTTTAAATCAATAAGGAAGGCTGTGCAATTCATTAAGGGTACTAGCCATTGGAAATAAAACATTAAACTTTTGCCTTAAATCATATATAAGAATAAATTCCTTATAGAATTAAACATAAGAATCAAACTTCAAAAAGTAGCTGAAGAAAAATTTAAATAATTAATCTTATAACTTTATATAGGAAAAGCTTTTGTAAGCATAGCTCCACAGCCAGAAACCAGAAATAAGGACAAGATAAACAGATATTGAGAGGAAATAAAAATAAAATTAAAATTGACAATTTAGGGGAAAAGGCTAAAATATAAATGAGACAAATTATTAATATCCTTAATAAATACAAGGAGTTATTACTTAGAAATAAGAAAAAGAGGCCCACACTAATAAAAAAATAAGAAAAAGATATAACCAAGATATTCACAAAAGAAGTGCAATGGCTACTAAAAATTTCAAAATGTATTCAACGTCAATAAATAAAACAATGCTGACATACCAAATTTCACACACCTAGTTACTTGTAAGAGTGTGATAAAGGTGCACTTTCAAATACTGCTGATAGAAGAGTAAACTTACATCTTTCTAGCAAGGATTTTGTAATAAATATCAAATGTCTAAAATTTTATCATTTTTAATTTTAAAATTTATTCTATAATCAGATAGACATTAAAAGCCATTTCAGAATTATTTATATGGTGAAAAACTAGATATTCTAAATGTTTATCAATATCAGATGCCACAGACAGCATTTTTAATGCAAAGCCGTTAAAAATGAAGACATAGACCGGAGGTAGTGGTTCACGCCTGTAATCCTAGCACTTTGGGAGGCGGAGGCAGGTGGATTATTTGAGGTCAGGAGTTTGAGACCAGCCTGGCCAACATGGTTAAACCCTGTCTCTTCTAAAAATACAAAAATTAGGCGGGTATGGTGGTGGGTGCCTGTAATCCCAGCTACTCGGGAGGCTGAGACAGGAGAATCACTTGAGCCTGGGAGGTGGAGGTTGCAGTGAGCCAAGATCACACCACTGCACTCCAGCCTGGGAAATAGAATGAGACCCTGTGTCAAAAAAAAAAAAAAAGATATAAACCAATAATTATTGACATAGAAAGATGTACGAAGCAAGTTGCTAGATAAAATATGATTATATCTTCAGAGTAAACTTATTGAAAAAAATCTATCATCCTACTCATCTCAATGATGATCTCATCTCCTCCCCTCTCTAAACACACATACGTGCACACACATAGACACACACATGCTTGCACACGCAGAGATACACCCAAGGGTCTGGAAAGTATACACTAAAAGACCAATACAAGTTATCCATGAGTGGTAAAATTAGGAAAAGTTTCATTTTCCTCTTTGTAGTTGTCTATATTATCTAAATTATTTACGTGTAATAAAAAAGATTTTTACAGACCATTTGTAAGTTCAAATTTCAAATTGGGCAAGAGAAAGTAATTTGGAAATTTTCTAGAAATTAAAAAATGAGCTGTAGCTGGTCATCATAATCAAAGTTTACATAAAGTACAATCTATGATGATTTTTTAAAGTGTCAGAATAAAATACTAGAAAAATGCCTTGAGTTCTTTCCCACATGAAATGCTACTTAAGGACCTACTAAACAGTGTCCTTCCACTACCCTTATCCCTCATGCTTTATGTTATGATGACTTTATAGCTCCCAATAAAAGATAGCACAGACTTTAAGTTTCATTTCATTTAAAATTATTTCTCAGCTAGGTCTTAAGAAAATAGAATGAAACTGTGGTTTGTGGCTTATTTGAGAAAGATAACCTTGAATCTTAAACCTTCTCTGGCATTTTCTTGATCTTCACTAACCATGACCAAGGTAGAATGGTCTCATCTGCAAATTACTAAAAATAATCAGCGCTTAGAAGTGACCTTGGATGAAGCAATGTTAAATTGGTCAGGAAATTTTTTTGAGGCATCACTATTATTAACTCACAATTTTTTCATTTCACTCTGCCACTGATGCTTGGCAGGTTATAATTTTTCATTTTTGCACCTGGATGAAACTCAGTGAAGTAGAGATTATGGAGATAGTGGTGAAGAATTTTTACAATGGGATTTTCCCCTCATTTCATAATATTAGGTTACAAAATGGATCTCTATTTGAGACAACTTATCAGCTGAAGATACATAATCAGACTGTTAAGATAACAGTAATGATCTACAGTATATTTTAAGTTTTTTAAAAGTGCTGCATTCTATTTCGAGAGTTGATGTTATGACCAATTTGTGTACTTGGAAACATTTCCATTAGTGGAGATGGTTTAGGCTGATTATCCTTTTGACATCTTCATGCCTTCATGAGATAGTATGCTGGAGTTAAAGAAAATGACTGTAAAAACAGAAAACACTTCTCTATACGAGATGTCTAGTGACATGGCTTGAAAATAAACTTGTACTACTACTAATGAAGAAGAGCTCATCTTAAACAGGTGGCAACTATGTTTTGTGCATGCTTTCTCCTTCTTTATTTTCATAAGACCAGTTCCAATGCCAGTAGTCAGGTCTGGTGACATGTATCTATACCTATATTCTTTCAGAATCTCCTTTCAGGATGCTACTTACTCCTGACCAGCATATAATAGGCAGTAAATAGATGTAAACTCTCATTCCTTTAAGTAAGAGAGAGTAGAAAATTCCTTTAAAAATCAAGAATGATTCTCTGAAACAGAAGACAATGTTTAAACAGTTAGGATGGAGGCCTAGAGACAAGTCTCTTCTACTCTGCATAAACTAAGAAATGCCCACTTAAGTCTCCAATTCTCTTATCTCAATTCTACCAATAGCATCTAATTGCATGTAGAGCCATGTCTGGTTTGAATACCAAACTAGAAACAAGTACTTCCTAGAAAAACCATTTAATATCCCCAGTGTATCACTCCATATTCCTTAATAAGGAAACTAAATTGCTATTCTCCCCCACAAACATTTGCATTGGGGTATTGGCTCTAACTGTAGAATAAATATTCTGTTCCTCTAAAAATTTATATATTATTTTACCATAGAATATTATGATGCCTTCACAATACAATTTAGATACAAATGAATCTTTTACCTGATCTTTATTTGTCCAACCACTGGCAAAATATATAAACTGACAGAATAGCTGCATAGTTAAGCACTCCCCTTTGAGTGCCTACAATACCTGAGAATTTAACAGATCATATGCTTTTGTAGAACAGCTTATAGTAACATTTTGTTTTAACTAAAGTTCTAGAATAATATGCAAAAATGAAATTAACCATACATCCAGGTGAAGCTGGGCCTCTAGTCTAAATGCATTTTAAAAACAACTGGTAAAAATCTAGTATCGAATATATTCATTTTCTCTATTAATCTGTGAATTTTATTAGAAGAATTTTGAAAGAAGGGTTCATTATATTTCAATAAAAGAAAAATTCTGACCCAAATTTGGAAATCTTTTTGTATCTGTAAAATTATTAAATGTTTAAAGGAAGTCTATATTGTTCTTCTTATATTAGAAGACAACCAAGTGAAATGTCTACCAACTCCAGATCATTTCCTTTGTTCTAAATTGCAGGCTTTTAGAATTTTTTAGAATAAATTGCATGCATAGCATTTCTAGTATTAAGTGAAATAAGCACAAATCTCAATGAGCTATTTTAGTCTTAAGTAGTCAAATAATTAAACTAATATTTTTAATTATTTTTGAAAAGCCATAAATCTTCTCATAAAAAATAGAGTTTGGACAATTATATTTTTATCTGTAAAGTACATTAAGTCAGATCTCCAAAAATAAATATTATCTGTACCTTAAGAAAATGCTAATTTTGATTAACTCCTTTTTTAAAAAAATTTTTGTGTTGTTTTAATTACTGACTGGCATAAGCATAATAAGATGAAAAACATAAATGGTTAAGTTATGGTTAGGTTTTCTTAAGAAAAACATATCATGGACTCTTTGTAGCAACTGGAAAAGACTTATGTAAATTCAGAAACATGGCAGACATTTTCTACATTAGAGTACTCAGGCATACTACCTGGGAGGTGCCAGATACTGTCTCATGTCCTATATGTCCCTTGATGCCTTACAAATTTTATCTTCAACTATCAGAAATCTAAGCATAGCCAAATAGCTCATTCCAATTTGCCTTGTTTCCAAATTGAATACCTCATTCCTTTTACGTTGTCAAAGTTTTCTGAAAGTAGTAATATGAAAGATAAGAGGTTTTTTTTTTTTTCAGATGGAGTATCACTCTGTCACCCAGGATGGAGTGCAGTGGCGTGATCTCAGCTCACTGCAACCTCCACTCCCAGGTTCAAGCAACTCTCTTGCCTCTGCCTCCTGAGTAGCTGAGACTACAGGCGCGCACCACCACGCCTGGATAATTTTTATATTTTTAGTAGAGACGGGGTTTCACCATGTTGGCCAGGCTGGTCTCGAACTTCTGACCTCATGATCCACCCACCTCGGCCTCCCAAATTGCTGGGATTACAGGCATCAGCCACTGTGCCTGGCAAGATTATTTTTTATTCATATCAAGCTTGCTACATAACACCTTGGAAACACAACAGTTAGAAAAGTATAATGTTGCTGAAAATTTGGAAAAATTATTACTCTCCCCTATTAACAGGTTCCCTTATTCAAAATAATGAGGTTTATATACATATATCTGAATAATACATAAATATTCAAATGAAAATAACTGACTAATAAAAATTACACTTTAAAAAATAAAAGATTTGAGGTAATTTAATGACCATAAATAATGTGTGTCATAATGCTATATCAGTATTTATTAGGCCATTGCAACAGAGCTATTAAATGAGAATGATGCCTTTCAAGAGTAGAAGTACTGCAGGTAGTTAGGATAGCAGAAGAAATTTTGTGCAGTTAAAAGAATTAAAAAGTATCACACGAATGTAAATTTGAAGTGAACTATAACTGTTATATTTTCTAACAACAACAAAAAAATTCATTTAGAGCAATGCTTTTTAAGCATGGTTAACCTGAAATTAAGAAAATGTATACTTTGCAAATCAGACAGTATGTCTTATTTAACAGATGACTGCTTTCAGGCTATCATGGGAAAATAATGGGAGGGAAAACACTGGTCTTCAAGCATGCATTAAAGTCTTCTATTTCTGCTCCAGAGGAGAAAAGAGTAACTTTCACTTAAGCTTCTCTATTTTCCTTCTTAACCTATAAAATAAAAAACTAATCCAAGAAAAATAAACTCAACATGATCAAAAAATAGCTCTTACCTATGCAACCTTTAATTCAAAACTATAATAAACTACTGTTAAAAAAGAGAAAAAGAACAGAAAATTATAAACAAGTAAAAGAAATGAGAGAATATATTAAAAATTAATGAAACAAAAAATAGAGAACAGTGGAAAATTCAATGATATCAAAAATTGATTCTTTGAAAGAATTACGTGGAGAACAATAAACTTCTAGCCAGATTAATGAGAGCAAAAAAAGAAAAAAGATATAAATTACCAATATAAGAAATCAGAAATAAGGCATCACTCCAAATGCTACAGCTATTATAATATTAAGAGAATATTATGAAAAATTTTAAGCCAATACATTCTACAACTTAGATGAAATGGAAAAAAATTCCTTTAAAGACACAAACTGCCAAAGCTCATTCAAGAATAAATACATAGCCATTTGTTGTCCTATACCTTTTAAAGAAATTGAATTTGTAGTTAAAACTCTTCCCACAAATAAAAATCCAGACCCAGATGGCTTCACTGGAGAAAATTCCTAAACACTTAAAAAGCAAAGTCTCAAAAATCTACCAGAAAACTGAGAGGAAGGAATATTTCCCAACATTCTATGTGGCCAGCATTAACCTACTACTATCTTAGTATAAGAAAAAAAAGGCCGGGCGCGGTGGCTCACGCCTGTAATCCCAGCACTTTGGAAGGCCGAGGCGGGCGGATCACGAGGTCAGGAGATCGAGACCATCCCGGCTAAAACGGTGAAACCCCGTCTCTACTAAAAATACAAAAAATTAGCCGGGCGTAGTGGCGGGCGCCTGTAGTCCCAGCTACTTGGGAGGCTGAGGCAGGAGAATGGCGTGAACCCGGGAGGCGGAGCTTGCAGTGAGCCGAGATCCCGCCACTGCACTCCAGCCTGAGTGACAGAGCGAGACTCCGTCTCAAAAAAAAAAAAAAAAAAATTGAGACCTATATGCCTATGTAAGTAAATGTAAAAATTAAAATTTTATCCAATACAGGCCGGGCATGGTGGCGGGCGCCTATAATCCCAGCTACTCGGAAGGCTGAGGCTCGAGAATTGTTTGAACCTGGGCAGAGGAGGTTGCAGTGAGCTGAGACTTTGCCACTGCAGTCCAGCCTGGGTGACAGAGCCAGACTCCATATCAAAAAAAAAAAAAAATTATCCAATGGAATCCAAAAATATAATGACCAAGGTGGATTTATCCATTTATCCCAGGGACGCAAGGCTAGCTTAACATTTAAAAAGTAATCAATATAATTCACCATAATAACAGACTGATAAAGAAAAAACATGATCATTTCAATGCATGCAGGAAAATTGTTTACAAAATCCCATATCCATTCACGATAAAATTTCTCAGCCTACTAGGAATAGAAGGATAGGAATAGAGGGAAACTTCCTCAACATGACAAAGGCATTTTAAAAAAACAATGTCCATTTAACATCATAATTAATAGAGAAAGAGTAAATGTTTTCCTCCCAAAATCAGGAAGAACACAGGTTGTTTGATCTTCCAACTTTGATATAACATTACACTGGAGGTTCTAGCCAGAGAATTGTGTGCATGTGTGTTTGGGGAGTGGGAGGAGGGGGAAAAAAATAAAAGACATTCAGATTGGGAAGGAAGAGCCAAAACTGTGTTTATAAATGATCATATAGGACATGATCATCTATTACAGATAATCCAGAAGAATTTACAAAAAATGGCTATTACAAATAAATGATTTTAGTAAGGTGGTAGGATCCAAGATCCACGTATAACACATAAAACTATATTTCTATATGCTGGCAACAAATAATCAGAAATTCGAATTTAGAAAAAAAAGTCATCTGAAATCACATCAAAATTATGAAATATTTAACGATAAATTTGACAAAAGGTGTAGAAGACCTATAAACTGAAAATAAAACATTGCCAAGAGAAATAAAAAAGATACATGTAAACAGAGAGGCACACCTTTTTTCAAGGGTCAGAAGACTCAATAGCATTAAAATGACAATTCTCCCCAAATTGATGTATATATTCAACATATCCTGAAAA
Source organism: Homo sapiens (assembly GCF_000001405.40). Lineage (NCBI taxonomy): Eukaryota > Metazoa > Chordata > Mammalia > Primates > Hominidae > Homo > Homo sapiens. The sequence goes on along the minus strand of NC_000003.12, from coordinate 174,499,976 downwards.
AAATCCCAGAAGGATTTTTACAGAAATTTAAAAACTTATTCTAAAATTCACGCAGAAATCCAAATAACCTAGACTAGCCAAAATAACTGAAAACGAAGAACAAATTTGCAGTTGGGCTAACTCTACCTGATTAAAAGACTTACTATAAAGTTATTGTAGTCAAGAAAGTACAGTGTCAGCTTAGAGATAGCCAAATAGATCAATGTAACAAAAGAGAGATTCCAACGAAAGACCCACATATACAGGAACAACTGATTTCTTTACCAATTAAAAAAAAGACAATTTAGTGGAAAATGTATAGTCTTTTCAATAACTGATGCTGAAACAATTAAAAATCCATACACAAAAAGAAAAGGCAAGTTGACCCATAATTTAATACATAAAAAATATTCAAAATGGATCACAGATCTAAACTTAAAACTGTAAAACTTTTAGAATAATACATACAAGAAAAGCTTTGTGTGCTTGGGATAGGGATAGGCAGAGCTGTCTTAGTATAATACCATAAAGGAACACTCTATAAAAGAACAAAGTGGAAAACTGAATTGCATCAAAATTAAATACTTCTGCTATTTAAATGACACTGTTAAAACAATGAAAAGACAAGTCACAGGATAGGAGAATATATTTGCAAATTATGTATCTGATAACTTGTATCCAAAATGTAGGAGGAACCCTTATATCTCAACAACATAAAGAACTTTCAAAACTTAACAAAAACCCAATTGAAAATCTGATAACAGATTTAAACAGACATTTCATCAAAGAAGATGCAATAGTTCCCCTTATCCAGGGAGCACATGTTCCAAGATCCTCAGTGAATGCCTAAAACCACAAATAGTACCAAATCCTACATATACATTTTCCTATATATACATGCCTATAATAAAGTTTAATTTATAAATTAGACACAGTCAGAGATTAACAATTATAACATAAAAAAGATTAATTGTAATAATATACTTTAATAATAGTTCTATGAGTGTATTCTCTCTCTCTCAGAATAACTTACTGTTCTGGACTTACCCTATTTTTTGTTTACTGCAGGTTACTAAAACCATGGAAAGTGAAAGTGAGGATAAGGGTGGACAATTGTAAACAGATGGCAAATAAGCAAATGTAAACATGTTCGACATCAGTAATCATTAGGGAAATGCACATTAAAACCACAAAGGGATACCACTATGCTTCTATTAGAATAGCTAAATATAACCACACCATAGGAAGTGTTAGCAAGATGTGAAGAATGTAGAACTCTCATACACTGCAGACCGGGATGTAAATGCACATCCACTTTGGAAAATAGTTTGATAGTTCATTTAAAAGATAAACATATATATTATATATATATGTTTATATATAGTTTATCTTTTAAAGAAACTATAATATATACATATTATGCAATCCTGCCATTCCCCTTATTTTCTCAAGAGAAATAAAAGCACAGGTCTATACACAGTCTTATACATGAATGTTCGTAGCAGCTTTATTTGTAAGAGCCAAAAACTGGAAAATCTCAAATGTTTATTAACAAGGAAAAAGAATTAACAAATTGAAGCTTACTAAAGCTTATCTATACAATGGAATACTACTCCACAAAAATATTTTTAAACATAAATGATTAATACACAATGATATGCATGAATCTCAAAACTGTGATTAAAGAAGCCATAAAGAGCATATACCAAATGATTTAATTTATATAAAATCACAGAAACGAAAACTAATATATAATGAAAGAAAGCAGATCACTGGTTGCCTAGGAACTAGGGGAAGGGCAAGAGGTAAGGACTACAAAGAGGCATCAGGAAACTCTTGGGGATGAGGTACATGTTTACTATATTGATTGTGGTGATAATATCACACATATAAACATATGTCAAAACTTCATAAATTGTATACTTTAAATATATGCCCTTTCCTGTATATCAATTATACTTCATTAAAGCTGTTAAAAATTGAAAAAACAGAAATAAGCATTCTAAAATGTTAGGATTCACTAATTTTCACTTGAACCATTTAACTATTTAACCTGAACCATGTTTGTACTGAAAATATTTTGCTAATTTGAATTCCAAAGATATCACTTATCAGGTATATCTTTCAGTTTTTTACATTAACAACTCTAGTACTGACAAGCATTAGAATTAAATATATTGTCACATATTTTAGTCTAAGTCCTCTAATTCAAAATTATCACAAGCAATTAACAATAAATTGAACTACCATTTATTCATTCAAAAGATATTTATTAAGTCAGTCTGCGCCAGCTTCAAAAGATAAAAAGATAAATAAGACTGAGTCTCCACCATCAAGAAGTCATGCTCTACTAGGGAAGACAGACATTTATGAAGATAATTTTCAAAAGATGTGGCAATTGCAATAATAGATAAACGTAGAAGTGTTTTCAGGCATAACATGACCATGGAGGAAGTATACCTAATGAATCTGGGGCAAGAAATACAATAAAGGATAAGTAATGAAAGGTTTCTTTTCGCTTCTTCTTTTTAAATAGAGATCATATCTTGCTATGTTGCCCAGGCTGGTTTTAAACTCCTGGGTTCAAGCCAGGAGTTTAATCCTTGGCCTCCCAAAGTGCTGGAATTATAGGTTTGAGCCACTGCACCCAGCTGTGAAAGTTTTCCAGAGGAAAATCTTCTAAGCTAAGTATAAAGTAAGTAGCAATATTATAATATCAGGAAGACAACAAGTTCTTCCTCTGACCCCAGTGACACAAGTTCCAGGACTACACAAATTTTAATATGAATATGAAGGTGAATATATAAGAATGATACCCCTGTAGAAATAAAAAAAAGAAATGATTCTGAAAAGTATTACCTATTTGCATATCATCTACGCCTCCAAGATATTAAAATGTTTTGGCAAAATAACTGATGGGCAAATGCTACAAGACTCTAGTTAGGAATTTAAAGGTAAAGGTTTTTGTAATGAGCTTTAAATGTAATTACACATTTTTACTGATAAGCAAGTAATGGAACAAGTAAATTATGGGGTTAGGACAGAGAAGGTATCAGGATGCTGGCTGTGTTATTATTTTTATCACTTACAATGAATTATGCATTAATGAACACATTCAGTCTAGATCTTATTGCTGATACGTTCGTGTTTAACTTGTTGGAGTGTTATACCCCACAAGGAGTTCCACAAAAATTACGGAGGTTATAAAGGTAAATAAATAGTTTTGTAACTGTTCTAACACAACTTGAGTTCACTGTTATTTAATTATTCTATTATTTCAGTACCCATCAGAATAATAAGCTGTTGGTCATCTCATCAAGGTCAAGGGTAGCAGTAAGATGGAAACTTTAGATTTTAAAACACTCTTAACTGAGGGTTCTTAAAAGAGTAATAATTCCAACCCCTTGAGTACTAAACAGATAGTAACATATATATGGCCAAATCCTTCTCTTTATCCAATTCTTACATATATATATATATATATATAATATATAAATATATACATACATATAGACACAGACACACACCATAAGCTGGCATCAATGAATACATATCTTTAACATTCAGAAAGAATTCACTGTCCTATAATCTGGGCAAAGGAAAAGTGAACCCCTAGAGTTATGACCACAAAAGTATCTAAGAAATGAGCCAAAAATATTACCAACATCTAATGTCAACACAAAGATAGCCAAAATACTAATGGAAGTTACATTTTCTCCTTAGCATATTCAGTGCTTTAAGACATGTCTAGGGTATTCATAGTAAATCAAACAAAAACAATTTCAAGGCAATAGAGATAGTATGTGCACAGACTGAGCTGGGAAATAGTGACGGATGCTCAATGAGGTCACAGAACAAATCAACACAGCTGCCCTACTGACTGTTCACTAGCCACCCTGGAAGAGCCAGAGGTGCCCCACCTAGCACAGCTGCCAAACCAAACTTCAGCTGTGCTGAAGTTCAAGAGCACAGTCATACAATCAAAAAATTTTAGCTGGAAAGGCCTAGGAGGTCATAGAGTTCAGTGTATACAGATCCATAGGTTGCTGCTGCATTTCAATGGCTGTATGAACATCCTGAAATTATATACAAAGTTTTCTGTATGCATGCATAAGAACTACTGATCTAATCCTGTCATTCATTTAATGGATGGGGAAACAGTTCCACTGAAATTGAATTACAGCTCAATAGTACTAAATTAGAAGTAGAATCTTTTGAGTCTCAGCTATTTTTTTCATTTTTGCTATCACACCAAGAAGTCTATTAAGTACTAAAAATTTTAACTGCAACAGAAAAAGACATACAGCTGGATTCAGTATCCCCTGTGAACCTCTCAAAAAGCTCTCTCCACGAGTCCATTTACATTGCCCTTCGTTGGGAAAGTTCCAACATAACCTGTGTGATATATGTGTTCTGGCAGCCTTGTAATTGAAACAATATCCAAAACAAGTAGCTCATGCCCTTGTGGTATGTGAGAAACCAAAAGTAGTCTGCCACAATACTCAGGGAGAAATGAGAGGACATAAAAAGGTTTGGGAATAAACGTGTTCAAGAACAGGGCTATGTAGTTACTTACAGAGCCTAGTAAATACTTGATGCCCATTAAATGTTTTTTGAACTGAATTGAACTGGTATATAAGCCGTCTAACAAATCATTCCCAAATGAGGAAGAATTGTTGCTCAAGAATTGCCTCCCTTATGAATGCAGTAAGGCTGTTTTTTTTTTTTTTTTTTGGTTTGTTAATATAAGCTTTCCTTAAGCAACTCTACACATATTGCTGAATCCTTCATTTATTCTAAAATGGCTCTGAATTTACAAATAGATGGCAGGACTTTTATATGCTCAATAAATAATGGAGACTTTCTCTCAGTGTTGCTGTTATTTAAAAAAATTTCTCCAGTAGATATTTTGGCTAATGAATAAGAATCTCTCATCAAATTAATAACACTATTACATTCACTTTCAGATGGTTTAACAGTGGTCTTTGGGGTATAATAACATATTGCTGACTTGGGCAAGCTGCCACTGGACTGAATATAAATTTGCACAAAGCAAATTCTCCATCTGAAAATTCCATAATTACCTCAAACTGATCATGCCCCAATCTAAATAAAGTGCTTTCTCCTGCAAACCCTGCTTCTTTTCCCATATTGCCTATTGTGATTAGCAGCATTAAAATCTATCCCTCCAACGTAAAAAGCTTATTGAACTGTCCTCTCCATTGCCTAAAACATCCAATGAATAATTCAATCAAATTAAATATATCTCATAAATACCAACTCATACCTTCCTCTTTTTCTTATGGCTATTACCTTGCTATAAGCCCTTGTCACCTTCTGCCTGAACTAAAAACTCCCTACTTCTTTTTTTTTTTTAATACTTTAAGTTCTAGGGTACATGTGCACAACGTGCAGGTTTGTTACATATGTATACATGTGCCATGCTGGTGTGCTGCACTCATTAACTTGTCACTTACATTACTTATATCTCCTAATGCTATCCCTCCTCCCTCCCCCCACCCCAGGACAGGCCCCGGTGTGTGATGTTCCCCATCCCGTGTCCAAGTGTTCTCATTGTTCAATTCCCACCTATGAGTGAGAACATGCGGTGTTTGAAAACTCCCCCTACTTCTAGCTGCTCCCCCATTACAGTTTTTCCTTAATATGACATTAGAATCAATGTTGTAAAAAGCAAATCTGATTATTTCTCACCTCCTGCTTAAAACCTGTCAGTGACTTCCTACTGCATTCAAGTAAACCCTTATTTTCCCTTTAAAATAAGAGTCTTTTGGTTCTCATCTCCAAGCGACACCTAACATTTCCCAACAGGCTCCTTAAACCTCCTGCCTTAAAGTCTTAAAGTTTCCCCAAGTGCAACCTGATTTTATTATTCCCTTAAATTTGAGCACATACTCTACCCAATCCATGAAATACTCTCCCTAATACTTTCTCCACCTGGCATAGAAGATAACCTTCCTGCAAGGCTTAAAAGCACTTCAAAGGCTGCAAAAAAACTTTTTGTCAGACACATATGAAGTTGACTGTTTGATCTCTAATCCGGCACACCTTGTTCGTATCTCTATCACAGCACTTTTCAAACAATATTTTAATTATCTGTTTAGTTGTTCATCTCTATCATTAGAATCTGATCTCTTCAAGGGCATAGACTACATTAAATTTATTTTTGTGCCCATAGCACCTAACAAAATACTTAATACATAATAAACATATTGATTGAGAAAATAAGGAAATGAATGAATGAAAAGATATGTAAGAGCTAGGTTCCCTCTTCTGTTGTATATGTAATTGGTTCAATCACATGAATTTTTTTCCCTTTTACTTTCTAGGCCTTTCAGAATATATTTGTTCCTAACTACTCTAGATCCATTTAAAGAAAATTCATTGTATTAATTTGCCAGGGCTGCCATAACAAACTACCACAGACTGTGTGGCTTAAAAAACAGAAATTTATTTTCTCATAATGGAATTTAGAAGTCTATTATCAGCGTGGTTCCTTCTGAGGACTATGGGGAATAACTTACATTGAATTTGTTACAGAAATAACATGAGCATTTATTTAAAATGAAGAAATTAATATAAATTCAGGTTTCTCTCCTTGACTAGATGGCTGTCTTCTTCCTGTATCTTTATATAATCATGCCTATGTCTGTGTCTATATGCAAATTTATTCTTTCAGTAAGAACACCAGTCATATTAGATTAGTGTCCACTCTAATGACATCATTTTAACATTATCACTTCTAAAAATACCTTGTATCCAAATCGGGTTACATTCTGAAGTACTGGATATCAAGATTTCGACATGAATTTTTTGGGAGAGAACATAATCCAGCCCATAACACCTATCCTCACTCAAATAAAAAAGCTGGGTTCTAGTTATGTTTTTGAAAGTTTTCAGAATGTTTCTACATAATGATCCAGATTTTTCAGAATATTTTCTATTACCTATAAAACACTGTATAAGAAAAAATCCTTAAAGTCTCTAACAGTGGTTTTGAAACCCAATCCTTGCACTACAGTCAGCAGTAAGAAATGGAGCTAAAGAAGAATAACTGAATTGATTTTAGTCCAGGCTCAGGCATTAACCTTTGAATTTGCCCTGGGCACAATGGTTAAATAACTGGTGCTTCAGTTCTTCACTTGAAAAGGAAAGTGGTCAGACTGACTCCCTCTGCAATTTCATAAGATCAAAATCTCTGATTCTATGTTGTCTTATTTTGTCTTAGTAATGAGCACTGTTGGAAGTGATCTAGAAATAATACAAGAGCATTTATTTAAATGAAGAAATTAATATACATTCTGTTGCATTTGGAAATGTTTACACAGCTGAAAACCATAGACCTTCCAGACTCTTAAATAAATTTCATCCACTCTCTGAAGACACTGTTTTTGGAGTTGTAAATGCATGTGGATGTTGCTTTCAGCACACACACACACACAAAATACCTATAGTAGGTGTCCCTCATGGCAGTATCTTATGCTACTCCAAAATTATATTCATCAAGGTTAAATATTCCAGCAGTCTTTGTTTTCCAAAAATTTAGTGCTAGAAAAAACCGATCACAACAGGTTATAGGATTTATGTGTTAATTTATAAAAATTCTCATTGAATTCTATAATTCAAAGCATCTAATTGTGCACCCAGTAAATGGTGTCCAGATTCTCTGAACTAATCAATTTGTTTTTCTTTTTTTCTTTTTTTTTTTTGAGACGGAGTCTTGCTGTTGTTGCCTGGGCTAGAGTGCAATGATGCGATCTTGGCTCACCGCAACCTCCATCAACTGGGTTCCAGCAATTCTCCTGCCTCAGCCTCCCAAGCAGCTGAGATTACAGGCACCCGCCACCACACCCGGCTAATTTTTGTATTTTTAATAGTGACAGAGTTTCACCATGTTGGCCAGGCTGGTCTTGAACTCCTTACCTCAGGTGATCCACCCACCTTGGCCTCCTAAAGTGCTGGGATTACAGGCATGAGCCACCGTGCCTGGCCTGAACTAATCAATTTTAAAGTCACACATCACTGTATCTATTTTTTAAATACATCAAGAGCAAGAGAATCAAGACAATAAAATCATCTTTATTGATAGAGAAAAAATAAACATTCATTTGAAAAAGTTCATTTCTCTTGACAAAAGTGGTTTTATCATTTAACTACAGGATGTAATAAACAAAAGTTTTGGGAAAACGTTGATAGACAATGATTCATATAAGCACTTCCTTTGAGAAGTAATCATGAAATATTAGAACATAAGACTATATGATATGATATGTTAGGAAAATTTGATGCGACATCAATGTTGGAAAAAAATGGCAATATTTCAGAAGATAATTTAAGACATAACGAATTCCTTTGATGGCTCATCCATTTTAAATTACCAGCTGAGACTAATTCTTGAGGAAACTAGCTATATACTAAATTGAATTAATTTATTTAAACATAGAGTTGACAATGGAGCACAAGTAAGCTGACATCAAACACTTGGCAATAATAAAGATAAATTATTCACAGAGTACTATCAATATAAAATACTTCCAAAGAGTATTAAACACGATTTGTTTAAAAAAATAACTATGTAAATGAACAGCTTGAGAGTAAGTGGAAGCTTTGACTACTCAACACTTCCATGAACTACAATTTTTGCTCAGACTACTGCTTTTCTGGATGGTCAAAAGACACTGTGGATTATGAGGAAGATGGCTATATAATCATGGCCTGCAGTTATAAGATTCAGTAATTTATATAATGGTAAAAATGATACAGGATTGAATAGAGAACACCAGCAATATTAATACAGGTCATGGTGATCTGAGGTTCATAGTGTACTTTCAGAGAGCATAGTGTTCACCCCAAATTGATAAAGTAATTCTTCCATTTAAGTAATTTCTTGAAGGATTGTGTCCCAATGTTCTCTCTCATATGGTGATTCACTTATGGCTAAGTTCTCCCAGAGAATGGTTTACTCATTCTTGCTGACAATAGCTCTGGATAAGTATTTTATACACATATAAAATACTCTTAAAGTATGTTATCTCTCATTTTCATCCCATAATTCAAACCCCGTTATAAGTTTTAATTAAAATTGATGGTGGTACTAAATATTTTATAAGCATGAGTCTAAATACAAAGAGATCAACTGGCCAGCTTATCTTGCTAGTCATGAAATAGAAACCCACCAACTTCTCCTTCACCCAATAAAATACCCAAAGGCTTTCAAAGGAGCGCTCTTTGAATAGAAAGGCTCTTCCCACCTAAGAGGAAATGAAATCACCCCTACTTGTTTACTTCATTCCATTGTTTTCAATTCATCTAAGATTTTTCTCCTCTACACGCTCCATTTGTTTTGAAAGCTATACACTGCCGCTTTCATTTAAAATTGAAACCAGGAGTTCTTGACTTTTTAAAAAAAGATCTTTATTGAGATCTAATTCACATACAACACAATTCACCCATTAAAAGTCTATGATTCAGTGGTTTTTAGTATATTCACATGGTTGCAAAAATCATCACAATTTTAAAACATTTTCATTCTTTCAAAAAGAAACCCCATGCCCATTAACAGTCATTCCCATTCTCCTTTCTCCTTCCCCTAGGAAATCAATAATCTACTTTCTGTCTCTGTACATTTACCAATTCTGGACATTTTATATAAATGGAAATCACACAACATGTAATCTTTTGTGGCTATTTTTTCCAGGTACCATGTTTTTAAGGTTCATTTGTGTTGTAATACGTATCAATACTTCATTTTTTATTGCCAAGTAATATTCCATTGTACAGATATACCACTATTTTATTTATCCTTGCATTCATCAGTTGATGGACAATTGTGTTGTTTTCATCTTTTGGCTATTATTAATAATGCTGCTATGAATGTTCATGTACAAGACTTTGTGAGGACATATGTTTTCATTTCTTTTTTCATATATAGCTAGCAATGGAATATCAGGTTCATATGGTATGTCTTTTTAACGATTTGAGAAATTGCCCAACTGTTTTCCAAAACAGCTGGACCAGTTTATATTCCCCTCTCTACATAGAAGCGTTCCCATTTCTCTACAACTTCACCAATACTTGCTGATGCATATAAGGGTTACTTATAAGGGTTACATATAAGGGTACGATACTTGCTACATATAAGGATTCCCATTTCTCTACAACTTCACCAATATTATCTGACTTTTTGCCACCCCAGTGGGTGTAGTCTCTCACTGTGGCTTTGATATGCAATTCCCTGATGTGTAATGATGTTAAGCACCTTTTCATGTGCTTATTAGCCATATGCATGTCTTCTTCTTCTGAGAAATGTCTACTCTGATTCTTTTTTTTATTTCATTTTAGTCTGAGTTCTAAGAGTCCTTAATATATTTTAGATACAAGTCCCTTCTTAAAGATATAATTTGCTAACATTTTATCTCATGCTATGGGTCACCTCCACATTTTTTATTGTATAATTTGCAAAACAAAACATGTTTATTTTGATGAACTCTAATTTATCTATTCTCTCTTTTGTTGTTTGTGCTATTGATGTCATATTTAAGAAACCATCACAGAGCCCAAGGTCATGAAGATATATTCATAAATTTTCTTCTAAGAGGTTTTATAGCTTTAGCTCTTATATTCAGGCTTATGGTCCATTTTGAGTTCGTTTTTGTATATAGTAGGAAGTAAGAATAAAACTTCATTCTCTGCATGTTGATATCTACTTGCCTCAGCACCATTAGCTAAAAAGACTCTTCTTTCCTCATTAAATTGTTTTGGCACCATTGTCAAAAAGCAACTCACCATAAATCTGAGTTTAATAATATAGAATTTAAGAAAAAAATATTGCCTGAAAAATTTCCAAGATATCATATTATCATAATCTGATAAGATTTAGCCAGCAACCAGCAATGAGGTAGAGAAATGGCTGACCAATATCCAGAGTACAGATACAATGTGGCAATGAAATGCACACTTTATCCACATCGATATCAATACCAATGGTGATAACATGTTAGAAAGGGGAGTATGCTGCAATCTCACAACTGGGCAATGGTATCATGTGTTTATAAGCCGTTTTATGACCAAAGCTCAAATAGGTGGCTATGGAAAGATTTTAGATGATCTAGTTTAAAAATGTATGAGGAGTAGCTTCCAAAGGTTAGGGGGGGTGTCTGTGGCTGTGAATGGCAGGAATTAAGCAGGATATGAGAACCGCTTATTTAGTAGGCTGATTTAGTACAGGGTTTAGATCCAATAGAGGTTGTGAAACAAGGAATGAAGGTGGAAGCCAAGTCATGCAGACAAAGTGAATATGACAAAATTTGGAGGAATTCCATGAGATTGTGAAAAAAAACAGTCAACTAAGAACTTATCCCAGATAGCCAAGATATGAAATTGAGAAGTCTTCCTTTCTTGGTTAAAAAGAGAGTTTTTACATACTGCATCCTTAGTAAGGACTAGTTTATGGATTTGTGAAGTCTTGTACAGCACATTAAAAGCATCAGTGCCTACAACTAAGAAGTATTAACTGAAACCTTGTGCTCAGGCACTCTATCCTAGGCATTATCTCAGTTGCTTTATATATATTATTTCACTTAATTTTCATGAACACCATAAGAGGTTAATCCTATCATATTCTTATTAGAGGTGACAAAACTGAGATCTAAAAAAGTTAAATATCTTATCCAAGCAGTTAAATAAAACAGCTGAATCTGGATTTAAAACCAGATCAAGCTGACTTCAAATTATGTGGTCTTTGATTACAGCAGTGATGAAGAAAACTGCATTAGGACCAAGCTTAGTGTTTTATGTAAAGTAATATATAAGCAGTATATGACTTTGGTGCTAAAGGCAGGAGAATGATAATATTTCTAATCTTCAGTGATTATTAATATTACTAAACTTCTGAGCTATCTCCAATTTATTCTTCTCCCAATGTATCGTCTCTACCTGACATCCATCTCATTTCCATTTAACTCTCACAGATCTATTTCAGTTCATCATTACTCATAAACTTGACAATTTTAATGTCTTCCAAACTAATCTTTTTATATATTGGCTCTTGCTACGTAAATCCTGGTGACTACTGCAAAACTATCCCGAAATGCAGCTCTGATCATGGCATCTCTATGCTCAAAAACAGATAATCTCTCTATTTATGTCACCAAATCAAATACATCTAATTGGCCTTTGCATTCCAGCACCTCCACAATATAGCCATTGCTTCCCATTCTAGCATAGACACGTCTACCTGCCTACAAGCAATCTGTACTACTTACTATTGTTAAAAAAAAAAAAAACACTCTTACTCCATGCTTTCTAAACTTAATGCCTTTATTAATTATTTTCTCTGGGACTGGAATGCCTCCCTCATCTACCTGCTGAAATCCAATCCATATCAAATGCCACTTCTTCCATGAAAACTATCCCACTTTCCTCAACATAGTTGCTCTCTCTGTTAACTATTTTATAATTTTTCTTGTATACTTCACGTGACATCAAAGTATTCTAGGTTTGTGGACTCAACTAATCTCCTCTTCTAGACTTCATGCTCTATTAGACCAAAGCCCAAGTATTACTTTTCTCTGAATTCCATGAATACCTAGGAGATTCTTTGAAATAATGGGCATTAATAATAATTATTGAACTAAATTATTGAAGTCAAATAAGTACAGTGATGTATTAATTAGAGACATCTAGGTTGCAAATGACATATGATCCATCTAGCTTAGACAAAGAATTGGCTTTGGCTCATATGAACAAACTATGGAAAAGAATGATAGAGCTAGCCTCCAGAATGACACAAATACTGCCAGGACTTTCTATGTTTCTCCTTTGGGTTGGTACTATTTGTAACTATTACATACTGATTTTGTCTATGCTACCAGAGACACAGCCACCAACAGCTTATCAGCTTCCATCGTCTAAGCATCAGGACCAGAGAGAAATTTGCAACATCTACCATTCCCTAGCACCTGTTTAAAAAAACACCAAAAAAGGCCTCTGATAGACACAGCTTGGATCATGAATTAATGACTATGGCCAAAAGTTGGGCATAAGAAGGTGGCAGCTCTTGTTTAGGCCACATGGATAAACCTAGGTATTCATATGTATGTGGTTTTTGGAGTGCTGGTTTTCTCAGAAAATGAGAGAAGGAGTATTATATGGACAGAACATCTAATGTCCACCACAAGTGGCTAAAAATTTCAGTGATATAACTAATTAACTATTGTATAGTCAAGTTTAAAAAGAAAAAAGGAAAGGGGACTTCTAATTTCTTACCCAGCATGTAAGGAGCTTAGAAGTCACCACTCCATCCTAACAAAGAGTAAAAAGCAGAACAAACTGAAAAATCAACAACTCCTCTTAGATCCATCAGAGAAGTGACATCACATGCATGGCAAAATTCTGCCCCCAAAAGCGGAGAGAAAGACAGGTACATATGGAAAACCGCAATTTACCAGAGTGGAAATTCACACGCAGAAACTTCCCCAAGAACTAGTGGAGTAGGAAAACCTAAAGCGTAATTGACAAATTTTAAGAGGGTCAATGTGGACAAGTTTGAGGTTTTAAAAGCACTAGGGGGACCCAGCCATCGAGGGGCCCCATACATTTTAATGGAGCTCTATCAGGGTCTCACAGTGAAAACTGAAGAAAAACCTGCTCATGCTCCAAGAGGGAGAAGAAAAGGAATGATTTTGAAATACGCTAGATAGAGCATTCTGCTCTTCTCAACAATGTATATCCTTAGGAGAAACTATTTAACCAGAGCCTAACCTCTGAGGTTTTATCAGAGCCTAACTGACCTGGGAGAAGGGAAATAACCACTTTCAGTACCCTGTAGCCCTCCATGTGGGAAAAGGGAAATACTCAATTCCAGGTGTCTCCAGGCATCCTATCCCACTTAAGAGGAAGTGGGAGGAACTGAGAAGCACTTGGGTACATACCCAGTAATGGGACTGCTGAGTTGAATGGTAGTTCTGTTTTTAGGTCTTTGAGTAATCACCCCTATTCAATAAATGGTGCTGGGATAATTGGCTAGCCATATGCAGAAGATTCAAACTGGACACCTTCCTTAAATCATATACAAAAATCAACTCAAGATGGATCAAAGACTTAAATATAAAACCCAAAACTATAAAACCCTGGAAGACGACCTAGGCAATACCATTCTAGACACAGGAACGGGCATGCATATGTTTATTACAGCATTATTTCATGAACACATGCATGCATTTGTTCACTACAGCACTATTCACAATAGCAAAAGACATAGAATCAAAATAAGTGACCACCAATGGTAGACTGGATAAATAAAATGTAGTATATATACACCATGAAATGCTATGCAGCCATGAAAAATAACAAGATCATGTCCTTTGCAGGAAAATGAATGGAGCTGGAGATCATTATCTTTAACAAACTAATGCAGGAACAGAAAACCAAATATCTCATATTCTCATTTATAAGTGGGAACTAAATGATGAGAACATATGAACACATAGAGGGAAACAACACACACTGGGGCCTATCAGAGAGAGGGGGGTGGGTGGAGGAGGAAGATTCGAAAAAAAAAATAATGGGTACTAGGCTTAATACCTGGGTGACAAAATAATCTGTAAAACAAACCCCCATGACACAAGTTTACCTATATAACAAACCTGTACATGTACCCCTAAACTTGAAGGTTTTTAAAAACTTGCATAGTATTTGCATAGAACCTATGCACATCCTCCCATATACTTTAAATCATCAGTAGATTACTTATAATACCTCATGCAATGTAAATGCTAAGTGAATAGTTGCTATACTTCATTTTTAGGTTTATATTATTTTTTATTATTTTTCCTCTGAATATTTTTGATTCACTATTGAATGAATACAAAGATGCAGAACCTGTGGCTATGGAAGGCCAATTGTATACTTGATTAATTCTTTAAATATGAAAGGGTATATTATAATGGAGAACTGTGTTCTATATTTTTGGGACCCCAATTATTTACGGCTCCATTGCAATGTCCTAATGTTAGAATATTCATTTCTACTCTTTACAATAATAAATGACACAACTACCGGCTAAGCAAATACTGCCTATAGGAGCTATACCATAATGTAAATCACACTCGACACATTAAATCCGTCAGCAAATACTGCCTATAGGAGCTATACCATAATGTAAATCACACTCGACACATTAAATCCATCAGCAAATACTGCCTATAGGAGCTATACCATAATGTAAATCACACTCGACACATTAAATCCGTCAGCAAATACTGCCTATAGGAGCTATACCATAATGTAAATCACACTCGACACATTAAATCCGTCAGCAAATACTGCCTATAGGAGCTATACCATAATGTAAATCACACTCGACACATTAAATCCGTCAGCAAATACTGCCTATAGGAGCTATACCATAATGCAAATCACACTCGACACATTAAATCCGTCAGCAAATACTGCCTATAGGAGCTATACCATAATGCAAATCACACTCGACACATTAAATCCGTCAGCAAATACTGCCTATAGGAGCTATACCATAATGCAAATCACACTCGACACATTAAATCCGTCAGCAAATACTGCCTATAGGAGCTATACCATAATGTAAATCACACTCGACACATTAAATCCGTCAGCAAATACTGCCTATAGGAGCTATACCATAATGCAAAACACACTCGACACATTAAATCCGTCAGCAAATACTGCCTATAGGAGCTATACCATAATGTAAATCACACTCGACACATTAAATCCGTCAGCAAATACTGCCTATAGGAGCTATACCATAATGTAAATCACACTCGACACATTAAATCCGTCAGCAAATACTGCCTATAGGAGCTATACCATAATGTAAATCACACTCGACACATTAAATCCGTCATCTCATGTATTTTTCTCTTTGCAGTCTGTGACAATCGTTACTCTCTTTGTAAGAATAGAAAACTGAGGCTCAGAGAAATCATGCCATGCCAAACATCTGTAGCCTGTTCTACTGGCTATTATCTCTGAGGTACATAGCTCTATTACCAAAAATGTCTTTATTGTTTTTTTCTAGTCTCAGGTACCTTCTTGTCCTATTATTTTTACTGATATTTTTTGCTTTTATACTACTACACCTGGGCTTTTATAGCCTCTGCCTAAACAGAAAGTGCTTCTTGTCTTTTGATGAACAAATCAGTCCATCTATTTTCATGTATTTTTTGCTCAGAGCCTTTTGCTTCATTCACTTTTCTCCTCATTCTCCTTTTTAAATTCCAACTTAAGTATTCGAGTTAAGATTTACATTATTTCAGATGGTTGAGGCTGCCAAAGAAGGCTGATCCTTAGTTATCTGGAAGTTACTTTACATTCTGATTATACTTTATTCCTTACTTTTGTGATTTTATATTTAAGGGATACTTACTTTGCACAATGATATGGTTAGGCTTTGTGTCCCCATCCAAATCTCATCTTGAATTGTAAACCTCATAATCCCCATAATCCCCATAATCCTCATGTGTCAAGGGAGAGAACAGATGGAGGTAACTGAATCCTGGGAGTGGTTTCCCCATGCTGTTCTCATAATAGTGAATTCTCACGAGATGTGATGGTCTTATAAGGGACTCTTTCCCCCTTCACTCAGCACTTCTCCTTCCTGTCACCTTGTGAAGAAGGTGACTTGCTACTCTTCACCTTTCACCATGATTGTAAGTTTCCTGAGGCCTCCCTAGCAATGTGGAACTGTGAGTCAATTAAGCCTCTTTCCTTTGTAAGTTACCCCGTGTTGGGTATTTCTTCATAGCATTGTTAAAATGGACTAATACACATATATAATTATTTTCATTGCCACTAACCTTCTACCCTTAGTTACCAGGGTAACTGGTAACTGTGGCCTAAAGTCAGACCAGTTGTTTTTACTCAAGGAGGGGTTGGAGAAACACTGGATGTATCTCCACCAGTCACAAGGAGTAACACAATCTAATGTTGCTAATAATAAAGCACAAATATTTTAAATGGTTGACAAATTATCACTTTAACACATCACTCTTGATCACGCCTTATGATTTCTTGAGTGGGAAAGAAAGAGGTAGTGATATGACTAGCATAACACAAAGCTTATCTTATAATGCTACAGCCATTAATCTGAAGGCGAGCATGAACATGTGTTCCATATATGAGTGTTATATGTCACATATGTCTCAGACAATCAAAGTTGAAAATGATTGGTTTAGTCAAAGGATAATCAATTCAAATATATCCAGGGCCAGATGGAGCTGTGGTATCTATGAAGCTCTTGGCAAAAGGAATAAGACAGAGGGGTTGGGAGGGGAGAGTGGTGAAATGAACAGTGCATGTGCTAGTTCAAGACTTTAAATCCAGTTTTGTTTGTGTTTTAAATACTGGAAAAATGAAACAAAAATCTATAAACCAGATCTGGACTGCTGGCTCAATAAGGAACATGTTCATATTATGCTTGAATTAAGTTCTTTAGCATCAATAATTAAAAGTAAAATGAAGCAGTACTTTACTTCTTTCTAACTGTGCAGCAGCAAGAGCCTCTGCAGTGGGCATTCATAATATTTTCAGTGCTCAGCACCTGAACCCCCTTCCTCTGATTAGGAAACTCTTCTCTCATGAGTCTTGGCGAGAGCAGAATTCACCTTTTTCTCAAGCCGAAAATGTCAGGAACTCACTTGCTGGGCCTTTCTGCAGTAAGGGTGTGGCACATAACCTAAGCTTCATCAATCAGACACATTTTCCCAGAATTAGGGGGCCCAACCAGGAACACTGTTGGCAGCAGAGAGGTCAGGAAATAAAGTTTCTGGGGTAACAGCAGCAATGCCATCTGTGTTCACAGAATAAGAACTGCATTAGGTGTTGGACAGAAAAGAGTTAATATAGCAGGTATGAGACTGATACCCTTAAAAAGGTCTGCCTATGAAGTCAGACCTTGGCTGGTATCTAGGAACACAGATCTTGGAAGGGTTCCCCCATTCCCTAATAACTCACTGTACCTACATTGTGTGTACACACAACATAATTTATGCTAAATACCCGTTTTCCTTCTAAGAGTCTGGAATTTTGGGATGCACCTGGCCAGAGGATGCTGACATGACCAGCCCCCAATAAAAACCTGGGTACTGAGTCTCTAATGATCTTCCTTGGTAGATAACATTTCACCTCTATTGTCAAAACTCATTATAAGAGAAATTAAAAGCACCATCTGTGACTTCACTAGTGGAAGACTCTTGGAAACTTGCACTGGGTTTCTCCCAATCATTGTTCCATGTACCTTTTCCCTTTGCTGATTTTGTTTGGTATCCTTCCACTATAATAAATCATAGCCATGAATACAACTATATGTTGAGTCCTGTAATTCCTCCTAGCAAGTCATCAAAACTGGGTGTGGTCTTAGGGGCCCCCAACGCAGGCATCAATGGCAGTGGTATCTTCCACAGTCCATTTAGGTAGTGTAATTTGGCTGTGTAGACTTGAATCTGTTGCCTCTAAACCTCGTGGCAATTTTGTGAGCTATCTAGCATTTCTTATGTAAACACTCTTCCCCTTAAATCAGTCAGAAGTGATTTCTGTTGCTTGCAACTTAGAACCATATGTGACACAACCTCCAAGTTGGCTTAGGATGTCTTCACTCTTATTCACCTTTATGAATGCCCCTCATGTTACTCTTTCTCACCTCAGGAATATATGGCGGCTTCACATTACCTATCCAAGAATCTTAACATCCAATTATCTCTAGCAGTTAGAATTATAGTGCTAATGCTATTGCACTCCTCTACTCCTGAACACCATTTCTCCACTCCAGCCAAGTTTACCTACTAAACTTCCCTATAATCTCTTCCTTCTATCTGCCTTTTGCTCATGCTAGCCAGAATCTACCTTCAATTTTATGCGATAAGTCAATCTCCAAACAAGTTGTAATTAATTAACTGATTTTCTTATAGGCTCACTGGCTGGAGAATAATCTGGACCCAGGATTGGTATCATCTTCTAGTGTCCTTATAGCTGATGATCAATATTGACTCTCCTATCTGCCCATCTCAGACCCTGACCTCCTTCTGGCATTAATTTATGACCTGTCGGACCTGTATGTACAAGGAGTCCTTATCTACTCAACTTCAAGATTCAAATAATGGGCATCTACTTTAGTTGGAATTGCCTGGCTCTCACAATCCTGATACCTAACTGGAACCTCTTCTATTCTACCACCATGTAAAGCCCCACTATAAAAATTCTGTTTGCTCCTCTCACTTTTACTATCAACAATCCACATTTTCTTAGCTGATAATAGGTTTAGATTATTAACTGTGAAGAGTAAGGAATAACATATTAAGAATGTATATGATTAATAAAAATGTAAGGTGATAGTGGAGAGAGATGTGAGAAACCATCAGAGATGACAGGGGATACTAACATAAATATATTCTAAGTATATTTTGGAGATGTACATATTCCTAGAGTAAAATCATATATAGTATTAAATAAAAGCTTCTATAAAGGCAGGGACACCAAAAAAACAGAAAAAGGAAGAAAGAGTAGCCTTTTGAAGCAGGTGGGTAGGGTGGGACCATTCCAAGAGTGAAAAAGAACTGCCACTTAAAGCTAAATATCTGTCTATTGATATCCCAATTCATAGCTATACTCAACATAATGGTCTCAAGAAACGCACATCAAGGCAATTCTACAGCAGATTTCTACCACCAACTCCCATGAGGAGTCTTCTCTGATATCACTTCATGCTCAGGCAGACAAATGTATTTTTCAATGGCAGAGGCTCTGTTTAGCGTTTGCTTGTTTCTCCCTTACCTTGGACCTCATTCTCTCATCCTCTCTTCCTTGCTATTTTTTAGGTGAAGAATAGGAAGAAACAATAAACCCTAAATCTGTAAAGGCAAGCCACACGCCTTTATTTCTATTTAGACTCAGTTCTTTACTAACTGGTTTTATGTTGTTACAAAAATTAATTAGTGAGTGAATTTCTTTTCAAAACTCACATATTACCATGTCTTATCTCATTCTATTAAAATGTCATTTTTAAAAATTCTGTCATAAACTTCTTTGATTCCCAAGATAATTCACCATTCCCAAGATAAACCATTCTCAAGATAATTCACCAATGTACTATCATGTTTCATCGTTTTTAATTTTATAAACTATTTGAGAAAAAAAAACACCTGATTCTTCTACATACCTATATCTTCCACAATAAATAACACAAAGGTAAACACATAGTAGGCAGTTAATGGAAAAACTGTTTAACCACCATAATCTACAGAGCCGGAAAGAAAGGAACCAGCTAGCTTACACTTGGTTACTAGAACTAAATAACTTTATGCTAGAAAATACAATCGCATATACTAGTCAGTAGACTTAATGAGGCATTTAGGAAGTGTTAGATAGACCATCCTTATCCCCAACCTGCACCCGCCTGCCCCTCAAAAAGATTTTCTAAAGCTGTTGTGCATAATGGATAAGAGGTATGGATTATAGAGTCAAACTGCCTGGCCAAATTCTGACTTTCAAGCTCATTTATGAGATCTTCAGTAAATGTACTCAACCCCCTAAGCTTCAGTTTTCTTATATGAAAAATAGTGATAATGATGTTCTCTTATAACCCTATTTTAGTGAATAAATAGGATAATACTTAGCATATTACTTGACTCAAATTAAGTACTCAGTAAATATTATTGTCAAAATGTTTGAGAATTAGTCATTCATTTAGAGTTGAGGCTAGGAGGGAATAAAACATTAAACTTCGATTAAATCTTAGTCAACTTTGTACTATCTCAATACTTCTATCACCCCACATGTATGAGCATTCAAAATATGACTATAAGATGACGAAATGTATCATAAATTTGTTTCATCTTAGTATAAATATCTTTATAAAATATTTTTCAGTACAAGTGTAGAGAGTATGTAAGGCAGTAAAGCCTGGAAAGCTGAGGAACGCAGTACATAAAGAATTTGAGGCTGGGCATGGTGGCTCACGCCTGTGATCCCAACACTTTGGGAGGTTGAGGCAGGTGGATTGCTTGAGGTCAGGAGTTCAAGACCAGCCTAGCCAGCATGGCAAAACCTTGTCTCTACTAAAACACAAATTAGCTGGGTGTGGTGGCACAAACTTGTAATCCCAGTTTCTCAGGAGGCTGAGGCACAAGAATCACTTGAGCAGAGAAGGCAGAGATTGAAGTGAGCCAAGATCCTGCCACTGCACTCTAGCCTGGGTGACAGAACAAGGTTCTGTCTCAAAAAACAAAACAAAACAAAAACTGGACATACAAAAAACATGGTATCTAGGTAAAAAATATCAAAATATGTTTTAAAATATAGAAAAATATATTCATTGTTAATTACCCATAAATACTGCCATTGAATATATTTTCCAACTGATATCTAGTACATATCTGTTAATATATTCTATTGAGGCTATCAATGAGTACTATATTTTTATAGAATTAGGGGGAGAAATTCCAAAATTAAATCTGATTTCTAATACTGACTCATTTTCCATAGTTTAAACAAGTTATATCATAAACATTATTTTATCTATATATACATCATGCATATAAATAGCAAATAGTTTCTAGGTATTTGTGTATTTGCACAATATGTAAGATAGCACTGTCTTGTAATTCTTAAACTCTCAGAAACATTGTTAGAGGCTGTCACTAGGTGAAAGTCTTGTTATCTAGATGGTAAATTTAAACTACCATAAATCTTACAACTATATATTCCTATAAACAAAAACATAGCAGAAGATACAACCAAAATATGAGACAAATATTTCCTTCTAAATCAGTCGTAAGTTTCTAAAAACACAACCAGTCAGTATTTGTAAAATATATTGTTAAAAGTAATTTTAAATTTTGTATCATAATTGGATCACACGTAAAATGGAAAATGATAAGCCATATGTTACCTTAAAAAACCAACAACTGAGTATTGGTATTTTTCTTTTTGACTAAATGTAGTGCCACTCAATTCCCTATTATACTCTTCCTTCATGGATACAACCAATGACTTTTCTCCATTAATCTATGAAACAACTTTTTGTTTTCACTCTTTGCACTACAGTTGTTAACAGTTCCCATAGAAATACTCATGGCTAACATTGAAAGAATAGTACTTGTATAGTTGCTTAGGACAATTATTCACCTATGTATGATATCTGTAAACCAAGAAGCTAATTCTGCTTAACTCACTGACTTCCCAGTTTTAATCCTTCCCCAGAGGAAATCTATGTGTGGGTAATTTTTGCCCTAGGGCACTTGCAGATTTATTCCTGATAATAAGAACTGAACAGCTAAGCTACAGCATGCAAATTCCTACTCCAGAAGCATGATTTTTAATGGTGTGTTATTATTTCAAAAACAAATTAAACAAGGGAGTTCTGTAGAACGCCAATTAACCAATTTAGGCAGCAACTTAATGCAAATCACTGCCCCTTACTTTCACCCAACATGATGTTTTGTGATTCTAAGTTGTCAGTCTCTAAGTGTACACCTATAGCAAGTGGCTGTTTAAAGTGACTCAAAGTTCCTACACAAGCTCCACTGGGATGCATATGTTAGGTATGGATTTTATTTTCATTTCCTACCTCTGCCACGTGGTTTTATTCCATCCAGTTTTATGCTTTCATACTATTAAAAACAGAATTGGATAAAAGTGTGGAAAGAACTCAGGACTAGGAATCATAAGAATGAGATTCTAACCCTAGCTCTATAGCAAATGATATTTGGCCTAAACTCTAGTTATAGGACAAAATGGTCACAAGGAAAACTATTTCATAAATTCAAGATTTTATGCACATTTCAAAACAAATCTAATGTGTATAGATGATTTTTCTGTTTATTTTTTTCCTTTAATTTTCTTTTTTTTTGAGACAGAGTTTCACACTTGTTGCCCAGGCTGGAGTGCAATGGTGCGATCTCACCTGGCTTTTCTTTAATTTTCATAGATTTTAATAGTAATTACAAGTCATTAGGGGTCAATTTCAACAGGAAACATTTAGAGACCTACCTCAAAAAATGTCTAGTCCCTGAATCTTTCGCACTTCCCTTAGATATTTAGAGTTTTCTCCATAAGTCCTCAGAAATTCTCATTTAAAATACTTTGATTTGTTGCACAAAAGTTCAATTGGATATAGTGCCTGAAATCACTTAAGCCAATGCATAACTACATATCCTCTGATAAGAAAGAAAAAATAAATGTAATGGATAAACATCGACACTGACGGGTAGGTAGGGACTTTATTAGAATTAATCCATTTCTGAGCATTTTTAGCTATCATTTAAAAATTAACCTTAGCATTTCTATAACATGAAAGATGTATACAGTATTTCAAAGTTTATATAGCACACAAGTGTACTGTAAGAATTGTACCTATTTCTGAGTATTTACATATACTTAGGAAAAATTATTTTAAGTGCAAAAATGAATAAGCCATTTGAATAAGCATTGAAAAAATTTGGACACTATAAGGAAATATAAGAGGAGAGATCAAATTAACTAGAAAACTAAAGAAAAGAGAGGAAGGCTGAAAACGAGAAGAGTAAAACACCACAGGACAAATAAATAACACTGTCAAACAAAAATAACAGCACAACACAGGAACATATCATAACTGATCTATAAAGTTCTTTGATAGTTTATTCCTCTCCCCTGCAAACACTTTATTCTATCAATAACAATTCTGTCCGTCAAAATGAAAAAAAAAAAAAGACTACTGCTCTGTTTTCAGCCTTTAAATAACCATTAACAAATTACAAGGACAGATATTTAGCAAAATCTGATTACACATTAATAAATTTTCATGGGGTCTTTGACAAGTTATGATGTTATTCTCACAAATATTTGATTCTCTGATTATTTCATTCATTAGATATTACATTTGGAAACAACAACAACATTTTAAGTTGTGTTTAGAATGTAAAGTTTGAATAAAATGCATTAATATTTTAGTGTTAATTTTTAAGATCTAATACAGTGTTATGTTTTCCCCTCATAAATCTAGAGATATCTATTCTCTGAATGGCACTTATCCCTTGTATCTTTTAACTACAGTTTCCTTTGTTCATCTCCTTGACTGAATTCCTTAATGACAGAATTTCATTTTTTTTCTTAATATCCCCACAACTACCACAAGGCCCAATACATTCTAGGAACTCATTAAATGTGTTTTGTATGGACAGACACACCATATATTGGTGGACTAGACTCACCAAAAGAAGCGAAGAGGACAAAGGAAGAAGTCGTGTTTTATTCCTAAACTTGAATCCCTTGAGAAAAAGCTCTTTTATTATTCACAGTCATCATTTTAGCAGTTACTACTGTGTCTGATATATATTAAATCTTCAAATAATATCTGCAGAATGAATGAGTGCTTGATTAATGGTGGAATTTCAGAGTATGTGATTCTTACACGTTACAGTTTGCAAGATTAATTAGAAATTTAGTGTTTTCATAAACTATTCTAACTTTAGTTCCTATGAATATATTTCTATGAAACTAAAAAAAAAATTACACAATTATATAAAATTAAACTCATTATTTTTATGGTCATCCCTTATACATCTTAATCATTGAGTAATCTAATATCTTCTCTGAAATGTATTCTAAGTATGATGCAACATCAGTATTGTCCATTTTGTTTTCTACAAATAGTTTTTTCTTTCACTTTTAATTATTTTACGTAAAGAATTATTTTTATTTAATCAAGTCAGTTCATCTTTTCCTTAATGACCGGTTCCCTTTCTTTTAGACTTTGAAATTCCTTTTCTTTCCATATATTTGGTAATATCAATTTTTTTTTCTAATTTACCAGTGGCTTGATTTTTTATTTTACTATTTCCAGTTGGGACCTATTTTTCTCTAATCATTTAGGTAAGAATCTAAATGATTTTCTTCTGCCTAAGAAAAATTCCAGACACCATTTATCAAAGATTATCTCCCTCCTCACAAATCTGAGTTGTCTCCTTGAAAATAGCTTTATATTATTATATATAATCACATCTTATCTATCCTAAGGGCAATGTCTATATCAGATTAAGAATGACTAACAAGAGAATTTGCCTGTTAACACTCTGTGTTGCACCAATATGATGGAATAAACTGCTAGGCACTTAATAATTTCTTTCTAATAACAAAATTCTCAATTGCTTTACCTGCTCTGAGATTTAAATATACTGCATATCCCACATGGTTAGCACAGTGTCTAACACTAAGCTCAAAAAGCATTTACTAAAATGAACTAAATTATGGCAAGGCTAACAGAAAGCCCCATGAGAAGAAAGACGTTTTAAACACAAGAAGGTGGAAGGTTCTTCCAAGTAATGAGAAAAGTTAAGTGGTAACAGGAGAATTTTACAAGAAACACACAACAAAAAAGTACAGATTTCATAAACTCTCTTCTTACCAATTACTATGTAAATATTACTGATTTTCAAGTAACTCCCCTTATAGTTAAGGTTAGTTTACACTTTCAGTAATGACAAAAATCACACTGACAAAATATACTTTAATTCTCATTCTTCATTAACTAACACATACTTAGTTCTTCATTGAAAAACTCTCATCTCTATTATGACATGAGAATGTTTCATTCATAAATGAAAATTGGAGACCCTAAATTTCAAACTCCGAAACATTATGACTACATTCAGTGTTTTCAAAGGAATCTTAATTTCAACTTTGTTCATCAAAATTTGTGAATCGATGGCCTGAGGAAATTTTCAGTAGAAATATGTTAAATTCAGTAAGGCATTATTTAGAGAGCATGTGTAATTTTCATTAAGCTGAATAGTGAAAAGATGAGATGCTATTTTATATTGGCCTCTGATATGGTTTGGCTTTGTGACCCCATCCAAATCTTATCTTGAATTGTAATACCATAATCCCCACGTGTCATGGGAGGAACCCCATAAGAGGTAACTGAATCAGAGTGAGTTCTCACAAGATCTGATGGTTTCATAAGCATCTGGCATTTCCCCTGCTGGCACTCATTCTCTCTCCTGCCACCCTGTGACGAGGTGCCTTTCACCATGATTATAAGTTTCCTGAGGCCTCCCCAGCCACACAGAACTGTGAATCAGTTAAACCTCTTTTCTTTATAAATTAACCAGTCCTGGGTATTTCTTCATAGCAGCGCAAGAATGGACTAATACAGCCTCAAAATACGAATTTATCAGGAAAACATTCTTCATTTCAAATAACATCTAATCAAATAGTGAAATCCATAACAAATGAACATATATTTTTTAGTCCAAAGTCAATATTGTCACCATCTCTCTCCTCTTCCTCTCCCTATGAAAAAAAAGACCTTCCAACTTTCATATTCTCAATAGGTAAGGCAATCTCTTGATTATGAATTTAATATATAAGACTCTTAAATATGTTTAGGCATATTATATCTTTTTAATAAGAACAACTGGTTGACAAGTAAACAGTAATCATGAAAGGGAAAGGCAAGTCTTTCAAGTTTGAAACCAAATTCCATTAACATAGAAAAATAAGGGGCATTCACAGGAAGGAAGTTTTTAAGGTCAGGTGATTCCTATTATTAGCCAGAGGAAGATGAAAATGTGATGGTGGCTCTTGACACTGAAAAGTGAGTATGGAGATACACGATCCTTTGTAGGGTTGATGTAGTTAAGCAAAAAGTCGTATTTTCTTGGAGCAGATCATCTATGATTGTCACAGAGGTTTTCAAAACTTAATAATCCTCAAACAGTAACCAGGTCTATTGATCCAGGTTGGCAGGGAGGGCAGGGAGGAGTTGGGGATAAAAAAGAGATAACTAACATTCACTGAGACAAGTATTATTAGCCCATCTTACAAATATGAAAATTTTGGTTTGAAGATTTTCAAGGAACAGGAAAAATTACACTGGTAACTGGAAGACGTATCAGGGTTTAAACACAAATTTATCTTCTTCCAAACATTATTCCCTCTTTACTATACCACATCAACAAATGCTTCTGTCAGAAGAAATCTACGAAGTCATATATAGAAAATTATAGGATAATATAACCTAGGTGATATTTTCGTATCTCCTACTCATTGAACGTAATGATACTGCACAATAAACACAAATATGGCAAAGAAAAAGCTGGTTGTGACATGTTTCTACAAAGTGCAACATGTGGTTCTGAACAACACTTGGGATTCAGTCCACAGTGAGAGGCAACTTAGGCCTAGTGGTGTGGACTGAGACTATTACAGCCAGCAAGATACTAGCAAAGTAATTTAATACTCAAATTTGACTGTAAAATTAAAATTCCAGATGATGAAAAAAATATGTATGACAATGACAACAAAAAAATAAAATTACAGTAATAGTAATTAATCAGGAAACAAATTTGAGAGCAATAATTTTGTCCTCACACTTGATGAAATAACATAGTAAAGCAAAGACACAAAGTGATCTTGGTATTTTAAAACAAAGGGAAATGTTGTAAATGGAATTTTGTGATCCCTCCCTCTTTTGTTGACACTCACCAATTCCCCCTACACACTGTCACCAACACACATACACTCACACTCATATTGGTACTTTCTGAAGACAAGTACTGTTCCCAGGGCCATCTTTCTTCAAGCACTCATGGCAGTGCCATAAACTTAGCTGTTCAATAAATGCTTGCTGAATGAATAGAACCAAATGACAGAGAAAGTGGAACTACTCAATTCCTATTTAGTTCTATCAAGGAGAATGATCCTTAAACTGGAAAAGGTATAGTAAACATAGCTAAGAGCCAACTGAAGCCTAAGATAGATGGAAAGAAAGTGTACATGTCTGTCTTACATGAATAATTATAACTCCTCAGTCCTAGACAAATTATAACCCAGAATTTTCTGATGAAGTACAGATATGATCACTGACTATGACAGAAGGATGACATGGAAAAATAAATCTTGCTTCTCAAGGAGTATAGAAAATAGAGAATGGAGACAGTCATGTAATTTCCTAGAAAATCTGTAGAACACATTCTTTTAAAAATTATTATTTAGATGATTTGTGAGATCATATAAAAGGAAGCACTGATACAGCTATCATCAGTTCATTAAAAGGTCATGCCATATTTTAATTTAATTTTTTATTAAAATTACTAACCTGTAACATTTGGACACCCAAAGTTATTGACAGGAATAGCCAACACTCATTGAACACAACTTTATGCCAAGAATTACATATTTTTTATTTAATCCTCATAATAATGTTATGAGAAAAAATATTATTGGAATTTTAAAGATGAGGATACTGGGGCATACAAAGTTAAAGCAACCTGCCCAAGTTTATGGGGTTAGTCAATTATGGGGCTAGGATTCAAACCCAGTACTCTCTATTTGCAGAGGCCTTATTTTTATAACCACTATGCATACCAATTAATATAAAATCTCTTAAAAAAAATTGATAGTCTCATGGAATTTTTGTAGAAAAAAATAGAAAACAATAGGCTGGATCACCTCTCAATCAGGTAGTTTCAAAACAGACTAAACAGTTGCCCAAGACTCTAATTTATTAGAAGATCTTTATCAATGTGGAGTAACTGTTTCTAGTACCATGCGTGAGGATTCTATATTTGGACTCAAACTGTTTATAACATTGTTATCAATGAACTGGATGAGGACATAGGAGGCTTATAACTACATAGGCTTACAAACTGCATACATCTTGGAGTTACAATGTTTCTTTTAGAAGACAGAGTAATTTTAAAGGACCCAAAGGGATTTACAGAAAAACTTATATTTATAGGTTGAAATATAAAAAAAAAAAGTAAGGTTTTAACCTTAAGTTACAATTATAAAAGTCAATTTTGAAAACAGAAATGAAAAATAATAACCTATCATGTTTTAACCATCAAATTAATAGACACTGCAGATAGGAGCACTGCTGGAGGGCACTTGGGAACTTTCTCTGAAAAGATTTTAAAATATACCTGCCCTTTGACCTACCAATCCTACTTCTAGGAATTCTTCATAAGAAAAAAAATAAAAATAACTAAGGATGTATGAAAGCATTCCTCTGACTTATTTATAATAGCCCAAATTGAAAACAACCAAAATGTCCAACAAAAAGGAAGCATTAAAACAAATTACAGAATCAATTAATGATGGAGCATCTATACAGTAGAATACTTTTCATTTAAAATGCAGACACCCTGAAATAAATTCAGAGATCCCTGAAATAAAGCTGCACACCTACAACCAACTGGTCTTCAATTAAGTTGACAAAAATAAACAATAGGAAAAGGATACCCTATTCAATAAACGGTGATGGGAAAACTGGCTGCAGAAGAATGAAACTGGACTCCTACCAGTTAAGATATACAAAAACTAACTGAGGAAGGATTAGAGACTTAAATGTAAGATCTCAAACTATAAAAGTCCCAGAAGGAGACCTAGGAAATACCATTCTAGACATTGATCTAGTCAAAGAATTTATGACTAAGACTTCAAAAGCAAATGCAACTAAAACAAAAATTGACAGCTTCTGCACAATAAAAGAAACTATCAATGGAGTAAACAGACAACCTACAGAATGGGAGAAAATATTTTCAAGCTATGCATGCGACAAAGGACAATTATCCAGAATCTCTCAGGAATATTAACAAATCAACAAGCAAAAACCAAATAACCCCATTAAAAAAGTAGGCAAAGAACGTGAAGAGGAACTTCTCAAAAGAAGATATAGAAATAGCCAACACACATATGAAAAAGTGCTCCATATCACTAATCATCAAAGAGATGCAAATCAAACCCACAATGAGATACCATCTCACACCACTCAGAATGGTTATTCTTAAAAGTGAGAAAATAACAGATGCTGGCAAGGTTGTGGAGAAAAGGGAATTATACACTGTTGGTGGAAATTCCTGTATGGATATATAGTAGTGTTAAGAACACTGTAACTAACTGAGTACAATTTAGAATTTTCTTTCTGCTTTTAAAAAATTTAATTTTTCGGTGTTAAGTAAATGAGAAATACAAGAATACTTTAAAAAAAAACTTTCAAAGTACTATAAAGATGGTAATTGTAGAGACAATATAATAGCAGTTTGTGTAAAAAAAATAGTGGTTCATATGAAAAATATCTACATACTCTGATGAACCTCAAATTCAAAATGAGACAACAATGTGTCTTAGATACCAAAGGAACTGATATGTCTTAGAATTAAAACACACACACACATACACAAACCTCCATTTAACACAAACCAGGTGAGAGCTTCACTATCCTTAAAATATTCAGGGCCAGGCACGGTGGCTCATGCCTGTAATCCCAGCATTTTGTGGGGCCAAGGCGGGCGGATCACGACGTCAAGAGATAGAGACCATCCTGGCTAACACGGTGAAACCCCGTCTCTACTGAAAAAACAGAAAAAATTAACTGGACTTGGTGGCGGGTACCTGTAGTCCCAGCTACTCGGGAGGCTGAGGCAGGAGAATGGCGTGAACCCAGGAGGCAGAGCTAGCAGTGAGCTGAGATCCCGCCACTGCACTCCAGTCTGGGAGACAGAGCGAGACTCCATCTCAAAAAAAAGAAAAAAAAAAAAATTAGCCAGCCGTGGTGGCACACGCCTGTAGTCCCAGTTATTCCGGAGGCTGACGCAGAAGAACCGCTTGAACCCGGGAGGCTGAGGTTGCAGTGAGCCGAGATCACACCACTGCACTACAGCCTGGGCGACAGAGCGAGACTGTCTCAAAAAAAAAAAGACCCTGTCTGGAGACTGGTGTTTGCTTCTACATACCACATTTCTAATAAATGATGTCCAGAGGAGAAGTAGTATGATCAAGCAGTATTATAAAGGAAATTATATCCTATGAAGGATAGCCAAAAGAACAAAGAACCTTTATCCTGTCTCTTTCTCAAATAACTTAAAGGCTTTTATTTAAATAATGGTCACAGAATATAGTTAGGCCGGGCACGGTGGCTCACGCCTGTAATCCCAGCACTTTGGGAGGCCAGGGCGGGCGGATCACCTGAGATCAGGACTTCGAAACCAGCCTGGCCAACATGGTGAAACCCCGTCACTACTACAAGTACAAAATTTAGCCAGGCATGGTGGTGGGTGCCTGTAATCCCAGCTACTCGGAAGGCTAAGGCAGGAGAACAGCTTGAACCCGGGAGGCGGAGACTGCAGTGAGCCTAGATCGCGCCACTGCACTCCAGCCTGGGTGACAAGAGTGAGACTCCGTCTCAAAAAAAAAAAAAAAAAGAATATAGTTATGATCCAATACATATAAGTCAGGGAAGAGGTAAATCTGGGTATATTTTAGCCTTATATGAAAATGAATTCTGACCAGGCACAGTGGCTCACACCTGTAATCCCAGCACTTTGGGAGGCCAAGAGGGGCAGATCACCTGAGGTCAGGAGTTCGAGATCAGCCTGGCCAAAATGGTGAAACCCCATCTCTACTAAAAGTAAAAAAATTAGCCAGACATGGTGGCAGGTGCCCGTAGTCCCAGCTACTTGGGAGGCTGGGACACAAGAATTGCTTGAATCCAGGAGGCAGAGGTTCCACTGAGCCAAGATCTTGCCACTGCACTCCAGCCTGGGCAAGAGTGAGACTCTGTCTCAAAAAAAAAAAAAAAAGAAAAAGAAAGAAAGAAAGAAAATGAAAATGAATTCTAACACTACTTAGCAACGGAATACACTGGCTCAAGTAGGAACATGAACTCTCTTCACACTCACATTCCTCATAACAATCTGACCCCTTATTTCAAGGAAGCAATTTGAATTTTGAGTACCTCTAGGCTAGTAATATCCAGTTACCAGATTGTGTCCTACCTTAGACAGATTTTCTTTGGGCTTTCTTTTTGGAATTAAATGAACAAAACCGCCTACCTGATAAGTTAATCAAGTCCCTATCAATAGCAGTGTTCAGACATGAGAAATATCCAATTTGTGGGGATACTGTAGAAGACAGCTTTTGCTTAAGAGAGAATTGGACTAAGCAATAATGTATTTTTCTAAAATAAACATCCCACAATTTTTGTCTTAACCTTTACCATATCAAAATATACATAACATTAATAAGGATAACACTGAAATTCCTAAGAGGGAGTTTAGAGCATTATTCCTAAAAAAAAAATTTTGTTCAGCCATATTTATTAATAATTCTGTTAGAGATATTTTATGTGATATAAACATGAATATATTTTATTCCCTTCTTTTTATACACAGGGCATCTTATACATATTGTTTTGCAGTTTGCTTTTTTCACATAAGAATAAATCTTAGAGAGTTTTCAGTTCAGTAAACAGTTTTATCATCATTTTATATAGCTATATAGTATTCCATTTTATGGAAGTATAATTGTTTATTTAACCAATTCTTAGTCGTTATTCAGGTTCTTTTTTTTTTTTTTTTTTTTTTTTTTTAACTGAGATGGAGTCTTGCTCTGTCACCCAAGCTGGAGTGCAATGGTGCAACCTCAGCTCACTGCAACCTCTGCCTCCCGGGTTCAAGCAATTCTCCTGGTTCAGCTTCCCGAGTAGCTGGGATTATAGGCATCCGCCACCACACCCGGCTAATTTTTGTATTTTTAGTAGCCACGGGGTTTCACCATGTTGGCCAGGCTGGTCTCAAATTCCTGATCTTGTGATCCACCCGCCTTGGCCTCCCAGAGTGTTGGGATTACAGGCGTGAGCCACCACACCCGGCCTCAGGTTGTTTCTAATCCTTGCTATTACAATGTTGCAAAAGTAATATTATAAATCCATCATATCTCACATATAAAAATATCTGCTGAAATGAAAATGTCATGTTAAAGGGTGTATATATGAGAGTAATTTTCATAACTATTAATAAACTGCTTTCCAAAGAACTGATACTTTTTACTCCCATTAGCAATATATGAGTACTTGAAGTTTCTCAGTGTTTGGAAAATACAGAGTTCCACAATGTTCAATCTGAAAAGACTCTCATTTCAAGATAGACTACATAAACCATAAAAAAAAACAACTTCTAATGCGTCCTGCTTTCATTAATCTAAGACAGTGCAGACAGTGGACAATATTCTAAAAGTATCATCATGACTTCACCAAAAGGAATCATAACTTCACCAAAGTGCTGTTAAAAGGAAAAATGAAGCAACCTATAACAGTAACATTTATATAAAGAACTATGTGTTTAAATATGGGTAAACAAATGTCTCGTGTATGAAACCTGATCTCTCTTTAATAAACCCCTCCAACCCGAAGTTTGTTAAGGTTGATAATGAAGAGAAAGTCCTCATATGGGGCAGGAGTCACCCGGGCCTTGAGCACAACTATCATTTCCTACAATTCAATGTTCTCACTGGGGGTCCTAATTAGGGTTGTCACAGGAGGTGCATTCCAGGAAAACAGGAATACTACATCTTTCCCTTAATCCTTTAATTGTCTCCTAGTACAAATGAGACAGTACTATCAAACAACATGATACAATTTAAATGTGTCATAGCAACTACTAGTGGTCACCTGAAATCCATTTTCCCCTGCTTCACAGTAAGAGTTTTAGCTGAATGAGTGGCCACTCATAGAGAGATTGCATTTCTGGCTTCCCTTGCAGCCATAGGTAGCCATGGGACAAAGTTCTAACCCAGGGGGGGTCCAATCTTTTGGCTTCCCTGGGACACACTGGAAGAAGAAGAATTGTCTTGGGCCACACATAAAATACACTGGCATCAAGGATAGCTGATGAGCAAAAAAAAAAAAAAAAAATCTCATAATGTTTTAAGAAACTTTATGAATTTGTCTTGGGCCACATTCAAAGCCGTCTTGGGCTGCATGTGGGCCACAGGTTGGACAAGTTTGTTCTAACCAATGGAATGTGAAAATGTGTAACTACTGACTATGTGCTGAAATGGAAATTACTTCTGTTCTTTCCTCCCTTTCTTAAATTTGGATCATAGGAGAATGCAGAGCAGAAAGAACTTGAGACCTGGTAACCTTGTTTGAAGTTAACCACTTTGACAGTCTGGACTACTCTACCACCACTGTGTGAAGGAGAAATAAGCTTCTACCTCATTTAAGCCAGTGTAACTGTTGGGTCTCTTTGGTATGGCAATTTTGGTTCTGCAAACAGGAACAGACACACACAAACACACAGAAACACACTGAAAACTGGCTAATGGAGGTATTAAGAAAATGGAGGTATTAGAAACTTTTTTAGTAATACTAAAAAAAAAGTGTGTATATCTTTAGTTATGAGGGTGTAAGACCACAAGTAAAAAATAAAGATGAGTACAAATACATTAACAAAATATTTGAAAGCTGACTAAAATAGAAGATTAATATATTTTCTATGCTCAGAAAATGGACATAACATTACAAAAGTATTAAAAGAAAAACTATGCTGTAGTTCAAACATCTTATTTTTATGCTGTAATTCAAACATCTTATTTTTTATTCAAATGGTTACTTATCACAGCAGAAAATCAGAATAATTCAAACCTAACAACTATTTGGAAACATTTAAATTCATTTAAACTTTCAGTGATTTATATAACAAATTTGGTATCTTAGCTTGAACTAAATAGTAACAGATAAGAATTTATAAGAAAAGATGTTGAAATTCATTCAGTAAACATAAGTGAATACGAACTCTGTATTAGACAGATACCGGGCTGGCCTTTGGGATACAAAGGTGAATAAAAACAGTCCCGGCTTGGGAGACAATCACTAGCAAATTTCATTAATTGTGCTGATATATACAGATAAAACTTTTCAGTTCAATTTTATCAAAATTACCTTTTTTCAATACCAATTACTCAATTATTCTTAACACACACATGCAAATGAACACACACACAGAGAATCATAACTATATACTCAATCTCTTTAAGGATCATTCAAAAAAAAGTTTTCATTGTGCATAAAAAAGTTTTAAAATTTAAAAAACATTAATATAATAAATATTCACATTACATATACTTTAAAATTACCAATATACTTTAGTCATTAAAGCATTGTTCCTGAAGTAAGATACCAAAGTTTTTAGGCCTTTATATATAAACCATCTGCTTGACAAAGATGGTAAAATGTTTAAAAATAACAGCATGGCCACTAACTGCTTCCTTTCTATTCTGAATGAATTTATTCTAATTATTAGAGGAAGGAAAATATGGTCTAACACTTGGACATTATATTTCCATTAACATTTTTACCTGAAGAGTGAATCCTAATAGGACATCTTAGAGTACTGTTATCTACCTGAAAATGATAAATATTTAATCTAATAAAATATAAATTACTATATGTATTGCATGTTAATCTAACATTCAATTAAAATATTGTCAAAAATCAAACATTTTATTAGTTTTAATTAATTTTAATGCATTCAAATCCTGGAGAAACTAGTTGTTATACTAGACAGCTAGTTTCTGCCAAATAAAAACATAATTATAACAACCTTATTCATTTTAATAACCAATTTAAAGCTTACAAACTACTCTACCACTGGACTATCCCACCACTGTTATGTGATGGAGAAATAAGTTTCTATTTTATTTAGGTAAATGTAAATAGTTTAATGATAAGACCACTTTCCCATCCCCCGACCCCCCAGAAGTTACTATTAACAAATTAGGTAAAATTGCACCAAAAAAAAAAAAAATGAATCCAACAACTTTAAAAAATGATCATTTCAGAGTTAAACTTACGGCAAAGTTTTTGTGCTATAAAAACTACTACTGTTTATGCTTAAAAAATTAGATACAGATTGGAATAAGGTTAGAATACTGCAGTCTCATGTGTATTATTTTTTAAAACATAAAACACTTTTAAGGGGACTTAAACATTAGTTCGTGAAATCAGTTTCCAAACCAAAGAAAATAAGGCCAATATTTAAAAATAATAATAATAAAGGTTGAAATCAAGAAATACTATAGCTCAAAAATGAGATGGTTTTCTGGAATTCCTTATTTTCCTGACCAATATGTTTATCAGCTTCCTAAGTTTACCTTTAACTTCCAGTGATTCAGTGTATTTCTTACTTTACTTCATGTTCTTCAATCACTTCTTTTTAAACAGGCACTTAAGAGAGAAAGCAAATTTAAAAATCTGAATACAAAAGAAAAATAGAAAAAAGATAATCTTGGCCGGGCCCGGTGGCTCACACCTGTAATCCCAGCATTTTGGGAGGCCGAGGCAGGCGGATCACAAGGTCGAGATCAAGACCATCCTGGCTAACACGGTGAAATCGCGTCTCTACTAAAAATACAAAAAATTAGCCAGGCGTGGTGGTGGGCGCCTGTAGTCCCAGCTACTCGGGAGGCTGAGGCAGGAGAATGGCGTGAACTCGGGAGGCAGAGCTTGAAGTGAGCCAAAATTGCAACACTGCACTCTAGCCTGGGTGACAGAGCGAGACTCCGTCTCAAAAAAAAAAAAAAAAAAAGATAATCTTTAGGGTATAGCATTAAATGTAGTATTTAGGATTCTCACAAAAGAACTTGAGATATGCCTACAAATCAGGTATTCTTCATTCAACCTATGGCTTTCCTTCCTTGCAATTTGATAGCTATTTCTTAAACAAATAATTTAAGAAAATTCATATTCATTTATCTAACAACCCTTCAACTTGATTCCCAGTCTTCTTGTGAAGCTTGACTATAAAGGTCCTTCTCATGTAGATGTTATTTTTCATGGTTCTTTTATCATTTTCTCTCACTGTTCCAACATTATTACTGTTTCCAACAAGTGGAAGGCTTTCTACATAGCAGGACAAAAGTATACTGAGCAGAGATAGTTGAGGACCATAAGCAGTCCTGCTGGTTCTTCCCCACAGGATATAATGTACTATAATGCAGATTTTGCTTGATTCTCTGCAGGATCTCACAAAATCTGCAAACCTCCCCTGCAGATTCAGTAACAAAACTGTATTTTCTTAACTGTCTACTCTGTACAATGGTTTGTTTTACATAGCATTCTTCTAAAGAAGGTGATTCACTGCACACTGGTTATCAGAGGCTATGCAATTACTTTTACTTTTAAACTCTGCATGTTCCCATGGCTAATTAAAGCCCAGAGATATACAGACTGCTCATAAATTGCTTTATAATGATATGACAGAACTCTGACAATGAAGCAAAGAGGATTACTGAATTATCATTTTTATAAAGTCTACTAGCGCCTTTATTTTATAATCAGTCTATCAATTAAAACACAAACAATTAAAACCATAATGTTGTAAGACCCTTCCCAATTCTAACTCTTATTAACATGAATTGGCTTACTTTAGCTAGTCGCTGCATGCTAATACTTGTTTAAATGGTCCTTTCAACTTTTCCTACTTTCACTTCAAGAAAGTGCCATGAGAGCTATTATCTCAAATTCAAAGACGCATATCTTGACACCTCTCTAACAACACTGACTTAATTCTCTAAATTAATTCTTGGCAATTTTGAATCCGGATCTATCTTTATTTTTCAGAGTATCAGCCATTTTACAGAGGGATAACTATGATACTGAAGATTTTTCCACTTCGTCTTATGTCCCTAAAAATTTCTTTATAAAAATACATAGTATCTGCAACAAATATTATATATTTTGAGAATTGCTCTACTATTAAATCAACTTTAAAATAATCATAGAGAGGAGAAACTCTAATTCTGATTTCAACAGATTTGTGAAAACTAATGGTTATGTATTCTGATTTGATTTCCATTTGGAAAGAAGGTGGCTACATCATTATACACAATGAAGCTGTTTTTGTGTTGAGTTCTGAAGGATTTTGCAACAACCAAGGACAAACGTTCCAATAACCATACCTTTGTGGAAATACGGGATAACATTGAAAAAGAAATATTTAAGAAAAAATATTTAAAAACAAAAATCAGAATTCTCATATAAGCAAACTACTAATCTTCTCATTCTTTCTGTATTAAAAATATATTAAATGACAGAATATTTTCAAATATTAAAAATAAGAAATATTTTTAAAAACCTGAGGAAGAATAAATCATCTTATTATAAGACAAATTCCTAAAATAGTCTAAGTAGAATACAACCATAAGAACACACAATATCCATCTCAAATTGCTATTTTAATGAGATATGAAATTCCTAGTATATAGATGATAAGTTACTTGTGTTTAAAAGTGATTTTCACATACAGATATTTGAAGAACAATAAACTCACACACATTCACATGCATACACACACACAGTGTGGGAGGGAATAAAGAGAAAGAGTACTGTTGTCTTAGAAGTTCTTTAAAGTATATAAGGGCACTATAGTATAGAAATTCCAAAGCTATCAAGAGCATCATGTTAAGTGCAGACCTTGGTTAATGATCATATTTCATGGCTATTTTCAGAAATAACTACAACATTAAATTTTATTTCACATTCAGTTGTAATATAAGTTACTACAAAGTTTGTAAAAACGAATGTTGACAAAAGGAAAGTTTTCAAAAGAAACACATGTAATTTTGAATAGCAATCTACTTCTATCTAAAGTAACAGTATTTTTCCAGTATGAGTAAAAAAAATCTTAAACCAAGGAAAAATCCGCAAAGCATTCAAGGGGGATAAAGGTGCAAGCATTTTGTTCCACAGTCTTACCCACAATACTACCCATCGTTTCCTACAAACTGATAAACTTTATTGAAAAGAATATGATTATTAAATCTAGATATGACACACATAGCCAATAGAATGTTTATGAAAAACTGCTGTTATATTCTTGAGACTAATAAAACAAATAAATTATACATAAAATATCAATACTTAATTCCTGCAGTCATCAGTATTAACATTGGCATAAAACATTCATTTTGCATACAACTCAGGTAAAATGCTTCATACTAGAAAAAAATTAAACTGTACACTGAATGAGTACTATTTCATTCCCTACATTCTATTTAGATCTTCACATATATTATCTCAAAGCATACTTATGGCCCTCAAGCTGCATAAGGACCTTCTGTTGAAGTTCATTGTAACTTGATGGAATGAGCTATATATACTTTGCATAATTGCAGAGCATCCATTACAAGTAAGCTGAAGCTGTCATACTAGTAGTACGGAACAAGGGGTTTTTCAGATTACAAAGAATAGGGAGGGAAAAATTCCAGGAATTAGCCAGCATCTAACTGGGGGGATGGAAGGAGGAAAGAAAAATCTAATCTTAAGTAAAGTCTTTTAAATAAGCTTACTCAATTGAAGAGGAAAGCCTCAACAAAACAAACTCACACTAATTTAAAATTTTAATATTTTTGCAAACAAGTGTTCAACAACAGAGAAATGGGTAGGTTTATTATGGCCCAGCCAGATGATGTAGTATAAAGTCAAAAAAAATTACGTTTATAAAGTTTAAAATAATACTTAAGCTGTTCTCTATATGTTGAAAAAGCAGAATATTACCATTTCTTTTATTGTTTCAAAACCGTAAGAAAAAAAAAGAAAAAAGAAGGAAAAAAATGCCAAGACTTAACATTGCTGCTCTAGGTAGTAAATTATAGGTGTTTTGTTTTTCTATTTCTTTATATGCTTCTAAGCTTTCTGAATCTATAGTGACCATTATTGTGATTAGAAAAATGTTTACAAACATGTTTTTTTCAAAATAGAATACTTTATTTTTAAATAGTTGTACTTTTCTATCAAAAAATGACACAATAAACGTCTTAAATATGCAAGACCTGTATCACTTGGTTCTATCTAAAGTCCTTCAAATAGGAATAAATGCTAAATGCTTCAATTTTTCCCATACTGTTTTAATACATGAACAAACTAACCAAATATAAAACTCATATTTGAATTCTTTCCCATTCTGATCCAAGAACAAAACACATTTAGGGTTTATATGATATGAAAAGAAAAAAATACTACTACTACTTTAGACAGAAGTAGATTGCTAAAAAATCTTAGTATGCTTTAGTCTACATGTTTAATTCCAGATGCCATGACTCTTAATGTACTCTATCATAATCCTCTTGCTGAGAATTATTTATTGGATGTATTGAAGAAGAGAAGACTGTTTTGGGTTTAGCTTGCTTTTTCATTTTGAATTAGCAGCATGTATTTATGTTCTCATAAAGTCATATAATCTATAAAGTAGGTTTCCTTTTAATCTCAGGAATGTTTCCAGCTAATGTTTCCTATTAACATGTTAAGACAACTTTCCAAAAACTTAAATAACTTTTTCACATCATTTCATAATTATACAGCACATACAATATAACATCCAGGTAGTTTTAAAAACATGAACAAAAGGCAAGACTGGTGTCTGTCATTGGGAGTTCTAATACTACTTTGTAAAGCTTCAGTTGAATCCCATTTCAAAGACTGCAACCAAGTGAAGAAACTATCTTTGAAGCTTACAGTGGTATACTACATTTAAGGATCCTAAAGTGCTTTAAAAATCAGCATTTCTATCCCCATTTTGAGGGTGAAGAACTCAGCAATTCTACAATCGAGCTAAAATTACTGAATAAATCCAGTGCAGACTTCCAGAATTCCAAATAAGCATTCCCTCAAGTCAGTGTCCAGTGCATGTTCACATGCAAACCTCACTGACACTGAGAAAGCCAACTAAATAAACAGCCTTCATTTCATTTCCCTACTTTCCCACTATCCTCAAAGCGGACATCTCCTCCATTGTAAGACATACTAGTCTCGGGTTCTCTCTCATCCCAGACAGCTAGTCCCTCATATCACTCAGTCTTCTAGTAACAGGCTTCACCTGGGCCTTTTCTCTTTAAACAGCACTGCAGATACTGGATGAGCATTTCCTACACCATCAGATTTCATGGACCTGTAAAGTTAAAAACAAAGCAAAACAAACAAAAAAAATGAAAAGACATAAAAGGACTACCAACTTTTTATTCTGTCAATAATGTTCTTAATATATAAAAGAGTAGAACAGATATAATCAGAATAAAAGATAATGAAAAAGCTCACTGCATAATCTTTATTTTCCCATTTTGTCAAAGACCAGTGAAAATTTCCTAAAGAACCTGGGAACCACACTTCTGGATCATCCCTTTTCTCCAACTCACCTCCCCCTACTCTCTTGCCCAACCTCCACCCTAGAAGAAGGCTAGCTTGCTACTTTGATCATGTTAGTAACCCCAGGAAACATAATAGAGGCTTGAAGAAAAAATATTAACTAAATTAGGAAGCAATCCTGAGGGACAGGAGATGAGGCTATAGTCTAATAAAAGGCTAATTGCAATCAGCCTTATTCATTGGGCTATTAGGTTTGGTTTCATCCATAAGGCAGTGAAGCAGCCACAACAGATTAAACAAAAGTGTAACAGTATTAGATGAGCAGATATCAGAAAACTGTTGATAGATGGTAACTTCTAAAATCTCCCAAGTCTTTCACTCACAAGAAAATTCTGTGAGTAACCTGGACAAAGACTTCACAATCCTACATTATTGATTCCCTTGACCTACCTTGGAGCTTGGCAAAGAACAGAGACTTAAAATGGTTTCATCATAGCCCATAACTGATCTTACTGATCTTTTCTTTCAGAAAACTGTGGAGAACAAGAAAATGATGAAAAGGGAGAGGGAAAGAAAAGGAAAATAACATTTATTAAGTATTGGATACCAAGCAATACAACAGGTGCTTTATATACATAATGTAACTTCAAAATAAGTTTGTGAAATAGGAAAAATCATTCCCATTTTAGAGAGAGGAAAATACAGGTGAGTCAAGTTGTCAGGAATCACAGAGAAATACAACACTGAGGTAGAAAACTGCCATTTAAACACAGACTTGACTAACTCCAGAGACACTCAATGTAATGTAGGATAATGCAGTTTCCCACATGCTATCTTTTTCTTACAATAACCCTTATATAGTGAACTATTAATAATACTTTATAAATTAAAAAAATTCATTTTTCACTTTTAAGTTCAAGGGTGTATGTGCAGGTTTGTTATATAGGTAAATTGTATCAAGGGGGTCTGTTGTACAGATTATTTCTCCACCCAGGTATCAAGCTTGGTACCCATTAGTTATTTTTTCTGATCCTCTCCCTCTTCCCACCTTCTACCCTCCAATAGGCCCACGTGTCTGTCATTCACCTCTATGTGTCCACGTGTTCTCATTATTTAGCTCCCACTTATAAGTGAGAACGTGTGGTACTTGGTTTTCTGTTCCTCTGTTAGTTTGCTAAAGATAAAGGCCTCTATGTTCCTGCAAAAGACATGACCTCTTTTTTTTTTTGTTTTTTTGAGACGGAGTCTCACCCTGTCACCCAGGCTGAAGTGCAATGGCACGATCTTAGCTCACTACAACCTCCACCTCCCGGATTCAAGCAAATCTCCTGAGTAGCTGAGATTACAGGTGCACACCACCACACCCAGTAAATTTTTTGTATCTTTAGCAGAGATGGGTTTCACCACATTGGCCAGGCTGGTCTTAAACTCCTGACCTCATGATCTGCCCACCTCAGCCTCCCAAAGTGCTAGGACTACAGGCATGAGCCTCCGTGCCCGGATGATCTCACTCTTTCTATGGCTGTATGGCTGCATTGTATTCCATGGTGAGTATTTACCACATTTTCTTTATCCAGTCCACCACTAAGGGGCATTTAGGTCAATTCCATGGCTTTGCTATTGTAAACACTGCTGCAATTGACACATGCATGTGTCTTTATTATAGAATGATGTATATTACTTTGGGTACATAAACAGTAATGGGGTTGCTGGAAGGAATGGTACTTCTGTTTTTAAGCCTTTGAGGAATCACCACACTGTTTTCTACAATGGTTGAACTAATTTACACACCCAACAACAGTGTCTAAGTGTTCCTTTTCCTCCACAACTTCACCAGCACCTGTTATTTTTTTACTTTTTAGTAATAGCCATTTTGACAGGTAGGAGATGGTATCTCATTGTAGTTTTTATTTGCATTTCTCTAATGATCAGAGATGTTGAGCTTTTTTTCATATTCTTATTGACCATATGTATCCTATCTTTTGAAAAGTGTTTATGTCCTTTGCCCACATTTTAATGGGATTATTTTTTCTTGTAAATTTGTTTAAGTTCCCTGTAGATGCTTGATATTAGTCCTGTGTCAGATGCACAGTTTGCAAACATTTTCTCCCATTCTATAGGTTTTCTGTTTACTCTGTTGATAGTTTCTTTTGCTGTATAGAAGCTCTTTAGTTTCCTTTTGTCACTTTTTTGCTTTTGCTGCAATTGCTTTTGGTGTCTTCATCTTGAAATCTTTGCCCATTCCTGTGTCCAGAATGGTATTGCCTAGGTTGTGTTCCAGGGTTTTTATAGTTTTGGGTTTTACATTTAAGTCTTTGATCCATCTTGAGTTGATTTTTTTTATATGGTATAAGGAAGGGGTCCAGTTTCAATCTTATGCATATGGCTACCCAGTTATCCCAGCACCTTTCCCAAATGAATAGGGAGTCCTTTCCCCATTGCTTATCTTTGTCAGGTTTGTTGAAGATCAGGTGATTGTAGGTATGTGGCCTTATTTCTGGGCTATTTTGTTCCATCAGTCTATGTGTCTGGGTTTGTACCAGTGCCATGCTGTTTTGGTTACTGTTGTCCTGTGGTATAGTTTGAAGTCAGGTAGAGTGATGCTTCCTGATTTTTTTTTTTTTTTTTTTTTTTTGCTTAGGATTGCCTTGGCTGTTGATTCTCTTTTTGGATCCATAGGAATTTTAAAACAGTTTTCTAGTTGTGTGAAGAATGTCATTGGTAGTTTGATAGAAATAGCATTGAATCTATAAATTGCTTTGGGCAGTATGGTCATTTTAACAACATTGATTCTTCCTATCCATAAGCATGGAATGTTCTTCTATTGTTTGTGTCATCTCTGATTTCTCTGAGCAGTGTTTTGTAGTTCTCATTACAGAGATCTTTCACCTCCCTGGTTAGCTGTATTCCTAAGTATTTTATTCTTTTTGTGGCAACTGTGAATGGGATTGTATTCCTGATTTGCCTCTTGGCTTGACAGTTGTTGGTGTATAGGAATGCCAGTGGTTTTTGTACACTGACTTTGTATCTTGAGACTTCACTTAAGTTGTTTATCAGCTTAAGGAGCTTTTGGGCTGAGACTATGGGGTTTTCTACATATTGAATAATGTCTGCACACAGGAATAGTTTGATCCTTATTTGGATGCCCTTTTTTTCTTTCTCTTGCCTGACTGCTCTGGCCAGGACTTCCAATACTATGTTGAATAGGAGTGGTGAGAGAGAACATCCTTGTCTTGTCTTGGTTTTCAAGGGGAATGCTTACTGCTTTTGCTCATTCAGTATGATGTTGACTGTGGGTTTCTCATAGATGGCTCCTATTATTTTGATGTATGTTCCTTCAATACCT
The DNA here is from genome assembly GCF_000001405.40 of Homo sapiens. Lineage (NCBI taxonomy): Eukaryota > Metazoa > Chordata > Mammalia > Primates > Hominidae > Homo > Homo sapiens. The sequence goes on along the minus strand of NC_000003.12, from coordinate 174,455,700 downwards.
AGTTTATAGAGAGCTTTTAACATGAAGGGGTGTTGAATTTTATCAAAAGCCTTTTCTGAATCTATTGAGATGATCATATGGTTTTGTCTTTAGTTCTGTTTATGTGATGAATCACACTTACTGATTTCTGTATGTTGAACCAACTCTGCACCCTAGGGATAATGCCTACTTGATCATACTGGATATGTTTTTGATGTACTGCTATACTCTGTCAGTATTTTGCTGAGGATTTTTGCATTGATGTGCATCAAGGATGTTGGCCTAAAGGCTTTTCTGTGTGTGTCTCTGCCAAGTTTTGATATCAGGATGATGCTGGTCTCATGGAATGAGTTAGAGAGGAGTCCCTCCTTTTCAGTTTTTTGTAAGAGTCTCAGTAGGAATGGTACCAGCTCTTCTTTGTACATCTGGTAGAATTCAGCTGTGAATCTGTCTGTTCCTGGAATTTTTGTTTGTTTGGTAGGCTACTTATTACTGATACACTTTCAGAGCTTGTTATTGGTCTGTTCAGGGATTCACTTTCTTTCTGGTAGTCTTGGGAGGGTGTGTATATCCAGGAATTTATCCATTTCTTCTGGATTTTTTAGTTTGTATGCACAGAGGTGTTCAAAATATTCTCTGGTGGTTATTTGTATTTCTGTGGGGTCAGCAGTAATATCCCCTCTGTCATTTCTAAATAGCCTTTATTTGTATCTTCTCTCTTATTAGTATAGCTAGGGGCCTATTTTAGTAATATTTTTCAAAAAAAAAAAACAACTCCTGGATTCATTGATCTTTTGAGTGCTTTTCTATGTCTCAGTCTCCTTCAGTTCAGCTCTGATTTTGGTTATTTCTTGTCTTCTGCTAGCACTGGGGTTGGTTTGCTCTTGGTTCTCCAGTTCTGTTAGTTGTGTGATGTTAGGTTGTTAAATTGAGATCTTTCTAACTTTTTAATGTGAGTGTTTAATATTATACATTTCCCTCTTAACATTGCTTTAACTGTGTCCCAGAGATTTTGGTATGTATCTTTGTTCTCATTAGTTTCAAAGAACTTGATTTCTGCCTTAATTTCATTATTGACACAAAAGTCAATCAGGAGCAGGTTATTCAATTTCCATGTAATAGTACGGTTTTGAGCAAATTTCTTAATCATGATTTCTAATTTTCTGCTGCTGTTGTCTGAGAGAGTGGTTCTTACGATTTCAATTCTTTTGCATTTGCTGAGTAGTGTTTTGGGGCTGATTATGTGGTCGACTTTAGAGTATGTGTAATGTGGTGATGAGAAGAATGTATATTCTGTTTTTCCAGCGTGGAGAGTTCTGTAGATGTCTACCAGGTCCATTTGATCCAGTGCTGAGTTTAGGTCCTGAATATCGTTAATTTTCTCCCTCGATGATCTATATAATACTGTGAGTGAGATGTTGATGTCTCCCCTTATTATTGTGTGGGAGTCTAAGTCTCTGAAGGTCTCTAAGAATTTGCTTTATGAATCTGGGTACTCCTGTGTTGAGTGCATATATATTTAGGAAAGTTAGATCTTCCCGTTGAATTGAACCCTTTATCATTACGTAATGCCCTTGTCTTTTTTGATCTTTGTTGGCTTATAGTCTTTTGTCTAAAATTAGTGTGGTAACCTCTCCTTTCTGGTTTTCATTTGCTTGAAGATTTCTCTCCATCCCTTTATTTTAAGCCTGTGGGTGTCATTGCATTTGAGATAGGTCTTCCGAAGACAGCATATAATTCGGTCTTTATCCAGCTTGCAACTCTGTGCCTTTTAATTGAGGCATTTAGTTCACTTACATTCAAGGTTAGTATTGATATGAGGAAATTTGATACTGTCATCATGGTGTTAGCTGGTTATCATGCAGACTTGTTTGTGTGGCTGTTTTATAGTGTTGTTGGTTTGTGTCCTTAAGTGTTTTTGTAGCGGCTGGTAATGGTCTCTCCTTTCTGCATGTAGTGCTTCCTTTAGGAGCTCTTGTAAAGCAGGTCTGACAATAATGAATGCCCTCAGTATTTGCTTCTATGAAAAGGATCTTATTTCTCCTTTGCTTATGCAGCTTAGTAGGACCTGATATGAAATTCTTTGTTGGAATTTATTTTAAGAATGTTGAATATTGGCCCCCAATAACTTATGGCTTGTGGGGTTTCTACAGAAATGTCCATTGTTAGCTGATGGGCTTCCCTTTGGGTGACCTGACCTTTCTCTCTAGCTGCCTTTAACACTTTTTCTTTCATTTTGACCTTGGAGAATCTGATGATTAAGTACTTTGGGGATGATCTTCTTGTGAAGTATTTTACTGGGTTCTCTGCATTTCCTGAATTTGAATGTTGGCCTCTCTATCTAGATGGAGGATATCCCAAAATGTGATTTCCAAGTTGCTTCCATACTCCCCATCTCTTTCAAGGACACAAATAAGTTGTAGATTTGGTCTCTTTATGTAATCCCATATTTCTCAGAGGGTTTTTTTGTTCTTTTTCATTCTTTTTAATCTATTCTTATTTGACTGTCTTATTTCAGAAAGCCAGTCTTCAAGCTCTGAGACTCTTTCCTCAGTTTTCTATTATGCTATTAATACTTGTGATTGCATTACAAAATTCTTATAGTGTGTTTTTCAGCTATATCAGGTCAGTTACATTCTTTTCAATACTGGCTATTTTGTCTGTCAGCCCCTGTATTATTTTATTGTGATTCTTAGCTTTCTTGGATTAGGTTTCAACATACTCCTATATCTCAATAATCTTCATTCCTATCTATAGTCTGAATTCTATTTCTGTCACGTCAGTCATCTCAGTCCCAGTTCAGAACGCTTGCTGGAGAGCTAGTGTGATCATATGGAGAAAAGAAGATACTCTAGCTTTTTGAGTTGTAGGAATTCTTGCACTGGTTCTTTCTCATCCTTGTGGGCTGATGTTCCTTCGATTTTTAAAGTTGCTGTCCTTTGAATGAGTTTTTTTTTTTTCTTTTATGCTATTTGATGACCTTGAGGATTTGACTGTGTAATAAGGTGGATTCAGTCAACTGGTTTGGCTTCTGGAGGATTTTAAGGGGCTGAGACTAGCTCTCAATTCCTGGACTGTGTGTTCTAACTCTGGGGAACTTGTATCGGGCCTCAATTTTGTTCTCTGGCTCCTCGAAATTAGGAACCCACTGTGTGGGCGGGGGTTGGGGCTAAGGTACTCTCAGACCACCAGTCACTATACACCGATGGGTGGTGCCAGATAAAGCATTTTGTAAGGTGACAGCAACAAGATCTGTCCTCATTCACACATACCAGAAGCAGCAGCAATGCAGCAGGGTATACACTTGTTAGGTGCAGCAGGGTGCTAGCAGGTGCCAGGGTGGGTGGGTGCCTGACTCCATGTGGGTGTTCACAGCAGTGACGGAGGCAGCACACAAAATTAAAATTCTTAAAGGTGGTCATACATATAACAAGTGGGTCAAGGAAGAGATGAGGTGCAAGACAAAGATAAAGCACATGCCCTAGCACAGTTTACAACTGCTTAAAAGAAAGCTACTAAAATGCAGACACCAAAGTAACAGGTGTCTGTTAGTCTGTCTTCTTTAACACTCCCACTATCGGCCAGGCCTAGTGGCTCATGCCTATAATTCCAGCACTTTGGGAGGCCAAGGCAGGCAGATCACTCGAGGCCAGGAGTTCGAGACCAGCCTGACCAACATAGCAAAACCCCACCTCTAGTTTAAAAAAAAAAATTAGCCAGGCATGGTGGCACACACTTGTAATCCCAGCTACTCGGGAGGCTGAGGCACGAGAATCTCTTGAACCCGAGAGGCGGAGGTTGCAGTAAGCCAAGATTGTGCCACTGCACTCCAACTTGGGTGACAGACTCAAAAAAAAAAAAAAAAAAAAAAAAAAAAACTCCCACTATCCTTAGCACTACATTAATTAACAATGTTTTATTGATTTTGATTATTTTTGTCTTTATGTCAAAGTGAAGGAAGAGCTATGTAGTCAAAATGTGTTTTGTAAAAATGAGTAAAGGATTCTTTTTCACTACCTCCAAAAAATATGTAAACCGAAAAGAAGGCACATGAATAAGAGCAATGTCTTTAAATAATCAGAGATATAGACTAGTATAATGGCAAATCCTTTTTTAACCAAACAGTAATTTACAGGTTTTGTAACTATTTTGTCCTGAACACAATGTGATGGGTGTTTTTTATTATAAAAATGCTTAGAGGTGTTCAAATTGGATACATGCTAAGAAAATGCCTAGATTATAATACAAACATATCAAGTTTCTGTTATGTAGTTTTCTCCTTGCTTTAAAATTGAATTCTTGATAACAATTACATGAAAACCCACACAATTAGATTTTTATATTTGATACTGAGCAACTAAAAGAACAGCCACCTTCTTAAAAGATATAAATCAGGCAGCAATGAAATCAAGAGCAAATTTCTCCATTCCAGGAAAGAATCGGTAATGGTAAGTCACTGGAATATCACTGTCATTGTCTCTAATATTAGCAATAAATTAAACCCTCAGTACTTACAGGATCCACAGACATATCCTCAAATTGAGGTTCATACAGAGGATAGAGACATATGTCATCATACCATGTTATTCTCGTTGAAAGTAAAAACCAGACAACCCTTTCTGTACAAACACAATTGCAGTTTTTGTGTTACTCTTAAAAATGTCCAAGATCGAATAACCATTAAAATAAATTTATTTTCTCATTCTAAGTAAAATTAAAAATTTTGAAAAAACATTTAAAATTGACTCAGTTGTCTCATAGAACTGATGTTTATGGTTTCTGCAGAGTAAACATAAAAACTGACCCTCCCAGTCTTTTTCTTTCTTTCTTTTTTTTTTTTTTTTTTTTTTTTGAGACAGAGTCTCATTCTGTTGCCCAGGCTGGAGTGCAGTGGCATGATCTCGGCTCACTACAACCCCTGCCACCCAGGTTCAAGCAATTCTCCTGCCTCAGCCTCCCGAGTAGCTGGGATTACAGGTGCCTGCCACCACACCTGGCTAATTTTTGTAGTTTTAGTGGAGACGGGGTTTCACCATGTTGGCCAGGCTGGTCTTGAACTCCTGATCTCATGATCCACCTGCCTTGGCCTCCCAAAGTGCTGGGATTACAGGCAATAGCCACCGCGCCCAGCCTGGACTCTCTCAGTCTTGAAACTTGAGAAAATTACATTTGTTCTATCTGAGTTCCTTTCTCAAGAAACCAACCATCAAGCCTTCCAAAGAGTAGCAAGAATCTGAAACTTACCAGATCACTGTATCTGGACAATGAGATGTCAGACCACTCACCTACCATAACTGCCTAGGCAACCACCTGCTTCCTATTAACCAAATCCTCTTCCTTGCGCCTCCCTATTTTCCCATGCGTGGTTACATTTCTTCTCTGCTATATAAACCCCTAATTTTAGTTGGTCAGTGAGGATTTAAGACTGATCTCTATCCTCAGGCGCAGCACCCAATTAAAGCCTTTCTGCTGACAAAACTCATTGTCTCAGTGACTGGCTTTCTGTGTGGCAAGCAGCAGGACCTAGACCAAACGCTTGGTGTTTTGGTAACAAATTCACATTTTTTTCAAGTGGTGGGATCAAATAAATCTGAAAACATAAACACACTCACTCTCTGCCTTGCCTTGTTATGTACTCAACTCAAAATAAGTATAGCAAATGAAAGAAACTATATGTGTGTGTGTGTGTGTGTGTGTGTGTATGTATGTGTTGTGTATATATATGTGTGTGTATATATATGCTTTAACTTTCAAAAATTGGTAAGACATATACAATGAAGATGACAATGATCTGGAATTAATGTTTAAATATCATTACAATAACAATATCATGTGGAACATTTAGGTAACAGAAAAAAACTGAAAAGAGAGGCAGGAATTCTTTGCTTAATTCAGGTAACCTAAAAAGAATAGAGAAGGACTAATGAAAAAGTGGCTATGACTATTATAGTATAAAATTTCAACATTATCTCCAAACTTTCAAACAGACTTTAATGCATTGCTTGCACAGCAAAAATAAAAGACAGAAGATACCTATTTCATATATACATAAATCATAATTTTCAAATAAATAAACCTAAAGATATCTTGTAAACTATTAAAACTAAGATGCATGTACACTGTGCTTTGACAATACATTTATACTGTTTATGTAATATATGAGACTAAAATCTTGGATCGTGATTGTCTGGAAATAGTTCTGAGAAAAATCTATCAAGAAGGATTTCTCAGACACTACTAATTATCCTCATGACATATTGGTTAAATAAAATAAATCATCTTAATGTAGGTGTTAAAGACATTAACACCTATAAAATTAAATGTGGCACAATATCATTAATAGTGCTTTTGTTTTTTGTTTTTTAGTTTTAGTGCTGAAATGTTTTTTGTTTTTTCTTCCTCCAATTCTAGGTTTCACAAGAAGCTAGAAGGCTGTGTGGGTACTTAGGAAGTTCAACAAGACCCCTCTATTTGCTCCACCATTTTCTCTTTAAAGTTTTATTTGGCTAAATCCAGCACATACACAAAGATTAGTCACACAGATGGATGAGACTGCACCATATCAACTGGTTCCATTCTTCAAGCACATGAATGTCTAACCTCGAATTATCAAAGTTCTTGATAATTTGAAACTGAGCCTTCAAGAACTTATTTCACAGATGACACTATCTGTTATAACAACTATTTAAGCTCTTGAAACCAGTCCAATTATCCTATAGAACTGATGTTTATGGTTTCTTTGAATTAACATAGATATTGATCCACCCCGTCTTAAAACTTGAGAAAGTTACATTTGTCTTATCTTAGTTCCTTTCTCAGGAAACCAACCCCCAGGCTTCCCAGACAGTAGCAAGAAAAACCAAAACTTACCACATCACTACATCTGGGCAATAAGACACCAGACCTCTCACTCATCATGATTGCCTGAACGGACTACCTGCTTCCTGCTGACCAACTTCTCTTCCTTACTCCTCCCTAATTCCTGTTTTCCCACACATAGTTACATTTCTTTCCTGCTATTTTAGTCAGGGAAGATATTTGATACTGATATCCCATCTCCTCAGGTGCAGCACCTGATTAAAGCCTTCTTCCCTGGCAATACTCATCTCATTGATTGGCTTTCTGTGCAGTGAGCAATAGAATCTAGACTGAACCCCTGGCATTTTGGTAACATTCTCCTCCATTCTAAAAATAATACAGTATTTCATCTTTCTCCTTCATGATTCAAAATACAAAAAGATCTACCATTTGCATAAAAACTACAAAACTTAGAAGAAAGTGCATAATCCCTTTGCTAAATTAAATACCTCTGATTCTTTCAGTGCCTCTTTTGGAGGGTACTGTAAGAGGGATATTTGTGGTGATGAAATAGCTTTATATCTTGATTATGGTGACGATTACATGAATCTACATATGAGATGAAATGACACAGAACTATACACACACATTGTATCAATGTCAATTTCCTGGTTTTTATATTGTACTGTGGTTAGGAAGATGTAGCCAGTGGGAGAAACTGGTTAAAGAGTAACACAGTACCTTTTCATACCATTCTGGCAAATTCCTGTATGTCAATAATTTCAAAATAAAAAGCAAAAAATGAGAAGAGGGAAATGGAGCACCTCACAGAAATCATATCTCAATGCCAGAGGAAAATAAAGAAGGAAAGTTTTCCCACAAATCTAAAAGATCAGTGTGGGTAAACACCAGGAAAGCAAATCAAACCAAAGCAGATAGATAACAGCAATAATAAGTATTTTGATGAATGTTAAGTTTAACAAACTATCTACCTTTATGCCAACCTATATCCTTTCCTGGGGTCAGAAAATATAGTCTATGGAGACCTACTACAAGTAAGAAGCTACTTTGAATTTTATTTTTTATTTTTATTTTATTTTAATTTTTTTGAGACAGAGTCTCGCTCTGTTGCCCCGGCTGGAGTGCAGTGGTGTGATCTCGGCTCACTGAAAGCTCCGCCTTCCAGGTTCACGCCATTCTCCTGCCTCAGCCTCCCGAGTAGCTGGGACTACAGGCACCCACCACCACACCCGGCTATTTTTGTATTTTTAGTAGAGACGAGGTTTCACCGTGTTAGCCAGAATGGTCTCAATCTCCTGACCTCGTGATCCGCCCACCTCGGCCACCCAAAGTGCTGGGATTACAGGCGTTAGCCACCTCGCCCGGCCAAATTTTATTTTTAAAATCATGTATTTTGCACTGGATGTCATATTCACATTCAATAGTGGTTCTGAATATTTAACTTACCCGTTAAATTATTTAACTACTTTCTCCAAAATATAGCAATAAGTTTTACAAAAGAAGATGGCCATATTTATCTATGGCTCGGAGCCCTCTAACAAAGCTCAGAGTACCCCAGTTAGAGAAGCATCATCTTGTTTTCCAGCTCCTAAGTGTTAATTTACAAATCATTCAGACTGGCCTATTCTGAGGGAGCCATTAATCCCCTAGAGACTAGGGTCTCTTTGGAAAAATTCTTAGAAGATAGATGACTGCTGGCACTCTATATTCAAACTATGACATATTACAAAAGGGCTGATGTAGGAATTATGTAACTCCTGTAAACAGAGCCTCTCTAGGATGTATCTCTCACATTGTCTTATCTCAACAAGTGCCAGTAACACAAGTATTTTCACACACATATAAAGGCAAGAGTAGGTTTCCTGCATAATTAGTAGCCATTTTACTTGAAGATACCTTGTTATTATTTTTAAAGTTTTCCAAAACTCTAGCAAAATTAAATGCAAAAAAGGGGTCCAGAACCACAAGGTTTCTTAAGGTTGCTCCTATCTTCATCTTCTCATCAGATCCCTCCATCCAAGAAGATAGGGAAAAAGGCTTTTATCACCTGAAGGTGATCAAAAATTTCAAGCTGGCTTCTACAACCAGCATTTCAAAAAAGTGTTATACTGCCCCAGAAGATGTTTACTTTGGTTTGAGTACTCTGAGAGTTCTATAACCATGCAGGAAATATGTTACAGGTTTGATTCCAAAAACATGAATCCCCCTGCCCCCAGGTGGAGACTAGGATACAGGGCTTGTTAGAACTGGATGCCCCAAGAAACTGTCAAATTACTGAGTACCATATTAAACTGAAATGAAAATACACACATACACACACACATACTATTTAAAGAGATAGCATGATCACTTAGGGATGCATTATTTGAAGTGACTTTATCACCAATGATAATTGTACTTGATGAACAGGAGTACAAAAGCACAGACTATGCAAAGTATAAGGTTTGACCAATATAATAGCTAAAATCCTAAAACTAAAGAATTTCATGAGTAATTTTATATACCAAGATTGTAAAAGAGCAAAAAGCCATTTGTACTACTTTAAAAATTCACATGTGATATTATATACAAAGAATATAAGTTTGAAAGTATGAAAGTTTCACTTTCTTTTAAAGGATTCATAGCACTTCTGAAGTTTTTCATGACTGACCATCTAAAAATTAAAATATCTCTACTATATTCCTATCAAATTGTACCTTGGTAATTAATACCCAGAGCATAAATTCCCAATATGATGAAAGTCTAATTTTTTAGAAACCACATTTATAAACAAGCAGTTAGGGAAAATTCATGCTGAGCTCAAAATATGAGGTTTCTGGGCAAGATAAATCACCTTTCTTATCTGAACTGCTCAGATCAAAATGTCAAAACAATTAAATTACAATTTTGTCTGACATCAATATCCCATGCAACAGTGCAAAACAGAAAACCTTGATTTCAGGAATACTGTTTGCTTTTAACTGGCAAACAAATTAAGCAATGAATCAAATTTTGTTTGGTAAAACAAACAAAAAATTAGGCACAATGCAGGTCAGAGCAGATCAGAGAGGTCAAGGACTTCATCAAGACTCACTTCTCATATAATCGCATGTTTTTTGGCTCAAAGGGAAAAAATATCTATTCTGTTACACAAATAGAAAACACACAAACATAAGGTCATATATTTTACTCCTATATACCAAATATCACTATAGATTTTAATAAACCACATATAAATCACATCAACTTTATAGTTACATCATATGTGCATGCCGACATCTAATAGTTATATATGTGTGAGGAAAGAGAGGTAGAAGGGGAGCTTAATTTTTCCCTTAACAAACCTAGTTCTCCTGTATAGCTGTCTCATCTATTTCTTTGAATGTACCACGTAAAAAACTATACAATCAAAATATTTTTGAACTGTAGGAAGCCTTAAAAATGATCTTGAGCTGCCTCCTCATTTTTCAGTAAAAAACTGAAGGCCAGGAAAGACATGGGCACAAAACTACCTGGGGACATAACTGGGACTATAATTATAGGCCCCTAACTCCTAATCTTTTGTATGAATTATGAAATAGACTAATGAGACGTACTCCTGAATATACTGGGGTTCATTATACTATTCTACCTTTGCGTGTCTGATAATTTACATAATAAAAGAAATATGTTTGGAAACCTAACAACCTAAAAGCATTCAGTACTCTTCATAAGGCATTTATCAATTGTATTGCAATATTTACATATATTCCCTTCTCCTCACTCTACTAAAAATGGTAAATTGAGGGCAGAGATGATGTCATTTACATAGTGGTTATCACCATCCCCTGCCAAGACTTTACGCAGAACCCTGTTTTATAGTAAGAATTCAAGAAACAAATGGTCCCTAAATAACTGAAAAAAAAAAAAAAATCTCAAACAAGGTTCCATTTCCAACTCTATCAATTCTCTCCATCTTGTCAAACTGCTCAATATCTATGAGTAATGTTGTCAAAATTCTACCATACATCTACAACCTATGTTGCCAATCCAGTCTTTTTCACATCATTTTCAAATGATATTTGTTGCCAATCGCTGTTTTTCACATTTTCAAAATCCAATCTGAAATCTAATCCTAACTAACATCTCTTCCAAGATTTAATACCACCATTCTATAATTAGACTGACCACTGGTGACAACACTGTTCTCCATTTGATCACACTTGGTACTTAAACAGAAAAGAGTTTGTTTGATAATAACGGTAATATTCTTAGAACGTTACTGTAGTTATAAGCTCCACGGGAGGTGAGACTCAATGTTGCTAACTTCCTCATCAGATCCCTTCTCAGGGATTTCATCATATGATTTAGCTTGCCTTATTTCCTCCTTTTCCCCTTTTATCTTGTAATCTCCACTTTCTCTTTAAGTCTTCTCCTAAGCAAAGCTCAAGGCAGAAATCCCCCTTCTGTCCTCAACAATGCACAAAGTTTTCTGTTTCAAGCAATTCTTAGAATCTCAAAGTATTCTTTCATCAAATATTCCTGACCAAATGGAAAAAATGGTAATGATTCCTACAAATTTCTCATGTACCACACCTGGATCTCATAAACAATGAGAAAAGAGAAGGGATCCAAATAGAACATCCACATTCCCCACCTCCATCTGTGCCCCCACACTTTTCCTTCTCTCATTTGTTCTAGGTAAATAGCTCATAACCCTAGCAACAGATAGTCTCTCTTGTTGTATGCATGTATCCTTTCTCACCTCCTCGTGAACAGCATTCCCCTCTGTCTCCTGCATCATCAATTTTTTGTTCTCTATTGGCTCCTTCTCATTAGTATCACAACATGCCATTGTTTTGTACACTTTAAAAAACTCTCTTTACATCATCTGGTCCTACAACTAACGCTCCATTTCCTCCCTCCCTTTTCAATAAAAATATTCAAGTGATGTATACCATCACCTTCTTCAATGTCTTTCTACTCTGTCAAACACATTACAAACAAGCTTTCATGTCTACTTCCTCCATGAAAACTGGCAACATCATGGTCATCAATGATTTCCTTTGCTAGATTAATTCTCAATCCTCATCTTTAAAACAACTGATCAGCCCTCTACTTCTTGAAACACTTCCAGGATTCCATATTCTCCTGCTTTCCCTTTTACATGGAATGCAGCTCTTTTTCAGACTCCTTTTTGGTTTCTCCTCATCTCATAATGCTGACGTACACCATTATGTACCAGATTTTATGACGTAAAGTCTGGTCCCTGGTCATCTTCAATATTCTAAACTCACACACTTTTGATGCATTCAATCTCTTCGCTTTTACAACCCGCTATATGATGAAGAGTCCTAAATGTATGCCATTAGCTTGGTCTTCCAGCTAACTGCATGCTTGACATTTCCATTTGGATATCTAAAACCCATCTAACACCTAACATATCCAAATCCAGATTCTTAATCCCAATTACATCTTCTTCCTGTTCTTTCCAATCTCAGTTAACAGAAACTCTTATCTTTCCAGTTGCTTAGGCAATTACATTCTCCTTAATTTCTTTTGCTCTCACATTCCATATCCTATCTCTCAGCAAACCCTGAGGAATACACCCTCAAAATATATATACAGAATATGAACTACTCACCACTTCCACTGCTATCATCCGGGTCTAAGCCACCATGATCTGTCACATAAATTATGATAGCCTAACTGTTATCCCTGCTTCTATTCTTGCTTTCTTCAGTCTGTTCTCAATACAGTAGGCAGAGTAATGGTATCAAACAGATGTGTTAGATCATGTCATTCCTCTTGTCAAAAGGCTCCAATGGCCTCCAAATGGCTTCAAGTAAAGGTTATCATTACAATAGCTTAGCAGACCATGTAGTACTATCTGGCCCCTATGACATTTAAAATCCCATATCCTACTTCTCCTCTATCCTCCATTCCACTTCAGCTACACAAGCTTCTTTGCTGATCCCTGAACACAGCAATGTGCCCGGCCTCTGCACTTGCTATTTCTCTGCGCCCGGAAACTCTTGCCCCAAATATATGGCTTACTCCCTCAACTGCTTCAAGTCTACTGAAATGTCACCTTCTCCAGAGGACTTCCGGTAAAATCCTATTTTAAATTACTAAACACACACTCTTTTTCCTGCTTTATGTAATAAGTCCATAGCACTTATTACGGTTTCACCTTATATTTTTCTTATGTACTACATATACTGTCTCCCTCCACTAGAATGTATATTCCAAGAAGCCAGAAGTTTCTTCTTTGCTTTATTCCAGTGTCAAGAACACTGCTTGGCACGCAGTAAGCAATCAACAAACAATTGTTGACTAATAAGTATTGAGTGTTCTACCTAAATATAATAATGCTTTATGTAAGCAATTAATAAATTACATTTCATTCTTGTTAGTCGTCCTACATTAAAGGTCTTTAATACTCTTTTTATGTTATCAGGAATGCATTACGTCATCCTTATTAAGAGGAGTTACTTTTACATTTCCCATAAGTCTTGAGATCAGACATTACTGCCGATTGTAAAGGAGAAAAAAAATCTCTAAAAAATTAAAGGTGAAAGTATTGTTAAAATAATTCCCCTTTCCATTAAGAATTCTTGGGGTGTGGGAAAAAATGGTGAAAATCGTACTTAAAATACCAAGAATCCAGTTTTAAACCCAACTCTTCCTTTTAAGCTTTTCCTCCCCCATTCTCCCAGAGCACTTCGTAGGATTAAGCCAGTGCTCACCATGGTCCCTTCTCCTGAGGACAGGAACGGAATCTCTTCTCTGTTAACCTGTCACCAGTCAGCACAGAATCTAACTCACAGATGACAAAGAACCGTTACCAAATCGAACTCACTGGAGTGGATACTACAGGATCCTATGACATAATTTTTAATGTTTGTCAAGATGTATTCCTTCAACAGAAGCAACACCATTATCTTAAGGTTCTCGGGTGGTTAAAAAAAAAGTCTATCTTTTCTGTTCCGCAGGGATAACTGCAACACAACTTTCAGTCCAGCAACTTAATCCACAGTTAATTAATCCTTTACACTCCTCAGGATGCAAGCCCTAGTAAATAAAGACAGCTTAAGGACCATAGGTTGAAATGTAAAGGCTACTGTATGCTATTCAATTGCTATTCTAAAAGTGAGGGGGAAAAGAACACAAGGCACCAAGAGACGCAATACAAAGGAAAAATGAAAAAAAAAAAAAAGCAAAGAATGTGGGGGAAAATAGGGAGGACGAGCTATGAAGCAATGCAACTGTAGGGCAAATGTGGTAGTAAGCCAGACGTTAGGGTAGAACCAGCAGCGCAGGCTCTGATCCCAGGCTGCTCTTTCCATGGCTTCTCATAAACTTCCTTAAGAAAGCCATCCTGGGCGTCCACTGGAGCGGCATTCCACGCGCGGGGGCGGAACTGTGCTGCGCGCCATTTCGAACGCGCGGGCCCGCGGCGCCGCTCTTTACCTGCGCCCCGCTAGCGCGCCGTGTCGGGCTGCCTGGCCGGCGTGCACTGCATACGTGTGTGAACGTGTCAGAAGCGGGGACTCGGAGCTGCTACGCTCCTCTCCTAAGACAAGCGGCTTCGGGAGGTGGGCGGGGGCCTTGGAGCGGGTTGGGAGCTCCTTTGGCCAGCGCGCCTCGCGGACTGCCAGAGCCAGGTGCCCCGCGCGCCACCCCGCGGAGTCGCTCAGAACCCGCCGCCGGCCGGGCGCCCCTCGGCCCCCGTACTTCACGCCGGGTCGGCGCCCCGGGCCCCGCGCAGGGGTGCGGCCCACAGCTCAGTCGCGCCAGCTTGGGTAGGACGGAGGAGCAAGGAGACACGGACCGCTCGGCCGAGGCCGCGCCGCCTCAGAGCGCGGAGCTTGTTTTGGCAAAACTTTGAAAAGAAAAGGACTCCGATTACCTGAGCGGCGCGGGCGCGGGCTCGTCTGCGGTACGGCTGCCGGGCCAGGCCGGATTTTCAGCAGCCGTAAAGCGGGAGAAGCGGGCGCGAGCCGCGGCGCGAACCCTCGCCCCCGAGCGGCGGCCCCGGCGCCTCCGCCGCGAGCGTCAGCCGCTTGGCAAGGAACGGGCTGGGCTGAGTCATAATAAAAGACGCGTTTGTCGAGCCAAGTGGGAAGAAGAGCCGCGGGCAGCAGTGTTCAATGGCACAAGCCTCAAAAATTGGGAAGGATTTTTTTTTTAATGGGCAAAACTGGAAACTTGCCCCCATGGTGCCCATCAAAAGATATGTTTCGTTTATAATTTGCATATATTTTATACATAGTCTTTGAATCTAATAAAACTTTTAAAAGAATTTTTAAAGCCCATTGCTTGCAGAGCCAAATTCCTGGTTATAGCTTCGTGACTTACGCAAGTTACTTGAATTCTGTGCTTTTGTTTTTCATCCATGAAACAGGATAATAAAGGTACCTCCCTCAAGAGAGACTGCGAGAGAGCTTGGCATCCTGCCTGCACTTAGCACTCGCTAAATGTTAATTGTTATTTTAAAATAGGAGGGAGGAGATAATAAAGAGGAACTTAGATAACAGTTTTGAATGGAAGAAGATACGAATATAAATCAAGATTTTTCTTTTTTCAAGTGGAGTAAATTAGACAAATTACCAATGGAAGAGAAGAAAGTGGAGCCTGGAAGGAACAAACGGGGCTAAGAGAAGTAGCTGAAGCGAGGGAAGGAAGAAGGGGGAAGGAGGAAAGAAGAGAGGAAGAGGGGTGAATAAAAGCCTCCAAGGAACAAACGAGGCTGAAAGATGTGGCTGAAGGTAGGGAAGGAAGAAAAAGGGAGGAAGAGAGGAAGAAATAAAACCAAGGAAGCAAGAATAAAGCTAGGCTGCGTGGGAAGAGGGGAGGAAGGAAGGAGAGAGAAATTCAACTAGGCTCAGTGGCCAAAATGCTGAAGTGTGTCCTGCCGGGAGGGAGTGGAGGAATATGTTTACTCACTATTTAGAAATGCATGACAAACTCCATCCGCTGAGGGAGATTTTTACAATGTATAAACAGAGAAACAACTGTCTAAAAATGAGCCCCAAATGAGGAGCCTTTGCTCCAGTGAATGAGATTTGGCAGTTCTGCAAAATGAGGAAATTCTTCCTTGTGCGGCATCTTGAAGGGTTGAGTCATGAAACCCACAGCAAATATTAGTGGGCTGGATTCCTGAAAGGCATGCCAGATGGACGCATTCTGGTTAGTTTTACTGTGTGATGTTCCCTTCTGTACTTCTGTCAATTTTAGAAGAAAAGAGTGTGAATAAAGATTTGAGAAGTGAACTTAAAAGCCAAACTAGTTACTTAATGTACGAGTATCCACCCACCAGGAGCTTACAGTTACAGATTCCAAAACAAGCAACCGTTTCTCCCACTTTCATTTTCCCTCCCCTTTGTTTCTACTTTCACCGTATTGCTTTTTATCCATTTTTATAATATGATTTTTTACAGTGGAACCGCCTACGGGAAAGGTGCTTTTAATTAATACGAAAGAATGGAAGGAATTTCAGCTAGGCCTCTCTAAGAGGGTAAAGCTTTGTGAAAGAAAGGTTTTTTAGCTGAAGTTTTAATGAGAATAAGAGTAGTTGGCAGATGTGAAATCAGAAGTTTTTTCAGACAAGAAAATAATACGACTCGAGTGAAAGGGAATGGACTAGAAATCAGAAACAGTTCTATTCCTTAATTACCGTAAGAACCAAAGACTGGAGGAAAGTTTTTCCTATTCTATAAAGAAAAATGGGGGCCTCCCTCCACCAGCCAGACCTTCAAAAAAGGAAAAAATAAAAATTAAAAACCTCTATTAGATTCTTGTAATGATTTGCTTTTTCTTAGGAGAACTTCTTCAGGGTAAAAGACGTGAAAGTGCTTCTTTCGGCAACTTCTGACGAAATACTTTTGTAGAAGCAAAATTTCTGAAGGGATAATTTTTGCTCAAGCAAAAAACTATTAGTAAGATAAGAATCCCTTTTCCTTTGTTTCAATTTTGCTAAGCCTTCAGGCTGAGGCAAACAGATTATCATTAAACCTTTATTAATGTGAAACCAAAAAAAGATAAAATCTTAAATGCTGCGAAGCCCTTAACCTAAAAGGAGCAAGAAAACAAACCAAGGCCCAGAAAATAGAGAAAGGGATTAGGAAGCCTTTCTAAGGGGAACCTTTGAACTGTGGGCTGTAAAATGAATGTCTGTGACTTGCCTTAAACAAATAGGCAATATAAACTAAAGCTGGGAACTAAGAAGATCTCCTCAGATCAGATAAAAAGCTTACCTTGTGTGAAACACTGTGGTCAAAGAAGAAAATTCCTTTCATCTTAAGTGGAGACAAAAACGTGTATCACTTGTTTTGTGTGTGCTCATAAAACACCTCCATCACCTGAATCCCTTGGGTGCAATTTTTTGATGGACTTGGCATTCTTTAAACTGAACCTTGACTCAGGTTTTGATCATGTGAATTTATCCAGAGGTGGATTGTGAGTAGTAAGTGTTTGCTTTTAAATCACTTAAATCCATCACTCATTATGTTAATAATTTAAGTTAATATTTTATTAAATAGTGATTGGCTTTTCCAGGTGTTTTATAGATAGAATATAAGCTATAAATATGTGAATTTGATGATATTACAAGTGAATTTATATATACAATTGAATTTAGCCTTAGTGTGCTAATTTGATTTCCATTTAACATTTCATAGACGATTATATTGGAAAAGATTGTTTGGATTTCAAAAGATATTTTTCTCTCTAATATAAAACCTCAGGGTAGTGAGGATTTCCTGCCGCATTGTTACATTACCTGTTGCTAAATCACTGCATAAAAAGAAGCAATAGTTAAACAGCCAAATAGCCTCAGCAAATTTACAGTTTTGGAAACTAATTTCAGGAATTCCTCGAAAGACTGTGTCAAAACTGAAGTGTGGTTGCCAAGCCAAATTTGAGCTTTAGCTGACAACAGTGTGTTGCAAGATTACTTAATAACCCAGCTTATTAAGAGGGGACGGTCTTAAAAGATGCAGACTCTTCAACCTAACTGCCAACCAATGAATGGATAGAGAAATGTGATAAGTTATATATATATATATATATATATATATATATATATATATATGATGTATACACAAACACACATATATACATATACATGTGTGTATATATGTATGTATACACACACAGACACACACACACTCCATGGGATACTACTCAGCTGTAAAAAAGAGTGAAACATTGTCTTTTGCAGCAACTTGAATGGAACTGGAGGCCATTATTCTAAGTGAAGTAACTCGGGAATTGAAAACCAGATATCCTATGTTCTCACTTATAAGTTGGACCTAAGCTATGGATAAGCAAAGGCATACCGAGTGATATAATGGATATTGGACACTCAGAGAGGGGAGAGAAGAAGGAGGGTGAGCCATGAAAAATTATCTGTTGGGTACAATGTACACTCCTTGAGTGACAGGTGCACTAAAATCCTAAACTTCAGCACTATGCAATTCATCCATGTAATCAAAAACCACTTGTATCCATAAAACTATTGAAATTTTTAAAATGTTTAAAATTAAAAAACTAAAAAATAAAAATAGTAATAGGGAAGATAGGACTCACCAAAAACAAAAAACAAACAAAAGATGCAGATTCTTGTTTTTTCCTGTCAACCATATATATGTGTTTATGAAAACTGATGTACATATTTTAGAAGTGGTCTACTTGAAACTATTCAAATCCATAGCACTCTAAACTTTTTAGATATTTGAGGTAGGTTTAAGAGTGGTCACCCTATGTTTTTAGTTTTTGGAAACAACTAGACATTCTTAGTTAAAAATTATTTTTGCAAGTCCTTTTTTCCATTTTTTTTTTTGGTAAAATATGACAAAATTTATCATCAACAATTTTTAAGTATATAGTTCAGTGGTATTAAATATTCATAATTATTGTGCATACATCACCAGCATCTATCTTTAGAACTCTTTTCATCTGATAAAACTGAAACTCTGTACCCAGTAAACAATTAGCTCCCCATGTGCCACCCATATTGATTATCCATTCATCCTTCTATTAACAAAAGACCAATGAGATCTGTGGAAGCAAAAGGAGAAATTTATTTTCTAAAAGCAATCTGTAGATTGGGAAGATGTAGTCTCTGGTGTAGAATGAAAGTGTCCCTCGAGGAGAGGTCAGAGAGTAGGAGATTATAAAGGCAAAAACTGCAGGATGAGGGTGGGGTGGAAATCAGGTGTGGGGTTGTGGGGTTTGGACTGGATAAAGTTTAAGCAAGACCTCACAAGTGTCTCTTTATTGGCTGGCCTCAGGTGATCTGTTTGTGGTCAGTTTGAAAATTTCCAGCTGCAGTCTATCTCGGTTCCAATAACAGGAACTAGTTTGGCTTGACTGCAAAAAGAAAGGCTCTGTGACATTTTTACAGTCTCTTTCTGAGAACACAGAGTACATGGCTATTCCTTCACCCAGCTATGGTCACCTTGCTCTATTTTAACATAGAGTGCCTCAGCCACAGGGAATTCATTTTATCTGTCAGCCAGTAGCATACTTTAACACTTTGATGGACACTTGGATTGCTTCTATGTTTTAGCTATTATAAATAATGCAGCTGTGAGCATGGGTGTACAAATATGTTTTTGAGACTCTATTTTCACTTATTTTGGATCGATAACCAGGAATTGGGATTGCTAGATCATATGGCAATTCTGTTTTTATTTTTGTGGAACTACCGTAGTGTTTTCCACAGTGGCTGCACCATTTTACATTCCCACCAACAGTGCAAAGAGTTTAAACTATATCCTCACCAACACTTTTTATTTTGTGTTTTTCTGATTGTAGCCATCCTAATGGGTGTGTAGGGATGGATAGATGTGATACTTTTCCTCATTCATCATAAAGGTTATGGCCAAGATTCCTGTAACAAAAGAAAAGTAACAAGACAAAAGCATAACAAATTTGTTTAATTGAAGTTTTACATGACACAGGAGTCTTCAGAAATGAAGACCAAAGACCTAGGGAAGACTATTTTTAGGCTTAAGTTTGATGAAGAATGGGTAGCCATGTAGAATTGCGATTAGACAAAAAAGATACAATCTGTGATCTACAGACACGTAGAAATGTGATTGGACCAAAAAAAGTAGAGGATTGGGACTTTTAGTCACACACACCCCACTTTGGGAGAGGAGAGGGGCTGAAGATTAATTTGATCACCAATGACCATTGATGTAATCAACCATGTCTACATAATAAAGCCTCCATAAAAACCCCAAAGGACAGGATTTGGAGAGCTTCTGGATAGCTGAACACAGAGTTTCCTGGAGGATGGTGAACCTAGGGAGGGCATGGAAGTTCTGTGCTTTTTCCCACACACCTTACCCTCTGTATCTTTTCCATCTGGCCATACATCTGTATCCTCCGTAATATTTTAAAATAATAAATAGGTACACATAAATAACTGTTTCCCTGAGTTCTGCAAGCCATTCTAGCAAATTACTTAAACCTGAGAGTTGTGGGAACGCTGATTAATAGCTAGTTGATCAGAAGCACAGATCATAACTTGTGGTTGCAACTGACTGGCATCTGAAGTGGGGAACACCCATGTGGAACTGAGCCCTCAGCCTGTGGGATCTGACACTATTACCAGTTAGATAGTTGCAAATTGAGTTGAATTATAGGACAGCCAGCTGGTGTCAGTTGCTGAATTGATTGTTTGCTTCATGTGTGGGGAGAAATTCCCACGTATCTTAGTGATTAGAGGTGAAGTATTCTCTGTAGTATTGAATGTATAAGAAAAGGCAAAATATCCTTTTTTTTCCCCCTGTATATCTTATACTGATTCAGTTTTGTTAGTAGCTATAGGTCTACTCAGATTTTTGTATTTCTTTGTGATTTAGTTTCCATGGGTTTTGCATTTCTAGGAATTTATTTATATCATTTAGGTTATCCAATTTGTTGGCATACAATTGTGTATAGTACTCTCATAATCTTTTTTTATTTCTGTAGAATCAATAATAATGTCCTCACTTTCATTTTTGATTTTAGTAATTTGAATCTTCGTTTTTTCTTTGTTCATCTTGCTAAAGTTTGTCAATTTTGTTGATCTTTTCAAAGAACCAACTTTTGGTTCCATTAATTTTCTCTATTTTTTATTTCTATTTTGTTGATCTATGCTCTAATCTTTATTATTTCCTTCCTTCTAGTAGTTTTGCATTTAGCTTATTCTTGTTTTTCAAGTTTGTTAAGCTATAAAGTTGTTGATTTGAGAACTTTCTTGGCTCTTGATCTAAACGTTTATGACTGTGAATTTGATCCTTAGCACTGCTTTCACTAGTGCCATGAGTTTTGGTGCTGTGTTTCCATTTTCATTTATTTCTAAGTTTAGATCATTTTCCTGTGATTTCTTCTTTGATCCAGTGGTTGTGTAAGACTGTTTAATTTCCTCAAATTTGTGAATTTCTCCTGCTGTTACTGTTTTCTAACTACAACTAATTGGAGTTGGAGAATATACTCTGTATGCTGTTTGTCTTTTTAATTCTATTGAGACCTAATTTGTGATCTAACATGGTCTATGAAAATGTCTCATGTACTCTAGGGAAGAATGTGTATTCTGTTATTGGATAGACTGTAAGGTACATATCTAGTGGATCTAGTTGGTATATTGTGTTGTTTAAGTCTTCTATTGTCTTATTCCATTGAATTGTACTGTCCATTATTGAGAATAGGATATTGAAATCTCCAACTGTTGTGGAATTGCCTATTTCTCCTTTCAATTCTGTCTGGTTTTGCCTCCAACATTTGATGGTCTTATATAGGTGTGTAAATATTAATCATTGTTATATCTTGTTGTATTAAACTTTTTACTAATATGGATTATCCTTTATGTTGTAAAACTTTTTGATGTAAAGTCTATTTTGTCTGATTTTAGTATAACCACCCTTGCTCTCTTTTGGTTACTATTAATATTTGCAGGAAACATATTTTTCCATCTTTTCACTTTCAATCTATTTCCGTCTTTGAATCTAAAATGACTCTTTTGTAGATGCATATACAGTCGTATGCCATGTAATAATATTTTGGTCAACAGTGGACTAAAGATATGATGGTGGTCCCATACAATTACAATACTTTATTTTTACTATAACTTTGTTATGTTTGGATATGTTTAGATTTAAAAAATACCTATCATTGTGATATAATTGCCTATGGTATTCAGTACAGTAATATGCTGTACAGGTTTGCAGCCTAGAAGCCATAGGCTATACCTTATCACCTAGGTGTGTGTACACTAGACCATCTAGGTTTGTGTAAGTACACTCTATAATGCTCACAATGATAAAATTGCCTAATGATACATTATTCAGGACATATCCTGGTTGTTAAGCAGAGCATGACTGTAGTTGGGTCCTGTTTTTTATTCATTCTGCTAATCTCCATCTTTTGATTGGAAAGTTTAATTCATTTATGTTTAATTATTGATAAGGAGGAACTTGTTTCTGTCATTTTGCTATTTTTTTCTATATGCTTTATACCTTTTCATATTTCATTTCCTGTAATACTGTCTTCATTTTGTTGAGTTGATTGTTTCTAGTGAAACATTTACCTTCCTTTCTCATATTTTTATGTGTATATTCTATATCTACTTTCTTTGTGCTTACATTGGGGGAGTATAGTTAACATTCTAAAGTTATAATAATCTTACTTGAATTTACACCAGCTTAACTTCAATAAGATATTGAAGTTGTGGTCCTTTAGAGCTACTTTAGATCTAGGCCTACCTTTTTTTGTTTTCGATGTTATGAAATTACATCTTTATAAATAGTGTACCCCAAGTATTCATAAAACATAAGCAGATAAAATTGGAAAACTTATTTTGAAGTTGAGTAATCTCCCTGTCATACTCTGAAAGTACGGAAGTTCACTGTTAAGAATTCTTTCTTAGTAATTAAACCATGGATTCTATCTACATCTGTTTTGACTATAAAGATACATAGTATTTGAAAATAGCAGATAAGCCCTCACACATAGACAAGATTCGTTTTCATTTCTAATGATTTTAAAGTTCAGAAAAACAGAAATTTGTGCATATAGTGCATTTTATGCTAATATATTGTACAGTTTCTAAAAGTTACTATTTTTGCTGAAAACTGTATGATAACAACTATTAATATTTTAATTCTATAATAACTGAAAAAATTATTAAATTACCTTTGAATCACAGACTCAAATTATTGACTACATGAAGCTTCCACTACTTTCAGCACATTTTTGGGAAATAAATTTCCTCATGAAGAATCCAATGGGGAAAAAAATCCATAAATTAGAATCATCATGCTTGCAGTGTTTTGAGTTTTTTGAAAAAAATGTTTTTGTAAAGAAAGTTATTTAGCTTAGAAAGTAGTACTTAGGAAGTATTGACAGTGTGTGTATGACTTCTTGAAAAATAATCAGCATGCAGACACTATTATTTTCACTAATATCTGGGTATTCCATACATTTCTCAGCCACCTTTGCAGTTATATTAGTCATGTGATTGAGTTCTGGCCAATGAGATGTGGACAAAAGTATCCCATGCTCTCTTTATTTGTGAATTAGATGTGGAAAAACTCCAGCATAGGATCCTATGTATTGTGTTTTTTACAGTCAAGTCAGGAAAAATAAATCATGCTTTTTATTCAAAGAAAGGAGATTTAATATCAGAACATTGATTACACAGGTGTGTAATCAGTGAAGATGAAGAAGCACAAAGTTACTTTTTAGTTCTGAGATAATAGCAGGAAACAGCTACTACCCTAGGGCTGGGTGTAATAGAGAGCTTATTCAATGGTATCCAAAACCCCCACTTCCTGATACTCATGTCCTCCATTCATACATGACCCTCCCCTCAAGGATAGGCTGGACCTAATGAAGCTTCTAATGAACAGAACTAAGCAGACATAATCAGAGACCAGTTTAAATATTAGGATATAAAAATACTATGGATTCTGTCTTGGCATGTTCTCTTTCACTCTTTGTTGGATGACTCACCCTGGGGAAAGCCAGCTGACATATTACGAAGCAGTCTAGCAGGGAGAGAGCTTATGCGACAAGGGGCTAAAGCCTGCCAACAACCATGTGAGAGAGCTTTGAAGCTGATTTCTCCTCTACCAGTCAAGCCTTCAGATGAGTCCACAGCCTCTGCCAACAATTCTAATACAGCTCCATAAGAAATTTTGAACCAGGGGCATCTATCTAAGCTATGTCTACATTCCCAACCCTCAGAAACTGAAATAATAAACATTTGCTTTAAGACACTAAATTTTGGGTAATTTGTTATGCACCAATAATAATAAATACATCAGGGAAGCAAAAGGGAACAGGTGGGTTACGAAAACTTAGGAACTCAGAAAATAATTAATCATAAATTATTTGGTCAGTCCTCTGAGAAAGGGCTATATATTATTGTCACCCTTAAAGGTGGTATGGATCCCCTTCCTATTATAGATATGAGGTAGAGGCTGCGGACATTCCACACACCAGATAAACTTGAGAAAAAGTTTATTACTCACACAGCAACTCCTAAGGCAATAAGAACAGGCTGTTATGCTCAGGGTTAGGGTCAAGCTCCAGCTGAGGTCCAAGGGGTGTAGGTAGATGTGGGGCATGGAGCTAGAAGAACACCCAGAGACAGCAGGTAAATGAGACATGGCTTTATTCAGCGGCTCTCTCATCAGCAGCTCTCTTACACTGTCCTCTCTGTCTTGGCTGCTTGAGCCAGCTGCTCCCATGCACAGCTGCACAGCCGGCTTTCCCTTGCCTTCAGGGTCAGCAGCTTAACTCTTTCTCTTTCTTGGCACTAGTGAGCTGAGCTGTATCCTGACTTCCCCTTGTTTGTCTGCAAGACAGACAGCTCTGGCTCTCTTTCTGGGCACAAGTGTACCCCACACAGTGTCAGCAGGGCAATTATACCTTTAACAGACAATAGTGGCTTAGAGCTAAGTGATGGCCTTCCCATGTTATGGCTACATGGCTATGATAATAAGTGGAGTTACACATCTGCACTCTAAACTCACTGAGACACTCTGGATATTTACCTCTGCCTATTCTTTACCAAAGCACTGTGATCCTTACACAGGCACAAGCAGGTTCATGCTGATTTAAGTCAGGCAGAAGGAGTGGGTTAAACCATAATGATGGCTAGGGAGTGGGAAGGGGGAAAAGTTCCTATCCATAGGCTGGCTACTTGCAAGATTTGAATTTTCCACCAGTGCCAAAGGAGGAGGCACACAGGCTTTCTTATCGGCATGTTCAGATGTGGGGCCAAATGGGAAGGGGGAGGTGAGGCTAAAATAAGTTAAAAGTCAAACGTAAAAAAATGAAGTCAGACTCTATTACAGGGTGTCTCCTAGCTACTTTCTGTACTTCAGGAGTGCAGAGGAGAGACCCCAGGAGATGGTGCTCTGACCTCTTAACACAGAACACAATTGGCTGCAGCTGATCCCTCTGAGAGACTGTATGACCAGTTCTGAGAATAGTAAAACACAATTAAGATGGAATCTAACTGCTTCTGCTCAAACCATGCTGACAGGAAAAAAGGAAGTCCTTCTTTTCTTTTCCACCTTCCAAAATCCCTTTAGTGACAAACACCTATTAGCAGAAATTAATAGATGTCTCAGAAATGTACACCTGTGCTCCAGGTATACACTAGCACTACAGAAAACACTATGGAAGCATAGATTTGAAGCAAAGTCAATGGGCAAAAAACCAGTACACTCCTTACCTCTGTTATCTCAGCATCTGTGCACATCTCCTTTCATTTTTTTTTTTTTTTTTTTTTTTTGAGACAAGGTCTCTTTTTGTTGCCCAGGCTGGAGTGCAGTGGCACAATCTCGGCTCACTGCAACCTCCGCCTCCCAGGTTCAAGCAATTCTCCTGCCTCAGCCACCCTAGTAGCTGAGATCACAGGTGCGCACCACCACACCCAGCTAATTTTTGTATTTTAGTAGAGATGGGGTTTCACCATATTGTCTAGACTGGTTTTGAACTCCTGACCTCAGGTGATCCACCTGTCTCAGCCTCACAAAGTGCTGGGATTACAGGCGTGAGCCACCACACCCGACCCTCCTTTCTAATTTTTAAATTCTTTAGCAACAATCTCATGATTTTGCATTTATTCAGACAAAAATACTTTTACCCTCTACCCTAAAAGGGGAAATACAGATAAGAATGTTAACATCACCTTCTTGATCTATCAGTTAGCTTAGTCCCTCTACTGGTTCAGTCATAACTACCTCAGATACTCTATAACTGAGCAACAAAGTAAAAATGCTAATCATCACCACTAATCCTTATCTAAATTAATTACGTAGAGAAGAGGGAAAATACTATGTGCAAAGTTGCTAGTCCTTGTTTCTGTAACTAATCAGAAGAATTTTTTTTTCTTTTTTTTTTTCTTTTTGAGATGGAATCTCAGTCTGTTGGTCAGGCTGGAGTGCAGTGGTGCCATCTCAGCTCATTACAGCCTCCACCTCCCTGGTTTCAGTGATTCTCCTGCCTCAGCCCCCCAGGTAGTTGAGATTATAGGCACGTGTCACCACGCCAAGCTAATTTTTGTATTTTCAGTAAAGATGAGGTCTCACCATGTTGGCCAGGCTGGTCTCGAACTGCTGATGTCAGGTGATCCACCCGCCTCGGCCTCCCAAAGTGCTGGGATTACAGGCATGAGCCACCGTGCCCAGCCAAGAAATGTGATAATTGTAACTTCTCCCACTATCCACGACATGTTCCATTGACCTCGGCCAGTGTCTCTGCTGGTCGTATTTATTAACCTGGTAGAGTAACATCAAATATTTATTTCTGAAGATCTAATGACTCAGTCATTTTGTCTTTATTGGACTTCTGTTGTTTTCCCTTTAATTTTTACTGTTGAATACATCCATGCTAAAAGGTAACTCAGAGAGTCCACTTGTTATCCTCTCTGTGCCCATTATGTAGTAGGAGCCTAATTTTTCTCTGAAAATCAGAGTCAATCACTTCAGCCAATAAAGTATCCCCTTCTTTGACAGTTAATTCATTAAAAGTTTATGAAAAACCCAACATAGCTATGTGGTAGTCTCGACATCCAATTTGATGGAACAGGGGTTGTGTCTCACGGTGAAATTATTCTTAGTTCCTTTGGGAACTGAGGTTACTAAGTTAGCAGGGTCCAAAGTTTCAGGGATGGAAACCAAACTTTTGTAAATGGATAATTAGGTTTAACAGTAAGGGAAGCCACTTTTATTTCTGCCTCTTGACTCTCAGAGCCATGAATTTTGGCTTTGGGAGAAATAGCACCGTATGTGTTCAAAACATATATTGTATGCTATAGCAGATAATCTAAGTCAGTGACATAGGGGGAAAGACGTGTGACATGGGGGAAACACTATTTTTGTCATAATACAGTGTTGAGTGGGACTTCAAGGTAATAAATTTTGGCATGTTGGAAGTCTATGAATGGTGGTGGTGGCCAAAGCATTGCTGACAAGTAAAGCAAATTCATATCCAGAACAACTGTGCATTTTTGTGAGTTCAAATCTCTGACCTCTCTGTGGAGGAGAAACTAGATGAGAAGAGCGTGGGTCCTTGAGTTCTTCCTTAGAGGTGAGACACTAGGAGAGCCACTGAACCTAGAACATCTGTTTTGGACTTTGGGTATGAGAAATAAATGTTTATTACATTAAGCCACTGATATTTTGGTGCTGTTTATAACATCTTTTAGCTTAGTCTGACTATTTCAAGCAGGAAATTTGAAATTTCCCTTCAATACAAAATTAAAGAATTCTGAAGATCTATGAAAGTGTTAAAGACTTAACAGTTTTTACATACAAAATCTTCATTTCTTTAATGTAATATTTAAAATACACATATTTTCATGTTAGAGCTATGCATTGAATGTTGTTTTTTAAATTTATTTCCTTTTTAAAATAGAGATAAGGTCTCGCTGTGTTGCCCAGGCCGGTCTTGATCCTGGGCTCAAGCAATCCTCCCACCTCAGCCTCCCAAAGTGCTGGGATTACAGACAATAGCTACCATCGTGCCTGACCACATTTTGTATGTTCATTCAGAAATGAACTTCCATGTCTGAAATAATGAGGATAATTTAAAATTTTTATTACTACAATTACTGTTGGTATGATTGATGGATATATGTTTTTTAAATTTCAAGTAGTTCAAAGAATATCCCCCTCTCTGTCCAAAAGACATGTTTGATTTTTTAAAAATTAGAGAACTATTCATGAAATTAAAATCTTAATTACTCAAAAAATTAAAAGTGAAGTGTTTTTTTGCCTCCATTCCTCATTTTTTTCTTATGTGGGGTATAATTTTCTTCTTTCTCCCTTGTGTTTCTGATCTTCCTAAATGGTTTATTTACTAAAAGGATGAACTGTGTGATTGCCAATTTTCTTTTTCGTCATGTTACAAAGCTTTT
The DNA here is from genome assembly GCF_000001405.40 of Homo sapiens. Lineage (NCBI taxonomy): Eukaryota > Metazoa > Chordata > Mammalia > Primates > Hominidae > Homo > Homo sapiens. The sequence continues at coordinate 174,427,517 of NC_000003.12, read as the reverse complement.
AAAATATGATCACATCTTGAAAATCTATTTTTTACAAAAATTACTGATACAAGGCCAGACTATAAGGTGGAAACGAGACTTGAGAATTTCTCTCTCCCTGCCCTGTCAATATACCAAATGAACCGGGAAAAAATATTAAATGGTATGTGCAGCCCAAGCTCTGTTTATTGAATGGATGACTTAGCATGAATATCTGTGAGGATTTTTCATACTAAAGGGTATCTTAAATAACTACAGCAAAGCATTCCTAAATATGATTTAGAATCCACTTTGATATCGAAAATACAATGATTGTCTAATGATTAAAAAGAAAGATGACTACTAGAATACAGAATGGTTTTAATGACTGTCTTAGTCTGCTTTGTATGGATGTAACAGAATACCAGAGACTAGGTAATTCATAAAGAAAATAAATTTATTTGTTACAGCTCTGGAATCTGGGAAGTCCAAAACTGAGGGGCCACATGTGGTCACCTTCTGGTGAGGGCCTCATGCTGTATCATACCATGGTAGGAGGCATCACAGAGCAGGAGGGACACGCGAGAGAGAGCCAAATTGGGTTTTATACAGACCCACTTCTGGAATAATACATTAATCTAGTAAACCATTAATCCGCTTATGGGACCAGAGTCCTCATGACCCAATCACTTTTTTAAAAAATTTATTTTATTTATTTATTTAATTTATTTTTGAGATAGAGTTTTGCTTTTGTTGCCCAGGCTGGAGTGCAATGGCATGATCTCAGCTCACTGCAACCTCCGCTTTCTGGGTTTGAGTGATTCTCCTGCCCCAGCCTCCCGAGTAGCTGGGATTACGCCACAACCGGCTAATTTTTTATATTTTTATTAGAGACAGGGTTTCACCATGTTGGCCAGGCTCGTCTCCATCTCCTGACCTCAAGTGATCCACCCACCTCGGCCTCCCAAAGTACTGGTATTACAGGCGTGAGCCACCGTGCCCAGCTTCCAATCACTTCTTAAAGGCACTACTTTAGGATGTAAAAGTACTTTTACATTGGGGATTAAGTTTCAACATGAGTTTCAGAGGGGACAAACATTCAAACCATAGAAATTATATATTAAGCCTTGTGTAAACAAAGGCAAAATAATCTATCCCAAATATTACATAATTTTTTTCAACTTTCTTTATATAGTGTATATGTTTGAGGTTTCTTCAGTTCACCACTTTCATGATTTTCTACATTAAGTATAAAATTGTGTCTATTAATGTAACTTTCAGCTCGTCCATCCTGACAAACAGTCTGTGTAATATATATCTGTTACATCTCTTTTTCTCTGCAATATGTCCTCGCCTTGGGGAAATGGTTTTCTCTACCCCATATGAATGTGATAGGACTATCTAGAAAAGGACCCTACTCTCTATCACCACAGAGGCAAATTTGTGATCTCAAAGCCCCTATACTATATATATATATGTATTTTTTTTTTTTTTTAGACAGTCTCACTCTGTCACCCAGGCTGGAGTGCAGTGGTGCAATCTTGGCTCACTGCCACCTCCACCTCACAGGTTCTAGTCATTCTCCTGCGTCAGTCTCCTGAGTAGCTGGGATTACAGGCTCCTGCCATTATGCCCGGCTAATTTTTGTATTTTTAGTAGAGACGGGGTTTCAACATGTTGGCCAGGCTGGTCTCGAACTCCTGACCTCAAGTGATCCACCTGCCTCGGCCTCCCAAAGTGCTGGGATTACAGGCTTGAGCCACTGCACCCAGCCCCAATACCATATTTAGGGGAAAGAGAGTTGCAATTATTTATAACGCTGTACAGGCTCTAGGCCTAGAGCTGCTGACAGCCAGGTTCCTCACTTCATGTAGAGTCTCTTGAGGAAAACAGAACCAAGACAGAAAATGTTCTGATGACACGGTATTAGCTGCCACCTGTGTCTACACGCTTAGACCTCTCAGATAAGTGAATCATATACATCCTGTTTTTCTTAAGTGGATTCCTGTCTTTTGCAACCAAAAGTTCTGAAATTAGAGCCCTCATGTACCACCTTTCACTGCTTATCTTGATGAGATGTCTTTTAAATTAATTTTATAATATTAAAAAATATGATGAAGGAATCACAAAAATAAATGTAGCAATTAGAGAAAGAAAAAAAAAATCATGCATAACGTCTTTATACAAGTCTAAGATAAAAAGTATTTTCATTAATCCCCAAATAGGAAAGAGTGAGGTCAAGTTATTGTTCGGTATTACAAAGCAATGTTGGCTGTGCTTACCCATACTGGGTATCATAGCTTTTAGGCCCTTGCAGGGTACAGAGCACTGATTTCTTATCCAGTACCACATGACTTGTTCTAGACTTTCTCCCCTGCCTGTCTTCTGTCACCTCCCACTCCAATACTCCAATCTGCTCTGGGTATGGCATTCCCAGACTGTTTTCTGTAAGCCTCCCTCCCTTATTGATTATGGTGTTTCCCCCCAACCCTTGCCCTCCAGGAGAGACAGGCAGGATGGACAGGGCTGGATTGGGTAAGAGTTGCCCTTTGTCATGGAGAAAATTCTGGGAGGGCTTCACAATGAATACTCTTTCTTTCTCCCTGGCAATTCCATGACGGGTCTTTCTCAGAGACCACCTGTAAAAATCTGGTGGTTTTCCTGAGGAAAAATCCAAGTATGTAAGGGGCTGTCTTATGACTATGACTCTTGAAAGCCCTACATTGTTATACCAGCATGCACTAAGCCTCCAGCAATTCACTAAAAATGTTATCTAAATGTTTTTACTCCTGCTTTGGAGTCCAGTGGTTTCTGCTTCAGAGAAACAGATCTTGGTGGCTTTATGTCTCTGGATGTACCTGACTCTAAAGTTTACAAGGTGGTGGTTTGCCTTGTGCTCTTCTCCATTCTCTGATGTGTCTAACTCCCTAAGTCACATTTAAAAAAATTTTTTTCCCAAAAATTATAGCATTAAAAATATAATTACAAAAGTAATTCATTTGCATTAAAGATATTTGGAGTATATAGAAACAAAAAGAAAACTAAAAATCAACCATAATTTCAACATGTGGATATGATGACATATATTCTGACATCTATCCTTCCCTGAGTTTTTCAAAAATATTGAAAGCATTAATTCACTTATGTATCATTAAAAGATGCTTCTAATTTTCCACTGGCCGATGTAAATGCAGAAAAATCTCCTTAGAGCAGATGATATTATCTCTACACGGACCCATTTGTTTGTGCACATTGGTCACAATGGCAAAGCCTGGGAGTATCATCCTGGAATCTTGAGTATGGTGCCCTTCTGAAGCCTGTGCTGGAAACTGGGTAACTGAGGGCAACAAGAGAGGGCAGGGATGCTTCAGTTTAGGCAATACAAAGTTTATACAGCAAGTTTTAACTGGCAGCAGTGGGAACAATGGCAAGCCTGATGTAAGCCCTCTTAGGGGACTGGTCACAGTTTCCGTTTCTTTCTCTGCCTAAGGTTTTGGACAGTACATAAAGAGATGAGCCTTCAGAAGGAGATCTTGGACTTCCTGATAATATGAACATTGGAATTCCCAGCAACTAAATAAAAAGAATAGCTCTGTTATCAATTGTTCTTCTAAGATTAAATGGGTCATATTTATAGTCAGATGCATTTTTACAAAGTTTACTCCTGTTTTTATTTATTAACATTTCTAAAGACTTTGGAAAATGTAAAGCCAAGCCTGCATTAATACAAGCTTCTCTTACTGATATGGTTTGGCTGTGTCCTTATCCAAATCTCATCTCGAATTGTAATCCTCATAATTCCCATGTGTCGAGGGAGGGACATGGTAGGAGGGGATTGGATCGTGGAAGGTGATTCCCCCCATGCTGTTCTCATGATAGTGAAGGAGTTCTCCCAAAATCTGATGGTTTTATAAATGGCAGTTTTCCCTGGGCTTTTCTTTCTTTCCTGTCACCTTGTGAAGAAGGTCCTTGCTTCTCCTTTGCCTTCTACCATAATTGTAAATTTCCTGAGGCCTCTCCAGCCATGCATAACTGTGAGTCCAATTAAACTTCTTTCCTTTATAAATTACCCAGTCTTAGGTAGCATTTTTATAGAAGTGTGAAAATGGACTAATCCACTTACTTTGGGAAATTCTTGCAAAAGTTTAAAAATTGTAAGTAGTAGAGAAGACCTCAAGTCCTAGAGTTTCAGAGTTAGTTTTCCTAGAATGAAGTGATCACAGGAAGCAGCAGGAAGGGAATGGAGAAATAAGAGGACAAAGCAGAGGATGCCAAAACAAGTGTGTTGATGACAAGATTCCTTCATTGGGCAACTGGTGCTCAGTTCCACTGTGACTATAGGGGGGTTACTCCCTGGTCCTCCTAACCTACCCTGTGAATAGGTTAAGAACACTCCTATGAGAAAGGCAAAAGTTGCAAGAACTTGCAGTAAAAAGTCATCAAAATGAAACCAAAAGGTAAGTGCCTGCAGAGGGGATGTGATTGAGGCACCAAGAGCACCTGCTACACCTAGGATGCTGTTTTCCAGCCCAAGTTCTACTAGAAGGCTCTGAATGGGAGGTTCTTGAACCTGGGTTATCTATCAAAAGGTGCTTTTTAAAATTTCCATTGGGCTGTTTCTTTGTTTACAGTTGCCTTCATTGGAAGAGCTGATGGCTAGCTAACTCTATGCCTGGATTGCACTTGCTCAGAGGCAAGATTCTTTTCAAACGTGTGGACAGAGAGCATCATTTCCCAAGATAATTTCCTTAATAAGGGTAACTTCAATCTGGAAATGGAGGTCTTTAGTTTAAATCATTCCTGGTCAGCAGTGTCCTTCCTCCCTCCTCAGCCCCAAACATCTCTGTGTCTGTTGTGGAAGTCTAGAATTACCTCAAGCCGTTGTATGATCTCTCTTAGGACCCAATATTGTAACTGGGTGTCATTACCCCAGCAAACCCCCCATTCAGAGAGCCTATTTTCTGGCTTTATCTTGGACACAAAAGTTCAGACATTTTAATTTAACTAATTATCTAGTATTTCATATAGTGATAAGTTATGTAACAAAATAAAGCAGGATAAAGGGAAATGAGAGTCTTCTTGGGAACTAATTTAGAGACCTGACATGCTTTTGTGTGGCCAGTGTCAACCTTTCCCTCATGGGTCCATGAGGATCTGAATGCCAGTCTCTTAACCGGATCCAGAGATTTCTGGTCCTCACTCCCAGGCTCTGTTCCAGAAATGTCTACCAACAAGGTGAAATGGAATGGGAAAAGGGGAAAGGAAATAAATCAGACTGGTGTTTCTCCACCAGGGCCTTGTATTATGTAGGCTGCAAGGTATGCTACTATAACAAAGGGACCAAGAAACTTCAACAAGAAGAAGTTTATCCTTATCCATGTAATAACTTAGAGATAAGTAGGCAAACTTGTCCTTGTAGTCATCTCTGCCATACTCAACTTATAGCTGTGACCTTCCTGTGCAACTCTGGAAAGATCCTCCAATGATTCTCATCCACCCATCAAGGGAAAGAATGGCCTATTCCCAATCATTTTTAGCTGTTCAAGTCTCAGAGTGGTACACAGTACTTTTTGGTTTTTTACATCCCTTTGAGCAAAGCTTTGTGATGTGGTTACCCTTAACTGTAAGATATCTGGAGATTATAAACTTTAGCTGGGAAGATATGTGACTACTTTCTACTCTATTATATGGAAAGAAGAGAATGGATAGTAACAGACAACTAGCAATCAGCTACAAATCTCAACAGAGCCAGAGGCTTTACCAGCACTCACTTGCCTGTTAATATCAGTTGCTTCAGACTTGAAGTGTAAGAATTGGAGGGAAAGAAAATGGCAGGTAGGTCATTATGTTTCTTACATTTTCTGTTTATCTCTATTGTAGGTATTTTATGAAATAATAAAAAGCATCCTAAAGATTTTTAGAAGTAGGAATACTTATATTGTAACAGTTTTAAATTACTGATATTAGTGGTATCAATATTGTGTTAGATTAAATTGTCATCCACAGATATGCACTTCCTTATCCCTGAAGGAGGGGTATATATCCATGCCAATTGCTAGGTGAGTTGCAGTGCTTCCCCATGTGAACAATATACATACCTATACTATTCATGCTATGCTTGATCATGCGGGTGATATGTGCCACATCCAAGCAGGAGTTTTGAGAACCATGTAATAACAGTGTGTCCCAAATAGGGGCTCAGCCCCACATCCTACTCACAGTGACCCTCAGTTGATATGAAATGCAAGTAACTCATAAACATTTGTTTGTGTAAGCCACTAAAATTGTGGAATTATCCTTTACCTCAAATCCAATCTGACTAATATAATCATTATTATTGTACATGAATCTGGAACTTAAGAATAATGTATAAGAATGAGTGATATTGACTAGGGAGGGGATGTAGTAGGATGAGAAAACAGGAGCATCAACAATCACCAACATTTAAGGAGTGCAGAGAGGAACTAGATGCTGCAAAGGACACTGATAAAGAGCGGACTGAGTTGTAGAAGGATCAGAATAAAAACCAGAGTATTTTTCATGGAAGCTGACTAGTAAGGCTTTCATCAGAAAAACATAAGCATAAACACCTCTAATTATTTTAATCAGAAAGATTTGTTATAACTTATTAGAAATTTGGACAATTGCTGTTAATAATCGCAGCTGACTACATGTTTGCAGAAGCCGTTACTGGTGCCCATTGATTCCAGAAAAATAATTGATTTTTGCTTCCTCTCTTTCAAATCTCAAGCAAGTTCTCATTGTTAGAATGTAAATTACTGCAAAATTCTGGTGGGAAAGGAATTTGAAAATTTTAATTCCTGGTGTTTCTAGCTCCAACAATAATTAGAAGAGAGTAGAAAGGAGTGAGGATGAATGTTTACTGAAAAAAAAAATCTAGCACAAAAGCCAATAGAGGAAAGGATTTCGGAAAAAGAAGAAAAGTGCCAATGAGGCCAAATAACTTAAAGAGGTAAAATACTATATGAACTAGAAGTAGCCATTAGAATTATGAACTAGAGGGATTATTGGAAATCATTTCCAAAATAATTATATTGAAAAGTTATATATGAAAATCTTCTTTGAATGACTTTAAATGGATATGAGAAATGAAAAAACATCGACCACTCTTTCAAGATAGGAATAGAAATAAGGATAAGGAGAGAAAGAAAAGGGGTGGCAAAATAAAGAAAAGAGATGATGCAGGATCAAGAAAAAATAATTTTAAAGTGATCGAGACTCACTCATGTTTCAGGTAGAGAGGAAGTAGTAAATAGAGAAGGAAGCGCTGAAGGTACCAACAAGAATACAGTTAATGTAGCAAGTCCCAGAAGAAAATGCATGTGTATAGGAATCAGATTACAAGTAGTAGGCTAACCTCTAAGAGAAGGTGGGATGCCAGCATCCTCTAAGACTTAATTAAGGGAAAGAGATGAAGATGGGCATAATTGTAGATATCCTTGTAGCTAAGAAAACGAAATAGAATGTAAGGAATTTATGCACAAATGATGTTTCTTTTTCTCATAAAAAGGAGGGCAGAGTTATCTGCTTATCAAATGAACAAAAATAAAAATGAATAGTTCTCAGTGCTGGTGAAGGTATTTTAAACTAGAATCTTACACATTGTTGTTGAGAATATAAGTCATCTATTTTTCTGGTAGTAATATGGCAATCTGGATTGAGAAATTTATGTAAACACTTACCTATAACTGGGCCTATATGTCAATTTTGCCCTGCGCCTGCATTGAAGACAGTTGCAGCATAGTCTTGCTAAGCCAAAACCCCAACAAATTTAAGTACAAATGCATTAGTAAAAAATGCACTGATGAGAATTACATTACAGTCACAATACAAAACTTTCTATAAAGTTTTTGGCTTGGGGAAGGCAAGAAAAACTCTCAAACTAATCTTTTGATGCCCCTTAGAATTGTTATAGACCTTATAAATATACAAATATAAAGAAATGGAAAGTTTGAGTGAAGTCACATAGTGCTTCTTTTTACCTTCTCATATCATCCTTAAGTACTCAATAGACCCAAGTTCAAAAGATGGTACATAATCACCAGATGTCCAAAGCACTTCTCTCTAGGTTAAGAGGCAGATTTTCTAGACAGCTATGAATGCTAGAACTTGATGGACTGCATACCTAGGACATGCAGACAGTGGCTTAAGAACTTCTTCCGGATCACCAGACTAGTCTACAGCTCTACTAATAGGACAAATGTATGTGTGGGACAGATTTTTTTAAAAGCAGCAATAATAACATTGTATGCTTGTTGCACATCAGGAACTATTCCAACTACTTTACATGTGTTAACTCACTTATTTCTAAAAATAACCCTTTTGAGATATTTATATTGTCGTCTGCATTTTACAGATGGTGCAACTGATCTGCAGAGAAGCTAATTAACTTGCCCAAAGTTATGGAGCTAAGGAATGGCTTTAGAAAGCAAAAGAAAAATTTTTTATTAAGAAATGAAAAGAAAAAAGACGCAGTATGGTGAGGCCCTATGTACAATTTATTCTACATAAGAAGGTGGTGGGGATCAAATGCAGTATGCATTCATTGAATAAACAACAGTATATGTTGTTGGTCTTTCCTCAGTGCTATGTTAACTCTCCTGTTCTTTGTCATTATGGTCTAAAAGAACCTTGATCATGTGGACATATTACAAAATAATGTATTGGTACACTAGATTTATGACATCTTATTAACGGAAACTGATGAGCAATAGATGGAAAATACTCTGGGTACCTTGTTAAAATATATGTTTCAAGAGGTGGGAGATAAACTCTATAAAGTTTCAAGGACATGATACTTCGCTGAAGTTTTTAGTGATCTTGTCATCCAGGGCATCTCTTCCAAAGTAAACAACAATTTATCGCACTACTCACCAATACGGAATAAGTACAAATCTTAGTGAGTTCATTTGGATTTTAGAAGTAGCATATTTTGCACCTGAAATGCTGCCCAAAACCTTCTGTTGGATGGTTTGGGAGTCTGCTAGTTTTGAGTGCAAACTCAGAGTAAGTAAGGGCTCTGACTGTGGGCTCTGACATGTTCTGACTGTGGTATAGGTAGATCTGCTTGGACCATATAACCCATCATATACGAAGGTATTAGAGAAAGATGCTCTCTCGAGCCTCTAGCAAAAGTGAAAAGCAGAGTCAAAGTGTACACTCTTACATTCCAGAGCAAGGGCATGCCACCTGTACTGGCTACCAGTTGATTTATTTTTAGCTTCAAATTTTTGTATTTGCCTGCTCTGCATTAATGGAGCTAAGTCCTTTAAATATTTAAATATTTTCCTTTGGGGACCGGGAGTGGTGGCTCATGCCTGTAATCCCAGCACTTTGGGAGGCTGAGGCTGGCGGATCATCTGAGGTCCAGAGTTCGAGACCAGCCTGGCCAACATGGCAAAATCCCGTCTCTACTAAAAATATAAAAAAGTAGCTGGACATGGCAGTGGATGCCTGTAATCCCAGCTACTTGGCAGGGTGAAGAGGGAGAATCACTTGAACCTGGGCAGCGGAGGTTGCTGTGAGCCAAGATCGCACCACTGCACTTCAGCCTGGGTGACAGAGCAAAACTCCGTCCCCACTGCCCAGCCCCCTACAAAAAATATGTGTGTGTGTGTACACACACATACATACATATATTTTCCTTTTGAAAGTTGGCACTGATTTCTTAGCTGAGGGCATTGGAGAGACATTGCAAGGACAAAATGGTTTTGCTTCCTATTTCCCAATGCATGGTTGGTTTCTGAACGCTCCTGCAGCGCACAAAACTTCCCCTATACTGCTGCAGCATACAAAGCTTCTCTAGCACCAAGCTCTTGCAACACTTGTAATTTCTCCAGTGCTGGACTCCTTCAGTGCACATTGGCCATCATCACCCAACGGTCAGCAGCTACCCCCAGAACCTCTCATAGTGGGAGTTTGTGGTAAATTGCCTTCATTAAGACACCTTCCTATTCTATGCCTTGAGTAATGAAGTTATTTGTCTTTGACTCTAGCATCTCATGTTTTCTGCCAGCATCTACAAATCTGTTGCAGACTAACTGGTTAGTTGTCAAGGAGGACAAATATCAGACCCTTCTCAGTTCCTGACATGAGGTCTAGATCTCATCTCTGGGTGGAGGGTGAGACTCCTCTGGGTGTTTAATCTCAGCCCTAGGAATAATGACTGTTCCTTTATTTGATCCTCCTATATTCTGTTAAATTTTCTTACTTCTTACTATCTAGTCTCTTTATATTCTAATCCCTTATTGTTGCTAATTTTTTATATTAAACTTTTCGTGTTTAAATTACTGTATTGCTTTTCTTTTGATAGGACTCAGACTGATAAACCATTTGCATGAGAGAACTATACACCATTTGAAAAAGAGCTTTTTTGCAAGGTGTGGTGGCTAACTCCTGTAACCCTGGCAACTCGAAAGGCTGAGGCAGGAGGATCACTTGGGGCCAGGAGGTGGAGACCAGCCTGGGCAATACAGCAAGATCCTGTCTCTAAAATAAAGAAACAAATAAAAGAAAAAGAAAAACAGCTTTTGGTATACTACTGGACTCACATAGAAACCAATCTTCTGAACCTAGAACATCAAATGACCACATAATAAAATAATCTATCTTGAACTGAGTTAGACCATTAGTTAACAAGTCATAACATTAGGCAACCTCAGCAGCGATCTGTTGTAAAATGGAAGTGTTATATTTAAAGTTTTGGGCTCAATTAAGTCCAGAGAGCTTAAGTAAGCTTCAAGAAAGACGGCTTGGACCTCCATGTCACCTGAAAATGTTGCATTAACAACACTCCCTTAGCCTCATGGGAGGAATTCTCCATTACCAGCTGATAGAGAAAGACAGTTTGAGTTTGATCCATGGATAGGTTGGCTTGATACATGGTTACCGGTGGAAAATGAACTGCTATTTTACTATACCCCTTACTTGGGAATGTCCCTGACAGACAGTTGTGAGGAAAATCCCTTAGGCAGAGTATCTGTCAGTTCATTTGGTCATTCATTTGTATAATAAGAAAAGTCGTCCAAACTAAGGGTATACGTGAACTCTTAGGCAATAGTTAATGGTTTAGCTCTCTGGTGAGAAGTCAGAAAGGAGTAAGATTGGAAGATTGGGATCAAGTAGGACTAGAAAAGAAGCATGTATTTAGACCTATGGGAGTGGGCACGTGGTGTGAGCATGTTTGTATTGCATGCTAACTCTCCCCACCCCCTTTTATGCCATTTCTCACTATATCTGCCAAATCATTTATACTGCAGAATCTTTTATATTTTTCACTGGACTGATTATATGAATGTAGTATTAATTAACATGTTTCTCCACACCCATGTTTTTGCAATAATTTGGCAGTAGATCCAGATTTGATTAGATTCATCTTTGCTTTTTTCTTTTTTTGGCAATAACAGACCATAGAGAGGTGATATAATCTGAACTTCCTATTGCATCAGGAAGAACATAATGTATTCTCTTATTTTTATTTAGGTTAAGATGGATCAAGTGTTGCCATCTATCCATTAAAAATTTTTCCCATCAATCTTTCATCTAATAGTTTTAGCATTTATTATTTAATTCAAGGTGCAAAGTGGTGATGTTTCAATTCTAATATTACTCCTGAATTTACTAGTTGTTATTCTTTTCTAAAGAGGAAATTTCATACATTTTTTGAGTATTCTGAAATACGGTCTTAATAGGAAAGACAGAATAAATGTTATCTTTTCTTCTTTTATTATTATAATAATGAGTTCTTGTCTTATTAATCATCAAAGCCAATATATGAATTTCCTTTTGAATATCATTATGAAGTTAAGAAGTTTCTTTATGAATATTATTATGATGTTAACATATATCTATATCTGTATATCTATATCAAGATATATATTTTGATCTATTGCTGTCATCTTTTATTACACTATTTGTTTCACGTTTGGCAAATGATGTTAGGAAATAAACTTTTTTTTAGAAAAAATACATTGAAAATCTTAAGTTTTGGTTTATTTCATAATTTATTTGATTTCATATTTGTATCTCTTTTCTGTTTCTTTGAAAATCCTTATTTTATAATGACATAAGTATATTATTCATTTGCTTTATCCTACCATAAGTATGTGTGTACATAAGGTATATAATAATGTACATGAAAATTTCAAAATAAGTTTGCATTTATAAATTAGAAATCTTAAGCCGTCACCAACTAAAAGGATCCCTTTTCGGCCAAGAGGACCCCAGAAAAACCTTAAAAACAGAATTCCTGTCTAAGACAGGAAGGGAGGTCAGATATGCATAATTATACCCATTCCCTTTTGGAATTTAGGCAAAACCACCAACCAGCATTAATGTTAAAACAGAGATCATAAGACTAACAAAATGGACTTTTTGTGACAATAAGATACCCAATTATAAACAGGACCTGAGGCCATGCCGGACAAGGGTTAAGTCACACACACTTACAGGTCACTCTGACCCAGTCAATTGGTTAACAGACTTTCTTATCATAAAAATACCTTTCTGCTAACTCCAAATTTTAAGACAAAGCTTTACTTCTTTACCCAATTCCAAATTGAAGAATTTCTGAATCTATCTATAACCTATAAGCCCCTGCTTCAAAATATCCCACTTTTTCAGACCAAACTAATGTATACCTTCCATGTATTGATTTATGTCTTTGTCTACAATTCCTGTTTACCTGAAATGTATAAAACCAAACCGACCACCTAAGGCACATTTTCTCAGGACCTCTTGAAACACAGTTTCAAGAGGCCATGGTCACTCATACTGGCTTAGAATAAGCCTCTCTAAAATATTTTACAGAGGTTGATTTTTCCATTAACAATAATAATACCAACATACCAAATACTGAAATAACGACACCAACATTACTACTAGCGTAATACCACTGAATACAATTTCAGTGTTTTTTCAGTTAGTTTTTCTGAGGATACAAGAATGTAGAGTCAGGATATTATGCTTTGGGATGCAGAGTCAAACTAACATGTTTGAAAGGTATTTGAAATAATTCTTGTCCATGCAGTTATGGTACCAACCAATATATACTTAGGTTTATTTTATTTATTTATTTATTTATTTATTTATTTATTTATTTATTATTTTGAGATGGAGTCTCACTCTGTTTCCCAGGCTGGAGTGCAGTGGGCTATCTAGGCTCACTGCAATCTCCGCCTCCTGGTTCTAGCCATTCTCCTGCCTCAGCCTCCCTGGTAGCTGGGATTAGAGGCATGAGCCACCATGCCCAGCTAATTTTTGTATTTTTAGTAGAGACGGGTTTTCACCATGTTGGCCAGGCTGGTCTCAAATTCCTGACCTCAAGTGATCCACCCGCCTCGGCCTCCCAAAATGCTGGCATTACAGGCATGAGCCACCACACCCAGCCTACTTAGGTTTATTTGTTTCACTTTGTTTTCAAATTTTGGGGATGGTTTGTTCTGTCATCCTTTGGACTTATTATTTTTTTGAAAATATGTGTGACATTTACATGATTCTGAATTCAAAACTGGGTTGTTTTTCCTATTTTCTCTTTGCTTATATAGGTAAACCATTTTTATTCATTTTTTACCTTTCATTATTTTGTATTTGAACCCAGGTAGCATGGTGCTTGAGTCTATGGTCTTAAACAAAATGTTAGACTTAAACTGCCTCATTAGAAATTATCAAACCCTTTTTTACAGGAAAGTGGGTGTTGTTGAAAATTGCATATATTTGTATCCAGTTCTTCTCAAGATCTAAACTTGGAAACTATCATTACAGGCCTCTCCATAAGTCCCACCCTCTACCTCCTCCTCCCAAATTTAAAACCACCAGGCAGTAGCTAAAAGCCTCTTTTATGGCTTTTTGTGTTCCAAAAGCTTATATCCTTAACCCACATACCTACTTTATAGATTCATAGCATGCAAGCTTTGCAGATATTCTTTTGAAGTTTGCATTTATAAGCCTTTGTGTACCAGCCTTAGTAAATTTCCATGTGACCTGTCTGAACTTCTTGAAGACAGAGTGTGAACAAACATTACAAGCTTTTTGTAAAAGAGAATGTAGGTTCCATGTAAAAGATTTTTCCTAAATCCTATTATATTCCCTTTAAACAAATTTCTCACAAAATTTCACTACCCCGGTACTATTTACATCTTTTTCCTTTCCTACTTTTGCTCCTACTATTCCCAGCATTTCTAACTTTGGACTTCTCAAAAAGTTCATTCAGTTCCCATGGCCCATTCAGCATAATAAAAGCCTGAGAGCTGACGAAATAGCTTTAGATAACAAAAGTGCTAAATCCAGGGTTGTTAGCAACATTCTAACCACCTATTGTTCTTTATAAATACCCCTGGGAGCCCTCAGTTTATCCTGTTACAGGCAAATTTTTTCATGACATTTGACCTCTTATCTTGGGAATACAGCCTAATGGAGTAATTCAAACTGGTACAATGAGTAATGCATAAAAATGTTTATTGCAAAAATTATATAATCATGAAAATATATTATCACACAAACATTCAACAAATGGATGGATAAATGGTGGTGCATATTTATATTAGGCTATTAAGGATTAGTTATATTATACTATAAAGACATTTTAATAACATCTAAAAGTTTTGGGGATGTACTGTTAAATGATAAAGTACAAAAAAACTGAACAAAAATGACAAAACATTAATAATGTTGTAGGGGTGAAGGGAATTTTCCCTTCTCCTTTTAAGGTGCATGTTGATGGAAAGACTCAAACTCTGTGAAATTTATTCTGAGCCAAATATGAGTGACCATGGCCCATGACACAGCCGTAGGAGATCCTAAGAACATGGGTCCAAGGTGATTGGGCTTGAATTTATACATTTTAGGGAGATACAAGACATCAGTTAATACATGTAAGATGTATTATGTATTTGTTTGGTTCGGAAAGATGGGACAACTCAAGGCAGGGGTGGGTGGAGGGGGTTGTGTGCAGGTCATAGGTGGATTCAAAGATTTTCTGATTGGCAATTGGTTGAGAGAGTTTATCTAAAGACTTAGAATAGACAGAAGGGAGTGTTTAAGTTAAGGTAAGGAATTGTGGAGACCAAGGTTCTTATTGCTTAGATGAAACCTCCAGGTAGCAGGCTTCAGAGAGAATAGATTGTAAATGTTTCTTATCAGACTTAAAAAGGTGCCTGAATCAGTTGTTCTCTCCTGGATCAGCACAAATATCTGGAAAAGGAAGAGGATTCTGTATAAAATGTATATTTTCTTTGCAAGAGACAGCTTTGCAGGGTCATTTCAAAATGTGTCAAAAAACCGTATTTTGGGGCAAAATAATTTCTTTTAGGGCCTACTGTCATGTTGGTATCTTATTGCTACAAAGAGTCTGTTATTGTCATTCTCATGGTCTATGTTTTAATGTTAATGCTAGTCAGCTCTGCCTGAATTCCAAAGGGAGGAAGGTAGAATGAGGCATGTCTGACAACTCATTACTCTCATGGCCTGAACTAGTGTTTCAGGTTAACTTCAGAATGCCCTTGGCTAAGAGGAGGAGTTTATTCAGTTGGTTGGGGGTGCTTAGAATTTTATTTTTGGTTTACATGTGAGTCTGCTGAAATAAACTGTCAATAGACTAACAGGAGAAAAAAAAAGCAAGTTTATTATATGCACAGGGAAATCACAGGGAAGTGATTTCCCAATGAGTCCAAGGTTGAGAAACTTATATGCCCTTTTGCATAGGGGAGAGGAAGATGGCAGAATATAGGCAATTTTGAGGAGTCTAAATGAATTTTAGAAAGATGAATGGGCCCAAAAAAAGAACAGACAATAGTGTGTCAATGATTCTTTTAGGAAATTGTATGGGACCTATAAACGGACAATAGCTTG
Organism: Homo sapiens; assembly: GCF_000001405.40. Taxonomy (NCBI): domain Eukaryota; kingdom Metazoa; phylum Chordata; class Mammalia; order Primates; family Hominidae; genus Homo; species Homo sapiens. The sequence goes on along the minus strand of NC_000003.12, from coordinate 174,411,692 downwards.
TGACAAAGTCTGTTTAGGTGTGGTGACACTCCTCAGTCTTCCTTCCTGCCATATGATTTTAATCTTCCCTGGTTAATGAAATTTCAGGAGGCGATTGAAGGCAATTTTTTTCCTTCTGAAGAAGCTTCAGATAAGGGAACTTCAGAGAGAGTTTCAGCCTTCACTTAGGGAGAGAAGCAGGAGGTCAGAAAATCCTTGGTTCTGATGATGCTTCTGAAACCTTTTCATTTTCTGTAGTTCAAAGTGCTCAGCATGCCAAAGTGCCATACTTTGGGGTATCATTTTTCTGGTCCTCAACAATATTAACAGTAGTAATTTCTGTATATGCAAAGTATTCAAAAATGGATGTGTATCACTTTTATTAACAGTATACACACACATATACACACTAACCACAAAAGTATAAGGTTGTGAGATGGATGCTCAAGCTTTTTATGACTATAAGAGACTGATCTGAAGGACAATGGTCTACAGAGAAAAAAATGGGACTTATAGAGTGTTACGGTTTGAAGATGTGAGCTTCAAAGAAGACCAGTTTCAAATGAAGGCAGACAAAGTCAAGATGTGGAAAGAATAATGAGAGAGAATACAGTTGATACCTTGTCACCTCCTGGCCCTGTGGTAGCTGGGATATGAGAAAGTAGAACATACACTGGAGAAGTTACAGTGAAATTGGAGTTTTCAATAGAAAATTAGTTTTACTTAAGATAGCAGTTTTGAAACTTGAGTCATTCAAGATTTTTGTCATTTCTACTTTCTATGTATACTACTGATTTCTCATTGTTTCTCTTTAAGTCAATTTCTACCTTCCTCCCTTCTTTCTTTAATCAAAATACTTCCTTTAATTTCTTACATGACAATATATGTATGTGCAGACATGATGGATATATATTTTTTGAATATACATTAAAATAAAATGCAAGTATTAAAATTTAAATATTTATACATGGATAGTCTGAAATCATCTTTGGGAAACACTACTTTAAAATAAGAACGTGGAGAGAATTTTCTCTGAAGAGAACGAATATGCAGAAAAAAAAAATTGACAGTGGAATGGTGACCCCAGAGAACAAAGAAGAAGGGTTTGGAAGGCAGTCAACAAGAAGAGGAAAGATAGCTTGGAATGAGCAGAATAGATTTTCAAATGAAAGAACCGAGTAATATGCCAGGAAAGTCTGCATTTTGGGTAGATAAAAAAGCATGAATAAAAGTATCTGATTTACAACCACTCAAGTTTAGCTAAAGTTATCTTGGACAATGCTAGGTCTAAGAACAGGTAGCATGGACCCTGCAGATATTATGTCCTTAGAGCTTGGTGGGAAATGCCTTTGTATCTGAATGGTACAATGACTTCATGTAGTAACTGAGCCCTGAGCTAGTCAAAGGCAATGTCAAACTGTTGGCTAAAATTCTTTCCTGGTTTCAAATTTCCTCTCAAGGTATTTATTTCATAACACAGCTAGGGTCAATATTTTACATGGTCCCAAGAATGTGCAGCTAATTTTGAAATGGAAAGGAGAGGAAGGTTATACCCACCTCTTTGGAAGAAACAATTGGATATATCAGTTATTTAACAAAAAATGCCAGAGGTTTCTGGTTTTCTATACCCTGAGGTGCTATGTTACATATGTACCTAAAAGATACGGGAAGAAAAAGAAGGAAGAAAATGAGTAATACTCCCCATATTAAGTAAAAATTATCTTTAAAGCTGTTAATGATATTTGAATCAGTGACCTAGAGCCCATCTCATTAGGGAACGAACAATTTAATAACTATACTTCCACAGTCCATCAGCCTAAAGACATAAAAAAGAAATCAATAATGCAGCAAAAAGGAAAACAATAGAAATGCACAATTATTTCTGGCTGAAGCCTTCAGTAAATAATTTCAAGAATTGTAGTATTGCTCAAATCACTTCCTTTTCTAATATGCTACCATTTTTGTCCTTACTATAGCTTCAGTACAAACTTCTTTTTCTCTGTGTGAGTGACTCAAATATGATCACATCTCTGTTTATCCTCACCTTAACTCCATCCTTTTCTTTGAATGTAGGGTTTCTCTCTTAAAGTGGCTGATGCTATCAATGAGTGTTACACTGAGCCACTGTGTGTTTCAGGCTCAAGATACAGCCATTCTCCCCTCAGGCTAGTCAATCAGTTCAAGCCACTGAACTGTGACCAAGCCATGTAATGATTTTTCTCAGCGCTGTGAGACGAGACTGTTAACACCCATCTTCATCCAAATGCCATGGCAAAGATGAGGCTGCCTTTTCTCTTTTTGGAGTTGGAATATTTTTACTTTTCTCTCATTCCTGTCACCTTCTATTTTAATCTCCCTCCCTTAAGGCTCAGGACAAATCCCTGGAATACTTCTCCACCATTTATTTAATTATTCACTTAGTCACCTAACAAATATTTATTTATTGAGCCACTATTCTGTGTCAACTCTTCTTCTGGTTAATGAACACACAGCAGTCAACAAGACAGAAAATTTCCTCCTCGCAAGAAAATTATATTTTTGTAAGCAAATAAAATAATATTCAGTGACATGAACAAAATAAAAAATAGTGCCTGCAAATGGTTAATAAATCAGCTATTATAACTGTCTTATTTCTATAGTATTTATTTTTGGCTCTAATCTATTAAAGTTAATATTCATTTCAATATATCAGTAGATCCAAATATTTGGGACTAGGTGTATTTCTTTTATTTGCCCATGAATGAGATTGGGCTTTTTCCCTCATGTTTCTTCTTGCAGCTGAGCAGTGGCATTTATCGTGGTAACTAGAAGTTTCCTACTCCAAGATTACTCTGGAGTCAGTGCTTGCAGGATCTCTCTCTCTCTCTTTTTTTTTTTTTTTTTTTTTTTTGAGACGGAGTTTTGCTCTTGTTGCCCAGGCTGGAGCACAGTGGCACGATCGAGGCTCACCACAAGCTCCGCCTCCATGGTTCAAGCGATTCTCCTGCCTCAGCCTCCCGAGTAGCTGGGATTATAGGCGCGCGCCACCACGCCCGGCTAATTTTTGTACTTTTAGTAGAGACGGGGTTTCTCCATGTTGGTCAGGCTGGTCTTGAACTCCGACTTCAGTTGATCCGCCCACCTCGGCCTCCCAAAGAGTGGGGATTACAGGCGTGAGCCACCGCTCCGGCCTGATCTCTCTCTTCTTGTTAGCTCTCCAGGTCCTAGGGTTTCCTCTGTTGCCAAAACATTCCATTTGTGAGTCACTCACTGCTCTGTTACCAGTATTTGGCTCTACTGCCTGAGGCCCAGCTTCTTCCCTCTTTCTACCCCCAACCTCTTTCGTTTCTGGTTTAAAATTTTCTCTTTTGATTGGCGTTCCACTGAGATACACTTTCACCCACCAGCACTTTTTGAAGACATGTTCTAAAATCAGGTAAGGGGTATACAGTACAATCAGTATTATAGTAATTCCCTTTTCCATGGATGCAATTCTATCCTCATTCTCTCCAATGCCTATCTCTTTAAAGAACAGCTTAGCTATCTGCATTAAAGAGCTGGATGGCAAATGTTAACCAGTACCGGTTATGGACTCAAACTGACTGGGTTCCAATTCCATTTCTACAACTTATTAGATATGTACATTTGGATGGAAAAAATAAGTTAGCCGTTTTAAACCTTATTTACCTCATGAATATATATGCCCTGGGGAATGGTGAGAACTCCAAGTGGTGGAGAGTGAGCTTTTCTCCAATCTTGCCCTCTAACTAGAGAACTAGGTGAGAGTAAAGAGAAAAGTAAAGGGGTAGAGTATAGGCATATTCTGCTTTCTGAACAAGAATGCTTGAGGGCTTGTCTGCTGTTTGTGGCTGAATAGGTACTTAGGAGGTAAACTTGACCCACAGTGACAAAGACACATACATAGTTTCCAGGATTTCCAACAAGGCAGAGAAATAGAGAGTATGAATGACCTGAGAAAGTCAAGGACAGAAATAGAGAGTATGAATGACCTGAGAACGACAGGGTGATGACACTTTGGTGAATACCGGCATGGATACATTATTCAAAAACACTTTGGGCTTTCCATCCCTGCTTCTGTGCTTTAACCCAGCATTTGAATGTGTCAGGTATCCATCGAACTTCTAGAGGTAGATTGCCTGGGTTTGGATTTGGACTTTGTCATTTATTGGTTCTGTGACCTTAGACAAATAATTTATTCCCCTTGTACCTCAGTTTCCTGATTTTTTAAATAGAATTAAACACATTCCCTACTTCAAAGAATGATTTTCAGGATCTCTATGGTTCTAATATTTTGGAATTTTGAACACAAAATCCAAATTTCATGTGTTGGAAACTTAATCTCCAATGCCACAAAATTGTAAGGTGGAGCCTAATGCTAGGTATTTGTGGTAGGTATTTGGGTCATGAGGGCTCCACCCTCATGCATGAGTTAACGTTGTTATCTTGGGAGTGGGTTGTTACTGTGGGAGTGGGTTTTTTATAAAAGTAGGTTTCACCTCATCTTGGCCTCTTTTGCTATCTCTTGCCATGTGATAACACAGCAAGAAGACTCTCGCTAGATGTGTCCCCTTGATCTGGGCTTTTCAGCCTCCAGAACCATGAGCCAAATATATTTCTGTTCATTTCAAATTACCCAATCTGTGGTATTCTATTGTAGAAGCATAAAATAGACTAAGACAAAGATTAAAAGGGTAAATATAGCTAAAATGCTTAGAACTGTGGCTGGAATGTAGTAAGCACCATATAAATGTTTGGTACTATGTTAGGGGTCCCAAAGACTACCCTCAAGACTCAGAAAAGCTGTTATCTACAGATTTACAGTTTATTATAGCAAAAGGAAACATTAAAATCAACAAAAGAAAAAGGTGCCTAGGATAAGGTCTAGGCGAAACTAAGTACAAATTTTCAGGTGCCCTCTCCCAGTGGAATTGCATGGATATACTTAATTATCTCAGAAATGATGTATGACAATACATATTGCTATGATTTGAATGCCCTTTTCAGAACTCATGTTGAACTTTAATTGTCATTGTAACAGTATTAAGAGGCAGGGTTTTTAAGAGTGATAAGTCATGGGGGCTCTACCCTCATGAATGGATTAATCATTATCATGGGAGTGGCTTTGTTATAAATATAAGCTCTCTCACATATTCTCTTGCTCTTCTGCTCTTTCATCATGGAATAATAAACAAGAAGACCCTTACCAGATACTAGCACCATGCTGTTGGACTTCTCAGTCTCCAGAGCTGTGAATCAAGTAAACTTGTTTTCCTTACAAATTTCCCAGTCTATGGTGTTCTGATATAGCAATAAGAAACAAACTAAGACACATGCAAAGTATTTCCAACCAGGGAATCTCACCAGAACCGTGATGTCCAGGATTTCTATTGGAAATCAGTCATGTATGGATGCAGTACCTAAGTGACCAACCACAGATACTGAGTTAGATTACAACATCCCAGAACAAAAAGGGGCATTTACCATAAATCTCATTTTTAGCATAAGCTATCTCATCAAACTGGTACTGTATTGCTAAATGCCTAAGATATACAAAACGTCTTTTATTAGGAAGAATATTTCCAGGGGTCAGAGTTCATTTACCAGGAGTTGGCCAAGGGCCAGTCTTGAAAAGATTTTTGGGAATGTACAGGGTTAGAGCAAGGCAGGCCTGCAAATCAACATTTGCACAATAGTTTTCCTACACAGCTGCAATTACTATTATTGCCATAATGTTACCTAGTACTTTGTCTATACCTTGAGGAAAGGGAGAGCCCCAAATTAATTGTTATAACATTTCTGTCAACCAGGTGGCAGAAAGTTCTAATTAAAAGATGAATTATAGAAAAGATACAGATTTTTGAATTATGAGCTGCTACACAAACTGTTATTGTTGCTATTCTAGGATTCCTGACAGGAGGTAGACAGTTACCCTAGTTTTTACCTAAGATACAGGATGCTTAGGAAAAACTTCAGTAACAGGGCTTATATACATATATATATATATATATATATATATATATATATATATATATATATATATATATTTTTTTTTTTTTTTTTTTTTTTTTTTTTTGAGATGGAGTCTCGCTGTCGCCCAGGCTGGAGTGCAGTGGCGCGATCTCGGCTCACTGCAGGCTCCGCCCCCCGGGGTTCACGCCATTCTCCTGCCTCAGCCTCCTGAGTAGCTGGGACTACAGGCGCCCGCCACCTCGCCCGGCTAATTTTTTGAATTTTTAGTAGAGACAGGGTTTCACCGTGTTAGCCAGGATGGTCTCGATCTCCTGACCTCGTGATCCGCCCGCCTCGGCCTCCCAAAGTGCTGGGATTACAGGCGTTAGCCACCACGCCCGGCCTGGGCTCATATATTTCAAATCCTCCACTCTCATACTTGGGAGAAAAGGGAAAGGAGAAGCTTAACCAGCTCTGTGAGTGTGCTCAACTTTTTTCTGCCTGAGAGTCTTTGAACATACTATTCTGTCTCTTTCAAGTTCCTTCTTTGCTTATTCACTCTGTTAAAGTGGTGGACTATTTCTTGAGTTTCACACCTTGGCTTTAGGGGAACTTCCCCTAACCATCCTCTTCATTGTCTTCTTTTCCTACACCCTGTCTGCTTCATAGCACTCATCACCATTAGTAATTGTGTACTCATTTATTTTCTTGGTTATTGTCTCTCTCTCCCACTAGGTTTAAGATCTGCATGGCAGAGAGCCTGTCATCATTTTTGTTCTCTTCTCAATACTCAGTGTTCATCATCATGCCAGGCCCAGAGGCTCAATAACTTTGTTTATGGTTTTGTAATAAGATAGGCCATTGCCTCACGTGAGTTCATACTATATCAATCCATTTTTCTTAGATCAGGGACAAAAAGGATTAATTTTGCCTGTTAATCTAATACATTATTATTAAATTTGCAGGACTAGACAAGTTACGCAAAACAGAATAGGGTGACAGGTGAAGTTTGAGGGAGTTCCTAGTTAAACTGTAGTTGAACAGATATAAAAGGCAGTGTTTTCCCATATAAAATAGAATTATTTTGTTTCCAATGATGTAAAAACAATGTCTAAATTTAAAGAAAAATAAATGGATAAAGTTATAATAAAACAATGTTTGGCTGAAAATTTAATATATTTGTGCACTGACGATTTTTAAGTCAGAATAATTTTGCATTCTGTAAACTGGGGAATCTAGTCAAATGTTTAACTTAACAGTGTTTTTATCAAGTTAATATACTTTTATACACGTGTACACTGGTATGCTATTAATTTTCCCTTGATGTTTTTATTCCATAATGAAAACTGGGGAATGTGTGGTAGGTAAGGATGAAAGAAAAGCCATGGAGGAGAAATTAGGTACGCTTTTGTGTTCTCATTCTCTGTATCTGTTGGAATACTTTTACTCTTCACTTTCATTAGCAAATACAAGTAAAATTTATCGGTGAAAATATTAATTTGTATTTAAATTTCCAAATCTATCCTCTCCTTAATTTATCAAATAATTCACTATGATACAAACTACAAAATGTTACCAGGAATTCCTGTGATTCTTGGATAACAAGAGAAAATATTTTCAATTGAAATATCATACTTACAGTGAATCTTTTTTTCACTTTCTGTTCTCTTGATGGGAACAAAGGACTAAACAGCAATTGCAGTCCTAGGTCACAACAGAAGCACCTCCCTAAGAATTCCTGTTGTACAATGGTGGCTTTGTACCCACAGCTCTGGAAGGGTAGGAAACAATCTGACTGTGTGTTTAGAAGTCAAGGATAATTACATCTATAATTTGCATAACAATGATATTTCATGAAAACTGTAACATGAAAACTCCCATATTAAACAATTTTTCCTTTAGTTTAAATGGGAAAATTTATTATGTGTTCCATCTCATCCTAAGGTAACCAAAGATGCTCACAAATAGAAAAGGATGTAAGCTGGGCACTGTGGCTGACACCTGTAATCCCTGCACTTCGGGAGGCCAAGGTGGGCAGATCATGAGGTCAGGAGATTGAGACTATCCTGGCCAACATTGTGAAAACCCGTCTCTCCTAAAAATACAAAAATTAGCTGGGCATGGTGGTGTGTGCCTGTAATCCTAGCTACTTGGGAGGCTGAGGCAGGAGAATTGCTTGAAACAGGGAGTCAGAAGTTGCCGTGAGCTGAGATTGCGCCATAGCACTCCAGCCTGGTGACAGAGCGAGACTTCGTCTCAAAAAAAAAAAAAAAAAAAAAAAAAAAAAGAAAAAGAAAAAACCAAAAGCATGTCAATTAAACAAGTTAATAAAAGTAACAATAAAATATTCAAAAGCAAGTATAGTTTGTACCTAAATGCAGTGAACTAAGGTTTATTGTATCTGCCAAAGGAGAGAAAGAAAATTTGATAGAATGGTAGAAGAGTGCCAAAAAAAAAAGTAATTTTTTAGGGGGTGTATACCATTTTTAAAAACCGTTTTTCCTAGTTTTCCTTGAAGAGGTCCTTCACTTCCCTTGTTAGCTGTATTACTAGATATTTTATTATTTCTGTGGCAATCGCAAATGGGAATTCATTCATGATTTGGCTGTAGGCTTGTCTGTTGTTGGCATATAGGAATGCTCATAATTTTGGGGCATTGATTTTGTATCCTGAGACTTTGCTCAAGTTGCTTATCCATTTAAGAAGCTTTTGGGCTGAGACGATGGGGTTTTCTAGATATAGGATCATATTATCTGCAAGCAAAGATAGTTTGACTTCCTCTCTTCCTATCTGAATACACTTTATTTCTTTCTCTTGCCTGATTGCCCTGGCCAGAACTTCCAATTCTATGTTGGATAGAGTGGTGAGAGAGGGCAACCTTATGTTGTGCTGGTTTTCAAGGGGAATGCTTCCAGCTCTTGCCCATTCAGTATGATATTGACTGTGGTTTTTCATATATGACTTATTATTTTGACTTCCGTTCCTTCAATACCTAGTTTATTGAGAGTTTTTAACATGAAGGGATGTTGAATTTTATCGAAGGCCTTTTCTGCATCTGTTGAGATAATCATGTGATTTTTGTCTTTAGTTCTGTTAATGTGATGAATCACATTATTGATTTGCGTATGTTGAACCAAGCTTGCATCCTGAGGATGAAGCCTACTTGATGGTGGTGGATAAGCTTTTTGATGTGCTGCTGGATTTGGCTTGCCGTATTTTATTGAGGATTTTTGCATCAATGTTCATCAAGGATATTGGCTTGAAGTTTTCTTTTATTGTTGTACCTCTGCCAGGTTTTGGTATCAGTATGATGCTGGCTTCATACAATGAGTTAGAGAGGAGTCCCTACTTGTCAATTGTTTGGCATAATTTCAGTAGAAATGGTACCAGTTCTTCTTTGTACCTCTGGTAGAATTCAGCTGTGAATTTGTCTGGTCATGGGCTTTTTTGGGTTGGTAGGCTATTTATTACTGCCTCAATTTCAGAACTCATTATTATTGGTGTATTAGGGATTCAATTTCTTCCTAACTTAATTTTGGGAGTGTGTACATAGTAGGAATGTATCTACGTCTTCTAGATTTCCTAGTTTATGTGCATAGAGATGTGTGTGGGATTCTCTTCATGGTTGTTTGTGTTTCTGTGGGGTCAGTGGTGATATCCCCCTTATCATTTCTGATTGTGTTTATTTGAATATTCTCTCTTTTTTTCTTTATTAGTCTAGCTGGTGGTCTATCTATTTTGTTAATAATTTAAAAAGCAGCTCCTGAATTCGTTGATTTTTTGAAAGGTTTTTTATGTCTCTATCTCCTTCCGTTCAGGTGCGATCTTGGTTATTTCTTGTCTTCTGCTAGATTTAGGGTTTATTTGCTCTTGGTTCTTTAGTTCTTTTAGTTGTGATGTTAGGTTGTTAATTTAAGATCTTTCTAGCTTTTTGATGTGGGCAGTTAGTGCTATAAGTTTCCCTCTTAACACTGTGTTAGTTGTGTCCTAGAGATTCTAGCACATTGTATCTTTGTTCTCCTTAGTTCCAAATAACTTCTTGGTTTCTGCCTTAGTTTCATTATTTACCCAAGAGTCATTCAGGAGCAGGTTGTTTAATTTCCATGTACTTGTGTGGTTCTGAGTGATTTTCTTAATCTTGAACTCTAATTGATTGTGTTGTGGTCTGAGAGGCTGTTTGTTATAATTCCAGTTCTTTTGCATTTGCTGAGGAGAGTTTTACTTCCGATTATGTGATCAATTTTAGAGTAAGTGCCATGTGGTGATGAGAAGAGTGTATATTCTGTTGTTTTTGGGTGGAGAGTTCTGTAGATATATATCAGGTCTGCTTGATCCAGAGCTGAGTTCAGGTCCTAAATATCTTTGTCAATTTTCTCTCTTGATGATCTGTCTAATACTGTCAGTGGAGTGTTAAAGTCTCCCTCTATTATTGTGTGTCCAAGTCTGTTTGATGGTCCCTAAGAACTTTATTTATGAATCTGGGTGCTCCTATATTGAGTGCAAATATATTTAGGATAGTTAGGTCTTCTTGTTGAATTGAACGCTTTACCACTATGCAATGCCCTTCTCTGTCTATTTTGATTTTGTTGGTTTAAAGTTTGTTTTATCAGAGATGACATAAACAAATGGAAAAACATTCCATTTTCATGGATAGGAAGAATCAATATTGTGAAAATGGCCATACTGCCCAAAGCATTTTATAGATTCAATGCTATTCTCATTAAACTACCATTGACACTCTTCACAGAATTAGAAAAAACTACTTTAAAATTCATATGGAACCAACAAAGAGTTCAAATAGCCAAGATGATCTTAAACAAAAAGAAGAAAAACAAACCTGGAAGCATCACACTACATAACTTCAAACTATACTACAAGGCTATAGTAACCAAAACAGCATGGTACTGGTACAATAATAGATACATAGACCAATGGAACATAATAGGGAACCCAGAAATAAGATCACACAGCTAAACCCATCTGATCTTTGACAAACCTGACAAAAACAAGCAATGGGGAGAGGATTTCCTATTTCATAAATGGTGCTGGGAGAACTGGCTAGCCATATGTAGAAAATTGAAATGGGACCCCTTCCTTACACCATATACAAAAGTCAACTTAAGATGGATTATGGATTAAAGGGTTTAATGTAAAAACAAAAGTATAAAAAACTAGAAGAAAATCTAGGCAATTTTATTGAGGCCATGGTCACAGGCTAAGATTTCATGATGAAAACACCAAAAGCAATTGCAACATAAGCAAAAGTTGACAAATGGGATCCTAAACTAAAGAGCTTCTGTACAGTGAAAGAAACTATCACAACAGTGAACAAACTATAGAATGGGAGAAAATTTTTGCAATCTATGTGTCTGAAAAAGTTCTAGTACCCAGAATCTACAAGCAAACTTAAGCAAACTTACAAGAAAAAAGCAAACAATCCCGTTATAAAGTGGGGAAAGGACAGAAGCAGACACATCTCAAAAGAAGACATACATGCAGCCAACAAACACATGAAAAAAAGGCTCAACATCACCAATCATTAGAGAAATGAAAATCAAAACCACAGTGAGATATGATCTGACACCAGTCAGAATGGCAATTATTAAAAAGCCAAAAAACAACAGATGCTGGCAAGGTTGTGGAGAAAAAGGAATGCTTTTACACTGTTGGTGGGAGTGTAAATTAGTGCAATCATTGTGGAAGACAGTGTGGCAATTCCTTAAAGATATAGAGACAGAAATACCATTTGACCCAGCAATCCCATTACTGGGTATATATCCAAAGAAATATAAATCCTATTACTGGGTATATGCCCAAAGAAATATACATTTATATAAATTATCTTATATAGATTTCATTTACATAAAATAAATATAAATGAAATATAAATATAAATATACACAAATCTAACAATGTGGGACAATTCTTGGTTGTGTAGGACACCTTACAGCCCTGACTTTGAACCAATGAATACTGGTAACTTCTACAAATTATGGGACAAACTACTTCCTCTGCCACTTCCCCCAAAGTTCAAAAACATTCCCTAGATGGCAGTACTGCTTTCATGAAAAACCACTGATTTTATCCACGAATGCCATTAAGAGCAGTAGTAATTAGATAGAAAAGATATATCATCAAGAGAAGAGAAAAGTGCTAAAATAGCACAAGTATATAATGTGGATTAATAAATCTCTGATCACCATTTTCCCTCACTACGAAGAAGAAACAATAAGAAACACTGTACTTTGTACATAGACATTGTCTTGGAGAGGTATTTGGAATGGTAACAAATGTCTGAGAAGCTAGAAATTTTACCTATAAAAAATGAGACCTAATGATATTGTTTAAATTATTATATAGGACTAAAGTTACTGTATTGGACTGATTTCCTTTTACCATTACACATTAGGTTAGGACTTTTGTTTCATACACCTCAGCTCCCCCCAAGAAATAGTTATTAAAAGTTGAAATGTTCCAAGGAATAACACAAAGGCGAATTACTGTATAGAGGCTTCCTGTGACTTTAGGGAGCACAATTTTCATGGAGTTATGTGTTGCCATGGGAGATGTTGTTGGGAGATGAAGATATGGAGCCAAGCAAGCCGGGCTGTGAAAAGTGGAAAAATAATAGCATACTAGCTAGTGAGAGCTAAGAAGCAGAGAAGTATATTTTGTTTTTGAAGATGGCAAAATGTAGACATGTTTATATGCTAAGGGGAAAGAATCAGCGAAAGGAAATAATTGAGATAATGCAGAATTGAGCTCATCATTGAAGAGTACATTCCTTGGACACACAGTATGATGAGATAAGAAGCCATGATGAAGAAAATTTCCTTGAATCACAAAAGGGAGCAGCCATGGGAATCAAACAAAACTATTTAGGAATTTGAAATCAACTGAAGGAAAAACTTGGGAATTTCCAACACATGTAATCATCAAATTTGAATTATATTTTGAGTAGATCTTCAGTAGGTTTACTAACATAGTTTCAAGTAACTCTTTATACTTGAATTGATTTAATTGAACATTTAATTTTATCACATATAAATAAAATAGCAGGAATCATAAAAGTACAGCTCATTTTATTTTTAGAAACTGAACAAACGGTCAAGAGACAGAATGCTACCAGTACCCCAGAAGTTTCCTCTTGCCCAATCCTAGTCTCAACCCCCCGCCACCAAGGACAATCACTAACCTGACTGCTAACCCATATATTAGTTTTGCATGTTTTTGAACTTTATAAAACTCATGGAATCATAAAATACATACTGTATTGTAAGTGACTTCTGCTCAACATGTTTCTGGGATTTGTTGTGTGTAGTTGTATTTTTTTTTTCATTTTCTTGCTGCATAGTATACCACTGTCTATACATACACCCAATGTATTTATTCATTCTACTTTTGATTGGCTGGCATTTGGGTAGCTTCCAGTTTGGGATATTACAAGTACTGCCACTATGAACATTTTTGGTCTTGTTTTTTGGTTTACAAATTTACACATTTCCATTCAGTATACACTTAAAAATGGTAATGGAGGGTAAATTAGGCTTTTCTAAAATATTTTTTAGAGATAGGGTCTTGCCATGTTGCCCAGGCTGGACTCAAATGATCCTCTTATCTCAGCCTCCCAAATAACTGTGACTACAGTGGCATACCATCATGCTGGCTTTTTGTTTTTTTTACCTGCCAAAATTTGTTGGTTCATTTTACTAGCATGGAGAGACAGTGACATCTGGTGTATGAAATAATAAATTTCAGGTCTTAGTGTATGTTTGAAATTTAAGGAATCTACTCTTAAAGGTAGTCTGGGTGTTATAAGAATCCATACATAGAATGAGTTTATAGTTCTGTTTCTACTATTAAAATTAATCTAATTTTTTTTCACTTTGAACACATAAAGAATTTGGGAATTTTAAATCTTTTTACATTTATAGAGACAGGGTTTTGCTATGTTGCCCAGGCTGGTCTCAAACTCCTAGTCTCAAGCAATCCACCTGCCTTGGCTTCCCAAAGTGCTAGGATTACAGGTGTGAGCCACTGCACCCAGCCCAGAATTTGGTGTATGAGTCAGGGTTCTTTAGAGGGACAGAACTAATAGGATGGATAGATAGATAGATAGATAGATAGATAGATAGATAATAGATATAAAGGGGAGTTTAGTAAGTATCAACTCACGCCAATCACAAGGTCACACAACAGGCCATCTGCAAGCTGAGGAGCAAGTAAAGCCAGTTCGAGTCTCAAAACTGAAGAACTTGGAGTCCAATGTTTGAGGACAGGAAGCATCCAGCACAGGACAAAGATGTAGGCTGACAGCTAGGCCAGTCTAGTCTTTTCACATTTTTCTGCCTGCTTTATATTCTAGCTGTGCTGGCAGCTGATTAGATGGTGCCCACACAGATTAAGGGTGGGTCTACCTTCCCCAGCCCACTGACTCAAATGTTAATCTCCTTTGGCAACACCTTCACAGACACACCCAGAATCAGTACTTTGCATCCTTCAATCCAACCAAGTTGACACTCAGTATTAACCATCCCAAGTCCACTCCTTATCAACTTGAACCCATACACATCTCCTGAGATCATACATAATCTTTAAGTAAAGGCAATAATGTCATAATTATGGCAACATAACACAACTATCCTTCATACAACCAGAAACGCACCAATCCCCAACCCAAATGTTATTACATAAAGTTAATAATACTTAAATGCTGATATGAAGTCAATAATCTTATTAACATGACAAAGGAAAAAGGAAATAAAATATATTTTCTTAGTCCAAGTGTATGCATGTACAAACATGTTTTTAACAAAAGAAGGAGGAAATACTCATGACAATTACAGTCCTCATTTCTGCAGCTGGTCATGTGATTATAGCTGGTATTGATGACTACCTTCTTCTACTATCCATTCTGTATTCCCTTCGCCTTCAGCAAGCACCTCAGCAGGTCATGGTTTTTCTCCTGGTGGAGTGACCCAAACCTTCATTCATGAAGGGTCTGGGTCATTTGTAGTTCTGCCTGGATTGGGCTGTTGTAGTTTCCCATTTACCTTAATCACATGGCATGATAATACTAAGAGACACCCTAATGGATCCCCTGTATTCCATGCATACTCTTCCCTACCTCCATTGTGGAGGCCTTTACTGTGATTCTCCTATGGGGGCCTGCCAAAGGCTCCAAAAGAATCCCTATCTGCCACTGACATCTCAAGCACCGCTGGATCTGCTGGGTCATGTGGCTCAAGTGGCAGAGCAGCTTGCACAGCAGCCTGGACCTGTTGCTGAGCCTTCTCCTGTTCTGGACCACACTCAAAACTGGCAGCCTTTTGGGTTACTAGATAGATGGGCTGGAGTAACACACTCCAATGAGGAATGTGTTGTCTCCAAAATCCAAATAGGCCCACTAGGGCCTCTTTCTTGGTTGTGGGAAGGACCAAATGCAGCAACTTATCCTTCACCTTAGAAAGAATATCTTGATAAGCCCCACACCACTGGACCCCTAGAAATTTTACTGAGGGAGAAGATCCCAGAGTTTCAGTCAGATTTATTTCTCATCCTCTGGCATGCAAATGTCTCACCAATAAGTCCAGTGTGTTTGCTACTTCTTGCTCACTGGATGCCATCATCATAATGTCATCAATGTAATGCACCAGTGTGATATCTTGCAGAGGCAAAAAGCAATCAAGGTCTCTCTGAATAAGATTATGACACAAAGCCAGAGAATTGATATACCCCTGAGGTAGGACAGTAAGGGTATATATATATAAAGGGGAGTTTATTAAGTATTAACTCAGACAATCACAAGGTCCCACAATAGACTGCCTGCAAGCTGAGGAGCAAGGAAAGCCAGTCTGAGTCCTAAAACGGAAGAACTTGGAGTCAGATGTTCAAGGGCAGGAAGCATCCAGCACAGGAGAAAGATGTAGGCTGGGAGAAAGATGTAGGCTGGGAGGCTAAGCCAGTCTAGTATTTTCACATTTTTCTGCTTGCTTTATATTCTAGCTGCACCAACAACTGATTATATGGTGCCCACACGATTAAAAGTAGGTCTACCTTCCCCAGCCCACTGACTCAAACGTTAATCTCCTTTGGCAACACCCTCACAGACACACCCAGGATCAATACTTTTCATCCTTCAATCCAATCAAGTTGACACTCAGTATTAACCATCACATTTGGGAAGTTCATAAGTAATAGATAAAACCAAGTAATTAGACAAGATTAACAGAAGAAATGCTATTGTGATGTGCGCTAATGACAATTTTTGTACTGCAAATCACTACACTTAAAGTTGTCACATATTGAAAGATTTTTAGGATTGTGAAATACAACATTTGCATTCTAAAGTAACCTAGTGGGCCAGGTGTAGTAGCTCATGCCTATAATCCTAGCACTTTGGGAGACTGAGAGGCGAGGATTGCTTAAATTCATGAGCTTGAGACAAACCTGGGTAACACAGTGAGACCCATGTCTCTAAAAAAAAAAAAAAAAAAAAATACTAAAACAAAACTAACCCAATGAAATCTGAACAAAATGAAATATAAACTGTATGTTTTTAAGGTAACAAGAAAGTAAAACAAATTTATATATTGGAATTCTTTGGAATTCAACTAACGGAGCTCTCTGTTCCTTTGTAAATTTTCTACCTCTGTTGAAAGAGATAAACTTTTTTTAATGACAATATATGATTAGGAAAAATGTATGTCCATTCCATTTTGTGGTTTTTCTCTGATCTTTGCTGTCAAAAAACAAACAAACAAACAAGCAAAGAACAGGTGGATGATTCATGTCAAGTATGTCCTTTAAGGCATTATTTGCATTCACATTTACAGTTCTTGAAAGATCATACTGTTTTCTTCTTTGACATCATGAAGCTCGTAAGTCAAGGTTTATCACACTGAAACATAATGCTCTTCAATATTTATTTCATAAATGTTTATCATAACCTCTTATCTGCCAGGCATATTAACTAGTGGCATCCCAAATGAAGTTTCTTTCTCCTCTCACCCTCTCTGACACCCTTCTTTTCTTCTTTCCTTCCTTCCCACTCTCTTTCCTCTGTCTCTCCTTAACATGGAGTAACCTAAGTAAAATTAAATGCTGACAAGAAACTTGATCATGGGAGAAGACGTGAGAACTAGAGTGATTTTGGTGGAGCAGAGAGAGATAAACACAAAGATAGAAGCCATTTTCCATTCAGTTAAGAGAGACAACCCCTTACTAATTGTGTCAGGGAAGAAGGAAGAAAGAACGAAGGAGTGTAAAATGAAAGTAGCATGGTGGGAGGCTGAGGAAGGTTTGGGGAAGTGATGATTGAGATCACGTTCTGAAAGCGATGTCGGAAGAGGTATCTTGGTAGTTTAGAGAAAATAAAGAAAGTTTCTGTTAGTAATTGTTGAGAATTAGAGTAAGACAAAGAGAAAGTAACCAGAAGAAATACACAGGATTTCTGAGGCACATTGAAGTCTCAGTGGAGGCAAAAGACCTGGAATTTGTAATGGTGCAAATCATCATCAGTGCTCATTAAGCAAAGTTTAGTCAGAGAGAAGCAGAATTGGTGAATTGAGCTGTTTGTTTTTAGAATTTATACACACAAATGCACACAGACACACACAGACATATATAACCAATATATATACATATCATAAATACATATATACATATACATGTCATATATACATATATACATATCATATATACATATATACATATACATATACATATCATATATACATATATACATATCATATATATATGTTGTTGGTTTTATATATATATATTATCATATATATATGACAAGAGATAAGGGCCTAATCTGAAGGATTATCAAAGTATTTCATGAAATCGATGTAGCTCTGAAAAGGTGTTTTATAGACAAATTATATATAGCTTTTGGCAGAGAGAGGTTGATATTTCTTAAGTACTTGGCAATTAGGTAAAGACAAGGTATTACGGTAATAATGAAGTAGGAGAGCTGGGATCGTGAGAAAAGGTCAGACAGGTGTTGGAAATTTAAGTCTTCAGACTATTTGTAATGATGGCTGAGGTAGGAGAGGCTGAGAAAAATGAAGTGGAAGTAGAAGTCTATGGAAGAAAGGAAGTCAATAGAATGAGAGGCAAAGATATTAGATAGACATTGATAGATAACCAGAATAATTGCAGAAATTAAGAAAGCCTAAATAATTTCACAAAGCCATTACTTAATTAGAAACAGTTATCAGGATGTTAGTAGATGGGAATAGTGGTGGTTAGGACCAAAAGGAAATGAAAGACACTAATAATTTTCAATAGAAGAAAATTAATTGATTAATAAACCTATAAAACAATGTCCAATTTTATAGTTAGTGAGCTAGTAACTAAATTAAAAATTTAAATTTAGCTCAAGACCTAAATTGAAATTTGTTCAATTTAATTAAATAGAAATTAAATTTAGCTCAATAACTAAATTGAAAAAAATGAGAAACCATTTATTTTGTCCATGAAATTAGCAGAGTTTTTTAAAAAGTATTTTCATAGGTATAAAGAAACATACACTCAATAATGTGAATGTAAAGTATCAAAACATTTTGGAAAGCAATTCAGCTATATTTATTAAATGTGTATATTTGACCAGATAATTCTGTTACCAGAAAAAAGAGTCTCAGTCCAGACCCCCAAAGAGGGTTCTTGGATCTCCTGCAGGAAGGAATGCAAGGAAAGTTGCAAAGTGCAGTGAAAGAAGCAAGCTTATTGAAAAGTATTCTGTTACGGAGTAGGGCATCCTCAGAAAGCAAGCAGAGGAGTGCCTCTCAGTGAGAAGAGACCATTTAGTGAAAGCTAGCTACATCATTACAGAGTAGAGTGTCCTCAGAAAGCAAGGGAAGAAATGCACTATCTTTGTTTTAAGTTTTTCTTATATAGAGTCTTGTCTATGTAAAGACTAAGCTGTGACTATGTGCAGGTGAGCTGACAACATGAGAAAATTTATTGTTCTATTGATTTAAAGAATACTGTCCTTGACATTGTACTGTGTGAGTACATCAAAACATAACAAATTATATAAAATAAACATATTGTAATGGGTATTTGGATATCTGGATTCTGTTGATGTAAGAGTGTGTCCTTGTAGGTATACTTAGGCTGTTTTCTCAGCTATAAACATCTTATGACCATGGGTTGTGACTAAAGGAATGTGCCTGATTTGTCTCAAGATGGAGCTGAACTTAAAATGGCCTTATTCTGGCTCTCCTAGGTTCTTGTTTCCCTAACAATTCTACTTCCAAAGGAAGCTAGAAGTACAAAATCACTGCAGAGGTGTTTAAAGTAAATAAAACTGAAAAGAACATGAATGTTTAACAAGAAAGAAAATGCCTCTCAAATTGCATTAAATAGAAAAGTATAATAGTTTATATAAAGTATGATCAAATTATTTAAAACCAAAAATTTTGCATACGAAAAAAGATTAAAATAAAATGTCCTGAGATTTTAAGAAAAAGAAAATTTTTTCTTTTGTGTTTTTCAAATCTTTCCTAAATAATGTTTTATCAATTTATGCTAGAAATGTAAAGCCAAATGTATTAACAGCAGGATCAACTACCAACAGCACCACCAAGAAAATTCAAATGTGCTAAAAATATAAAACAAAATTAAAAAAATATAAAACATATAAATAAAGTAAGAAAATAATATTTTGAATTTAATTCTAATAGCATTTTAAAACTGAGTTTGGTAAGTTGATTTTAAACTTAATCTTGAAGAGTAAATGAAACAGGACAATATATTCTGTAAAGTTGAATTTGGTAAAGGCTATTTGTAAATATCTATACAAATTTTAAATGTTTAGACCCTTTGGCACAGCAATTTCATCTCTGAGAGTCAAATGTACAAAACTGTTCGAAAAGAAAAAATGTCATATTTATAGTATATTATTTATTTAATATTTACTATAACATTATTTCTAATAGTAAAATTTTATAAATAATCATTTTTCTTGAAAAAATGGTTACATAAATCACATTATGTTTATGTTATGAAACACTGCAGGTACTAAAGAATGAGCTGTGATAGGCAACATTGCTGAAAAAGATCTCTGAGGCCAGGCACAGTGGCTCATACCTGAAATCCCAGAACTTTGGGAAGCTGAGGAGGATGGACCATGAGGTCAGGAGTTTGAGACCAGCTTGGCCAAGATGGTGAAACCCCATCTCTACTAAATATACAAAAATTAGCCAGGTGTAGTGGTGCTCACCTGTAATCCCAGCTACTTGGGAGGCTGAGGCAGGAGAATTGCTTGAACCCCAGAGGCAGAGGTTGCAGTGAGCTGAGATTGATCCATTGCACCCCAGCCTGGGTGACACAGCAAGACTCCATCTCAAAAAAAAAAAAAAAAAAAAAAACTCTGAAACATTGTAGTTAAGAAACAAATATAGGAATTCTGGCTTATTTTAATAAAGGATTATCAGACTCATCCTCCTGCTGATAACAATTATAAATTCTGGGGAAAATATTCAAAACAGGCCTATTTAAAGGCAATCAAAATAAAACAGAAACTGGAAGGATTTGAACTTTGGAGGAAGGAGACCCCATTCAGATTATGAAAACTTCTCTCTGGGTAGCTCTTTCTCTGAACTCTGAAAACTGCAGCCACGTTGGCTTCCAGTCTATGTTTTCTCAATTCCATGAGATTGTTGGACTATTTTTTTGGTCTGCCTTCCCTGTGCCAAAATCTGGGAATAGCTTCCACTCAGAAAGCGACAGCAATGATAGGACTCACCTCATGTGTTTACAGTTTCTCAGAGATCAGAGTCCTGTGTCCATTGATATAGTTTGCATGTGTGTCTTCATCCAGATCTCATGTTGAATTGTAATCGCCATTGTTGGAGGTGGGTCATGGTGAGAGGTGATTGGATCATGTGGGTTGATTTCTCATGACTGCTTTAGCGCCATTCCGTTGGTGCTGTCCTCACAATAGTGAGTGAGTTTTCATGAAATCTGGTTGTTTAAAAGTGTGTGACACCTTGCTTGCTCCCTTTTGTTCCTACTCTGGCCATGTGATACACCTGCTCTTCCTTTGGCTTCCACAATGATTGTAAGTTTCCTGAAGCCTCCCCAGAAGCTGAGCAGATGCCAGCATCATGCTTCCTGTACAGCCTGCAGAACTGTGAGCCAATTAAACCTCTTTTCTTTAGAAATTACCCAGCCTCATGTATTTCTTTATAGCAATGTGAGAATGCAAACAGAACATTGATACTGAAGAATGGGGCATTGTTATAAAGATACCTGAAAATGAAGAAGCAGCTTTGAAACAGGCAGAGATTGGAAGGGTTTGGAGGACTCAAAATAAGTCAGGAAAATGAGGGAAAGTTGGGAACTTCTTAGAGACTGGTAAAAAAATGGTTGTGACCAAAATTCTCATAGTGATATGGATAGTGAAGGCCAGGCTGACAAGGTCTCAGATGGTAATGAGGAACTCACTGGGAACTGAAGCAAAGGTCACATGTGCTATACCTTAGCCCAGAGTTTGGCTAGATTGTGTCCATGCCCTATTAATATGTGGAATTTTGAACTTGAGAGTGATGACCTAGGATATCTGGCAGAAGAAATTTCTAAGCAGCAAAGTGTTCAAGATGCCATGTGGCTGCTTCTAACAACCTATGCTCAGATGTGGAAGCAAATAAATAAGTTGGAAATTTTATTTAAAAGGGAAGCAGGGCATAAGAGTTTGGAAAATTTGCAGCCTAGCCATGTAGTAGAAAACAAAATTCCATTTTCAGGAGAAGAATTCAAGTGGGCTGCTCGGCAACCACTTGCTAGAGAAATTTGCATAAACAAAAAGGAGGCAAGTACTGATAGCCAAGACAATGGGAAAAAGACTTTGAAGGAATTTCAGGGAATTTTGCTGCAGTTCCTTTCATCACAGGTCCTAAGGCCTAGGAGGGAAGAATGGTTTTGTGTAACAGGCACAGGACCCTGCTGTCCTGCACAGTTTCAGGACACTGCTCCCTGCATCCTGGCCACTCCAGCTCCAGCCTTATCTCAAAGGGGCCCAGGTAGAGCTTGGGCAGCTGCTTTGGAGAGTGCAACTTATAATCTTTGGTTGTTTCCACGTGGTGTTGGGCCTGTGGGTGCACAGATTGCAAGAGTTTATGCTTGGGGCCTCTGCCTAGATATCAGAGGATGTATGGAAAAGCCTGTATGTCCAGGCAGAAGTCTGCTGCATGTGCGCTGCCCTCATGGAGAACCTCAACTAGGGCAGAGGGGAAATGTGAGGTTAAAGTCCCCACTGGGACACTGCCTATTTGAGCTGTGAGAAGAGGGCCACAATCCTCAAGATCTCAGAGTGGTAGATTCACTGACAGCTTGACCCTATACCTCAAAAGCCACAGACACACAATGCCAGCCTATGAGAAGAGCTGCATAGGCTGTACCCTGCAAAGACACAGGGGCAGAGCTGCCCAAGGCCTTGGGACCCCACCCCTCACACCAGTGTACTCTGGTTGTGGGACATGGAGTCAAAGGAGATTACTTTGGAGCTGTGAGATTTAATGACTGTGCTGCTGGGATTTGGATTTGCATGGGGCCTGTAGCCCCTTTCTTTTGGTCAATTTCTCCCTTTTGGAACAGGAATATTTACCCAATTGCTTGTAGCCCCATTGTATCTGATATGGTTAGGCTCTGTGTCCCCACCCAAATCTCATCTTGAATTGTAATCCCCATAACTCCCATAATCTTCACATGTTAAGGGAGAGACCAGGTGGAGGTAATTGAATCATGGGGGTAGTTTCCCCATGTTGTTCTTGTGATAGTGAGTGAGTTCTCATGAAATCTAATGGTTTTATAAAGGGCTCTTCCCCTGTTTCTTGGCACTTCTTCCTGCTGCCTTGTGAAGAAGGTGCCTTGCTTCCCCTTTGCCTTCTGCCATGATTATAAATTTCCTGGGACCTCCCTGGCCATCCTAGACTGTGAGTCAATTATACTTCTTTTCTTTGTAAATTACCCAGTCTCAGGCAGTTCTTTACAGCAGCATGAAAATGAACTAATACATTACCTTGGAATTAAATAATTTGTTTTTGATTGTATAGGCCCGTAGGTGGCAGGAATTTGCATTGTCTCAGATGTGACGTTGCACTTCAGACTTTTGAGCTGGTGCTGCAGTGAGTTAAGACTTTGGGAGACTGTTGGGAAGGCATGGTTGTATGTTACAATGTGAGAAGGACATGAGATTTGGAAGGGCCTGGGGGTGGAATGATATAGGGTTGTGTTCCCACCCATGTTGAATTGTAATCCCCAATGTTGGAGGTGGGGCCTGGTGAGAGGTGATTAGATCATGGGGGTAAATTTCTCATGAATGGTTTAGCACCATTCCTTGGTGATGTCCTCATGATAGTGAGTGAATACTTGTAAGGTCTGGCTATTTAAAAGTGCAGCACTTGGCTTGGCTCATTCCCTTTTTTTCTTGCTCTGGCCATGGGTGGTATCTGCTCTCCTTTTGTCTTCTGCCATGATTGTAAGTTTCCTGAGGCCTTCCTAGAAACCAATCATATGCCCACATCATGTTTGCTATACAGCCTACAGAACCATGAGCCAATTGAACCTCTTTTTTTATAAATTACCCAGTCTCAGGTATTTCCTTCTAGCAATGTAAGAACAGACTAATAAACCCACCAGTAAATTTTTTATTTTCTAATTGACAGCCAGAGCTAATTCAAGATTATCTTATTTTTTCATGGAAACAAGTGGAAGTCTCACCTAGAAATCTAGATCCAGCAAAAATATCTTCTGAAAATGAAAGCAAAATGTTTTCAGAAAAATGAATTTGTTGCCAACTGTAAGAATTTGCCACTGTAAAGAAATGCTAAAGGAATGTCTTCACACTGTGAAAATTGATACCAGATGGGAATTCAGATATACAGGAAGGCATGTAGAATACTAGGAATATTAAACATATAGGTAAATATAAAACATTATCTTTTATTTTTAAAATTATTTAAGCCATAGACTATTTAAAACAAAAGTAAAAGCTTTGTGAGGTTTATAATGTGTAGACGTAGCGTATATAGTATAATATTACAAAGAATATGAGCAGTGAAAATTGAAATTTACCAGTTTTTACATAAAGAGGCGTAATATGAATTCAAGAAGTCTGTGATTAATTGAGGATATACATTGTATTCCACAGAGGAAACAATAACCCCCCAAAAACTGTATTAGCTAAGCAGCCAATGCAGAAGATAATTTGAGATATTAAAATTTTTATTAACCACAAAGAAGACAGAAAAGGAAGAACAAAGAAACAAAGAGCGAATAAATAGCAAATGACACTATTATAGACCCAATCTCACTTATATCAATAATTTAAATTCAGAGTTTATCAGACTGCATAAGAAAGCAAAACCCAACTATTTGCTGCCTACAAGAGATCCACTCTAAATATATTGGGAAAGACAGGTTGAACGTGAAGTTATAGAAAAAGGTACACCAAGGCAAACACAAAGCAAATGAAAGCTATTGTGCTATGTCAATGTCAGATGAAACTGACTTCAAGACAAGGAGTATTACCAGACATAAAGAGGGTCATTTTATAATCCCAAAGGGTCAATTCATCAAGAATACATAACAATCCTAAGTTGAATACACCTAATAACAATACTTTAAAATACATGAAGCAAAAATGAATAAAATTAAAGGGAAAAATAAATAAATCCCCAAAGCTAGAGATTGTAATACTTCTCTTAGTAATTGGTAGAACAAGTAGACAAAATGTCAGTACAAATTATCATAGACAATTTAAACCAACATATCAATCAACTTGATCTAATTTATGCTTATAAAACACTATTCCAACAACTGTGGAATACACATTCCTTTCAAGAGTACATGAAACATGCAGTAAACTATGTGCTGAACCACAAAACAAATATTAACAAATTTCAAAGTTTGGAATCATATACGCTGTCTATAACCAAATTAAATTAGTAATATAAATAGCAAATCAATATTTATGGTAAGATTCTATGTATGTTAAATATTATTAATCCAGCAAACCAATTGCTATGATCTAAATGTTTGTGTCTCCCCAAAATTCATAGGTTGAAATTTTAACCCCCAAGGTGATGGTATTAGGACATGAGGGTTTGGGAGGTAATTAGGTGATAAAAGCAGAGGTTTTATAAAGGTAATTAGTCCCTTTATTTAAAAAGGCCCCAGATAAATCCTGATATGGTTTGGCTGTGTCCCCACTCAAATCTCATCTTGAATTCCCATGTGTTATGGGAGGAACCCAGTTAGAGGTAATTGAATCATGGGGGCAGGTCTTTCCTGTGCTGTTCTCATGATAGTGAATAAGTCTTATGAGATCTGATGTTTTTAAAAACAGGGGTGTCCCTGCACAAGCTCTTTTCTCTTGTCTGCTGCCATGTGAGATGTGCCTTTCACCTTCTGCCATGATTGTGAGGCCTCCCCAGCCAGGTGGAACTCTAAGTCCAATAAACCTCTTTCTTTTGTAAATTGCCCAGTCTCAGGTATGTCTTTATTAGCAGCATGAAAATGGACTACTATAAATCCCTTACCTCTTCTACCATATGGAAACTCTGCGAGAAGACATCTTTTTATCTATGAAACAGGGAATGGCCTCTCACTAGATGCTGAATCTGTTGGTGCCTTGATGTTAGACTTCTTAGCTTCCAGAACTATGAGAAATAAATTTCTGTTTTATAAGCCACTCAGTTTGTGGTGTTTTGTTTTAGCAACCCAAACAGATGAAGACACCAATACATTTTAAGTATACAAAAGTGTGTATGCACATATATATAAAAAGAACTGACAGAATATAGATCAAAGATCACTTCTTTACAGGAAAATGGAAATGAAAAAAGGGATTAAAGAGGGACATTTATGCTTTATTTAAGTGTGTTTTATGATTTTTATTCCTATATTACTTGTGTGTTCAGAATAGATAAAATAAGCCTAATGAAGAATAAATACAGGGACTAGCTGACACAAATTTTGAAATAGAAGACTAGTGAAGAAAGATTTGCCCTACCATTATCAAAATATTTTATACAGCTATGGTAATGATAAATTTGAGGTACAATTACAGGAAGCAACAAAAAACTAAATGGAATAGAATACAGACTGGTAACAGACTCATTACATATGAGATTTTGGTAGATAGTAAAGGTGACATTTAAAATAACTGGGCAACAGGCATAATCTTTAAAAAATGGTGTTAGAAAAGTTGGCTAAGTGCTTAGGGACAAATTAGACCCCGTGGTGATCATTAGTGCTGTCCATCATATACTTTTAGCTCTCTGTTTTGGGGCACATAGTATGACTGTATTTCCTCACCACCTTTGAAGTTAGATGTGGCCTTGGTTCTTGTTTTGCCCAATGAGATACAAACATATGTGGCAGTTATCACTTTCACACAGAAATAAAAAGTGTTTATTGTGGTAGGACACTAGATTTTGCAACCCCAGCATTACTCAACTAATGTGAAAATTGGTATCTAGAATGTGAGGGATATTGCAATAAAAAACCAAATTTTTTCGCATTAAAAAATGGACTCTGGGAAGCAGGGGGGAAGAAAATATTGAAGGTCAGACTATTTCTCTGTTCTCTGTAGTAGAAAACTTTTAGTAAAACTGTTGCTGTCAATGATGTGGATGGATGATGATGTATCTAATGAACTTTTTGTACTAGGAGAAAAAAAACTGCAAAATAGAATGATGGCAGCATGCTTTTGGAGACATAGCCTGAGTCCAGAAATAATATTTACAAGAAGGTTAGCTCAAGCAGGGATGAAACGGACTATAATAGAGAGAATCTGAATTTTTGAATTTTTAGGGATAGAAGCAGCAACTGTAAACCTCTAATAGTTAAAGATAAAGTTGAAAAATAATTTGAACAACAAAAGTGGTTTAAAACTCAGCATTAGTTTATTTGTAAATACCAAGGACTGGAAATAACTCAAATGCTCCTCAACTGGAGAGTGAGTAAATACATTCCATCCTGTTCAGTGGAACACTACTAAAAAGAACAACTGATACATGCAACAACATGGATGCATCGCAAATGCATTTTATTAAATAAAAGAAGTCAGGCTTTAAAGGTTATATAGTGTATGATTCTATTTATATGTATCATTTGCAAAGGCAAAACTATAGGAACAGAAAACAAATTAGCAATTTTCAGGAGCTGGGAATGAGGGAAGATGCAGAAGAATTTTGGGCAGGTTGGGGTGGTAGTGATTGAATTTTTATGTATTTATTTATTTTTGCAGTGGTGGTTACATAACAGTGTACATTTGTCAAAAGTCATAGTACTGTACAGCAAAAAAAAAAAAAATCTGTACCTGTTGGTAAGCCCAGGAGGAGCCCGTTGTGAATTATTAAAAGCTGAGCAAGAGTGTAGGACATTTGATGGTTTTAGAGAAGATAAGAGAAATTACCTTTGGTGAGGAAAGACACTTTCTCAGACATGACAATGATGATGTATTCAGCACATTTGATGTGCCAACTAGAGCCAATGTACTAAGCACACTTAGTGTACACTTCTCTACAGAGAGGTATCTCTAATCCTTATGACATCCTCTGGGGGAAGTATTATTATTATCATTTTAATGAAACTGAGGATCAGAGAGATAAATAACTTGCACAAGGTGCTTAGCTGGTAAATAATGCAACTGGACACATTTGTCTATTAAGCCCTAGCTGCTGCTTCTGTACAATGTCGAAAGTAGAATCCATGATGATAGAAATTTTCAGGCAGAAATGGAAGTTGAAGAAACTATAATCAGGAGACCCTATTACAGCAACATTATAAAATTATACCATCTGTTGGCAGCCAGGGCATGAATGGAGTGACATGAAGTCGAAAGCTTGAGGAGAGTGGAAAAATTGAAGGAGGTTGTGATGATTTTTACATTTATTTCTAATTTTTGTCCTTGTACCTACCATAGGGATAAAGTACCATCCTATTTTCAGTTAGATTTAAGTTTAGCAGACAGAAATCTTGCTACAAGATGCAAGAGACCTACAATAGTATTGATTCAGTGTAGATTATCATAAGAATGTGCAACTTGAGAGCTTCTTATTTTACAAAGACCAATTCTTACCCATTCTCCAAATCCCATTTATTTTTGTGTTCTGTTTATAAAGAATATGTCTTTGAAATTATAATGCATTCCTGATGGTGGGAGAAGAACTTTAAAATATATAAAGAAATTTTAATTTGCAGATGATTGTCATACTCAACTCTAATGGATGGATGAATTTTGATTTCTCACAAATTCTTTAGGAACTCAAAAAAGAACTGGAAAACAAAAGGTAAGATCATAACTTCAAACCTTAAATCCATAACTTCAAACCTTAAATCCATAACGTTAATGAAATAGAGGCTGGGTTCAGAAATACTTTTTCTATGAATGACACTCCATTAAATTGTAAAATTTATGTCAATTTTCTTATATAAAGGTACATACTTTAAGGGACCAGAATATGCCACTCCAAAATGTGCCTCTTTGGCATCAGGATTATTTTGAGAAACAGCAGCCACAAGAGAAGCTCTAAAAACAGAATAGGATTTATCCTTTTGTAAGAAACGTTTACTTCTATACTGGAAATCTCCATTTGTAAGGGTGTTTCCCTCTCAGTTCCAGGAAGAGAAGGATGACTCTAAGTCATTAGAGACTGTTACCAATGGAGAAGGCATGGACTGAAATCTGTATAACAAACCTTACCATTGTTTACTGTGCTTTTCCTGGTCACCTCCTCATAACTGGTCTCTGTTCTAACTAAAGATGGCATTTAAGCCTGATTTCAAAGCTGTCTTTTTGAGATTTACTCATTTCTCTGAGTATCTCCTATGTCTATATGAGGTATACATGTTAATAAACTGTTTTTCCCTTATTAATCTGTCCTTCATTACAGAGGTCTGTCCTCATTAAGAACAATAAAGGGTAGAGAGAAAATTATTCTTTTTTCCTTTCAGTTCCACCCCGAAGTCCTACATGCTTTCATGGTGAATACCGTGATAACGTTAGCATGGAAAGCACAAGGAAAGCTTTCATAAAACAAAATTGAATTGATTCAAGCAGTGTTAAAATGGTGCAAGGGAGAAAAAAAATTGATTTCTTCTATTCTTCTGAGTTCTTGGCTGGTCTCTGGATTAAATTGGCATAAAACAATTTAACAGGAAAAAGCAATTTTAATTATGTATGTATGCACAGGAGTCCTACAGAAATATGAGACTTAAGGAAGTGCAGATGACTGAGACTTTTATAACAGGGGAGTGGGGAGATAAATTATGGGAAGGTGAGGGGAGGGAGGAAATATAGGGTGAATGAAGATTGCCTTGTTAGGCAGATAAAAATCTCTCAGCTTATGAGTAGCTCTCTTCCTGGTACAGATTTACTAATGAAAATTTCCTTCACTGATGAAAATTTCCTCTATAAACTAAATTTATTTTTACAAAAGGGGAAGTTTATACTTCGGTAAGTTGAGGGGCAAGTAAAGAGCTTTTCTTGTGTTAAAAGAAAAACCTTAGACAAATTAAATTTAACAGTTTAATTGAGCAAAGAAATCGCAAATCGGAAAGCCTTTCTAGTCAAAGTAGGTTCAGAGAGACTCCGGTTCAGCCACGTGGTGGAAGAAAATTTTTAGAGGGAAAAAGGAAAGCAAGGTACAGATCGCAGAAGTAAGGTATAGAAACAGCCAAATTGGTTACAACTTGGTGTTTGCCTTATTTGAACATGTTTTGAACAATTGGCCCCTGTTGATTGGTCAAAACTTGGCGATTGGCACAAAAGTACATTACAGTCTGTTTACACCCCCATTTAAGCTATAGTTACCTACCTACAGAGAAGTCTTTAGGCTGAACCTAAAATAGGTAAGCAGGCAGCTTTAGGCTAAACTTGATTTAGCAACTGTGTTTGTTGGTCCTCAATTTCTATTAGCTCAAAATAATACCCCAAAGTGGTATATTTTGGCGAGACATGTTCTGAACCCTTTTAATAGAAAGGTATCTTACAAATCCTCTAGTTTAATTTCTTCATTTTGCCTATGAGTAAAATGGTCTGGCTTAAACAAATTTCTCTTAACTTGTGAGAATTTATTAACCAATTACAGTATTTCTTTTTAAAAAATTGTGTTATGTTTACATGGGTTTTTATCATTCCTTTCTTATATTGTGCCTACAAGGTGATAGAAGTAAGGATATAAAAATTAAAAGACAAAGTCACTCTGACTAGTAATGGATGAAGATATTTTAAAATACTATTGTAAAATTTTTGTTCACTTTTGAGGTAGCATATTATACAGGAAAGAATCAGTTAGCAATGAGAAGATGGAATTTTAATCCTACTCACTCTTTTAAGGATTCAGCTTCTTCATTTTACGTCCCAGTTCTTCCAGAATATAAAAATCCCACAGTTTTGAAATAATATTATTAATATAAAATTTTTAGAGGGATAACTGCAGGCAATTTTGTAAGTGGAATGTTAAAAATCTTGAAAATTATGGAATCTCTGTCCTGCAACATCTTTATGAAGAAAGCAAGCAACTGTCAGTCTTGAATGGTATTCAAATATTTGAAGAGAAGGGTATAAACCTGATAGTCTCTGGAGATTTCTTCAGATCTAAAGTCTAACAACTATATCCCCAACATAGTAGGCGAAATGTCACTTAGCATGTGAGTACTCATCAGGGCCGAGTTTATTAATCATTGTTTCATGAAATTTTACTGCATTGCTATTGGTTCACACGTGTCATAGCATCCTACAGGTACTATCAAGTCATAAGTAGATGATCTTCTGAACTTTTATAAGAAAATAATTTAAGTAGAGCTGAATTGAGTAACACAAATTGAGTATTTACTATCTTATAGCAGGTATATTATTTAGAAGCAGAGTTGTAAGATCATATTTAAAAGTTTCCAAACAAAGAACCTTGATAAAATGGAAAAAGAAACACCTTTAGACATACATATTTTTTTCTTTACACAAGAATGATAATGACAACAGCACTATTCTTTTACAGTCTCTCTGGAGTTATTCTTACCATGGCAGTTACAGAAGAATGAAAGCTTCATGCTTTGGGAAGGCTGAATTTTTATGTCTGGAGCTCTTCAACTAGGTCACACCGTTAAAGGCATAGTTTTTTCCTAAGGGAAACTTTTCCTGCTTCATAGCAGTCCCATGTATTCTGCCTGCGGCTGCTCTGCTGCCCTGCACTCCATGTATACCAACCTTATTAAAACGGAGTAAAAATGGTTCTTACGGAAAATGTATCATTGTTGCTCAACTAGTTATTATAAATTCTAAAAATATAGCTCTGATTTTTTAGAAAAAAAAAATACCATATAAGTTGTATCTGGACAGCTCCAGAAATGAACAGACATAAAGCAGGTCTGCTAGAATTTGCAGAGCATTTATGTTTGACTTCCTCTTTTATGGTGATATTTATTTCATGGCAAGGTACATATATAATGCCACACTCCTCAGAGGGCATAGAAGGAAAAACTCAAGGTGCCAACTCCATTCTCTTTTACCTGCATACTCAATAATGTTAGAATCTTCCCATAGAAGAAAGACAAAAAGTATGGCGATTCTGCACTTTTTAATTTTTAATTACTTATATTTATTTCTCTTTTCCTTTTTAGTTGTTCAGGTTCCCAAAGTATAAAATATCATCTTGTCCTTCTTCAGTCAATGCGAGTTTCCTCTAATGGGATGATAACTCTTTTCCTTTATGGCTCAATGATGTAATTTCATCTGAGCTTTACCTTCCTTTTTCTGCTTAAAATCTGTGTAATTTATGAAAATCACTTTGTTTTTTGAAACATATAGTAAAGCCTTTTTTGTTGTTGTTGTTATTTGTGGTGGGTTTTGTTTGTTTTGAGACAGTGTCTTGCTCTGTTACCCAAGCTGGAGTTCAGTGGTGCAATCACAGCTCACTGCAGCCTCAGACTCCTGAGATTAAGTGATCCTCTTGCCTCAGCCTCCTTTGTAGCTGGGACTACAGCTACATTGTAGCATGCACTACCACACTCAGCTAATTTTTCTGATTTTTAGTAGAGATGGGGTCTTGCTATGATGCCCAGGCTGGTCTCGAACTCCTGGACTCAAGTGATCCTCCTGCCCTGACTTCCCAAAGTGCTGAAATTACAGGTGTGAGCGACTGGACCTAGCCAATAGTGAAGGCTTTCATTTTTGAAGATGGTGGCTTGAATATTTCCCCCCGTCCGAATCAATGACAAACTGTCTTTCCTGAGCCAAGCAGCTGTTGGACCAGCTCACAGGGGGTCTAGAGGGTAGGAGCTAGGCCTTGGTTCTTCCAAGAACAGATGAAGAGAAATGCAAGACCTTTTCCCCTTCTGCTCTTAGGGATGCCTTCGGGGACCAGTAATGGAGAACTATGAGGTGCTGATAAAAATTCTGTGAATCCTGAAGGCAGCTTGCCCTACAGAGATCCACAAATATCCAGGAGGAAAATGAGTGTTCCTAGAAAAATATGCTTGTCTCCTTCTCCAGCAGAAATAGCCAAACAGGTGATAAAGTTCCTTTCTAATTCCAAGACTTGAAGAATGCTAGCTTTTACACATGAGGAGATTATAAGATTAAAGAAGTTTCTGTGACTCTTGGACAATAATGTTTCATAGATGGTGCTAAATACTTCCCATTTTATCACCTCTGTAAGCAAATAATATCTAGTTGTCCCACTTTTTTCTTTAACATTATTGAATGAATTCAGGTGTTGTCTGTCTAATCAACCCCTCCACCCCCCGCTACTGTTCATCCAAAGAGTTTAGTATCCATTGATGATCATTACTTAGATCCATTATTTAATTAGGGGCTTTCTGGTTGAATATATTTTTTACATCTCTACCATGAAAAAATATTCTGCACCTATTATAAATAATAGCTAATGCTTCCATGGCACTTGAGTAAGGTGTGGTTCTAAGCACTTTATATGGACTAATATATTGTGCTTAATAACAACCCAAGGAAATAGTTACAATAATTATCCCCATATTACAGATACAAACTCAGAAACAAAACAATTTGCCCAAGTCACTGCTACTAAGTGATGAGTTGGGATTCCAAAGAATGAATTATATATATATATATATAATATATGAAATATATATGAATATATATATAAATTTATATATGAAAAAAGAAAGATGTGAGAGTTGTACGTAAGATGATTACGTTTTTGTAAAATAAACAATGGTAAATTGATATATGTGCTTATGAGAAAGATAAATACCACTTCATGAATTGGTTACACAGTGAGGGAGGGAGATGTAATATTGGGAATGTATAGAGATAGAGTGGGGAACTAGAGGAAGAAGAGAGACAAGCAAAAACCCCACAAAAGACAGCACTTATAAAAATTCAAAGTAAAACAACATATACAATGTGATTGATTTTTAATATAAAATTATGTATATGTATGTATATATACACACACAACTACGTATGTGCGTGTAGATTTATATTGATAGAGAAATGCACGAACATATGGTTACTAAATGACTAATGTTTTTTATCTCAGGCTGGTGGGGTTTTAGGTGATATATAATCTCTTCTTTACACTTTTATGTACCACTCAACTCTTTTACAATAATCCTATATTTATGTAACAAAAAACTCATAATACATCTGTTTCGACTGTGGAAAAACATTTAAGAGAGTTGGGAATGAATATTATCTTTTATTTGTATTTATTTATTTATTTTTTGGTGGCAGAAGGACAAACTTTACTGAGCCCCTCATCACTAGTTCTCTTTCTCCTGCACAGTCTTGGCTCCCCGGAGACGTCCAGTCTGGCGGACAGCAATGAGACCCACTTTGCGGTCAGCGGGGGCATCTCTGCGGATGGTGGAGGGCTTGCCGATGTGCTGGTGGTTGCCACCTCCGAAAGGATGCTCCACAAGGTTCATGGCCACACCCCGTACTCGTGGCCAGCAGTTCCTCTTTGCCTTATATTTGTGGTGGGCCCGGCCAGCCTTCAAGATGGCTTTGTCATTTCGGCCACCTCTGGCCACTACACCACCCACAGCTCTGTTGGCTGAGGAAATAACCTTGTTGGCGCAGGAGGGCAGCTTCATGGGTCTTCTGAGTCTCAGGGTTGTGGGAGATAACGGTGGCACCGTTCCCTGATGCCCGGGCCAGCTTGCCACGGTCTTCAGGCTTCTCCTTCAAGCAGCACACGGTCGTACTCTCAGGCATGGTGTCCACAGAGAGAACACTGCCAATGTTGAGCTGGACCTTCTTGCCGCAATACACAAACTGACCCATGTGAATACCCTCAGCGGCAATGAACAGCTGCGTCCACTTCTTAAACCGGTGCATTCCGGAAGACCACCTTGGCGAGGGGCGCGCCGCAGCCCGGGTAGTGGATAGCGCCCTTCACGGTGCTCTTGTAGCCGCTGGGGGCAGTCCACAGCGCGCAGGCGCGCTGTGCCCTGACGGTGCTTCACCTGCGCGGGAAACGCAGCCCCGGCGCCCTTCCGCTGTCCACAGACCATGAGGCCCATGGCGACGGGTCCTGCTCACAAGCGCGGCCTAAAGACCGAATATGATATTTCGGTCTCACTGTAACCTCCACCTCCAGGGTTCAAGCAGTTCTCTGCCTCAGCCTCCTGAGTAGCTGGGATTACAAGCGCCCGCCACCACGCCTGGCTAATTTTTTTGTATTTTTAGTAGAGACGGGGTTTTACCATCTTGGCCAGGCTGGTCTTGAACTCCTGACATTGTGATCCGGCCGCCTCGGCCTCCCAAAGTGCTGGGATTACAGGCGTGAACCACTGTGTCCAGCCAAATATGACCTTTTAAAATTACTAATACATCAGTTATATAAAACAATTCTACTATTTAAACTACAAGTATAGTTCAAACCATATAAAGCAATTCTACTATTTAAACTGCAAGTATAGTTCAAACCCCTCAAAGTTAGTTTTTAAATATTGAAGGTAATAGCACAGAATATGAACCAATAGTAAAACTTCACTAATTAATACTATTTGTCAAGATCTATCTAAATTCCTGAAAGCACTGAATTATAGAATGTGAAGAAATGTCATTTTATTAGCTCCAAGCTATTTAACAAAAGAGAGAAAGCATCAGTTCAAGTAGAACAATTACATTTATTCACTGTTCTGTAGTTCATTATAAGAGAATAAGACTTTGTGCTATTGCATCTCAAAATGAAGACTTCTGCACCCTCCCTAAGACCTTATCAGTTGAACAAAGTTTGTGGTAGATTCTTATGTTAACTAAGTCTGAGTCACTGTTGTTTGCATTTTTTAAGATTGTGTAGTACAACTAAATAATTTAATTATGACAGCCATAGCAATCCAACATAGAAAGATAAATGACTTGTTTGCACCATTGTTCAAATAAAATCTTCTACTATTTTATATTTTTAATCAAATTTTTAGCTTCATTAGTGCAAAAGACTAAATACCCATAGATATGAATGTTTCTGGGACTGAAGAAGTTTCTTCAAATATCAAGTACATATATAATACTGGGTACCATTTAAGCATGTTGAATTAATTATCTCTTACAATATACATGATACAACTTTAAGGTAGTTATCTTTGCCATTTAACAGATAGGAAGGTGGACATGTATAGAGGTTAAGTAACAATGCTAGAAAGCAATTTACACAGTGTGCATTAATATGTATGTGTGTATATCTACCTACATATTATATTCCACAAATTCTTTTAAACAACAACTGGGAGAATAAATAAATAACAATAAATGTTACCTGCTTTCCTCGAGCCTGTGACTAGGCTCCTTGACTCCTTGTTCAAGAGAATTGCCTGCTCCCTATTTCTTCTACTTGGTCTTGCCTCCTCTTTTTCCTTGTGCTGGATACCAGCTCTGCATATACTGGGACCGAATGCTGATAAGTCTTCTAGATACTGAACCTACTCAAGTGGGCAGGATGTATAGTGACAGTCTTCTATAACGTAGGTGGAACTGGAGACCATTATGTTAAGGGAAATAAGCCAAACACAGAAAAATGAATATCACATGTTCTCACTTGTACGTGGGCGCTAAAAATAGGTCTCAGGAAGAAAGAGGGTAAACTGGTGGTAACCAGAGGCCAGGAAAGGTAGGGGAAAACATCTTTAGGTAAATAGGCAGGAGGGGAGACATATGCCCTTTCTTGTCTGAAGAGTCTTATCATTTTTTAACAAAGATTAACAACCTCAAAAATTTGAACTCTGAAATACCTCATATGTGCAAAAAAGCAGAGATTACAATAATTGGCTTTGGAGCATGACAGACTTTTATTTGTACATGGGTTCTTCTACTCACTAGCTATAGATGAAACCACTGTACCCTTTTTATAAATCTGTGGAATGGGGGAACATAGTTGTTTTTACATAAAACATTTCTTGAAGGATTAATGAGATAATAATGCATGTTATGTATAAAGCATGAGTCCTAGAATATATTAAGATCTTAATTCATGTTAGCAATTATTGAAATGAAGATTATTATTGCAGTGTTCTCATTGTCCCTATCATATTGAAGTCTGTATTTTCTCCAAATTTTATGTGTCAAACTATAATAAATTGTGTAGTTGATTCTATGTGAGATGGTAGAAATTTTTATTCTTTTCTTTCTGTATCCTTTTAAAATAAAGGGTTAAAAACAGTTCCACGTGAAAAATGAAAATATTTTGAAATTTTCTTTTTGATATAGAACAAAATCCTTTAACTGGGAGAATATGAACAAATATTCACACACACACACACACACCCATTTATCTTTGAAGGATGATTCTTGGTAAGCCGACAAAGAAAGAAGGCCTAGAAAAAAAGGGCTTATATGCTTCAGTGAAGTTCTCTCCAATTTATTATCTCCAAAATTATTGCTTTTCCAGGTTAATATTAGGCTTTTTATTTATACCTAAAAATAAGTCATAGTTATTAAAATACTAGTAATAGTATCTAATATTATTAAGTGACATTGTCAACATTTACTAACATATTTATTAGGGGTAGACATAATACACGGTAATGGTAAACAATCTGAAAATATGGAACATATAACTAAGAAAATAAATTACTATATTCTAATTACCCAAAGATAATTGGACAAATATTAACATTATAAATTATTCATTTGTATGCCAGTTACTGTCTTTTGGGGAGCCATATGCTACACACTGGAGAGCAATACAGATCCTTCACAGTAAATCTTGGTGAACTTTCCAAGTTAATATATGTAGGTAAACGATGTTTAATAGTTACTTAGCATTTCATCACATGCATATAATGTACCTAATCATTTCTACCTTATAGGAAATTAAGGCTGTTTCCACAGTTTTACTTCATCTAATTAGATAAGAATGTAATGTTAATGAGGATAGAGACTTTTTCTATGCCATGATTCCAGCTTAAAATAGCATTTAAAAGTTAGGCAAATGAGAAAAATCTTGCAGAATTTGTCAAATAAATAAATAAAGTAATATTTAACATTGTCTTAATATTTTTTGAGTTAAAATATACATACAAATTTTACCATCTTTACAGTTCAGTGGTAATAAAAACATTTATATTATTTTCTTCCTCTTCATCCCCCCCTTCTTTTTCTACCCTTCCTGGCCTCTGGTTACCACCAATTTACTGTCTATCTTCATGAGATACACTTTTTAGCTCCCACATATGAGTAAGTAATGTGATAATCATTTTTCTGTGTTTGGCTTATTTCCCTTAACATAATGATCTCCAGTTCCATCCATGTTATTGCAAATGACAGGAATTCATTTTTTTATGGATAAATAATATTTCATTGTGTGTGTATATATGTGTGTATATATATATATACATATATATAACTTTTTTGATAGGCATTTAGGTTGATTACCTATTTTGACTACTGTGAAGAGTGCTGTAATACATATGAGCGTGCAGATATCTCTTCAATATATTGATTTCCTTTCTTTTGGGTATATACCCAGCAGTGGATTTTCTGGATCATATGGTAGTTCTATTTGTAGTTTTTTGAGGAACCCCCATACTGTTCTCCACAGTGGCTGTATAAATTTACATTCCCACCCACAGGGTACAAGCATTCCCTTTTCTTCACATCTTTGCCAGCCTCTGTTGTTACCTGTGTTTTTGATACGAGACATTTTAATTGGGATGAGTTGATATCTCATTGTGGTTTTAATTAGCATTTCTCTGATGATTAGTGATGTTGAACATTATTTTTATAATCTGTTGGCCATTTGTCTTTTTTCAAGAAATGTCTATTCAGATCTCTTGCTGATTTTTAAATCAGATTGTATTTTTTTTCTGCTATTGAGTTGTTTAAGCTTCTTCTATATTCTGGTTATTAAATTTATTTTTAGATAGTTTGCAAATATTTTCTCCCATTCTGTAGGTTGTCTTTTCATTTTGATAATTGTTCCTCTTACTGTACAGAAGCTTTTTAGCTCCATGTAATCCCATTTGTCTATTTTCTCTTATGTTGTCTGCACTTTTTGGGTTTTATACAAAAAAAAATGTTGCCCAGATCAACGTCCTGAAACACTTACCCAATGTTTTCTTCTAGTAGTTTCATGTCTTAGATTTAAGGCTTTAATTTATTTTGAATTGATTTTTGAGTGTGGTGAGAGACAGGGATCTAGTTTCCTTCTTCAGTGTTGAGTTATACGGTTTTCCCAACACTGTTTATTAAAAAGACTGTCCTTTCCTTCATTGTATGTTCTTGGTATATTTGTTGAAAATAAGTTGGCTATGGCCGGGCGCAGTGGTTCACGCCTGTAATCCCAGCACTTTGGTAGGCCGAGGTGGGCGGATCAAGAGGTCAGGAGATAGAAACCATCCTGGCTAACACGGTGAAACCCGTCTCTGCTAAAAAAAATACAAAAAATGAGCCGGGCATGGTGGCGGGCGCCTGTAGTCCCAGCTACTGGGGAGGCTGAGGCAGGAGAATGGCATGAACCTGGGAGGCGGAGCTTGCAGTGAGCCGAGATCGTGCCACTGCACTCCAGCCTGGGCAACAGTGCGAGACTCTGTCTCAAAAAAAAAAAGAAAAGAAAAGAAAAGAAAATGATTTGCTATAAATGCATGGATTTATATTGGTGTTCTCTATTCTGTTCCATTGGTCTATGTGTCTATTTTTATGCCAGTACCATTCTGTTTTGCAGTAAATTTTGATGTACCTGTGATGTCTCCAGCTTTTTTCTTTTTGCTCAGAATTATTTTGGCTATTTGGTTTTTTTGTGTGGTTCCATGTACATTTGAGGATTTTTTTTTCTATTTCTGTGAAGAATGTCATTGGCATTTTGATAGAGATTGAATTGAATCTGTAAATTATTTTGGACAGTGCTGTCATTTTAACAATATTAATTCTTCCAGTTCATAATTATTCCAGTTCATGGAATATCTTTCCATGTTTTTGTGTTCTCTTCAATTTTTTTTCATTAGAGTTTTATAGTTTTTCTTGTATAGATCTTCCACCTCTCTGGTTAGATTGATTCCTAGATATTTCACATTTTTTGTAGCCATCGTAAATGGGATTTCTTTCTTGATTTCTTTTTCAGATTGTTCACTGTTGGCATATATAAATGCTACTGATTTTTGTATGTTGATTTGGTATCCTGCAACTTTACTGAATTTATCAGTTCTAACAGGCTGTTGGTGAAGTCTAGGTTTTTTCTAGGTATAAAATCATATCATTTTCTAATAAGGCTAATTTTACTTCTTTCTTTCCATTCTGAATGCCCTTTATTTCTTTTTCTTGCCTATTTACTTTGGCCAGGACTTTCAGTGTTATGTTGAATAAAAGTGTTAAAAGTTGGCATCCTTGTCTTGTTTTAGTCTTTAGAGAAACAGTTTTCAATTTTTTTCCCCATTTATTGCAATGTTAGCTATGAGTTTGTCATACATGACCTATATTATTTTGAGGTATGTTCCTTCTACAGCCATTTTGATGAGAGTTTTTATCATAAAAGGATGTTAAATTTTATCAAGTGCTTTTTCAATATCAATTGACATAATCATGTGGTTTTTGTTCTTGGTTCTATTAATGTGATGTAGCCTGTTTATTGATTAGTGTATGTTGAATCATTCTTACATCCCCGGGATGAATCCCACTTGATCATGTTGAATGATCTTTTTAATGTGCTGTCAAATTCGGTTTGCTAGTATTTTTTTGAGGATTTTTGCATTATGTTCATCCGTGATATTGGCCTGTGGTTTTCTTTTTTTGTTGTATCCTTGTCTGGTTTTGGTTTCAGGGTAATGCTGGCCTTCTACAATCAGTTTGGAAATATTCCTTCCTCTTCATTTTTTTGAACAGTTTGAGTAGGATTGGTATTGGTTCTCGTTTAAATGTTTGGTAGAATCCAGTAGTGAAGACATCAGGTCATGGGCTTTTCTCTGTTGAAAGACTTTTTATTATGGCTTCAATCTTGTGACTGATTATTGGTTTATTGAGGTTTTCTATTTCTTCATGGTTCAATCTTGGTAGGTTGTATGTGTCCAGAAATTTATCCATTTTTTTCTAAGTTTTCCAATTTGTTGGCATATAGTTGTTCACGATAGCATCTGATGATTCTTTTTATTTCTGAGGTCTCAGTTATTATGTCTCCTTTTTTCCTTCTGATTTTATTTATTGATGTCTTTTCTCTTTTTTATTAGTCGTGCTAAAGGTTCGTTGATTCTGTTTATCTTTAAAAAACCCAACTTACTGTTTCATTGATTTTGTTTTAGTGTCCATTTATTTCTGCTCTGATTGTTATTTCTTTCCTTTGACAAACTTTTGTTTCCGTTTATTCTTGCTTTTCTAGTTCCATTGTGTGCATCATAAGGTTGTTTATTTGAATTTTTCCACTTTTTTGATATAGGTGTTTCTTGCTATAAACATCAGTCTTAGTACTGCTTTTGCCATATCTCATAGATTTTGGTATGTTGTATTTCCATTTTTATTTGTTTCAAGACATATTAAAATTTTCTTCCTAATTTCTTCATGGTTTATCAGTCATTCAAAAGCATGTTTTTAATTTCTGTGTGTTTGATAATTTTTCATATTTCTTCTTATTGTTTTCTACTTTTATTCCATTGTGTTTAGCAAAGATACTTGAAATGATTTCCAATTTTTTGAATTTGTTCAGTTTTGTTTTATAAAGACCATGCCTAAGACATGTTTTATTCTGGAGGATGTTTTATGTACAGATGGAAAGAATGTGTATTCTGTAGCAGCTGAGTGAAATGTTATGTAAATATCAGTTAGGCCTATCAGATCTAGTGTGTAGTTTAACTCTGCTGTTTTGTTGTTGTTGATTTTCTGTCTGGATGATCTGTCCATTACTGAGAGTGGGGTATAAAGTCCCTTACTATTATTGTACTGCAGTCCATCTCTCCCTTTAGATTTACTAACATTTGGTTTATATACTTGTGAGCTCCAATGTTGGGTGCATATATATATACACACATATAATTGTTGTATCTTGTTGCTGAATTGACTCCTTTATGGTTGTATGTTGACCTTCTTTGTCTCTTTGCAATCTTAGATTTGTTGTTGATTTTGTCTGATGTAAGTATCACTACTCTTTTTTTTTTTTTTTTTTTTAGTATTCAATTCCATGGAATACCTTTATCCACCTCTTCATTTTCATTCTGTATGTGTCTTTATGGGTGAAGTAGGTATGTTGAATATTGTTGAGTCTTGTTTATTTATCCATTCGGCCACTTTTTGTCTTTTAATTGGAGAATCGAGATCGTTTATATTCAGTGTTATTATTGATGAGTAAGTACTTACTGCTGCCATCTTATTGCCTGTCTAGTTGTTTTGTGACTCTTTTCTTTCTTGCTTCCTTTCGTACTGTCTTCCTTTGTTGTTAAGTGGTTTTGCTCTGGTACTGTATTGGTTTGTTCTCACGCTGCTAATATAGACATACCCAGGACTGGGGAATTTATAAAGAAAGAGAGGTTTAATTGACTCACAGTTCCACATGGCTGGGGAGGCCTCACAATCATGGGGGAAGGCAAAAGGCACATTTTACATGGCAGCAGGCAAGAGAGAATGAGACCCAAGCAAAAGGGGAGACCCCTCATAAAACCATCAGATCTTGTGAGACTTAATCACTACCACGAGAACAGTATGGGGGAAACTGCCACCATGATTCAATTATCTCCCACCA
Source organism: Homo sapiens (assembly GCF_000001405.40). Taxonomy (NCBI): domain Eukaryota; kingdom Metazoa; phylum Chordata; class Mammalia; order Primates; family Hominidae; genus Homo; species Homo sapiens. The sequence goes on along the minus strand of NC_000003.12, from coordinate 174,369,606 downwards.
GGTTCTTTCCACAACATGTGGGAATTATGGGACCTCCAATTCAAGATGAGATTTGGGTGGGGACACAGCCAAACCATATCACATAGTATGTTTTAATTTGTCACTTTTTATTTTTCATGACTCAATTATAGTTTTTTTGTGCTGTGGTTACTATGAGGCTTACAAAAAAAATAACAAGTTATTTTAAAAGGTGGCAATTTTTCTTAAATCACAAATAAAATAAATGAAACAAAGGCAACAAAGAAAAAAAATTACACACTTTAACTCCATTTCCCTCATTTTAACTTTTCTATATCTCAAATTACCCATTTTTATATTACCTATCTCTTAACAGGTGTCTGGAGCTATTATTGTTTTTGATAGATTTGTCTTTTGCGCTTAGAGTTCTGAATGGAATGCACATCACAATTGCAAAAATAGAGTATTCTGGGTTTGTTCATGTACTTAATTTTACCAATGGGTGTTTTACCTTGAAAACTTTTTTCTTTTCTTTGGTTTTTGGATATTAGTTTGGTTTTTTTTTCTTTTAGATTCAAGAACTTCTTTTGGAAGACAGGTCTGGTAGTGTTGAATTCTTTCAATTTTTCTTATCTGGAAAAGATTTATTTCTCCTTCATATCTGAAAAATAATATTCTGAGTACAGTACTCTTGGATAGTAGTTTTTTTCTTTGAGCACTTTGAAAATGTCATTCCACTTTCTCCTGACCTGTACAGTTTCTGTTGAAGAGACTGTTCCTAGATGAATTGGAGCTCCATTACATGTTATTTTCCTCCTTTATCTTTCTACTTTTAAGATCATCTCTTTGTCCTTGACATTGAGAGTTCCATTAATCTATGCCATGTGGTAATCTTATTTGGGTTAACTCAATTTGGTGTTCTCAGACCTTCGTGTACCCAGATGTATAATTTTCTGTTGTAATTTCTCCGAATAAGCTTTCTACCTGTTGCTCTTGCTCAGTTCTCTTTTGAACACTAATAATTCTTACATTTGGACTTTTAAGTTAATTTTCTATCTTATAGGTGGTCTTCATTCCTTTTGATTTTTCTTTTTTCTCCTCTGACTATATTTCCAAATAGATGGTATTTGAGCTCAGTGATTTTTTTTTCCCCTCTGCTTAGTTCATTCTGCTGTTGAGAGCCTCTAATGAGTTCTTCTGTTCAGCAAATGTATTTCTCAGTTCCAATATTTCTGTTTGAGTTTTTATTATCTATAATAATAAATATTATTATTATTTATTTTATTATTATTTATTTTATTATTATTATCTAAACCTCTTTGTTAAATTTCTCTGATAACTTTCTGAATTGCTTTTCTGTGCTATCTTGGAGATCACTGATTTTTCTTAAAACTGTTATTTTCACTTTTTGGGAAGAGTGCTTACAAATCACCATCTCATTAGGGTTGTTCGCTGGATATTTGCTTTTTTTTTTTTTTTTTTTTTTTTTTTTTAGGAGGTCATGGCTCCCTGTTTGCTGGTGTTTCTTGTGGCTATATGTTTCTGTTTTTGCATTGAAAAATGTATTCTAGTTTTCTCTATCTGGCTTGTTTTGATTTTTATTGGACAAATTGATTTAGCAAATATTTACTGCTAGGTCACTGCCTTTTTACTGCTGCAGGTGGTCCCTTAAGCCCAGGTTTGCCTTGGCTCTATTAAATGATTAGAGAGCTGTCTATCCTGAATGGGAGAGGTCCCAAAGAGATTATCCTAACAGTATGGAAAGGCTGGTTAGACCTATGAAACACCTCATCTGCATATTTTGAGTTCTGGGTTGTTGCTGATGAAAATCTTCATACTGTATATTTGTTTTTTGTTTTCAGTAGGGGGTGGGGAGTGAAGCTTGCTTCTATGCCACCTTTTTAAAACTAGAACTCCCATATTGAGTATCTTTATATAAAATTCTGTGTATACTTTTGATTATTTCTTTAAGGTTTTCTTTTTCTTTTTTTTTTTCCTTAAAGGTTAACTTCTTGGCCAAATAGTCAATAGTGTGGTGCTGCTGCTGAGCAGCCACTCTTGATTTAGCATTTCCTTTGGCCAACTTACAGAGCAGAGTTTCTGTGGCTGAGGATGTTATTTCTACCTACCCTCTTTCTCTCTGCCTGTCCTCAGGGATATTTCTCCCTTCAGGAGGTCACGATGTTCCCATGGGTTATGGCAACAGGTCTCCTAGCAGGGAACCCAAGATGGTGGGAAAGCTGGTTGACCAACTCAGTCTCACCTTTTCCAGTGTAGAATCTGTGAGTTGGGAAAGATGTTCCTAATGCTTGTTGTTTGGCAGAGAAAGTGACGTAGGGCCTCCCAGATATATAAGTTTGATTCTCCTACCATCTGCGTGGAGTTTCTTCACCTGTCTGTGGCCCTGGGATCTGCCTCATCTGCATATTTGAGTTCTGGATTGTTGCTGATGAAAATCCCCATACTATATATTTGTTTTTGGTTTTCAGTAGGGAGTGGGGAGTAAAGCTTGCTTCTTTGCCACCTTATTTATTTATTTATTTATTTATTTATTTATTTATTTATTTTTGAGATGGAGTCTTGCTCTGTCGCCCAGGCTGGAGTGCAATGGTATCATCTTGGCTCACTGCAGCCTCTGCCTCCTGAGTTCAAGCAATTCTGCCTCAGTCTCCCAAGCAGCTGGGACTACAGGCGTGCGCCACCAAGCTCGGCTAATTTTTGTATTATTAGTAGGGACTGGGTTTCACCATATTGACCAGGCTAGTTTCAAACTCCTGACCTTGTGATCCACCTGCCTCGGGCTCCCAAAGTGGTGGGATTACAGGCGTGAGCCATGGCACCTGGCTTATGCCACCTTTTAAAAATTGGAACTCCCATATTGAGTATCTTTACATAAAATTCTATGTATATTTCCAATTATTTCTTTAAATTTTTTCCTTAAAATGAAATTTTTTGGCCAAATAGTAAGAACTCCATATCTATTTCTTATCATAGGCACTTTACAGTCTCTATAATTCACTTAAAAATGTTTTAAGTGAAATAAAATATCCATGCACGTGGCAAAATATACAGAATGCACACTGCTACATACTTACTTTAACCATTTGCTTAGAGTTTCTTGTTTATGTATAAAATCTGAAAAAGTGCCACACATTGCTTAAATGTGCTCTAAATTATTTTAAGAAAACAATTATTTAAAAAGGAGATAAAAAGCACACAAAAAAAGAAAGAGCATTAAAGTATCAGTCCAGGAAGACTAAGTCCCAGCTAACATAAACATCAAAAAGAGAAATGATGAAACACATTAATGAGATAACATAAGCAAAGTCCTCAATATGAAGACTCCTATAATCTTTCTGTCACTTTAAAGGCCATTTGTTTTAATCTTTACTCAACAATATTGTCTCTTGTAAAGTTTGTATTACATGTGGTTAATCTCTCTTTCAGTCCGTGAGTGTAGTTTAGTTTCCTGCCTTATAATATCTGAGTCCTCTCCTTTTCACTCTTTTCATTTTTCTCATTTCTGCTGCATGCTACAAACATGTCTCTTCTCCTTTTTTGAGCCGCTCTCCATTCAACCTGGAGATCAATGAGCAGATTCTACTCAAGGATCTGGCTCTTCAGGATTGTTTTCTCCTTGTTGAGATCACCCTTTCCCAATTTTACCTGCAGAACATTTCAAAGTCCTTACAATGTGGAAAGGCTGGCTAGGACCTGTGAAATACCTCATCTGCATATTTGAGTTCTGGGTTGTTGCTGATGAAAATCTTGATACTGTATATTTGTTTCTGGTTCTCAGTAAGGGGTGAGGAGTAAATATTGAAATTTTCACCTATTCCAAAGATATTAGCTTAGATCATACTTTCCTATTATTTTTATCTATCTTTACCTAAGAGCTGTTATACCTGGTTCCTGTGGAATTTATGTACTGAAGATATATCCTAAGCAGAATTCAGGATTAAACAGCAGAGCAATAATATAGCTGCTGAACCCCAAATTTACATCTCTTGAACTTTTTCACTCAAACCCCAAGCTCAAACATCCAACTACCAACTGTATTAGCCATGTCAAACTTGACAGGTTCGTTAATTGTAGACCTACTCTCTCTACCTTCTAACCTATTTTTGTGCCATTCTCCTCATAGTTCTTTACATTCCTCCCATACTGGCCTTCTTTCTTTTGCTAGAAAACACCAATCTTGTTCCATATTCAGGGCCTTGGCACTATCTGCTCTTTCTGTCTCAAATACTCTTGCCTCAAATCTGTACATGACTGGCTCCTTCTCATCATTCAGGTCTCAGCTCTAATGTCTTGCCCTCAGAGGGGCCTTCCCTACTAAAGACCTAAGGTAGGCCCTTTCTCCATATTTCTCTATCCTACTATTCCACTACTCTGTTTCATTTTATTCATAGCACTTTTTTTTAATGTACTTTTTTGAGTCAGGGTCTCACTCTGTTGCCCAGGCTAGAGTACTGTGGCCCAATATGGCTCACTGCAGCCTCCACCTCCCCAGACTCAGGTGGTAATTTTCCCATCTCAGCCTCCCAAGTAGCTGGGAGTACAGGCACAGCTAATTTTTGTATTTTTGTAGAGATGGGGTTTTACCATGTTGTCCAGGCTGGTCTTACACTCCTGGGCTCAAGTGATCTGCCCACCATGGTCTCCCAAAGTGCTGGGATTATAGGCATGAACTACCATGCCCGGCCTAGCACTTTTACTATCTGAATTTTTATCATATTTATTTGTTTACTGTCTTTCCCTCGTCACTATGTACAAGCTCTGTGGGAGTCAGGATATTATCTGTATCTTTAGACAATGAGAAAATGCTATGTGGTACATAGTAGCAACACAGTAAAACTTTTTCAATAAATGACTAAATGATATCATTTTGCAGTAAGTTCAACACAAAATGTTTCTTTTTTCACCGTAGAACATGTCACTGTTCTTGTGTTGAATATTAAAGAAGTCATTGGCTTGAATTTAGAGTCTATGTTGTACAAACAGTATGTGTTTTTAAATTCCAGACTCAAATTAAGGGTGATAAACTGTGGCATAAAGAATCTGAAACCCAGAGAGTAAAAAGCAGATTCCTGTCTTCTGCTTCACTGTTACTCTGTGGCATATGTTTACTGACAGGAATGGTAGACAAAACTGATCCCACTATCTAAACTAATTCTCTCTCTTCTGAAAATGTATATGGGAATTAGAATATATTCTATTTATATATGATATTAATCCCCCCAAAATTTCCTAAGTTTTTCATTCTAAGTTGCACCACGGACATTACTAGGGAACTGACAAACAGGCCGGGTTTCAACCCACCACCTTCTTAAAAAGTTGGTTCTTCCTTACAAAGAGAGTATTCAATACTTTTCAAATTAAGAAACAAGAACTTTGATTCTTTTGGGTCCTCAGGTTACTTTAGAACCTGATGAGGCAGGGGTGGCAAGTTCAAAAGCTACTGTGCATGGGTTGAGGCCTAGGACAGTGAATCCTAGGCCTCAATCCATGTACAGTTGGAACAACTTTAGATAAGAGGTAGCTTTGCATCTACTTGGCTTATTGAGATGCCAAAATTTGACTATAAAATTTGGTTCTTCCTCTAACCTCTACAATCATCAGATTTCTCATCTAAGCTTTATTTTTAAATGTTTTGTTTTTAATTACTAAGTACTAGAGCATTTCCATTGGAATGTGTCCTCTTCTTCTTCCTGAGATTAATTGTTATAGAGTCATACTCAGATATCAATTATTTTCACCAATAAATGAGCAGAGATATATGGGATATTAATATTCAGAACACTGAAAAAAAATGAGGGTGCACATAGTACTATAATCTCTAGTGGAGGAGTGAGTTTATACCAGGCGTCCCACATATTGGCTTCAACTGGCCCTTTAGGTTTGCCTGCATTATCCTGAATATATTCCATCAAGTTTGATTGAAACTTCCATTTATGAAGTTTTAACCATAAATTAGAATGATTTTAGATTTTCATAATCCAGTCACAGGAACCCCCCCACTTTTTTTGCAGTAGCTAAATTTCAAAATCTCTTCTCTAATCTAGCTGAATATTCGACTTGTTCTGCTTGGCTGAAGCTCAGGAATGTCCAATAATCAACTTTGGTATTTTTTTAACCTTAGACTTTTTTTTTTGCACGATAAATAAGACTCTCTTCAGCAAGCTCTTGATGGTGTTACCAGCTGGTTTGTCACTCACATCTAGGACTTACGTCCTCTTGTGAACAGAAACAATTTCATAGAACCTCAACATATGATAAGACCATTCTGTGACCATAATTGATCAAAACAAAGACAGTTCTAAAATTATGTCTGGACACAAAGCATGAACATTGTCCAAGCCACAAAATACTAAGTATCTCTCTTTGACTAATATGAATGACCACTGTGCATGTGTGTGTGTTTTTTTCCAATTATAGTTTTAGCCTCAGTTCACTCTGCCTTCTCTATAAACAAGATTTATTGAGATACCCAATTATAAAATTATCCCTGCGTTGTTAAAGCTCCTAATTCATAGGAAAGCCCTACTTCACTAGACCCTCCTCAAAAATCTCTCAACCATAGCCCAAATCCTTTAAGTCTTTTACTGAGATACCAAGGAGTCCCCATGATGTACATTCTCTCGAGGCAATGAGTAATAAGCCCAACTTGTTCAACTACATTTGTTCCTGATGGTCTTTGGCTGGAAGGCATTGACAGCATATTATATCTGCTGGCAACTGATAACATTTCACTTACCCCCAGACAACCTCAATAAAGGGAAATTCTGGGGCTTCTCTTTGGGTTACTTGACATAGCAGTATACACTGTACAATCATGCAGACAGCTGCAGCTGCTAAGATCCGCTAATAGAAATAAAGCTTCCTTCTCCTCCAAAAGAACACAGCCCTGTGTTCTGACGACAGTAACACTCAACTAGTAACATGCATGTGAATTACCTGGCAATCTGGCTTTAAACAATGCAGGCCTCTATTCAGTATGTCTGGGTGGGGTCTGAGATTCTGTTTTTTTTCTCTTTTTTTTTTTTTTGAGACAGAGTCTTGCTCTGTCACCCAGGCTGGAGTGCAGTGGCGTGATCTCAGCTCACTGCACCCTCCCTTTCCTGGGTTCAAGCGATTTTCCTGTCTCAGCCTCCTGAGTAGCTAGGATTACAGGCGTGCACAACCACGCCTGGCTAATTTTTGTATTTTTTTAGTAGGCGGGGTTTCACCATGTTGTCCAGGCTGGTCTCGAATTCCTGACCTCAGGTGATCCACCCGCCTTGACCTCCCAAAGTGCTGGGATTACAGGCGTAGGTCATCGCGCCTGGCCTGAGATTCTGCTTTTCTAACAAGCTCTCAGGTGATGTTAAGGACCAAACTTAGAGTAACAAGTGTTTTTGTTTGTTTGTTTGTTTGTTTTTGAGACAGAGTCTCACTCTGTCGCCCAGGCTGGAGTACAGTGGTGCGATCTCTGCTCACTGCAAGCTCTGCCTCCTGGGTTCTCCTGCCTCAGCCTCCCAAGTAGTTGGGACTACGGGCGTCTGCCACCACGACCGGCTAATTTTTTTTTTTTTTTGTATTGTTACAAAATGATGGGGTTGCACTGTGTTAGCCAGGATGGTCTCGATCTCCTGACCTCATGATCCACCCGCCTCGGCCCCCCAAAGTGCTGGGATTGCAGGCGTCAGCCACCACACCCGGCCCGAGTAACAAGTTTTTAATGGGCCCACGGGCTATAGATTTGAGCTCCTATTCCCCCTTTTCCCATAGTTAGGGAAAAAGATGATGATAAGACAAGGTAGAGGAAGGAGGAAGGTGATCCTAGTAGGAGTGTAGGGAAGTGCCTTACTCATCTCAGGCTGCTATTGGAAAAATACTACGGACTGAGTAGTTTATAAACAATAGAAATTTATTTTTTACATATCTATAGGCTAGAAATCCAAGATCAAAATGGCAGCATGGTCGGGCTCTGGTGAGGGTCCTTTTCCTTGTTGCAGACTGCTGATTTCTCATTGTATCCTCACATCATGGAGAGAAGAGAGAAGCAAGTTGTCTTGGGACTCTTATAAGGGCAATAATACCATCCTTGAGGGCATCTTCCTCATGATCTCAGCTAATCCTAACTAATTCCCAAAGGCCCCACTTCCTAATGCCATCATATTGGAAGATAGAGTTTCAACATACGCATTTTGGGGAGGAGATGGTCCATAAGAAGTGATGTAAGAAAGGCAAAAAAAAAAAAAAAAAAAAAAAAAACGGCCAATAGAGGGCAAATTATCAAGCAAGTTCTGACTGTGAGGAACTGGAGCTCAATGCTATCAGAGAACTCTGCTGTCTGGATAGACCCTATCTTAGAAGTATCTCAAAAAAAGGTGAGGATCCTTTATCAGTTGAGGCCTGCCTCTAGACACATTAACTCCTATCACTTTTGTCTTGCCTTGGTAGCATGGCTATTGTGCTACCAAGCCAAAAACAAAGCAAAACAAAACAAAATAAAAACATCCAGTAGAGAATTGTGTTTATTCATAGTGACCAGTCTTCAGCTTAGAGGTGAACCCTGAGAAGATATGGGTGAGACATGGACATCATCTGTTACCTGAGTGGCAGGGCCTTTATTAACACACAGGTGAGAAGCAATTCACCTATCCCCTCAAGAAACTGTAGGTGTTTCAGATGAAGGGGAGAGTATCCTTGAACTAGCTTCTGTCACAAACAACCTTTTCCACTGTGGGTTGACAGGAGGGCCTCCTTAGGGACCCTGATGTATAATCTCAAGTAGATGAAATCTTGCTGGTCAGATAAAAAAAAGCTCACTTATCTTTATCCTCATCAGCTGTAACTGCTATCTGGCAATAGCCATTCTGCAAATCTAGCAAGGTGAACTCTAGGTGTTTTTACAAACAGCTATTGATCACTCCTAATTCAACAATTAATGGTATAATAATGCACATACTTTCAATTTTTTCTAGTCTCCTTTCTCACTATCGCAATTGGAGAAGCATATGGGCTATGATTCAGTAATGATCCTATTAACCAACAGTTCCTCAAGACGATCCCTTAGGTCATTAATCTGCCACAAAAAGCAATCCTCCTAGATTGTTCCAGAAATGCCCTTGAGCCATTTAACATGATGGTATGCTGCTCCCCTTGGGCACATCCCACAAGCCAGGCATGTAGGGATTGACTTCAGTTTTCATGTTAACCTCTTTGTCTGCTCAGATGCTAAAGAAATCACAAAATGCAAGAATACTAGGCTCAGGTCATGGGTGTTTCTAGGACATGGGTGTTTTTAGGGATTATTTTCTTTTTTTTTTCTCCATATTTGATTAGGCATTATACATTAGACATGTTTGGTGTGACTAAATATCTCTTAGTGGCGGCCATGGTGTGCTACAAGATGAAAAGAGAGTTATCCTTTCACTACCACCAAATCTGGTATATAGGACATATCACATAACTGCTTCCTGGATAGGACTTTACAATCTCTTTAGGGGATTTTAGTACCATAATAATGTTCCTGTTAGGACAAGCTTATTTTACCCAAACTCAATTTTGGTAGATCAGATGTTAACTGTAAAAGTACATAGACATCGTATTTATCCAGTTTTATATGGCATGACCTTTCTTCCCATTTAATTTCTGGGATGGTCTATAGTTCCCGAGGGTAAAGGCAACAGATTTAGGTTGAGCCTATTTTTAGGAGAGGCAGGGATTTTCCACTGTTATACTCCTAAGGTAACTTTTTGATATTCCCATTGTAATCTCCAGTTCCTCTTATTCCTGATTATAAGAGGGTAGATTCCCTAGCATTACAGATGATGCAGACTTCACTGGAATTTCCCTACATCTCTAGTGGAAAGAAAAGTTCAGAGTGACTGACTAAGTCTTGTTTCTTTCTTTTTTTTTATTGGGGTGGAGGGAAATAAAGAAAATCAAGTAGTACTATGGGGAGAGGAAAAACCATCAGGCCACACATACTTACAAAAGTTTCTATGCCGTAGACTTGATTCCAGGTCTATATCCACAGCAATGCCACCCATCAAGGACTGTGCTGGGACACAGCTACTAGTTCTTATACTTGGTCCCACAAGCTTCTAACGTTGCTGCTTTTGCTTTCTCTGGGGTAATATTTATTATTTGGGAGAAATGAGAGAAAGGGGTCAGTTCTCCAAGTGTCTCATGCACTCTTAAGCTTCTGAATTTTAAGTTTGAGAATGCCTGTGTTGCTGCTCAAAATGAGATTGATTTGCTAATTTTAATTATTTTCTTTTCTCGATTACCCTTTACCACAGCTTTTCCAGCACCAAGGTTGAACTGAAGATCTTTCCCTTCTGGCCAGTGTTGTTGTGAATTAAATTTCTAGATCCCTATCATTTTCACTCATTTAGTTGACTTTGACCTAATAGGTTATAGTCCTAGAAATTTCCATAAGTGGCCCTAGCCATCCATAACACATCTAGTAGGGAGACTGAATTCTGGTAGATTTATCTGCCTCTTTGTACTAGTCCTCTGCTGTGAGAGTGAGGATGCTTCATTTTGCTACTGGTGCTATTGCAGCTTCTCGGTACCCAGGACTGATGTGCTAGGATGTCACCTCCTGCACTGAATAGTCTTTTCCACTTCCATACCTTCCTTCTCCTCCTGCAGCTGTCTACTCAGAAAAGGGGGCTGGGGGATAACTCAAAAAATCATTTTTCTTTTCTGACCAAATACTGTCCATCAACATTTCTATCTGCTTTTGGCCTGACACCCCCATCCAATTTAATGAGCAGGTCCTGTTTCCAGATGTTTACCTCACAAATGTAGGTATTGTCATTGCTATGCTTTCTTACCTATGAAGCTGGCTTACACTGTACCCTTATTTAAAGAGTGTGCCATCGGCATCAATTAAGAACTACTGTATTCAAGAGGATCTTCAAGAACATCTATATTTCTATTCTTTTTTAATCATGGCTTCCTTATTACTTGAAATGTACTTTGATTTATCTCCTTCCCCAACTTAAAATATTGAAACTTAGGGTAGTATTGGTAGAAGGAATATTAAAAAACATTTACTGTATGTCCTTTCATAGGTGAAGATACTGAGGCCTAGAAAAGTTGTGACTAAGCAAATCGTAAACAGCTAGCTAGTGGTGGCACAAGGATCTGAATCCAATAGAGCAGACTGGCATTAAATGCTCTTTCCTCAGAGAGAAGCCCTGTAGAGTGTAAGCACCTGACTTTTTGTCAACATATGACACATCACATTTTGCTACTTACTTATCAATATTTATTTTTGTTGGCTTATGTTCCCTGTGAGATTGTAAGCTCTTCATAGGCAGAGGTTGTGTCTCACTCATTTCTGTTATTTTCTCTATTATTTAGCATAATGTCCTGCACTGGGAAACAGCTGGTGCTCACTAATTGTGTAACCAGTAAACAATGCATGAACAAATGAGTGAATGATCTTTTGCTAACAGTTATAAGGCAATATAGCTTAATAAGAAGTAATGAGTGGTTTGGAATGCCAGTTGTTTTGCACCATGTTACCTAAACAGTTGGTTAATTTAAAAGCAATATGAGTGAAATCAATGTTTTATCATGACATAGACAAAAATGGCTCATTAATTGAATTGTTCCCTTTCTAGTTTGTGGCTGTAAGAGCATGTAGATAGAAATTCATAGTGTTTTGTCTTGTTCTCAGATAAAGCAGTTTTTAACTGGATGATATTGACCAAGTAAATTAAAATCTCCCTGGGTCTTCTCCTCTCCATCTGCTAAAAAGTATAGTCAAGTCGGCCTGCTCACTGCCTCACAAGAAAATTGTCATGCCAACACTTTTGTAAAAGACGACTTCCTGGAGAGAAACGAAAGGCCAAGTGGCTTAGTTCCTATCTCTGCTTAAGGAAGATTCTATGAATGAATGGTTTTATTCTTATTCATCAATCCAACTTTGTGTTAGTTATGGCAATTTGTGTGGCCTGGAACTCCTCCTCATCTTCCTTAATTTCACATTCACATTTACCAAGTAACATGATTACAAAAATTACAAATAAGACACTTGATGGATATTCTGTGGTCCTTTTGTTCCTGTGGTTCCTTGGACATAAACACACATGTACACACACATGAAGAGGGGAAGAAAAGATATATATATATATATATAGAGAGAGAGAATAAGATATTCACTTTTGAATATCTTCAAGTTCTTTAGTTATTGAAACTTTTTGTCAAGAAAAACATAGATTAAAAAATAAATTATTGACTTTAACACATAGGTTATTCTTGTGAGTCTTCCAAAGAGAAACTTCTAAGTTTGGGTTCTAAAAGGGACCAATATATAATCTAAAAATCTGACATATTCATATTTGTTATAGATTTCTTTTTAGTCTTCATGCTTTATAGTAAGTCTTCAAGTTCTTTAGTTGTCGAAACTTTTTCCAAGAAAAAAATAGAAATAAAAAATTGATTATTGACTTTAACAAATAACCTATTCTTGTGAGTTTTCCAAAGGGAAAGGTCTAAGTTTGAATTCTAAAAGAGATCAACATATGATCTAAAAACCTGACATAATCCTATTTGTTATAGATTTCCCTTTTGTCTTCATGCTTTATACCGAGTCTTGAGTTTTAGTCTTCACAAACCTTCTCTGCCTGTTTTCTCCCTCCTCCAAATCATCATGTATATTACTACTATCATCTAAATAAAAACATATCCTCAGTTAAATCCTTCTCAAGCACCTTCAATCAATCACATACTATAGACTACAGCAGGGGTTGGCAATCTACGGCATGTAGGCCAAATCCAATCTGCTCCCTGTTTTCATAAACAAAATTTATTGGAACACAGACATGCTTGTTCATTTACTTATTGCCTAAGGCTACTTTTGTCCTACAAAGGCAGAGTTAAGTAGTTTCCTCAGAGATAGTATGCCCCACAAAGCCTAAACTAGTCACCATCTTATGCTTTATAGAAAAAAAGTTTAGCTGACTTCTGGACTGCAACATAAAATAAAAACTCTACAGCCTGGCATTTATTGCCTTCATAAATGATATTTAGCACATAGTAGATTATGCATAAAACTGTATCTAGGTGAAAATTCATTTCGAAAATATATCTGCACTATTAATTCCTAGCAAAGTTTCTTAGCTGTAGCAGTCTCTTGTCCTCCTGGGATACAGTGTGCAGCACATTGTTATGGCAGGCACATAGCCCCTGCAGTCAAACATATATAAGTTCAAATTCAAGCTCTGGCAGGTAAGTAGCTGCATGAGTTTGAGTAAGTTAGTTTTCTTTTCTGGTTTCCTGGATCCTGGCTTCTTCATTTGTGAAGTAATTTTAGAAATGAAGGTTCTAAAAATAAACTAACATATTTAAAGTGTCTAGTACATTGGGTGGGTGTGGTGGCTCACACCTGCAATCCGAGCACTTCGGGAAGCTGAGGCGGGCAGATCATTTGAGGTCAGGGGTTCGAGAGCAGCGTGGCCAACATGGTGAAACCCCTTCTCTAATAAAAATACAAAAATTAGCCAGGTATGGTGGTGCATGCCTATAATCCCAGCTACTCGGGAGGCTGAGGCAGGAGAGTTGCTTGAACCTGGGAGGCAGAGGTTGCAGTGAACAGAGATTGTGCCACTGCACTCCAGCCTGGGGAACAGAGTGAGACTCCATCTCAAAACAAAACAAACAATCTAGTAACAAAACTTGAAATATAATAATTCACACTCAAGAAATGCTATTACATGCTTTCTTGATTAGTCCAGGAGGTAGGTTAGCTTGGAAGATATGGAGTATTTATCTACTTGGGCTGCCATAACAGAATACCATAGATTAGGTAGAATAAACAACAGAAATGTATTTCTCACAGCTCTAGAAGCTGGAAAGTCCAAGATCAAGATCTTGTCCAATTAGTTTCCTGGTGAGATTTCTCTTCCTGGCTTGCAAAACAGCTTTCCTTCTGGCCATGTCCTCATATGGCAGAAAAAAGAGAGAGTGAGCCCTCTGGTGTCTCTTCTTATCAGCACACTAATCCTACTTGGTCGAAGCCTTGCCCTTATGACCTCATTTAACCTTAATTATCTCCTTATAGGCCCTATCTCCAAATACAGTCACCTGGGGGTTAGAACTTCAATATATGAATTTTGAAGGGACATAATTTAGTCCATAGCATTTGACATACAGACAATGGCGGTTAATTATTCAGTGTGCACTGCATGGATTGGCCATTGTATCTTCCAAAGAATGGATTTCATCATTAAGTGAGGTGGGTATTTGATTTTCAAATTTCAAAACCATGTCATCTCATTGACATAGTATGATATTTATATGTATTGTTAGGCTGCAAAAGCATATTACACAACAGTGTATATGGTATGATTATATGTTTGGTAAAAACACAGAAAAAATAATCACAGGATATATGCCCACAAGTTCACTGTTATTCCTAGGTGGTAGAATAATGAACAATTTTAAGAAAAATCTCTTTTCTTTTTAATTTTCTGCTTATTATACATATAAATACCTGAATAAAAACATCATAAAACAAACTTAAAAATACACACATTCTGAAAATGTCCATAACTTTTTAGTGCCTTTTATAAATTTAGGTAACATTTACAGAACACAAAATTAATCATTTTAAAGTGTACAATTCAGTGGCATTTAGTACATTCAAATGTTGTGCAACCATCACTTTGATCTAGTTTCTCTCCATAATTTTAAAAACAACTTTATTGAGGTATAATTAACATTGCATAAAATTACCCCATATAAAATGCACAATTGAAATATTTTTGTTAATTTACAGTTATGCAACCATCACCACAATCCAGTTTGTAGAACACTTCCATCTCCCCAGTAAGATTCTTTGTATCCATTTAGATTTAATCTCCATTTCACTTCAAAAGCCAGGGAACATCTAACAACTGTCTATCTTCTTAGATTTGCCTTTCTTGACATTTTGCATGTATGGAATCATAATATGTGATCTTTTGTTTTTGGCGTCTTTCACTTTTCATAATATTTTTGAGGTTTATCTATGTTGTAGTATTTAATTCCTGTTTATTGTTGAATAAAATTCCATTGTATAGTTATAATATATTTTATCCACTCACCCATGGATTTGGATTATCCATTCACTCATGGACATGGATTTTTATCCACTCACTCGTGGACATGGATTTTTTTCTACATTTTGTATATTAGGAATAATTCTGCTATTAATATTCACATGCAAGTCTATATGGACATGAGCTTTTATTTCTCTGGGGTAGGATTTTAGAAGTGAAATTATTGAGTTGTATGATAAACTTATATACACATTTTTATAAAATGAGTGCCAATGTGTGGTGCCCGGTGCAACTGTTTCCATCAGTTGTCACATTTAAATTGTATTATGTTTTAATAGTCACTTGAGTGCTGTTCCTGTAAACAGAGCTGTATCCACTCACTCATGGACATGGATTGTTTTCCTACATTTTGTATATTAGGAATAATTCTGCTATTAACATTCATATGCAAGTCTATAAGGACATGAGCTTTTATTTCTCTGGGGTAGGATTTTAGAAGTGAAATTGTTGAGTTGTATGGTATACTTATATATACATTTTTATAAAACTGCCATATTGTTTTCTTCAGAACTAGGCTTTTGACTTACACAAACATGAGGGAAAAACAACTACACTTTAATAAATAAAAAATAAAAAATAAAATAAAAAATATTATATTTTTATAAATAAAAAAATATAAAAAAAATTTATATTTTTTATAAATAAAAAATAAAGAACAACTACACAACTTTTATAAATTATGCAGCATGGGCTAAGTTTCTTATGGCCTGTACATCCATTTCTTCTCTGATGAAATGAGGACACAAATCAAACTTATTTCGTAGTTATTGTAAAGATTAAAAGTTTAAAAAACAATTAATTAAAGGATTAAAGAACAATGCTTATATGTGTGAACCTTAAGGTTAGCTGTTATTATGGAATATGTTCATATGACTGGGATTCCAAGTCAAATTTCTTGCATAGACATTATATGAAACACTGTTTATCAGTTGCTTTTTATAGTTTTTTTTTCAGTTAAATAATAACTTGCAGGCTCTTACATTTTTAGGAATTTTCTTCCAAGTCTTCTCAAAGCATTCAACTATAAAAGTTAGTATCTCTACAAATTAATCTTCATAGAGATACTTTTATTTATTTTGCACTCATATAACATATTTATGCTTCACTAGTTTATGAAATTATATGTCTCAAATGGCTGGAGCTGATAGCCTACTGGACATGAGAGTTCATGTACTGGGAGTATTGGTAAGTTTTATGGATTAAAGGACATTTTCTGGTAAATCTGGTTGCTATTTATGGAACTTGGCAAAAATCCTTTACTGTATATGACAGTGCCTGAGGAATTTCTACTAGTTGCAAAGTTAAAGAAAAGGAAAGTGACAATGCATGTTTGACTCTACATTCCACAAAATCAGAAATAGAACTTAGCATATTTATTACTTAAGATAAAGCATAGCCATATAACCATGAAACAGTATTTGGGAGTAATTATTGACAATGGAAAATATATTAACATTAAAAAGTTTAATACAAATTAAACTTAAAGGAACTGTGGCTCTAAGTGATGGCATTATCAGTTGATATTTTTCCTGTATATCTCTATGTGTTTCTCCACTAAAACTTTTATTACATGGGCAGATATTGCTTTGATAAATTGATAAAAAGTAAATAAAATTTCTGGGTTCATCTCTGACATGTAACACACTTGGAAATCTTCATTTTCTTACAGCAAGAAAAAGCTAAGCAAATGGAAAATCAACAAGTTTTCTTGAATCTCTCAGGGAACAGAGGTTACAGAGCAAACTGACACTCAGAAATCTGTAGAGACAGGCAAATCCAGAGTCATAACAGAGATCTCTTTATCTGGAGTAGAAGCAAGTGGAGCCATAAGCTGGAAGGAATATTCAAATGATAATTTTAATGACTTGCTGGAGGCTGAGTATATACACACAAAAGCTGCAATTGAATAGTGGTAGTAGCATTATTCATAATCACCTGAAACTGGAAACAACCAAGGTGTCTTTAAATAGATGAATGAAAAAAACAAATTATGGCATATTCATATAATGGAATATTATTCAGCAATAAAAAGAAACAACTACCATTCCACAAAAAAGACACAGATGAATCTTAACTTTCTTTTCTTTTCTCCCTTTCCTTTCCTTTCCTTTCCTCCTTTCCTTTCCTTCCCTCCTTTCCTTTCCTTCCCTTTCATTTATCCTTCCTTTCCTCCCTCCCTCTCTCCCTCCCTCCTTCCTTCCTTCCTCTTTCCTTCTCTGTTTCTTTGTTTGTTTGTTTCTTTCTTTCTTTCTTTCTTTCTTGCTTGCTTGCTTGCTTGCTTGCTTGCTTGCTCTGTTACCCAGGCTAGAGTGCAGTGGCACAATCTTGGCTCACTGCAATCTCCACCTCCCTGGTTTAAGTGATTCTTGTGCCTCAGCCTCCCTGGTAGCTGGGACTACAGGCGTGCCTCACCATGCCTGCATTTTTAGTAGACTTGGGGTTTCATCATGTTGGCCAGGCTGCTCTCAAACTCCTGACCTCAAATGATCCACCCGTCTCGGACTCCCAAAGTGCTGGGATTACAGGCATGAGCCACCATGCCTGGCCTTAACTGTATATTTCTAAGTTGAAGCAGTTCATCTGAAAAGGATACATACCATACAATTCCTGTTATATGACATTTTAAGAAAGGCAAAAACTATAGCAATAGTAAAATGTTAGTGGCTTTCCAGGGGTTTGGTAGGGAAGCATTAATCGCAGAAGATAATTTTAGGGTGGTGAAGCTATTCGGTATGAGACTTTAATGGTAGACACATGACACTATGCATTTTTCAAAACCCATAGAATTTTACAGCACAGAAGTGAACTTTAATGTATACAAATTTAATTTTAAAAAATTAGGAGGCTGGTAGTTCCCAGGAAGGATGGCACACTGCGACAACATAATTTAACTGTATCATAAATGAATGAAATAACCTCACTGAATTGGGTGGGAGGGTAGGTACTGACCTTAGCACCTTTGAAAATAAGTGAAGTCTATAAGACTAACAGCAAAAGGAATTGCACATAAGCACTGTAATCTATTTGATAAAGTTGTTTCCCATGAGGGAACTGGTTAATAATTCTGAAACTTCTATACATATATATTGGAATTGAACAATAAAGTAAATGGGTGCTATATGGTGGGAGCCAGATTTCTCTGTTAAAGTAGGAGTTTACAGAAGAGCAGAGGGAGGCGGTTAGAATGATCTCTGTAATTGGTAATGGATTAGAGACAACAGTATAAACTTATATTTAAGTAATACAGATATAGATGGCTACATATAGAAATATTTACAGCTATACATATACAAACGGTTAGTATATAAAAATATTTCCTTGTTCTGTCAGCTGAGAGGACCTAGAAGCAATGACATAGCTGGAACTCAGATATTTGTTTCTGATAATATTTTCCAATAAAAGGACCCAGGGCTGCTTGGAGAAATATTTGATTTGAGGAGCAGATGGTGCAGAAAATATACAAGATTATTCCGGAGAATCTAGTACTACCAGAAAGCAAGGAAGTGTTAAAAAAAAAGAAAAAAGAGAAATTAAAACCCACAATAATGTACAAGAGTATGCCAGTGTAACACAGGAGCCGAGGGAAAGAGTGCTCAATGACCCAAAGTGGAACAATTAATCACTACAATAAGTAAAGTACTATTGAATTATAAAAGTATAAAATAAGTATGTCAGTTCATATTGAAATAACTTTTTAAAAAGTAAATAGATGAAGAATTTGGGGTAAAAGAATAAATATAATAAAGCCCAGGGCAAGGTTCATACAAAAATTTTATAATATTTCTAATGTTTTTATAGATGGACTGAATATTCTTTTCTGAGTGTCCTAGCAGACAAAGCCGATAATTAAGTAGGTCACAAGGTTCTCAGCATATGTATATCTCAAAACAAAAAGAAAGTACTTGTTCAGAAGTCAGAAGAAGGTCAATTTCTCTTGAAAATGAGATTCAAGAGACGTTTCTTTAGTTTTACACTCAACAACATCTTTATAATAGATAACGATGTAATAACACCTTTCAATATGGCATAATTAATAAGAAGTTTGTTTAGTTAATTTCTTATGACACATGAACAGGATAATGCTTATAGGTACTATATAATCTATATTTATATAAAACCTGAAATTATTACTTGTCTCTAAAAGAGGAGGTTTTTTTTTTAAGTCATGATTCTTGAAATCCTAGGTGACAGAAACTGGCAAAATTAAAATGTTTAAATTTACTTCAAATTTTTTTTTTTTAATAATATTGACTTTTTCATGATAAGTAAAATATTGAATTCTTAAAAATACAGATTTCCCCTATCATTGGTTTTACACACATGTATTTAAGGAATGGTTAAGATCCCAGCTATTAGCATTAAACTTCCATTTTAATACTATTGCATCCTGTTCTGGTCATAAACCTCTGCCTATCTCTAGCTGCTCACACACCTTCATCTATAAGCCAAAGGGGTTATAGATCTATTTAGAATAGCTTGCTTATGGATTGAAACACAAGTATTTTCATCAACTAGCAGCATTACTCTGAACTTTCTAATGATGATTGGTTTTACTTTCTACTCTACTGAAGTCACAGAACAAAGCTGCAAGATGGCACTGGAAGGGGTCAGTTGGCACCCAACAGTGTTCACTTCCTTACGAAGAGCTCAGAGCACCAGTGGGGTTGCTTACACAACATTAGATCTAAATAGAAAACCATTCTATGTCCACCCCCATTGAGGATTAAAACTGGGAGGGCTAATTTGTTTCAAGTGGGGAAGAAACACTACAGACTCCCTGCTCTAGGCTGTGTGGGTCTTTGTCATTTAACTCATCATGGGGTCTCCCTAGAATCTGACCTGGGTTTGTTTCGGAATGAGGCTACAAATACAGGTGCTTGTGTTGGTGCCCTGTGTAACTGTTTCCATCCGTTGTCACATTTAAATTGTATTATGTTTTAATAGTCATTTGAGTGCTGTTTCTGTGAGCAAAGCTGCTGCTCAATTTGCAACACTTTTATTAACTTGTAACATTTTATCCAAAATGGGAAGCTATATCTAAGGAGGTGATTGGCAAGTTTACTGAGGTTCCTTTTCCTTGTGTTAAAAGACCAAGCCCCATACACTCTTCACTATGTAATTTAGTAGCCTAGGATTTCAATGGTTGTCTTAGATCCAATCATTTTGTCAGGTATCAAATAAACTCTACTTAAAACTGAACATTGCCCTTTTGGTGTTTGTCAGTAGGGTATTATTTAATTTAAGATAGCTTTAGCAATTTCCCTTTCAAAGCTTTAGCAGATACTTTGAGAAATAAATTTTCTCAAAGTATGTCCTTCCTGTCATCAAACTT
Organism: Homo sapiens; assembly: GCF_000001405.40. Classification (NCBI taxonomy): domain Eukaryota; kingdom Metazoa; phylum Chordata; class Mammalia; order Primates; family Hominidae; genus Homo; species Homo sapiens. The sequence goes on along the minus strand of NC_000003.12, from coordinate 174,349,209 downwards.
CTGTTATTGTGTGTTTTATTTCCATGGAAATACATTTCTTTGAATATAATTGTGCTTTTTAAAGAGTGTTATCACTTGGGGACATCTTTTCTCATTTATTACCTTGGAATCTTAAGAGAACAAGATAAAAATACCAGATTAATCTGTGGAGCACTTACATAAAACCTAAATATTTACATTTAAGGCAGGCCCCTTTTAAATATTTATTGATGAATAATAGTAAACATTGTGATACACTAGAATGGCAAAGGGTCATTGTACTGCTATCATTTTGGTGTAGACTAGGCAAAATAGAACTTCAAATTTTAGCAGGGGTTGGTTTAAGTATCTGGAGTGGAAGGAACACAATAATAGCATAACTGAAAAGTTAATTGGGGAAAAAGACACTCACTGACTCACTTTTCCTTAAATTGTTATCAGATTCCAAATTTCGTTCTCTCTTGCCACTTTTAGATGTTTGCCTCAGATATCCTTTATCTCTTTTCTTTTCTTCTTTTCTCCTGCCTTCCTGCCTTCCTTCCTTCCTCTCTCTCTTTTCCTTCCTTCCTTCTTTCCTTCCTTCCTTCCTTCCTCCCTTTCCTCCTTCCTTTCTTCCTTCCTTCCTTTTCTCTTTTCCCTCTCTTTCTTTTAGACACAGGGTCTCACTACATTTCCCAAGCTGGTCTCGACCTCCTAGCCTCAAGTGATTCTCCCACCTTGGCCTCAACACAACACAAACTGTTGTGATTACAGGTGTGAGGAATCACACCAGGCCAGGCCCCTTTTTCTTCTATCTTCTGTCTCTTTCTCTCTGCCAGACCCTTTTCCTACAAACATTCTAAAGTAATTTTTGTTCAAACACCATCTTCTTTTGAATCTTGTCCCTTCTTTCTATTACCTTGTAACTGTCATCCCATTTTCTTATAAACATGGCAAAACCTTACTCATTTACCATTCATGTTTCCACCCTCTGCAAGCTGACATTTGCAACTCTTTGAATCATTACTATCTTCATATTGTCAAATCTCTTTAAATTGTTTTTTGACATGAACTCTGTTCTGTGTACATACCCCATCTCCTTTCCACATGAGATGGCTTCTTTTTCTTGGCCTCTTAGATAGCGTTCTATTTTTTTTTTTTTCTACTTCTCTTTTTCTACTAAGCTTTTTCACTGTTAATGTTTTTGATCTCTCTCTCTCTCTTTTTTTTTTTTTTGATGCCTTCTCACTTGCCTGACCCTAAAGCATTGGTTTGCTCTCTCTAGCCTTCTCAATCTGTGTTTCTACTGAGTGATCTCATCCATTACCAGGGCTGCAGCTCCCATTAATGTGCTGTTGAATCTGAAATCTAAATGAATCATACAAAGGAAAGCTGGACTACTTTAAGAAGAAAAAGCGGATATTCTGGGTAATAAAAATAAAAGGATATTTTTTGACAGATTATGAAAGAACAGTCAATACATGTGATTACAAAGTAGATTTATAGGCTCTAGCTATTAAAGAATAAAAAATCACCCAAGGCACTGAATTCAGAGGATGTAGAAGATAATGGAATTAGTACTTCCATTAAGATAAAGAGGCATAGTATGTTAGAGCTCATAGATACTCTTTCTTATGCTCTGGATGGAGCAGGAAGCTCTTGCCCTATAGTTTACAGGTTGCTTGTACTAAATACCAGAAAATTATATACTATGAATTTTTCTTACTATGAATGCAAGGTATGGGGCTTGTGGGACAAGGGGAGCAACTAGCAAACACTAACAAACATCAGGATTTCTGAATCAGTTGTAAACTATGTTATTACCACATCTCAAAGTGGCAAGGTGAGATGAGTAGGAAGATAAGATATAAAGGTAAAAAGGCCAAGACTTCATTGCTAATTTACTGGGAGTATTAAGCTGGGATGCTGAAGGCAAAGCTTGAAAATATTGCTTGAATCAGGAGTGGGCATTATGGGGTAGTTGTGGCACATTGGTCTGTAGTTAAGCTTAAGGAGACAGCCAGTTTCATGAAAAAGATCATATACAATATAGCATTAACCATCATATTTTAGATATAAAGGAAAATGAGAACTTCATTGATTAAGTAAACAGTCCAAAGTCAAGTCAAGGGTTTACTATCAGATCTAACATTTGAATTCAGACTACTGTCTTGCAGGCCATCATACCAGTCAGTCAGCCTCTAAAAAAATGAGCAGAGATTAGGGACATTTAAGAAAGTTCTTTCTGTTTTAAAACCATTTTAACAATGCTTTGCTCCAATCAAGTAAACATCAGCATTTATTAAACAAAGCACCATAATTCACAGGGAAAACCATAGGGTTTCAGGGTGGCTGACAAATATTTCCTTGCTCCTTCTACTGTTTTGCTCCCTGGAGCCTGTTCAGTATTGTTGGTCAAAGGGACAATTCACTCCTTTCAAAGTCTGTAAATTTAGTGTTGAGCTGCTCAGAAAATCATTCATCACACATAAATGAACAGCCAGATTGTTATTTACAAAACACTAAAAATCTTGGATAAGAACAGGAACACAAACTTTCTTTGAAGAATGTCATGTCTTTGCTGAGTGGGCCTCAGCAGTTTAAGGCCTACTTGGCCTCTGCTTTCGATAATTCATAGCTTATCCCCATTTGACAAGTCAAATAGATTTTTTTTTTTCAGAGAGATTATTCTTTTGTAGACTTTTTTTCTCATTTAGTTTGACTATTAGTAACTTAGAGACATTTAGAAATATTTCAAATGATCCAATATAATTAAAAATACAGTATAGATGAGCTGTATATTTTGAATGAGATTTTGTAATAAAGGAAGTCAGTCTTTGAATTAGAAAAGCCTACTTCATACATAGCCCATGCATAAATTGGCTGTTATCCCGGCTGTTCCATTCTCTCAGCATAAGAAATTACTATACAAAGTGCTATACAAAGACTCAGGGCTTTAAGGGAATAGGGCATGTTGATTGGGTTTTGGCAGTTGATGTTTTTCATTTCATTTTGTTATGCTACCTGACATTTCTATAATTAAAATATCCAGGCTAAAAAATACCGAATAAAATTGCAAACATTTCTGGGAATGTTAAATGGTATGTAGGCATTTACATGTTAGTATGAATTAATTTAATCAGATTGTTTGCCTTCTAAACTCAGCAAGGGCCTTGACAATATGAATTTGTTTGGAGAGAAGAAATCAAATAATGTGAAAACACAGAACATGTTGTTGTAGACTAGGCCTGGATGGGTCACGTGGTGAGACAGGAAAGGGCACTGATCTATTTCAAGAAAAGAAATTTTTAGAAAACAAAACTATCTTTGTCCTCATCGCAGGCACATGTATGTACTCACATGTGCATACACACACGCACACACAGAGAGGTTATATTAAAGATTTCTGGGCCGGGCATGGTGGCTCACACCTGTAATCCCAGCACTTTGGGAGGCTGAAGAGGATAGATCACTTGAGGTCAGGAATTCAAGACAAGCCTGGCCAACATGGTGAAACCCCATCTCTACTAAAAAAAAAATACAAAAACTAGCCAGGCGTGGTGGCACATGCCTGTAATCCCAGCTACTCGGGAGGATGAGGCACAAGAATCGCTTGAACCTGGGAGGCGGAGGTTGCAGTGAGCTGAGATCTCACCACTGCACTCCAGCTGGGCCACAGAAGAAGACTCCATCTGGAAAAACAAAAGATTTCTGTACCATTAGGACAAAGAACTCAGGAAATACTAATACCACCATAAGGAAGAGCTATAAGTGACTTAAACAGCTTTTATGGGCTGGCCTATAACATCTTTCTGACTTTCAAATTACAGACAAAATATAATAAACCATTATATTATAATTAATGTATACATTTTAGAATCTCTGGACAAGATAAATAAAAGTTCTCTGGATAATGTTTTAAATGATAATTTTTTGTTTTTAGAATTTCATACCCAAGAAGACTTTCTTTCTTGAAGAATAAGTTTCCTTTAATCAGGTAATAAGAATTTTGTACCTATTTTGTTCTGGCCTCCAGCAAATTCAAATATAAGACCTAATCACAGTAACAAACCTGTTATGCCGCTCACGCCTTCATATTACTTTGATTCTCAATTTCTATTTAAGCAGCCTAATTAGAAGAAGCCTTAACTCTCTATTATAAAAATGGTAACTAAGAAAAGACACAAGAAGAAACAGAACTTTTTTATGTATTATGTGGTTGTACATGCATTATATTAGTTATTCCTCCCAACAGGTTATGACATAGGTCTTATGATCCCATTTTGATAAATCAGGAAGCTGGGTTCAAACAGATCTGAAGTGACAAGGTTGACATTCAGACTTCTCAATATCTAACCAGTTTATTGAATGAATCATATCCTAATAGTTTATAATCAGGACACAGCTTTATTTTTCTTCTACGTTTGCATTCCAAAATGCTCCCTTGTGTCTCCCCGTCTGTTGAGGAGATTGCACAAATTTTGAGTTGCTTTTAACTTAAGGACATTTTTCATTTTCAAGTATTACCAAGTCCAATCTTTCTTAAAGCAAATCTTCAAACGCTTGTCAACTCAAAGTTTTCCCCATGCTCCAACTGAGACCTCAGCTGAGCATCAGAGATTTGAAGGGGTAAAGCCAGGGAAATGTCATTTTCTTGTGTTTTCTAGGCTTTTCCACTATTCCTCTCCACTTACTCAGCAGTTGGCTACTTCAGAGTCAGGGGAGGCTGGAGAGGGATGGAAGTAGGAGGAAAAAGCAATATCTTCCTTGCAGTAGTCTGTCTGTCAGTGCCCCTTTCAATGAAGTTTCCAAATGCTGGCTGACACAGGGGATTCACTTTCTGACTGACTTCTTTAAACTTCACTTCCTCCACTGTGAGGCATGTTTTCAGCTTTTCCTATAGGATGTCCTTTGGCAGGGCCCATCAGTATGTTTTTAACCCTACCTTCTGAGGAATCAATTCGGCATAAGGGAGTTCAGACATCTTTGACTGGCCATATATACAAGTGCAGTCTGATCCCTGCTGCTGTGCTCTCTACTTGTCTTGCCATTTAAATCAATTTAGCCATCCTTGCACCTTGAGCATTCTCCAGGTGAGAGGCAGGGACCAGCTTCCATGTTTACACATGCCCTGCAACACATGTCAGGTCCTCCCAAATAGCCAGCTGGGGAGTGAGATGCTAGAGTCCCCTTTCAGACATTCCTAATATTTATGTCAATTCTGTCAGCAGTCTTCTCACTTACCTTGAGGTGGAGAATGATATATACATCAGTAGGGCTGATAACCTTACACCCCAATTAGCTTCTTTGATGAAACAGCTTTCTTTTATATAGCTATGTTGAGTAAGTTGCTGGATTAATTTTGCTGTCTTAAGTTAGTCCAACATGGTTGTGTCTAACACTTTCCTTTAGAATGTAGGGAGTATATATAATCTATTTTCCTTAGTCTTGGGGTGTTGGCTGAAATTCAGAAATAATAGAATAAGCCTCATTTAACACTTTGTTGTTTTGTTTTTAAATTTCATAGTCTTTTGCCTATAACATACTGCTTCTGAAAATTCACCTTAGGTAAATCTACTCCATTCTTCACATCTTTAGAAGTTTATTATGACAAAACATGTATATTAATCTATAAAGTGAGAAGACTTTATATTGTAAAATTTGTTTCTACCTCTGTTGTCTTTTACAAACATAAGATATGTTTTCTGCTACAAATATAATGCTAACTTTCAGCTATAGATTGCCAAATGTCAGCATTTGCCAAACTCAAGATTTCTTTGGAAATATTTTCAAGCAAGCATTGAAGGCTTTATTGCTTTAACATGGCCACTAGTTGGCCAGTCAAAAGCATTCTGCAAAGAACTGTTAATTGGAAAAAGGTGTGGGTCTTATTTTGGCTTTAATGCTATGTAGCTGTGTGAACTTGAGAAATATGTTAACCTCTTTTCCACTCAGGGTTCCTATAATTAAAGACTCTTACTAAGTAATCTTTATAGCCACAAGAGGTTAACCATCCACATAGTGCTTAGATGAACCATTTGAACCAAGCACTGAAATCCTTCTAAATAAAGCCAGAGCCATCGGAGCTGTTGAGTAGAAAATAACCCCTGACTGATAATACGTCTGGACAAGCCATTATCCAGGAGGGGTTGCTTTGATTTCAGTAAAGTGAAGTGCTAATCTAAGCAGTTAGTTTTTCAGAGTTTCCAGAGACTAAAGAGGATGCATACCAACAAAATGAGCACACTTACAGAGCATTTATTTGTCAAACGGCCAATACAGTGTGTGTGTGTATGTGTGTGTCTGTGTGTGTGTGCATGTGAGAGAGTGAGTGAATATGTTTGTCTATTCACAAAGTAATTAATATATAATATGCTGATAAAATTTCCACAAGTAATAAACTAATATTTATAAATAAGCAGGTCTCAAAATATAGATGAATATCTATTAGCTTCAGGATAAAAATCAAACTCGATGGCATAGGACCTCCATGGCCTGGCCTCTGATGCCCTCTTCACACTCATCTCTTGCTTTGCCCTGACTCAAATTCTATCCTTTGATCATACTGAGCTACTTGTTCTTGCTCGAAAACATCAGGATTTCAGCCTCCATAGCTTTTCATGAGCAACTTCTCTTATCTATTGTTCTAGTTATCTACTGCTGGGTAATACATCATACTAACACTTACTGGTGGTCCTGGGAGTTGACAGAGCTTAGCTAGGTGGTCCTTACTCAGTGGAGTCACTCATGGGAATGCAGTCAGTTGGTGGCTAAAACTGTAATTGTCTGGGACTTGCTAACTCACATGTCTTGTACCTGGACTTGAAAGACTCAGACAGCTGAAATCTAGAACAGCTGGGCTCTTTGGATATTCCTCTCTCTGTGGTCTTTTGATATGTTCTCTCCAGCATGATAGCTTCAGCAGAGTCAGACTACTTACACGATGGCTCAGAGGTTTAAAATGCTTGTCTTAATAGAACAAGAGTCAGGTGGAAGCCATATCATCTTCCACGGCTAGTCTAAAAAGGCTTGCAATGTCACTTCTGCTGCATTTTATTTATTAGAAAGGAGTTGCTAAGGTCGATTTATGTTCAAGAAGGGGGAATTAGATTCCACTTTTCTATGGGTGGAATGTCAAAGAATGTATGAACATATTTTCAAACCACCATGTGCACAGAGCAAATACCTATTATCATATTTTGAGACTCCTGTCTACAGTCGTCTCTCTTATGAAGGCTTTGGACCATGTTCATATTTCACCTTACCTCTTACCCTTTCCCAAATTGACCATTTGCTTCATTATACTTCTATTATTTCTGTACTCTATTCTATTATTACAAGTATGATTTTTTTGTGTATCTATATTCATTTATGCTTGTCTGGTCTATTAGAATACAAATGTCTTAACTGTGAGAAATGTTTCTATATTCTGTTAGCTGTGTTATTTAGCTCAGTATCAAAAAAAAGTCTGTTAATTGAATGATTGAACTGAATAAAGTATTGAATAATAAATATAAGAGAATATAAAAAGCTTATATAAGCCAGAAAATTTATTTATAACAAAACAGACTTACTTTTTAAATGATGCAAAATCACTTCTTTCAATGCTAAGGACATTTTGCTTTGGGCTTTATGAAAAATTATAATTGGTTTACTACTTTGTGTATATTGATAAACAAGTGACTAGAAACCCCAAACTTATTTTTTTCTCATTAGCATTATGGTCATTGAAAGCAAATAATCACATGCCCAGAGCTCATGTCCTTAGTTCTGAGGCCCTGAAAACAATTAGTGAATTCTGTGGAATATACTCATCTTCTTTCTCTCAGAACTTAGTACACATTCATCTTGTGACTCCTACAGTGCTGATTACAAGAGCCATCAAATATCCATAAAAGCCCAATACAGTAATAGAAGAAGGAGCTTTTCCAAGATGAATTTAAGAAGTGATGGATTTGCAAAATGTAATGGTTAACTTCCTGGCAATTGTATAATGAATGATAAGCAGAAATTAAGTAATGCACTTCTATTTGCTTTAGATTTATATGTTTGCCTTTTGGGTACATGCTGGCCATTGAAATTGACAGCATTAATCTTTGGCATCTTTATTTCATCTCCTATATAAAAGCTAGTTAAAAAAGATGTTGCAACTCTCACCCAAATTAGTGAAAGCAAGGTTATTTATATTTAATTTTCCCAAGTGCCAGACTTTTTACTTCTCATACATTTCTATATCAATATTAGCACTTTGGATATTAAGAAATTTAAAAAGTTGAATAGTTTACTGGCATATTTCAGCAACTCAAGATCTCTGCCACCCGCGATTATAATTGCATGGGGAGTAGATAATTAGTCTTTAATAGTAAAGGAATAGTAGGGGTCACATTTGGCTCAGAGTCATGGGTAGCCTTTTCATTAAATATCACCCTGTAGTCATTACTCACTGCACACTTTAGCAAGGCAGTTGATGAGGAAGGACATTGGAAACAGGGACATTGCCATCAACAGGCAGAGCACGCACATGCTCAAGAGTGTAATTTGGTTCAACTAGTACTTGGAGACACTTACTGTCACATTATGCCAACCTACAACTAAAAAGAGTTTAGGGGATAAAAACTATTGTTTAGAGAAAATGTGTGGTTGTCTGATGGCACATACTTCAAATTCTGTTTACGAAAGCTAAGTAAGAGATTCCACCATTCTATTGTTCCTTAGATGAAATTTGGAACAATTGAATCCCACAATTTAATGTTTCATCAGGCAATACATGCACCAATGTCGATTATTCAACTAAAGTGATATGAAGTGAGAGATTTGCTCCATCATTATACAGAAAGATTTAACATAAATGGAGATGAAAGCAGGGCTCTCGTACTAATTTCTCTGTGCCTTTATATATAATATGAAGAACATTTTTACACTTGATTTCCACCATTGTCATTTTTATTTATTTTTTGCTTTGCCTGTTCAGAAATAGATATAACTATGATCACTCAGGTCAATTTTCAGAAATTTTAATCCCCATATCTTGGCTTTAATATTTTTGGTGCGTTTGTAAAATGAAAAACAAAACCCCAGATCTCAAGAACCCAGTTATATGTGGTGTTCGGTTTTAGCACACATAGATGACTTAAGATGATTTATCTCTGTCACACTCTATCAGCCACACCCCTCTCAAGTTTTCATAAAACAAAAATACACTCCAATAAAATGGTGAGCATACACGGTGAACACATCTCCTAGACAAGTCTCTTAGATCCTGATTTCAGCCAAAGTATTAACTCCCATGTCTTTTCTATACAGAAGTTCTCAAGTTGCCACTGGTTACATTATTTCCATTGGAATACCTACTCCTATAAAGACTTTCTAGTTCTTCATATAAGTACTTGTAGCGAATGAGAGAAATAACAAGCTTGGATAGTTCTCATTTATGAAAATCCGTGATTTAAATTATGATGAAAAGGTAACGTCAGAAATCTGTTATGTCTCTGAGAGGTCTGGAATGAAAATTATTGAAAGAGAATAAAAGGGGCCAGGCATAGTGGCTCACACCTGTAATCTCAGCACTTTGGGAGGCCAAGGCAGGTGAATCACTTGAGGTCAGGAGTTTGAGATCAGCCTGGCTAACATGGTGAAAACCTGTCTCTACTAAAAACACAAAAATTAACTGGGTGTGGTGGTGAGCACCTGTTAGTCCCAGCTGCTCTGGAGGCTGAGGCACGAGAATTGCTTGAGCCCAGGAGGGAGAGGTTGCAATGAGCTGAGATCTTGCCACTGCACTCCAGCCTGGCCGACAGAGAGAGACTCCATCTCAAACTCCAGCATAGCTGACAGAGAGAGACTCCATCTCAAACTCCAGCCTGGCCAACAGAGAGAGACTCCATCTCAAAAAAAAAGGAGAATAAAAGAATGGGTAAGAACATTTGTATCTAATAATAATACTCATTTTAAGTAATTTTAGGGAGTTTTATAAACTTATATTTTGGGGAAATTCTCTGTTTTACTTCATGATTGTACTAGTTTCTGATCTGTATGTTGAGTTAGAGTGATGAGTGCTCGTATGTGATTGCAGCCAGTGAAGGTTTTCTCTCACTTATTAGATGGAAAAAAAGAATAGGAAACAAGACAAAAGATTGACTTCGAAAAGGGAGTCATAATTTGGAAAGTGACAGATAGCAAACATAGTCTCTTTACCTTACCTAAGATTGTCTACCATAGCTTCCCTTCTCCTATCTAATTTTTTTAAATTTGACTGCTGCCTTTCAGATGATCTTTTAGCTCTGTGTAACCTCTTTTATTTTTCCTTTTTTTTTTAAAAAAAAAGATACCTTAGTTTAAAAAATAATTATAAACACCTTATATCCACCATTTAGGCTCAGTGCTCAATCACATCTAGCCCCATTCCTCAATAAATTTACTGTTTATTTGGAAAAAGAAATAAGTGATTAGGTATAATAAAATGTTACAGGTACTTTAAAAAGTATGCTTCTGGTCACAGTGGCTCATGCCTGTAATCCCAGCATTTTGGGAGGCCAAAGCAAGAAGATTGCTCAAGATTGGGAATTTGAGACCAGCCTAGACAAGATAGTGAGACCCTGTCTCTACAAAAAAAAATAAATAAATAAAAATAAATAAGTAAATAAATAAAAGACACATGCATACATATAAAGTATAATTTAAAAAAACAGGGCATGGTCAATTAAATTTGTTGGGGAAAAAACAGAAGGGACAGGACAGAGATATCTTCATAGATGAAATTAGAGCTGAAGCCAAACAGATTAATGGGTGACTGCCAGGCAGACCATGAGTTAGTAGAGGACTCTAAGCAGAGGAAGCTGCAGTAACAAATAGCAGAGACATGAACAATACTGGCATATTTTGAAATCACAAGGGACATTGTGGGATGTGGCGCAGCACCTTAAAATTCCTCTGCAATCTCATTTCTAAAGTTGGAATGGGACAAGCCTGGAAGTACAGTGACCTGACAAAAAGTTGTTTGGGTAGCCCAGAAAGAAATTAAAGTCTGGATTAAGTAACATGGAGACACTGTGTAAGTTCAAGGAATTTTTAAGAATCACAATTTTCAAGACCTGGTGATTAGTTGGATATAGAGGGTAATGGAAGGAGGGTTTAAGAATCAATCCTAAATTTTTAGTCTAAGTGATCATGTTCATGACAGTTCTATTAGGTAAGATAGAAAACTCAGTAAAATTGCTCCCTGGCACAAATTTGGAAATAATGGTATTTGTGATTGCTTCCAATCTTCCTCTGAGACCCAAATGTTAATCAGAGAAAGACTGAGGGAGGAACCAAATGGGAGGAAGAACACGGAGCAGGGAGTAGTCGGGAAGTGAGTGCCTTGTGATTATTTGAGGCTTTCACAGTCAGGGTATGGTTCACTATATTTTTCACTATCTTTATTTTTGTGCCTATTGCAATTTTATAACATGACTTTTAAATTCACCTTGTAACAATATGACCTCGAATTTTAGCTGATAGAATTCTTTCAATCCAACATATAGTATTTTGGTGGTTCTATGTGTAGTTGGAGAATCAGGTCAAAGATGTGGAATTGAGTTTTGATATTGAATTTATGGCACTTATCAGCTATGGAGATGGAACCCATGAAAAGGAACATAAACATATGTATCTGAATGCCAGAGCTATTTGAGCTGCAAAAACAGATTTTTTGGCCATCGGTATATATTGGTACTTGAAACCACGATTATACTTCCTTCGGTAACTGACATTTTATAGAGTAAGCAGAAGAGGAACCCGCACAGAAAACAGAAAATATAAGCAGAAATATTTCACAAGATCAAATGAGTGCAGAGTCATGGAAACTGAAAGAATAGGAGTTGTTTTGAAAAGGAAGTGAGAGAGAAACATTAGAGTGGAAATTTCTCTTGCATTTCATAATTAGGAAGCAATTTGAAACCTTGCTTAGAGGGCAGATTGCAATGAGACAAGAAATGATTGAATCTAACAAATTGAGACTGAGCATATTCTTTCAAGATATTTGAACAAGAAAGGGAGAATAGAATTTGGAAGCACTTATTCAAATACATTGGGTTGGGAGGCTTTAGATGGAAGACACTTGAATCTGCTTATGACGATAGTAGCTAGAAAGAGGTCTAAGATTCAGGAGAGAAAGAGAGTAGACTATGGAGCAAATCTCCAGAATATTGATGAGAATTGAAAAATGTGCCATGACGAAGGCTTGGCCTTGAAAAGGGGGAAACACCTCCTTCTCTAAGGCTAACAAAGAGGAAACAATCCTGCTGCCCATGGATGTGGGCAAGTGTGCAGACAGGGAATCAGAAGTAAAGAGTGACCGTGGCTGATGGTCTCTCTTCTTTCAAGAGGATAGAATGGAGGGGTTGATTGAAGACAAACCATCAAAAATGGCTCTTGAATCTCAGTTAACACACATTTAGGCTGCTCGATGTGTGTTAGTGAGAATGCTACCAAAATATACCAAAGTACTTTATGTTTTATAAATATTATAATAAAAACACTCTGTTGTCTTTGTTACTAGAAAGAAGTAATGAGAGAAGACTTGCTATTAATAAAGGGAGCACTAGACTAAGAGTCTATAGAGCTGGCTTCTGATTATAGTCTTGTCATATTTCTAACTAGCATGTTACACAAGACAATATAACAGGTTTCCTATCTGAAAAGGAGAGAATTGAATGAAATTATTTCCCAACACCCTTTCCTAATACAAACCTAACATTAACAGTTTTTATTTTGATAAATGCAACTAAAAAGTATATAGAATTGCCTAACTACACTATTTAATTTGTACACCCATGTCATGCTGTGGAACCCTGGTAGCTGGAGACTTAATCTGTAGCGTCAGGCTTGGAATAAAGTTTTTAAATTTATTTTAAAATATTTACAGCATTATTACTTTGAGTCAAATACTATGCTAGGTGTTGTGTGAATAAAAAAGCATATTCAATGAGTTTGGATCCTCAAGGGAGCTTACAAACTACTGAAAAAGTGGAATATACATCTTTCAAATGTTGAAACTATAAAACCAAGACATGAAGAGACAATAAACATTCCAAGACTGAGCATAACAACAGAGATAGTCTTTGTTCCCAGGCTGTTTGTTAATTGCCAGAGACATTGGCTGTTAATTGGCCAGGACATTTTCCAGTTCAGTTCATGTGATGTGCTTCTAGTTCCCACTTGTCTACTAAATCTGTTGCTGCCATAGCCTAGAGAGATTCTAAAAGTACTGTAGAAGACTACAGAAATGTTATCTCCCTGCAGAGGGAATTGGTGTGGGCATGAACCCATGAGCAGTTTAATGTCATTCAGCTTATGCTGTGTGTTATCCTTGAGCTAACTAAACTCTGCCATCAGAAACAGAGTTGCTGCTTGGGGGATGAGAATTGGGGGTTTTAGGTGTAGTATTTTATTAAACTTGGCATTAACTCCTCCTCAGCATATCTAAAACCAAGTGAACTTGAACGTCCCTCCCTCCATCTCTCCCTCCCATTTTTTTTGTTCTTTCCTGTCTCTCTCCCTTTCTTCCTTCATTTGCCCATCTAGTCTATAGATTTTTATCTCAATGTTGTTGGGCCCTGTAGTAGATGATAAAGATACAAAGGTATAAGTATGATTTATTTTTCTCATAGAGCTTATAACCATGGGAAGAATACACAAATAAACAGTAATAATGCACCTCAATAACTGTTTGGGAGTATTGTGCAATAAACAGGGAAAGGAGGGAGGGGAACAATAATTGTCAAGAAAGACATTCTGTGTTGGGTCTTGAAACATGGCTGTGTGTGTGTGTGTGTGTATGTGTGTGTGTACACGCACATTTACTCTCTTGGAAGAACTTACTGCATGTGTAGAAGTCCTGAGGCAAGAAAGGGCCATGCATGGGTTTTGATGGAGTTTTGAGCATTCCACCTCTGCTCCAAATGAAGGAAGAGATGATGAGCCTTAATCTTACTTCTGCTACTCACCTGGCTAATTGCAGTATATCCCTCCTTCTCTCCTATTCTATCACATTTACTTTCCTCTTCAAATGACAGTTTCATCAAGGAACAACTCATCCACACATACACCCATAGGTCCCAGGACCTTGTCTTAATCTATTTGCCTACTAAAAGGAAAAAAGAATAACTATTTTTTTGGTAGAGAAAGTGTTGTCACATATTTTTATTTCCCTGATGACAGCAGGGAAGGGTAATTGTGGAAGTGCCAGTGGCTTGGCAGGACTGTAGGATACAAACAGGATTGCAAAGTATGGGATTGGAAATATAGACAGGAGACTATCCTGAGCTGCCAAGGATGCCATACCAAAAGAAGGGATCTCACCATAAATGTGATGGGAAGCATTGAAGATATTCAAGGAGGGGAGAGACACAATCAGATCTATATTATATAATGCCATGCTTCATGTTATATTTAGTAGTGTATAGCAAAGAATTTGGTCTTGCCCACAGAGAGATCTTGTCTTCAGCTTCTGGGAGGTAATACATGTCAAACCTGGTAGGATTATCTTTGTTCAGGATTATCATGCAAAAATGGCCCAGGGCCAACTCTCTAACGCCCATTTTTCAGGGTGGGGACTAGCTCACCAGATCTTAGGGTGGGGCCAGACACGCCCAATAGTCTTAGGGTAGTGATTGGCTTTGTAAGAAAGACCAACCCTATCATTTTGGGTAGGAGTTTTGGGTTATGTGATATCAGTCAACCTGGAGGCTAAGATTAACCAAATGGGCAATCAATCAATCAATCAATCAATCAAAAATGCCTTAGTGATGGTGCTCTAGTAAGAATTCTGCATGCTAAGACTTGGGTGAGTTTCCCTGGTTGGCAGTGCTTCATGCATTTTGTCATACACTGATGCCAGGAGAGCAATGCATCCTGACTCCATCGGAAGAGGACAATGACAGGTCACATTTGGAACTTACCTTGACTCTGCCCTATGCCTCTCTTCCTTTAGCTGATTTTAATCTATATCCTTTTCCTGTAATGAATCATAACCATGAGTATAACAGGTTTCGGAGAGTTTTATGAGTCTTTTCAGAGAAATATTGAAACTGAACAGGGTTTTGTGAATGCTACCCATCCCAGTCCCCTCCTCAACTTATAGTTGGTGTCAAAATTCGGGGCAGTCTTGGGAACTGTGTCCTCTAATTTTATACTTGGCTGAAACTTCTTGCACATAGTAATTAAAAGTATAGGCTTTGGAGTCAGACAGACCTAGATTTAAATTCTAGCTTGGTTACTTTGCAACCTGTGTTACCTCTCAAAGCTTTACTTTTTTTTAACAGTAGCAGATGTCTTTGGTGCTCTGTGTCATCTCTTCTTGGTTTACATTGGATTTAGTTGCAGCTGTGGTGAATAATTCCAAGTAAGCTTAGACTCACCTTTCTCAGGCATTGTTCCAATTCAAGTGTGTGCTGTGTATCTTTTCTCCTTCTGTCCCTGGGCCATGGGTGCCTCTCAACAAATGAAAATATGGTCCAGGGCCAACTGTCTAACAATGGGGACGGCAGCTATAAATAAACATCTCAAACTCTTATATTTCAGATGGGCACTTCTTGGATGCATTCTGTTGATTTCTCCAATATACCAGCGTCTGTTGCCTGTAGGATCAACCAGGATATTGGCATTGGCTTTTCTGCCCCATTACCTCACTTCTTTTGACATAAGACCTTTCACATTCTCTATTTTAAAATCTAAATGAAGACCCTGTCACATACCTTTTATGAGGATTAAGTGAGATAACATAATTACTTAAAAGAGATTAATGTAGTATTTAATATATAAAGGCTGCTATTAGAAAATGACATAAATCAAAGCAATATTTATAGGGATGGTAAGAAGGATTGATTTGAGAGATTCAGGGAATTGAGTAGAGAGATTTATTTTTTTAATTTTTATACTTTATTTTTAATTGATGCCTAATAATTGTACATATTTTGAGGATACATAGTGATGTTTCAATACATGCAATGTGTAGTAATCAGATTAGGGTAAATAGCATATCCATCATTTTAAATATTTATCACTTCTTTGTGTTAGGAACATTCAATATCCTCCTTCTAAATATTCAAAACTATATTATTGTTAACTATATGCATCCTAAAGTTGCGTAGAACACTAGAAGTTATTCCTTTTATCTAGCTATAATTTTGTATCTTTTTATAAATCTCTCTGTATCCCTCTAGTGTTCTTTGCTCTACTTTTCATTTCTATGAGACCGGTGGGTATTGTTTTTTAGTTTTGTTTTTTTTTTTTTTTCTTCCACATGTGAGTGAGAATATGAAGTATTTAATTTTTGGTTCCTGGCTTATTTCCCTTAAGGTAGTGATCTCCAGTTCCATCCATGTTGCCGCAAATGACAAGATTTTTTTTGTTTATGGCTGAATAGTATTCTATTGTTTGTATATACCAAATATTCTTTCTTAATTCATCTGTTGTTGGACATCTATGTTGATTTCATATCTTGGCTACTGTGAGTAGTGCTGCAATAAACATAGGGGTGCAGATTTCTCTTTAATATACCGATTTTCTTTCCTTTGAATAGATGTCCAGTAGTTGCATTGCTGGGTCATATGGTAGTTCTATTTGTAGTTTTTGAGGAACCTTCACACTGTTCTCCATAGTGGCTGTAACAACTTATATTCCACCAATAGTGTACAAGAGTTTCATTTTCTCCACATCCTCGTCATCAGCCTTTGTTATTTTCTGTCTTTTTTATTTGTATTTTTAGAGACAGAATCTTGCTCTGTCACCCAGGCTGGACTGCAGTAGCATGATCATGGCTCACTGCAGCCTTGAGCCCCTGAGCTCCAGCAATCCTCCAGCTTCAGCCTCCTGAGTAGCTGGGACTAAGGCACAAGCCCCTGTGGTTATTTTATTTTATTTTTGATAATTGCCATCCTAAATGGGGTAAGATGATACCACATTGTTGTGTTGATTTGCAGTTCCCTGATGATGAGTGATACTGAACATTTTTAAATGCATTTTTTGGCCTGATGTATGTCTTCTTTTGAGAAATATCAGTTCAGATCATTTGGCCATTTTTAAATTGGATTGTTTGGGTGTTTTACTTTTTTGTTTGTTTGTTTGTTTGTTTTTTGCTGTAGAGATGTTTGAGTTCTTTGTATATTCTGGATATTAATCCCCTGTCAGATGACTAGCTTGCAAATATTTTCTCCTGTTCTGTAGGTTGTCTTTTCACTCTGTTAATTGCTTCCTTTGCTATGCAGAAGCTTGTGAGTTTGCATAGTCCCATTTATTTATTCTTTCATGCCTATGGGTGGGGACCAGGGAGTATTTCTTTCTTTTGTTGGTTTTCCTTTACTCTGCTCATGTTCTTACATACAATTCCTTCATTAAATATTCTTCAGTTACCCCATTTGAATGTGTGACCTGTTGAGAAGAAGCCCATGAGAAAGGCAGCACATATAGGATTGAGACAATAATTGACATAGGGAGATAGATATTGAAAAGCTGAAAAAACATGATTTCAAAATTTCAAAAAGCAGTGGCTTTTCACACAGGTACCAGTGTTATTTCTTTAGTAACATGTGTCGGCTCCTATCACTTCCCTATCCCCAAGCTCTTCAGGGACTTCCCATGTTATTCAGAATGAAATCTACAACTTTGACCGGGTGTAGTGGCTCACGCCTGTAATCACAGTACTTTGGGAAGCTGAGGTGGGTGGATCACTTGAGCCCAGTAGTTCAAGACCAGCCTGACCAATATGGCAAAAAACTATCTCTACTAAAAATACAAAAATTAGCCAGGTGGTGGCATGTGCCTGTAGTTTCACCTACTCAAGAGGCTGAGGCATGAAAATCACTGGAACTCAGGAAGCAGAGGTTGCAGTGAGCCGAGATCCCATCATTGCACTCCACATTGGGCAACAAAGCGAAACTCTTAGAAAAAAAAAAAAAAGAGGAAGAAGAAATATACAGCTTCTTCCATGGCAACCAAGTCCTATGATCAGGTCCTCTAACTTACTGACCTCATTTCCTTCTACTCTCCATCTTGCTTACTCTAAAGTAGCGTTCTTGCTCTTCCTCTTTCCCTCTCAACTGGCTTTCTTGTTATTCCTGAAGCAAGACAAGCACTACCCCTCCTCATAACCTTTGCATTTACTGTTCTTTTTGCCTGGAAGTGTATTACTTGCTCATATCACTACCCAACATCACCTATCAGAGACAACTGTCGTGACCACTCTCTCTAAAATAACATCTTTCTGCCACTATCATTCTTGCTTTTCGTATCCAGATTTATTTTTCTTTATAGTCCTATCACTACATAGCACTTAAACTCTATGATAGATGGCTATTTATCTGCTCTATTCCTAGAGCCTATAGTAGTACCACGCATACAATAGATGATCAACAAATATTTCTGAATGAATAATGGGAGAAACAACTTTTGACAGTAACCACCTCTTCTGCTGAGATAGGTACTTGTACATCTATAAAGTAAAAATTGATATCTATCTATCTATGTATCTGTCTATCTGGCATCGTATCTGCAGTCCAGATGAAGATATACAGTATTAAAAAATCCCCAGTCTCTATTATCATCAAGATGAGTAATGCTCCATTTAACTGTAAAATGGCAATTTCATGGTATGTGAGGTGTGGTGGCCATGATAATGCCTCTCTCTGATCTCCAACTGGGGAGAAGATAATTCAAATATTACCCCAGCTGCTGCACTCTGGAATTCCACACTGCATTCCTGACAATGCAAAATTTCCTGGAGCTGTTCCCAGAAGATGACTGAGTGCATCAGGAACACTAAGGCAGGCTCATTACTGGGGGATGTTGGACTAATATGATGGACAACTTTAGTTTGAGGACTCCCCATCAACATTACTAAACTTTTTTAGAATTGTGCACTAGTCCAAGACTTGTCCACACTACTTTCACTCTTTTCTTATCTCTTTTACAAGAGTCAGACTTGCGTTAAAGTTTCTTGATTCTTCCAATCTCCCTTAGCTTCCTCCTAGGCACTCCTCCTTAGAAATATTTTAGATGTTTAATTCTATCTTGGCTTGTGCTTCTTCACGACTGGACTAGCAAATGAAAGAAACTCATCCCAGGGCCCAAGAGGTGTCTCCATCTTAGGAAGGATTTTGATCACAAATTCCAACATATTCAGAAATTCACTATCCAAACCAATGGGTTCTGAAGAGAAATTTCCTCCATTTGTTTTTTTTTTTTTTTTTGAGACAGAGTCTCACTCTGTCGCTAAGGTTGGAGTGCAGTAGCATGACCTCAATTCACTGCCACCTTTGCCTCTGGGGTTCAAGCTATTATCCTGCCTTAGCCACCTGAGTAGCTGGGATTATAGGTGTGCGCCACCATGCCTAGATAATTTTTGTACTTTGAGTAGAGATGGGGTTTCGCCATATTGACCAGGCTGGTCTCGAACTCCTGACCTCAGGTAATCCACCTGCCTTGGCCTCCCAAAATGCTGGGACTACAGGCGTGAGCCACTGCACCCAGCCATTTCCTTCCATTTTTTAAACTAGTGCCATTATTCTCTTTTCTGATCCTCTACACTACTAATTTGTCCATCTCTTCCGCTGCAGTTCTCCAAGCTGTCAGAAAAAGCAAAAACTTCTATCATAGTTTTAGAACATGCAAGTTGGCCTGAATGCCTCTTCATTTGAGAGTCATATAATGAATCACCAACAGATAATAGTGAACTATGCATCTGGCACCAAAAGTTGTTATTTAAAGGGTGTGTGAATGATTCGTTGGCATTCTAGAAATGGCAAAAATGCAGAAAAATTTGATTTGATGTAGGTGGGATGTCAAGCTGTTGGACTTTAGTCCATGACCTGCTAATGAACAGCATATGGCCTCTGATAATTTCCAGTTTGGAGTGTTTCTTCCTTTATCCTGCGCTTTGGGTTCTTTTCTCTGTCCTCCTCAGAGGTTTCACTTTTAAATCTTTTCTTCACTCTCACATAGTACATCTGCTGCCTCTCAAATGGATTTTTCTCTGAAGTGTATAAACATGCTTAGTTGTCTTCCATTTAAACAAACAAACAAATATGACACAAAAGACCATACCTTCAAACATTCTCTACTTACCTTGCAGAAATGCTATGGGCATGAAATAGAAGTGGCTATAAACTCAATGCAAGTAGGATTATGTCTAACTTAATATGTGCTCAATATTCCTAGTCCCTTGCCTGATGGCTAGATCATGACCAAAAAGAAAAAAAGAAACAAGTAAATAAATGGATGACTAAAATGAGATAACATGCTTTTTGAAAGATAATGCATGTGCTTTGAAAGTGGTGTACAATAAAGGCATACATTATATTAATTTTTATCTTCTTTTTTAGCAAACTTTTACTAAAGTATAAAATATATGCAGAAAATATAGCACAGTTCAATGACTTTTCAAAACATGTACACACTTTTGTAGCCAAGACCAAGATTGAGGAACACCATATGACTGGTATCCAGTACCTCAGAGTTTCTCTTCTTGTTCCAGTCACTGCAAACCTCCACCCATCAAACTCTTTTGTGTCCAATTTTGTTGACTCAACATGTTGTTGGGACGTTTTATCCTTATTATTTTGTGCCGTTAATTCGTTCTCATGACTGTGTACTATTCCATTGTATGAATATACCACAATTTATTTGCCAATTTTACTATAGGCATTGAGGTTATCTCCCATTTTGAGCTATCATGAATGGTTCTTCACTGAATATTTTTGGACATATCTTACAGTAGGCATATTTATACTTATTTCAGTTGGGATTATATCTAGGAATGAAATTTCTGGGTCGTGTAGTTGTTTTTTAAGGCTACATATTAAAATGTATCCTGTAAACACCCCTACAATATTTAGTGAGGAATAGAAACTCAAAGTCACTCAAGTAAAAAGGAGTTTATCAAAGCTGCACAAACTCCAAGGAATAAAAAATAGGAAACTATCAAAAGGGGACACATAAACTCAGAAAGTATAGCATTTCATGTTTAAACAGCTCTACATACTTCAGTAGAAGAAGCATTTAAAATTTTATAACTTGGATGCTTATTAGAAGGCCAATGAGTCATCAAGAGCAAGTTAAATTGGTAAGGGTGTATAATACATTTTAGAAAAAAATTTTATTAAAATATTAAGATATAATTTTGTTCTTAATGAGAAAAATATTTAACAATATGGGAAAATCTACCCCAGTCCTACTTTACTAAGGAGTCTGAAAAGCTGCTATTTAATTGACAGCGGGGAAAAAAAAACTTTTTATATAATGAGAAAAAAATATAATGGGAATACTTAAATTTACTGTTAGCATATTTTAACTTTATATTAATATTTTCATATATACTTTATATATTCATTTTATAATTATATATACACAGAAACCACTTAATAACTGTATTAATAAATTATATGCCTTTGTGTAATATACATATAATAAAATACAAGTAGAAGGACTTTTATTAAACTGTGTTCATTAAATATCTACATAGTATATATAACATGCATCACGTACATTTTATATTTATCAAAAGTTCTCATTGGCCACATGGTTGCTCAAAGGTGACAAATTTATGCTGTAATCTTTATTCTGATGTCCACAGTGATATACTACCTACACCATTAGGGAAATAATTACTGTGTTCTCTAGGTGCTTACACAGCTGACCTGGGGCTTTGTTATTTAACCTTCACTGAAATGTTTCATGAAGTTCAAGAGAAATCTATTATATTATTAGATAAGCATACCTGTCCCCTGGCTAGCTCAAAATGACATTGTAAGAATGAATGAGACTGTATCATTAAATATCTTTAAATACTAAAAAAAAAAAAAAATTAAATTGTGTAAATGGTTTAACTTTAATATGACCACCAAAGGAATATTTTGGGAGTTTGATTGTATTCCATTCAAAAATTATTAAGTTAGTAAATTAGTTTATAATGTTACTTTTACTAAATTCAAAGAGTAGTGTCTTGAATTAATTTTTGTGAGAGAGACTTTTTATAAAGTGAGATCCTTTCAGTTGCAAGTTTGAAAATCCAGCCCAAAGGAACTTAACTATTAAAGGAAATTGATTGGCTCAAGTAATTGAAAAGGCTGGGAGTGGTATAGCTTCATGAATGATTAGGTGTAGGGCCTCAAAGGATGGAATAAAGAAATGGTCACTCACTCACTCTCTTTCTTCTCAGTACTGCTTTCCCTTAGGTTATTATAATTCTTGAGCAAGGACTCCCTAGAGCAAATTGGGTCAATAGCATCTTAAAGTGTTTTTCAATCCTTGGGGAAATCCCAGAGGAAAAAGAGAGTTTTTCTTTCCCAATGGTTTTATGAAAGTCCTTGGACTATTGCTGGCCCTAAATGGTGATGTGTCCCCACATGGTCAGTGCTATGTGGCCTCTGTTAGCTAGGAGTGGGCCACCAGTATATCCTGGAGTCAGGAGGTAGTTTCAGTATTATGTTCCATATGCCGACTGGGAAATGACTGACTTCCCAAAGTAGGATCAGGTGCTTCTACCAGTGGCCAAGGCTAAAGGCAAAATCAGCAAGGCACTAAATTTCCTTTCTTACCCGTGTGGAGCCCATAAGTCAGAGAGTTCAAAAAGAGCCTGCCTCCAAACCCAGCTTGGTTTTTAACATTTCTCGAAGACTTACAAAACATTTAGCAATTTGTATTTCAATGTTCTTCCACTATAAATTACCTCCTGGGTTTGACAAAACTACTTGCCAAAATCTTATTGACTGTTTCAGAGACTCCTTGCAACATTTTCTCTCAGTGAGATCACAATTGTACACTTGTTAATTAGCATATTTGGGACCCATAATGGAACACTTAATGAATGTCTAAGACGAAATCATATAACCCTGTCGTGTTTGAGCAGAATATTAATTAGGAAGCTGTGAAGTTTCAGAGAGTGACACATTACAGCTCCAATAGTTAGAGGAAAACTAGACCAGTCAGCCTGATTTTATCTGTACAAGAGCTTCTCCACGAATAAAAAATTAAAAAGAAATTTAGAGCCCCAAGGGAAAAATTAAAGATCTTATAGAATGGCAGGAAAAAGTAACAAGGGCAAAGAAAGTCAAATTACAACAGATGTACTTTTTGGTGGGTCATTTGGATTTTGCTGGCGGGATAACCCCAGCAGGAGGGGTATTTTCACATCGTTTAGCAGAGGTCACAGCAGGGATGAGGAGTTCTAATCACTTTATTAGAATTGCAAAGTCATTAAAGGAGGCATGAGCATGTGGAAACTATTTATAGAAATATTCAATGAAATGCTTGTGTGACCACAAGAAGTAATGGAAAGTGAATGTTGCTCATGGACACATAAAAATAAAAACTTGATTTATTTTGGCTAAATAGATGGAATCATGAGATTCTCTTTGTTGAGGAAAATAATTGTTCTGAGAATGAGGTCTTATTACCATAAGCTGGCAGCTTTAGTGCACAATCTTGGACCATCTTCTCCAATTAAATTCTTATACCTCTTTGGTAATAGCAATTAAAATATTAATCTACCTTATAATGTTGATTGTAACATATGATCTTGGATAAAGTTCTTTAAAAACACTTCAGACTGAGAAATTTTGGACTATTTTGGGGCTCTGCTCTTCCTACTAATGATTTCCTAATGAATTGTTCAACCTGGTCACAACAGATCTTGGTGACTCTATGAACTTAACTCTGATATGTAAAATCTGCTGGTTCATAACACCGAGAGTTTCCAATGTCATTTATATACACGACTCAGGGAAATCAAAGTATACATAAGAGCAGCTCTGTTGGTATAACTCTAATTACTATAGGCAGAGTTGCTTTTGCGTAATCTGGGTACAGATTAGTTTGCTGTTTCTGCATAACAAATCACCATAAACTTGACAGGTTAAAAAAATAGCCACATTTATTACCTTACAGATTTCAGGTCAGAAGTCCAGGCATGGAATGAGACTGGGTTCTCTGCTTACAGTCTTCTGAGGCTTAAATCAAGTTATTGGCCACCTGCACTCTCAGTTGGGGTCTCTGGGAAAACATTTGCTTCCACATTTCATTGAGGTGTATGGCTGAATTTAGTTCCTTATGGACATATGACTGCTGTCCCTGTTTCTTTGCTTCCTATCAGCTGAGGGCTGCTCTTCACTCATTAAGGCTGCCTGTGTACCTCACCACATGGTCCCTTTCATCTTCAAATCCAGCAATGGAGAATCTTGTCAAATCTCTCTGATGTTTTGATCTCTGACTTTAGGGAGACTGCGGTCCCCTTTAAGGGTTCATGTGGTTATGTAGGCTCACCCAGGATAATTTTTCTTAAGATCAGCTGTCCCATATGTATAACCTAATCACGGGGGTAAGGTCCATTATACTCACAGTCTTAGAGATAATGCAGGATGTAGATACCTGCTAGTGGGCTTCTTGGGCAGTCATCTTAGAATTCTGCTTACTGTAGAGCAGGACACTATATTTCTTCGACCTAAATGTAGGTGGCCAAATATACGGTGGTCTAGGTTTCAAAAGAAGACGTCATTTTTCAACAGTTTTCAACCTGTTTTCAGTTATCCATCATTGCCTGCTCCCTCCATAACCATGAAAATTGCCAAACACAATATTAAGCCAACCCAGTATTAAGCAGTGGTTTTTGCACAAGTATCCTGGGGAAAATGTTGTTTGTAGATTTCTGGGTACCATACCTAAAAAAAATTTAGCTCAAAAAGTCTCAGAGAAAACCGAGGAATATGCATTGTAACAGTGATTCTGACATATGCAATCAGCAGAACACAGTTCAAGAAACACCACTACTTCCAAATCTGTGTATTGATCTGGCAGTCTAGTGTGGCCACATAAACTTCTCATAGCCTGGTATTCATAGCATTATTGTTCAAATGAAAATTGTAGGATTTCTGAAAATATTCGAGAACTAAACTTGAGATCTACTTTATTTACTTCTTGAAAATGCCAAACTATTCTAATGTAAGGCAACTTTGGATGTGAAACATAAAGCAGAAAAAAAAAGGTGCACATTACAAAATAATCACTTTTCTCAGAGTTTGAATGCGCTTCTTTGAGTGTCATCATTAAAAAAATGTCATTTAAAAAATGGGCTGTATTTTGTTAGATTTACATTAGGCATTCTTCATTGAGAGAAATATCAAAAATATTTGGCTACATTTGTCTTTTATTCACATGTAATGATGATCGCGGAACAAAACATGAAAAATGTGCTGTAGATTCTGCAATCATGATGGAATACATACAAATTGTTGTATATATTTTAGATGCAGTTTAAACATAGAACCAAAGGCGGCTTGATTTATGAACAGAAATGATGAATAAAAGATGAAGAATACCACAATAATAAGGGGCACACTAAAACAAAAATGCTTTTTTTAGACAACAACTTTTTTGAGTTACTCTGAGCACAAGGTTGTTTCATTTTTTCTTAATTCTGATGATTTCAGCTTATTTGTAGTTTATTTTCCAGCCCTTTCAGCTCATCACTAAATTAAAATTGATTTGTCTCTGGGAAGTATTAAATACTTTAAAGAAGAAATTGTACATTTCAACTAAATCATTTGCAAGCAGGCATGTAGTGAATTTCCCTCGTGATCATGACACTCTGAAAAACAACATAGTAGATACAAATTCAGGTACTGTCTTTAAAAATTATAATACATATAAACTGCTTACCTTGTCTTACCTGGGGAAATGCAAAGAAATCTGATTTTCCATTGCCATCAGTAACGGTGATCACCGTAATAAGTACATCTAAATATCCAGCTTCACTTCTACTTACCCATTCACATAAACAAGTATAATACAAATTTGTCACATTTCCATACCTACTAATTCTCCTGTTAGATAAAAATCTTGGTTTTCTGAAAGCAGAATTTCTTTGATATTAAAAAATTTAATATTGTTGTTACCAAGATTAATACAAATATATGTAATGATAATATATGATTGCTACTAAAGCAAGTGATTTCTAGAATAGTAATGTGGTTAATATAGTTAAAAATTTGGCATATATTGTATTTGTGGGGTTTTTTTTAACACAACTTTTTCATATGAATTTTTTTTCCGGGAAATAACTTTCATTTTTTTCAAAAAATTTATATCCTCCAAAATCATTCCTAAATGAATTGAAAGGCAGATTAGACTTCTCTTAGCCTAACTTCTCTCCTGAATTTCAAAACTACCCTTTCAACTGTGTTGAACATTTCACAAGAATGTCCTGCCTCAATCAAAATTTCAGCTTGTCTGTAATTGCCATCATTATCACGTCAACCAGTCACTTTTCCAATCTGGTGCTTCTTCCTGTATTATTCATCTTTATGTTTCTAGGTCTTGGCATTGGGAAACATTCAACATATGTTGAATGAATAACTTGCCTGCTCTCTATCAATGACCTTTCTCTTTTACCTGTTACTTAAATTTAAGCCCATAGAATTTTTTAGAAATGCTTCCTCTTTTAACCAACCATGTGAGGATAGAACCTGACAATTCAATCTCTGTAATCTCTCATGCTGCAATAGTCTTCTCTCTTATTGTTTTTGCCCTCAATTACTAGAATATAAGAAGGCAGGAATGTTAGATTGTATTGTTCACTATTTTAGCCTGAGCATAGTACTTGACATATAGTCAGTGCTCAATAAATATTTGTTGAATTGAATTGAATAAAAGGTTTATTGATTTTTGCATGGACTATTGCAATAGACTTTTTTATTTTATTTTATTATTATTATACTTTAAGTTTTAGGGTACATGTGCACAATGTGCAGGTTAGTTACGTATGTATACATGTGCCATGCTGGTGTGCTGCACCCATTAACTCGTCATTTAGCATTAGGTATATCTCCTAATGCTATCCCTCCCCCCTCCCCCCACCCTGGACTCCCTACATTCAGTCATTTCTCTAGCCCATCCTGCACATCACTGCCACTTAGAAACCACTATTCCCTTGTCTTGGTATGGAAATTCTCACTTATTTGAGGCACATGCCACTCTTTATCCTGCCTCATGGCTATCATTGATCAACTCTTGGCTATTCCCAACATTTAATTAAGCTTTGGATACATGAAACACATTTTTTCTTTCACTTCAAATTATTCCATCACTGCAAGTACTTTATTACCTACATGTGTGGCCATGCTACATCAAATATCACAGCTTCTAGTTTGCTGTATCATCCTTCTAGTAATTCTGGTATATCTTTTAACTTTATAGTAATTCTGGTATATCTTTTAACTTTAATTGTATGAGGAATTTTTATACCATTTTCCACAATGGCTGTAGCAATTAACATTCCCATTAATAGTGTAGCAGTGCTCCCTTTTCTCTACATTCTCACCAACACTTGTTATCATTCATCTTTTTGACAATAGCTATTGTACCAGATGTGAAATTATATCTCATTTTGGCTTTGATTTGTATTTCACTGATTAGTAATATTGAGCCCCTTTTCATGTATCTGTTGGTAATTTATATGTCTTCTTTTGAAAAATGCCTATTCAGCTCCTTTACCCATTTTAAAATCACATTATTTATTTTTTTGCTATCAAGTTGATTTCCTGATGCACTTTAGCTAAAAATCCCTTATCACATATATGGTTTGCAAATAATTTCTCCCATTTTAAACGTTGTCTCTTCACTTTGATGATTGTTTCCCTGGTTTTACAGAAGATTTTTAGTTTGATATAATCACATTTGATGATTTTTGCTTTCATTGTCTATGTCTTTGCTGTCATAACCAAGAAATTGCCAAATCTGATGTCATGAAATTTCTGTCTATGTTATCTTCTAGGATTTTTCTAGTTTTAGGCCTTATATTTAGGTCTTTGACCTATTTTGAGTAAATTTTTATATATGTTGTTAGGTAAGGTCCACTTCTGGTTGTGGACATCTAGTTTTCTTAGCAGCATTTATCAAAGAGACTATTCTTTCCCCATTTTGTGTTCATAGCCCCCTTGTTTAAGCTCAGTTGACTATAGCTGCATGGATTTATTTCTTCTCTCTCTCTGTTCTGTTTCATTGGTCTATGTGTTTGCCTTTGTGCCAGTGCCGTACTGTTTTGATTACTGTAGATTTGTAATATATTTTACAATCAGGCAGTGTGATTCTTCTAGCTTTGCTCTTCTTACTCAAGATTTATTTGGCTATTTGGAATCTTTTGTAGTTCTAGATAAATTTTAGATTTTTTTCTATTTCTGTAAAGAATGACATTAGATTTTTATAGAGATTTCATTGAAAATCTGTCGATCACTTTTGTTAGTATGGATATTTTCATGACGTTAATTTTTTCGGTCTAAGAACATAGGATGTCTTTCCATTTATCTGTGTCTTCTTAGATTTCTTCTGTCAATGTTTTATAATTTTTAGTGTACAAGCCTTTCACTTCTTTTGTTAAGTTTATTCCTAAGTATTTTATTATCTTTGTCTTGATTGTGAATGAGATCGTTTTTCTAATTTTCTTTTTGAATAGCTCATGGTTTGTGTATAGAAACATGCTGGATTTTTGCATATTGATTTTGTATCTTGCACTTTACTGAATTTTTATATTGGTTCTAACAGTTTTGTTGTCATTGAATCTTTAAGGTTTTTCTGTGTATATGAGCATGACATTTGCAGACAGAGAAAATTTTACTCTTTCTTTGTGGTTTGAATACCTTTCATTTTCTTCTTTTGCCTAATGGCCCCGGCTTGGACTTCCAGTACTATATTGAAAAGAGGTCATGAGACTAGGCGTTATTGTCTTGTACCAGATCTTGGAGAGAATGCCTTCAGTTTTCCCCTGTTGATTATGATGTGAGCTGTGGGCTTTTCATATATAGCCCTTTTTGGATTGAAGTAAGATCCTGCTATAATTATTTTGTTGGGAGTTTTAATCATCAATGGAGTTTGAACTTTGTCAAATGCTTTCTGTGTTAATTGAGATGATTATGTGCTTTTTTCTCCTTCGTATTGTTAACTTGTTGTATAATGTTGATTGACTTGCATATATTGAGCCACCCTTGCATCCCTGAGATAAATCCCTGTTAGTCATGGTGTATGATTCTTTTAATGTATTGTTAAGTTTGATAAGCTCGTATTTTATTTGGTACTTTTGTATCTGTGTTCATTAGGGATATTGGCTTGCAGTTTTCTTGTGTTATCTTTGTCAGGTTTCTGTATCTGGGTGGTGCTGGTCTCATAAAATGAGTTTGGAAGTGATCCTTCTTCTTCTATATTTTGAAAGAGTCTCAGAAGAGTTGGCAAAGAGAGGGTAACTTAATTTCCACAAATTTATAAACTTTCCAGTATTAGTTTTGTTATTGCCTTCCAACTTCATCCCATTGTGGTTGTAGAAGAATACTTTATATGATATCTATTGAAAAATCTATTGATATTTAATTTGTGGCCTACCATATGGTCTATCCTGGAAAATGTTTCATTTGCACTTCAGAAGAATGTGTATTCTGGGAATGCCTGCAAGGGACTTCCCACGGCTGCTTTTACTTTTATGTTTCTCATCACTCCCTAAATCAGTTCCACCTCTGGGTAGGGTTAAGGCCTTCTCCCGTGGCCTGGATTTTCAGATTCCCCAGTGGGGATATGTATTCTGAAGGTAATCTCTCCCCATCTTACACTGAGAATTTACAGTTTTTCACCTGTCTCACGGACCAGGCCTCTCCTTTCTTTCAAAGGGTCTGTGGAGTCTTGCAGTTTTCCCGTTGAGTTCCTGTACTGCTTCTTGAAAAATAGTTCTCACTGTGAATCTCCACACATTATTCTGTCTTTCTGAGTGGGAGAGGCAGGCCAACACTACCTCTAATCCGCTACTGTGGGGAAACAAAACAAAACAAAATAAAACTGTTCACTCTTTTCATCTTTTTTTCTTTTTTTTCCTTAGACTACTTCATTTTCATTGTCCTGTCTACAAGCTTGCTGATTCTTTCTTCTGTCTGTTCAAGCCTGCCTTTAATCTCTTCAGTAAAATGTTTATTTCAGCTATTGTACTTTTGAGCTCCATGTTTTCTTTTTGGTTTCTTTCCAGGTTTTTTATATTTTTACTGATATTGCCATTTTGTTCATGTGCTGTTATCCTGATTTTTTTCACATCTTTGAGTGCTTTGATCATCTTTAAGACAGTTATTTTGAAGTCTTTGTCAAGTAGATCTGCCATCAGATCTTTTTCAGGAATAGTTTCTGTTGATTTACTTTTTTTCCTTTGAATGGGCCAGATTTTCCTCTTTCTTTGTATACCTTATGATTTTTTTTTTTAAACTGGGCATTTGCATCTAACAATGTGGTAACTCTGTAACTCAAATTCATCGAATTTCCCAGGTTTTGCTGTTTTTTGTTATTACTTTTATTTTTTTACTTTTGTTTTTTGATTGCTGTAGGCTGTCTCTGTGCCAACAATCAGCCAGTGGTATAAATTTACGGTCAGTTTAGATCTTTTTTGAGTCTGCACAATTGTCTTCTCATTTCTCTGCATATACAGTTGTTTTGAAATGTTCAAGTGTTTAATGTCTATTTCCCAAAAGGGGAAAAATAGCAAAATGAAGGAGAACGAAGGAACTTTAGCCCTGTAAATTCCTTGAAAGTCACTTCAGTCAGAGAGGGAGGGGTTTGCAACAATGAGGGGAGATGCAACAATATTAGCCACCTGACTCTTTGTCTGTATGCCTGTAATCAGAAGCAGTATTCAGGGATTTGTCCGCAGATTACTGACATTTGGAGTACAAGGTCCTATTTGCCTATCCTGGCTCCTGCAAGATGTGTGCAAGTCACGTCAGGAACACACGCACATCTGCCTGCCACAGGATTGGGGATGAAGAATAGGTTACTGCTATTGTCTAAAGAGCTGAAATTGGCTAAAATTAACTATAATTTATTGTCCAACCCTTTCTCTGGAATTTTCAAACCTTGAATAAATCCCAGCATTCCAAATTGGTTACATCAGACATATTCTGCCTGTGAAATTGTCTAGGTGGGAGAATGACTCCTGGTGCTTCTTACTCCACCGTCTTCCCAGAATTCTCTCTCTTAATTCTGCTTTCTTTTGGCTGCTATGTATAAGAAATATTTTTTTCCATCCCTTCATTTTCAGCCTATGGGCATCTTTAATTCAAAAAAGGAGAAGTCTAAAAAAATTATATATATTAATTGCTCACTGTACACCACTCATCTTCCAGCAATTAAAGGAAGTCTGAAGTAATAAAATCAATATGTAGGCCAGGTGCAGTGGCTCATGCCTGTAATCCCAGCACTTTGGGAGGCTGAGGCAGATGGATTACCTGAGGTCAGGAGTTCGAAACCAGCCTGGCCAACATGGTGAAACCCTATCTCTACTAAAAATACAAAAATTAGCCAGGCATCGTGGCACACGCCTGTAATCCCAGCTACTCAGGAGGCTGAGGTAGAGAATTGCTTGAGTCTGGGAGACGGAGGTTGCAGTGAGCCAAGATCATGCTATTGCACTCCAGCCTGGGTGACAGAGCGAGACTCTGTCTCAAAAAAAAATAAACAAATAAATAAAAACAAAAAAATAAAAAAAATAAAATCAATATGTAATATTGTTTTTTAATTTGATTCAAATAGATTTTAAAGATAACTTGCTTTAATGGTAATTTTAAAGTTTTTGCATATTTCGTTTATTTAATATTTATATGCTAAGCCATAGTAAACTTATTAATATGGAGGTGCCTATATATGTATTAGTCAGGGTTCTCCAGTGAGAGAGAGCCAATAAAATAGATACATATTTATATTTAGGTTTAATATATTATATTTATGTTTATATATATACATATTTATATATGTTAAAACTTTGCCCTTGTTGGAAAATTGCTTTCAGTGTATTTTTTGCTTGTTTGATCTTTAACTTTATATTATTATTATCAGGAATCAGAGGTTCAGAAAAGTTAGAGAACTTCCCCATTCCTCAGCTTAAGAGTGTGACCCAGTTGCCAGTTGAACTCTGTTCATCCAAGGGCATATTTTACAGACAACTTCTTAGGAAAGTGTCTGTTCAATGTATATTTAATGAAACCTCTCATTCAGCCTTGAGAAGAAAAGGAAAAGTACCCAACTTCCTGGAACAAATCAACCAATTCCAAACAAGAACAAACAAATATATCTTGCGTAAACACACTTTATTGCCAGCACTAAGGTAATTTGTACTTCAGTTTCTCCAAATTTAATAAGGCTTAAACCAGAGTAGTATTATAGTGTTTCAGTGATATTATATAGAATCTACTTGTAGCAGCATC
This sequence comes from Homo sapiens, assembly GCF_000001405.40. NCBI lineage: Eukaryota > Metazoa > Chordata > Mammalia > Primates > Hominidae > Homo > Homo sapiens. The sequence continues at coordinate 174,317,002 of NC_000003.12, read as the reverse complement.
ATGTAATGGCATAGTGTCGATGATTTCTTTTAGGACTGCTAGTTAATCACTTTTAATGTATCAGTTCTACACATGTTAGATTGCGTAGAATATAAATAGCCTAAATTCCTATTGCCTGAGCAGTGGTTTCCAACCTTCTATCACCAAGGACACTTTTTATAATTTATCCCTCTGCTGATGGTTCAGACAAATATTTTGTTTTCCAAATAAACTATTTACAACAGTTCACTGTGACCTTATTTTGGAGAAATAGGATTTTTCTCTAAGGACTTTTGCACATGTAAATTAGTTTGGGTACTACTGTGGCTACTTCTTGAGTGTCTAGCTTGCAAGAATTCTAGGTTGTGTCATGCCAAGGTTTGTCTTCAGGGCCAGCTCACACATCCACACCCACAGATCAGGCAGCACCTCCTTGATGGGACTGGGGCAGTAATGGTATCTATTGCTCTGCTCACACACACTCTCTACCCTAAAATGCCCACATTTTCACTATTTCCTTGGGTGAATTGAGTATAACCTGTAGAAGGATCTTATTCTTTTAGTCCAGAGGTAGCTTTGCATGAAATAACACTGAACAATGTTAGGAGTTAGAATAAAATTGTCCTGGGCATGAAATTGGAAAAAGTAAAGGGAAGTTGACTAGATGAGAAGGGGTGGGATGTAGGGATACTTAGCCTGAGGAGGCAGTAAGAAGCTTGAAGATGATATAAACAGTGTCTACGTTAGATGTTTGGGAGATGATGTTAAGACATTTAGTAGTAAGTAAGTTGTAACTTGTGTCTCTGAGTTTAGTTCAGTCCTATGCTAAAACAAAACAAATCTTCTTTAATTTCATTTTACTTTCAACCACAACTCCAAATGTAGTATTCTTCACAAAATACAAAAGTTTTTTCACTCCTGTTTTCATCTTTATTCCTTATTTCGTGCAATGTTGATGGGATAAAGACTTACCTGTAATATCTAGGCTAAAGTTAAGACTGTTAAGAGTTCTCATAATTCTATTGAACTTAGTTTATGGGTACAGATTATTAGCAACAGCTAAAGCCTTGAATTAAATGAATTAGCTAGATATTCAAATAAGATTTATTTTAGGTTGCATTATGGTACAAGCACCACTCTTGGTTTAAGAAAAAGTATCTTCTAGCTTTGTAGTTATGTGTACATCAATAATACCATCTGCACTTTAGTTAGGGCTCTAGTATGGCCTGAACCAGGGCATGCCTGAGGAAGCTATCGGACGTGGTATTATCTCATATTTGGTGAGAGAGTACCAAGTTTCATTGGTAATTTGATTGGGATACCTTACAGAAGACAGATTAGAGGAGCGGACTAGGAAATGTAAAATCATATTGTGAACAAAAAAATAAAACGGAGGAAAATATATACAGTATAATTGTAATTGCACCGAAGAGTTCAGGTGGAAATACTAGTTGAAATTGGGCTCCTTTACATTTATCCAGGTGCTGGAAATGTTGCTTCAAGTACAACATCTTTACTGAAGCAGCAACATAATGTGGAAAAATGTGTCTGTGCATAGTGTTTCTGTATGTACGGTATTTTTTAACAGTGGAAAAACTTCTCTTGAAAATGCTTGTTTGGCTTTGGCTCCTGTTTCCTATTGGTCAGAGCCATGGTTAGCAAACCAGATGTTAATCATAGTCTCTTGAGCAGTTCTTTTATTAAATTTTTTAAAACTTTTAATTTAAAATTTTAATTATTTTTTTAAACTTTATTTTTACACCAGGTTTAGGTGTATAGCAAAATTGCAAGTACAGATATTATATGTTTTTTAATATTATAAAAGATACATTCAAAAACACATAAAACGTAAATGTATAGCTCAATGAACCACTATGAATATAACACCCGTGTAGCCACTTCTCAGTTTAAGAAAGAGAATGTGGTCAGTATCCTGGAAACCCTCTGTGGACCTTCCTAGTTACAATTCTGCCTCTCTCTTACAAGTGACTGTGAACCCAGCCTCTAGGTTGATTACATCTTTGTTTAGCTTTATAATTTTAACGCCAAAGCATGCACTCCTAAAGAATAGAATTTAGTCATGCCTGTTTATGAAGACAATATTTTTTTGGCTAGAAAATATGTAGCATATGTCGAAGCCAAAGCCATCGCCACTGGGATTGATCAAGCACAGTCACTATGATCCAAAGATACCCTGAGAGACAAAATGTGTTCCCTCAAACAGCCTAGCTATTTTTATTAACAAGAAGCTAACTGATTTTAAAATAATATTTTTCCTCCCTTCTTAAGTTATTATCCTCTTGGTTCTTCCTTTTTCTCTCCCTGCCTTTTTAAAAATGTCACTGGAAATAAGTGTTAAAACAGATTAATCATAATAATGCCTTTCCTTTTTAAAGTCTTGGACTATTTCCATATTTATAACTATAGACTCTTCCAACTATGATTTTGATTAAACTAACCAGCTGCCATTTGTCTATACAACAGTGTGATTATCAGAAGCTAGGAGGTATTGATTAGTTCAGTTTTACTGATATCTATAAAGACTGTTGAGCTGTTCAAAAGAAAGTTGTGGCTTGGACAGTTCTTAGAACCATTCTGCCATCTCCTGTGTAGACCAGTCTATTGATTTCATAAATCTTATGGATGTACTTCAAGTTGTTTTACTTGTATGAACCAATCTAAGAAGAGTCTAGCCCTTTAAAAAGGAGCTGCCAGGCATAGAGAGGCTAAGAGTTCAATGCCTCAGAGTATTTGGGGCTGGTAGAAAAAGTGAAGTTATTTTTCTTCAGATCAAAAAAGACTAAAGGGACAAAGACTGAAACATATTAATAAATGAGACATGACCCTTTCCACTGATCCCAGATATTAAAGTTGCTTTTCTAAAATAAGAGTTTTATTTTTCAAGGGAGACAGGGTCATGTAGAAAAGACAAAGATCAGAAAATGAAAGGTGATGTTACATCAGAGTAGTTATTATTAATAATGCTATTGGAAACATTGAGAAATGTCACGAAGGTAAAAAACATAATTTTAAACGACTATTATAAGTAGAATGTTGATTTCAAAAGAAAAAATACTTTCAAATATAAACTTGTAGATTTATATTATCAGGTATAGCTCAGACACAATTAGATTAAATATCAGACACATACCGAATGATTTCAGGGCATGTTGGATTAGCTTTCTAAGTTCATCATGTGGAAAAAGATAAGCCACTCTATGACCGATGTCTCTTCCTGATTTGGGGAATGTTATGTAACAACATGTTGAAAGACTTCTTAGTATGGGAAATTTAAGTGTAAATAAAAATAGAATAATATAATGATCCCATGTTTATATCATTCAACTTCAACATTAATGAACTCAGGACCAATGATGCCCTGTGTAGATGCTATGCCATTTCATCAGCAAATGAAGTTTTAGTATATATCTCCAAATACAGAAATGTTTATGGTTATTTTTTTACTCATCTTTGATATTTTATATTTATAAAATTATTTCTTTCAAATAATTATTCCACTTTTTTTCTCCCTCATAATGGTTCTCAAACATTAGTTTGGGTGAGAATCACCAGGCATCCATCTGGAGTAGGAATCAGATGTTATACATACGCATAATGGAAATATTGATATTGTTGATCTGTGGAGCACACTTTGAGAAATAGGACTGTAGAAATTCATACCAGAGTTTCAAAGTAACTCAGTAAAGTTAAGGAAATGTGTTTCATGTGAAGTCCAATTTTAAAGCTTTTTTTTCCATGTCCACAATATATATTTTGAACTCAGCAATATGACTTAATTTATCATTTTCCCTTATTCTGATTCCACATTTCTTCTCCGTTTAATCATTTTTAAGTTTGATTTATATGAAATCTAGAATGTTTTATATAAATTGAGGTTTTACCATCTCTTTAAGGAGGTGACGGTTTTAGAAAGCAGTTGTTTTGGATCTTGTGTATAATAGTTGCTATAGGAAGTATTACATGTACATGAAGTTTGTAAAATGCACAGCTAATGTGCTCTTTGGAAAGAATAAATTTGGGTTTCTCTTGGGAAAAAATAAGCAGGAGCTAAATATAGAAAGTAATTTCTCTTACTGATAAAAAACAGGTAGAAAAATCATTCTTCTGGTGGAGAAATGCTTGGGATGCTCTAGTTACTCTTTCTGACTCAGCTTATGGAGAGAGAGGTAGGAAAATAAAAGATGACTGGGAAAACTGAAATGCCAAGCTAACCTTTGGTCAAAATTCTTGGAGTAGAAGGATCATTGTGAAGGAGAGCTAATGACTTCTCCTTTTATAAGTTGTCAGTGAGCTCTTACGGATTCTCACTTGAGATACAATCAAAAGCTTTCTCTGTTCAAGGAAGGTTAAATAGACATTGAAAACACCCTAAGCATGCATTGTTATAAATGATTTGAATTTTTATTGGCCAAAGGAAAAGATATATGGTTAACAAACATCCAAAAGAAAAACAAAAATCAAAGATCAACCTTCTTGCCCATAAAATACTCAAGATTTTGCCCTCGTACTGGCTGCCCATGCTGGACTCCAAATGAAAGGGCCGTCTGACCAGATACCTAATTTTTCAGACTTACTTTACTAAATATTCCAGCAATGCACATTCCATCTCTTGTTCTTCACTTGATCTCTTGTCTGGCCTCTGATCAGATCCTGGTAAGTCATTGTTTCATGCCTTCAATTGAGGATAAACTTGAGGGTCTCAGGAGCATGAGTCTGTAAGTCTCCTCCCCTGCCTCAAGTCCTGAGTAGACGGGGGAAGGAGGATAGAGGAGACACCTGGATTGCCTGCCCTAGGAAACTCGGGGTTTCTAGGTTGACTCATGTACTACTTCCCCACATCATTTCCCAGATATGGAGAAATGCTTTAGTCTTCATGGAATGACGACTAAACTAGTCTTCTAAGAGATGTTCCAAATTTCAGAAAAAGAAGGATGTTTTCTACTGGTCCCTCTAGAAAAAACAAGTTGGGATAAAGCACCATTTTCTGTGCAACATATGGTGTTTTCCCATCTTGCATTACTCAAGAGGGCCTCTGGAGTCTGAATTACAGTACATTTATGAATGATGACATGGAGATGCTTGAAGGGAGAAAAGTAGAATTAGAAAGAAAAAGGTTTATAGCTGCCATTATGCTCAGTTTCTTCTGCTTTTAGCATGAAGGTAAGTGTGGATATCACACAAGAAGGCCCAAAGAACACTTAACAGCCAAGGCTTGGTGCTGCTTAATACCATTCCTGTGCACTTGAAAGTATATTTGAGGTCCTTCCAGGTCACTTGTTAAAGAAACTACCTGGAAGTTATTAATAGATGTAGAGTATATATGTAGCACTAGGGTTGAAGGAAAGCAGTGAAAATGAAGCTCATTATTTCTATGGGAAAGAATATCATAGGTAGTGGAATGTAAGGAGGTATATTCAAATTCTATGGTATCAAAGTAGATGGGCCAAAAACGAACTATTATGCACTATAGGAATAAAGATCCTCTGTGATCAGTAGATATGTTCCACTAGGCCATTGTTCTATGATTTATGAGTTGGGGCTTTGTTAATGTAGCCTGTGTCATCAAAAGCCAGGAGATGTTATAGAGAAGAAATCCCTTATTTTAGTGAATATGTGCTCAAGTATTTTACTGTAAAATGTCATAATATTTGCAACTTACATCTAAATAGGTCATTGAAAAGAGAAACAAGTGTGGTAAAATGTTAACAATTGGTGAAATTCGGAGAGATACCCTTCTTTCAGTTCTATGGATTTGAAAATTTTCAAAATAAAAAATTGGAGAGTTAAAGAGACAATGCAAGCATATTTATAAATATGAAGGTAAACACCACATAAAATAATAAAAAAGTAGAAATTGGTTGTCTCTGGAGATAAAAATCTGATAATAGTGGCTGGCTGCTGTTTTTTCTTATATGACTTTTAGTATTATGTGAGTCTTTAAAGCCTGTGAATGTATAACTTTGACAAAAACTAAACACTGACTTTAAAAGGAGAAAAAAAGCAAAAAGACACACTGGGAGATTAGATTGCCAGACGCTTCATGGAGTCAGAAAAGCTCATTGATAACATGCTGGAACAGTTTTATCTACATGTATAAGGGAAAAAATGTGCACCATCTAGATGAAGAACACAATCACTGCAGGAAAAGAGTGATGTCTATATCAGGGAGCAAGTCAGAAATAAAATACAGGGAATCAAGGGGTCAGGAGAGTGAGCAACAATCTATATGGTCACTGATTTCAGCCTTTCTTACGAAGTACTACAAGGTAATTTATACATGAAGAATTACGTGACCTTGGGCATTTCACAGATCAAATGACATCATTAAATGCTTTTACTGACTCGCCGCATCCAGAAGATTATTGTCTATTCCTTAGTTTCCTGGATAGCTTGTAGGCGCCCTAGCAAACTGGTTTAATAATTACTGGTTCTGGTTCAAGGGATCAGAGATCAACAAGGTATCTGAGGAAAAAAATCCTTATGGGTAAAGGGATGCAGGCGGCTACTCCATTGAGAGTGGAAGAGCTCACCATTCTGGTGTTTATATTTTTATTTAAATGTTGTTTGTTTGACAAAAAACACCAGGTTCCCTGAGGACGGAGATCCTCTGATGATGCTTCTTTGTGTCTCAAAGATTATATCAGTATACTGACCTCAGCCTTCATTTCAAATAGGCAGTAAACTCTCTGGGGAAAACCAGAACTCAGGCACTGATTGATTACGTGGTAGCGTTATTCACTATAGGACATAGCTGTTTGATTTCTTTGTCTGAAAACCCTTCCTTGCAGAGAGAGTATATGTCTGGAGACTTGGCACAAATTTAGCAAGTGATATGATTATGGTGATTGGTTGGGCAGGATATGTAGGCAATAATGGTGACAGCTGGCAGAGATGGCACCAGTATGTGCTAGTATGGCGAGCTTCGGCCTTATAGGAGCTAGTGTGGTCATAGGTCAGGGCACAGGACCATTGAGTAGTTTGGGCAGTGGCCAAGTGGCAGGACTAAGTAGGGGATAACAATTTCAATAAAAGAGTCGGGCTTAACTGACCAAGGTTTGGACCATGATGCTGCCAGATATTTCCAAATCTTTGGGCCAGTGAATCTGGGTTTCCAGTCCTCTTTATCTGCTCTTTTATTCCATTCTTGCTTCTGGGTGAGGTGCCAGAACTGCACAGTTTTCTTGATCACTGATCTTGCCTCCTGTCAAAGTTGATAATGGCATAAATGACCATTTTATTATAGATTTTTGAGTATAGAGCCAAAATTGGGTAAGGCAATACTTGGGGATGAATCTTTAGGTGTAGGAGAAAAGACGTTGCTGAGCTACTGCATAGGCTATGTGACCCAAATGGCTTTGCTTCAACGTGGAGGGAAGATCCTGACCCACACTAGACTGTGCAAGTGAGGAATAAGCCTCTATCATGTTAGGCCACTGAGAATTTGGTGTATCTTTATGGTGGCAGCTAGAGATGGTTATCCTGACCAAATGCAATACGATTTGGAGAACTGGAACATCTGCAGGTCCATTGCACAAATACAATGGCATCAGGGACTTCAGATGCACTGGTGGGATAAGGGTTCTTGCTAAGTTCTAAAGCCAGGGTGTAGACTCCACAACAGTGATGAGATTGTGGTTCCTGGCTGAAATCATTAGGTGGAGGAACTCTTCAGCAGCTGCCACATGTTAGGCTCTGCAGCAAATCTCAATTGATGTTTGGGGAGAAAAATATTACTCACTCAAGAAGATATAGACTCATAAAAGCTATTACTCTAGGGTATTCTTGTGTGTGGGCCTCAGATGTCTTTCTGAAGGACCTGTGGGGGAAGGATGTGAAATAAGTGTCTGATCTCTAGTCCTGGGTAAAAACAAGACTAGGTCAGTTATTTAGTGTTTGCTCAGATCCATCTTCACACTTCTGCTCTATCCTCGATCACAAGGAGTTGGCTCTGGTGGTTTCTATTTGGTTCAGCCTATGCATGAAATTGGCAGGAGAATGCAAGGTAGAGAAGTCAAAAAGCCAGAATTTTCTTCCCCTTTTTGCTCTCTGACTTGGGAGATATTTATGGTAATGGCTGTGTTTCTTTTTGCAGAACCAGCTTACCCATCAGTACTTCTCTCTGTGGTTCCAGTTCTACTGGCCATCCCTGTCTTCTGCATTCTAGTAATTCCATGTTCCTTTTTTTATTCCTGAAACCCCAGGGTGGTAGTGACTTTCTGCTGTTGCTAACATGGATTCTCTCATCACCCCTTCTGGTTTTGCATCTCTTCCAACAATTTTGTAATTAGTTCTCTGTATTTAAGTCATCTTTTGAACTCCCTTGGGATGGTTAATATTGAGTGTTAGTTTGATTGGATTGAAGGACACAAAGTACTGTTCCTGGGTGTGTCTGTGAGGTGTTGCCAAAAGAGATTAACATTTGAGTAGCGGAGTAGGAGAGGCAGACCCACCCTCAATCTGTGTGGGCACCATCTAATCAGCTGCCAGCACAGCTAGAATAAAGCAAGCAGAAGAAGGTGGAAGGACTTGACTTGCTGAGTCTTCTGGCCTTCATCTTTCTCCTGCGCTGGATGCTTCCAGCCTTTGAACATCAGATTCCAAGTTCTTCAGCTTTTGGACTCTTGGACTTACACCAGAGGTTTGCCAGGGGCTCTTGGGCCTTCAGCCACATACTGAAGACTGCACTGTCGGCTTTCCTGCTTTTGAGGTGTTGGCACTCAGACTGATCCACCACTGACTCCCTTGCTCCTCAACTTGCAGATGGCCTATAGTGGGACATTACCTTATGATTGTGTGAGTCAATTCTCCCTGATAAACTCCCTTTCATATATATATATATATATCCTATTAGTTCTGTCCCTCTAGAAAACCCTGACTAGTACATCCCTGGAGAGAATTCTGTTTTTCTGATTAGATCTGACTTACTTGGGCTGTAGACCTTGCTGGGGTCTCAGGAGCCAGGATTGAGTAAATAATGTATGGGGATGAATCTCAGATGTGGGGTATAAGACAGAGGGTGATGCTGTTTGATTTGTTGAGAGATCTGAAAAAGATTCTTGGCAGAATGGAATGTTGAGAGAGGAAGATGTTTTTTTACTCATTGTCCACATTTGAACCATTAGGCAAGGAGTGTGCATATTCTATACTCCATTAACTACGTTTTGGTCTCTCAATTTTGAGTAGGCATATTTGGGAAATCATCAGAGTATCTAACTTTTCTCCAACTGGCTTAGTAGCAGGACCTGAGTGTGGGTTGCTTTCCTAATGAACAACCATACTTACTATCCCTCGTGGCATCTAGGAGAAGACCTAGACCTCAGTAACACAGGAAAGTTATTTCTAGGATGTCTAACTTTAAATGAAAAGCAGGTTTTCTAAGGTCAGCTTTCTTTTCCATCCAGATGGTTTGCCTTTTGCAGATGGTAAGGCCCATATGCAGATTCTGACCCACTTGCTAATAAAGGGATTGGTCTGTGCCAGGGCCTAAAAAACTTGGATTCAGGTTCACAGATGCAATTATTGAGGTGAAAAACAGAGACTTAAAAATAATAGAGCTAGTAAAATTCTCATCATTTTTCTGAACGAGTGAAGCATTATTTAAAAGGTAAATGTAAATAGCGCTGCCTATTGATATAATCGACTTAATTTTTGATGAAACATGAAAATGCACTAGGTTCTGCTAGTAGTATTTAACGTAGACTTAACCAATGTTGATTTATATTTTGGATCATTTCATTATTGTTCCAGGGTGATCTTTAAGCAGTCACTTAGGAATTGATTTACTATTATTTTTTATTTAAGTGCATGTATGTATTTGTCAAAAACTAATGATGCAATAACAATATCCTTTAAAAAATTCAAATATAAGTATCCAGATTTTCTACTCTTAGGAAGTTCAGTGTTCACATTGAAATGTGAGAGATAAAGGAAAGAAAGAAGTGAACTTAAGTGCCATGAACTTAAATTTGTTCTAAGCTGTTGGAGAGAAGATATAAATTGCTAAGGAGGAACTTTAAAGACCAAATTGAAAAACACTCCATTTCTTTGTAGCATGCTTCATTTCATGTGTTTTTAAACTTAACCAAGGCAATATATACTCACGGTGGCAGAGATGTTCCAGGATTGTTTGCACAATTCCACTCAGGCAAACTGGGTCAGACAAAAAGACATGATTGACATAACAAATCATTTTAGTTCTCTTTCCATTCTCTCTCCTCTCTATCTAATTATCACTTAGCTGTCATTTAAGGTCAACTCAAATCTCCTTTGTGCACATTTCTGTTTTTGGGGAACCTTCTGCTTTTCTAGCCTCCAGTTTTACTGTTGGTACCTGTAATTAGCACATGATACAATGAAAAATTTTTTTCCCATTGCTCGAACTAACACATTGTTTTCCTTCAGATGTGACATCATTTAAATTGAAAAAAAAATCAAAAGGGCATTAAATGCAGGTGGGAAAAAAACTCAGTAATGCCAAATAGTTATGGTTAAACTGGCAAGTCTTTCCATTTTTCCTCTCCAGGGACATTTCCTTCCCAGATGTAACCACTGCCACTCAACACTTTTTCACATGTGCACCTTCATGCTCCTGTGCCTTTACCTGCCATTTTTTTTCTCAACCAGGAATACTTTCTCACATTCTCTGTCCATCTATTACGACTCATAAAAGAGATATACTCTGTACACTCTTCCTTGATACCCTCTGTCAGAATTCAGGGTTTTGATCTTTGTATTTCCTCAATATGCTGCTTGTATCACTATTTAACACTCATTTCATTCTGTCTTGTTTTACAGCAAGTTCTTTACCTATCAGCTTCATCATAATGCACTTTCCTTGAGAGAAGGAGCCCATTTTCTTCCTCTTTGCATCTCCTATAAAATCCAAGCCAGTGTTATCACATGTTTAAGTCATTGGATTGAACATACACAATACGGTTTATTCATTTTCTGTTTCATGAAGAGTTGTCACAACCAGACTATGAGCATCTTCGGGTCATTTACAGAAATCTATGACTTTTTGCTTATGTAATTCCATAAAAAAATACATTAATTAAAATATTGCAACCAGTCCTGCTGTGACATGAATGTCCCCTGCATTCATGTGTTGAAAATGAATTCACATTGTGGTGGTATTAAGAGGTAAAGTCTTTTGGGAAGTGATTAATTCATGAAAGCTCAGCCATCATGAATGGACTAAATCCTTATAAAAGGTCTGGAGGGAATGAGTTTCCTCTCTTCTGCTCTTCCACCATGGGAGAATATGTGTTTGTGTCCCCTTTCCCCCTTCCATCCTTTCTGCCATGTGAGGACACCTAGATAGTGGCATCCGTGAGAAACAGGCCTTCATCAGAGACTAATCTGTCAGTGCCTTGATCTTGGAATTCTCATTCCTCCAGAACTATGAGAAATGCATTTTTATTCTTTATAAATTACCCAGTCTGTGGTATTTTATCATAACAGCACAAACATAACAATTACTTTTGACTAAGACAAAAATTAATACCAGAGCTGGGTGCGGTGGCTTACGCCTGTAATCCCAGCACTTCAGGAGGCCGAGGCAGGCAGATCACCCGAGGTCAGTAGTTCGAGACCAGCTTGGCCAACATGGCAAAATCCCATCTCTACTAAAAATAGAATATTTAGCCAGGCATGGTGGCATGTGCCTGTAATCCCAGCTACTCGGGAGGCTGAGGCAGGAGAATCACTTGAACCCAGGAGGCAGAGGTTGCAGTAAGTTGAGATCGTGCCACTGCACTCTAGCCTGGGCCACAGAGTGAGACTTCTTCTCAAGATAATAACAATAATGCCAGAGAAGAAGGTGTTTCCATAACAAATACCTGAAAATGTGGAAGCACTTTAGAACTGGGTAATGGGTAGAGGCTGGAAGAGTTTGGAAGTGCATGCTAGAAAAAGCCTAGATTACAGTAAATGGAGCAATAAGGGTGATTCTGGTGAGGGGTTAGAAGAAGAGGAGAGATGTAGAGAAAGTCTAAATCTTCCAAGTAATTATCTAAGTAGTTGTAAATAGAATGCTGATAGTGATATGAATAGTAAAGGCCATTCTGATGAGGTCTTAGATGGAAATGAGAACTATCTTGGAAACTGGAGGAAAGGCTATTCTTAATACAAAGTGACAAGAACTTGGCTGAATTTTGTCCATGCCTGTCTTACAGCTTTGTGGAAGGCAGAACGTAAAAGTAGTGAACTAGGATATTTGCAGAAGAAATCTGTAAGCAAAGTGTTCAGGGTGCTATGTGGTTTCTTTTGACTGCTTATAGTAAAATGAGAGAAGAGAGAATCAAATTAAAGATAGAATTTGTAATCAAACAGAAAGCTGAATGTAAACATTTGGAAAATTCTCAGCCTTCACATTTGAAAAATAAAAAAGCTTGCTTGGTAGAGAAAGCCAAGGGTGTGGCCAAGCAAGCATTTAATGAATAGATTAGTATGGATAGAGGGAGGTCAGATGTTATTCATCAAGAAAATGGAAGAATGACCCCAAATATTCAGAGATATTTGAGGTTTCCACTCCCATCACAGGCCCAGACTGCTAGGGCCTTGAGAGCAGAACAGTTTTAAGGGAGGTGTACCTCAGGCTACCTTAAAATCTTAGCACTCACTGCCCTGGGCCACCTTAAGTCTCTTCTCCCTGCATGCCAGAGCAGCACTCATTGGCTGCCTCAGCCATGGTTCAAGCAGGCTCAGGTTTGGCTCAGACCGTGTCTCTTGAGGACACATGCTAGAAGTATTGTAACAGCACAAAGGGGCTAAAACAAGTGTTTTGCTTTTATCAACAGTTATTTTACATTCATTAATTCCTTGGAACTTTACGACATTCAGTACACAGCAGATTGCATTGGTCTAGAGGAAAAACAAATAAAAGGACTTTGGAGCCAGACAGACCTGACTTTGCATTCTTGCTCAACTGCTTGCAGGTTATGAGATCTTAGGAAACTTTTTTTAACCTCTATAAGCACCAATTTTCTCATTATTAAAAAGTAAATGTTAGTCCTATAGAATTGCCAGGAAGAATGTCTGATATAAGCATGAAAAGGTATGTATATTAGCTCATTTTCATACTGCTATAAACAACTGCTTGAGACTGGGTAAATTATACAGGAAAGAGGTTTAATTGACTCACAGTTCAGCATGACTGGGTAGGGCTCAGGAAACTTACAATCATGGCAGAAGGCAAAGAGGAAGCAAGGCACCTTCTTCACAAGGCCGTGACCCCCAGGGTTCAATTACCTCCACCTGGTCTCTCCCTTGACATGTGGGGATTATGGGAATTACAATTCAAGGGGAGATTTGGGTAAGGACACAAAGCCTAACCATATCAGTATGTGATACATATTAGACATTGAATATAAGTGAAGATTCCCTTCTCACCTAGGAAATAGAGGCTTAGATAAGCTAAATGATCATCTAAAAACGTGTGGCTGGCAAAGGGTTGCAAATGGTAGTAAAGCCAGGACTGGAACTGAGGTCTCCTAAATCTCTATGTATGTACACACCAGTTCCCTTGTGTCTAACATCTAGGCTGAGAGTGAATAGCCTTGCAGGAAACTGAAAACAACTCATTCCTATTGTCATCCTGCTACCATGCATACTCCATAGCCTAAGATATTACTGCAAGCTGCTGCCTCCCGGCACGATGATGAAACTCAGGTTTGGAGAGGTTAAGCGACTTGGCCAAGTTCAGTCAATAATCTAGAAGCCATGTCCACCTTGTTCCCCTCACTCCTGCCTCAGAAGTGACTGATACATTGTGATTTAAATCTATATTGAACCTGTGTAGAGGAGACAGAGCTGCAGCAGCAGGAACAGCAGCATGAGACCTGTAGCTTCACAGAGAAAGACAACAACCTGTTGCCTGAGCCAGGCTCAAAGCACCATGAGAATGAGGGGGAGGACTATGAAGATGAGGAGGATAGTAAAGAATGGAGGATGAGCACATGCAGGACATGGATGACATGAATGATTTCAATGAGTAACCTGGTGATGGAGAGGTCAATGATGTGGATGTGGGAGGCAACAAACAGGATCAGGACAAGTGGACAATCTAGGTAGACAGGGCGGGATGGCCTCAGGGAGATTCCATGCCAGCTCCAACTTTCCTACACTCCCTGAAGAACAAACTGATGGCCTTTTTTTTTTTTTTTTTTAAAGAGACATCACTACAGAAGAGACTTCTGCTTCCCTTCTCTACTTGTGAGGAAATGCTACACCAAAGCCATCTCTGAGTGAGAAAATTCAGAGAGTTAAATTGAAAGTGATTTATTAAATTGCACAGTTTCTCTGTTTTCCATGAATGAATGTCTAGTTAACATAAATTGGTTAAAATCATACACACGGTAATTGAAATTATTACCCATGAGGTGGAACCAGAGAGAAATAAATACTGAGCTGTAATGCATTTCACTCATCCCAATTCATTCTTTCTGTCAACTGTGCACCCTCTCCCTTCTTTATTAAGATTTGTATAAATTTAAACAAAGTCAAACTAAGCTGGAATAAAGGCAATGTGGCATGTGTATAGTCAAGCAAGAAGTTTGTTTTGTGAGAAGAATAAGCCCTCACATGCATTCAATCACTGTGTTCCAGCATGAGGAGCCTGAAAACCCTTCAGATGATTGGCTATTTAGGATAGTGAAAACTGATCAAAGAAGGAAAATAAATAAGAAATTTGGAGAGGCTTGGAACTTTTATGATGTCAAAGAAACGTTGGCTGAGAGAGTTTTGAAGAAGTAAAATTAAAGCAATTTCTGAAATGTTTGTAATTCAGATCCAATCTTCTCAAGTTGCAATGTGCATCTGGGGATCTTGTGAAAATGCAGATTCTGATTTAGTAGGTTCATGGGAGGTCTGTACATTCTTCTTCTCCAATAAGCTTTCAGTTTGCTGACGCTGCTGGTCCACAAATCATGCTTTTAGCAATAAGGTTTTAGTCATATTGGCCATTTCTCGGTTACTAAAATACTGAAATCCCCTAAATAATTGCTAATATTCATATTTTGAAAAAATACATTGCCAATAATAAACTTGTCTAAAATAATAGTGTTCTTACCTGGATTAGTGATTTAGAAAACCAAATACTAAGTCAAAAGTGAACCCCAAGATGAGCTTGAAATCAGTGACATCAGCTGTAGAACCAGTTTTAATCTATATGAAGATAGACCTACGTTGTATCTCGTGTCTCTAAGTGCTGAATTATTCACATAAATGCTTCAGAGAAGCCTCCCATAAATCAAAGGGAGAGAATTAAATTGGGAATAGTAATGGTGAGAAATCTTGAGCTCCTAACCTGATTTACCTGACTACTCTCCCAGTTATCTTTCTCTTGTTCTGACCAAATCATTCCTGGTGATTTGCTGGCCCCTAAATTTAGCCCCAGGGACTCTTTCATCATAGTATATGATTTTTAAGCTCTGTGCTTTTAAAGGCTTGTCAGATGGATATTAGATTCAATATTGAAATCTCAAAGTTCTTTGTGAGAGAACTTCTGCAGAAGGTTGGCAGTGGTTTATCCAAATGCCTTTTATTGGTTAATAAGTTTGGACAAATGTGGCTCCATCATAACAATGACTATTTCTGATGAAAGTATCTGATCAAACTCAATTTACAGAAATAATGTTTATTCCATTTGATAATAATAAAATATTATTTTTCCCTTCTCAGGACAATTTGGTAATGCAAGGATTGAACTATTTGTATGAATAAATTCCATTTATTTTCTTCATTTCTCCTGATTTTCTTTTTTTTTTTTTTTTTTTTTTTTTTGAGACGGAGTCTCGCTCTGTCGCCCAGGCTGGAGTGCAGTGGCGGGATCTCGGCTCACTGCAAGCTCCGCCTCCCGGGTTCACGCCATTCTCCTGCCTCAGCCTCCAGAGTAGCTGGGACTACAGGCGCCCGCCACTACGCCCAGCTAATTTTTTGTATTTTTAGTAGAGACGGGGTTTCACCGTTTTAGCCGTGATGGTCTCGATTTCCTGACCTCGTGATCCGCCCGCCTCGGCCTCCCAAAGTGCTGGGATTACAGGCGTGAGCCACCGCGCCCGGCCCTGATTTTCTTTTAACAAATGATCTCTGAACACTAGGGGCAAGAAATTTGACCAAGCATCTTAATACACTGATTAGAACAGTAAAAAGTTAAGTCTATTACAAATTGTATGTAATGCTTTAAATGTAGATTAAACTAGTCATCAATATGATACAAGTGGAATTATGATGATACAAAAATAGGCTTTGATAATGCTTTGTCTTACCTGCCTCATGAAATTGCTGTGAGGATCAAACGAGATAGTCTTTGAAAGTAATCTCTAAAGTCTAAATGGTGTTTCTGGCTTTGTCCTCCTTTTTACCAATCCATTTTATTTAAGGTTGCCAGATTAATCTTAAAGCATCAGCTTGATTACATTTTTTCCAGCTCAAATACCCTCAATTTTCTTCTCAACCTCTTTCTAAAGCATTGGGTTTGGCTTCCCTTGGCATTTAAGAAACATCACACTGCCTTTCTAGTCTTATCTCCAGCTATTTTCTGTTCTAACCTCATATATCAAGGCTACTGGGTTACACTGTATGTCCCCTGATTTCCTGAGTCAAAATTTCTATTGTCTCCTACATTGCCTCTACCCAGTTGTTCCATAGAGACCCTATTATCAAACATGTCCAAAATTAGGAGTATATAAGTATATTCTTTATATATTTCCTATTATCCATTCCAGAAAAATCCATTCCTATTATCTAAGCCAGAAAATTAGAGTTTCTCTCTCTCTTTCATTCTCCCTCTCTCTCTCTGTGTGTGTTTCCTACACATTTTTTTCAGGCCCACCTTCAGGTAGGAAATATGTAATTTTTCTTTACCTGTACTTCTCCCTCAGGATCACCCTCAATAGTTACATACAACCATTAATTCTATCAGATATTTTTCAGGCCTAATATCTAATGGTTCTTTAATTGAACAGATGTTTATGGAGCACATGCCATGTGTTGATGGTTGTGTCAGTTTTCTATTGCTGGTATATTACCATGAGATTAGAACAACACATTTATTATCTTACACTTCTGGAGGTCAGAAGTCCAAAATGAATCTCACTGGTTAAAATCAAGGTGCTGGCAGAGCTGCTTCCCTTCTGAAGGCTCAAGAGGGAACTCCATTTTCTTGCCTTTTCCACTTTCTAGGTGTTACTCACATTCATTGACTTATAGCTCTCTTCCATCTTATTTATTTATTTATTTAGAGACAGAGTCTTGCCCTGTCACCCAGGCTGGAGTGCAATGGCGCAATCTCGGCTCACTGCAACCTCTGCCTCCTGGGTTCAAGTGATTCTCCTGCTTCAGCCTCCCGAGTAGCTGGGATTATAGGTGCGCACCATCACGCCCAGCTAATTTTTTGTATCTTTAGTAGAAACGGGGTTTCAGCATTGTTGGCCAGGCTGGTCTCAAACTCCTGACCTCATGATCCACCCACCTTGGCCTCCCAAAGTGCTGGGATTACAGGCATGAGCCACCATGCCAGACCCCTTCCATCTTTAAAACTAGCAACACATTCTTCCAACCTGTGCTTTTGTAGTTATATAACCTTCTTCAACTTTGACTCTCTTGCTTCTCGTTCACTTATAAGACCCCTTGTGATTACATTTAGGGCCCACCTGGATAATCCAGGATAGTTTCTCCATTTCAATATTCTTAACAATGGCATCTGAAGTCATTTCTTCCATGTTAGATAATATACGCACAAGTTCCAGGGTTTAGAATGCGGACATCTTTGAAGGGCAGTGGTGGTATTATTCTGTCTACCATAGCTGTCTTCCTAAGCAGTGTAAACACAAAAGTCAATATTATGATGCAGTCCATGCCCTCAAGGAAATCAAGGACAAAGCAGTCAAATAAGTGAGTAGCTACAATATGCTATAATTATGGCTCTGAAATTATGATGAAAACTATATAAAATCTTGAGGGATCAGGGAAGTCTTTGGGAAGAAGGGCTATCTAAGACATAGAACCAAAATTCTATTTGAGCATTTTGTTACAATTTAGGAGGGAGGATAATGGTACTAAAATAAGTTGGTACAATAATCTAGGCTCTAATAGCATCAATCAATCAATCTCATATTATCACTTTTACAGTTGAACAGACTGGCTTAATATAGATACTAGTTCCACTCCAAAGATATAAATAGGGGTACTACATGTATATACCATATTTATATACATATTCTCTCTTTTTGCCTTTAGAGGCAAGGTCTCATTCTGCTGCCCAGGTTGGCACGCAGTGGCCTGAATATAGCTCATGGTAACATCAGACTCCTGGGTTCAAGCAATCCTGTTGCCTCAGTCTCCCAAATAGCTAGGACTGAACTACAGGCGCACCTCACCAAGCCCAGCTAATTAAAAAATTTTTTTTTGGAGAAGAAGGGTCTTTCTAGGTTACCCAGGCTAGTCTTGAACCCCTGGCCTCAAGCAATCCTCCCTCCTCGGCCTCCCAAAGCACTGGGGTTACAGGCATGAGCCACTGCACCCAGACTACATATTGTTTATGTATATGTTGTATACCATTTAACATATATATAAGTGAGAGAACACATATGTACATAGAAAAGGATGTACTTTTCTATGGGTAAAAGGAAATAGAGAAACCAGGAACAAATTTTGCCCTCTGGGAACTTATACTCTGGAAGGGGAACAAGACTTGGACATAAATGTTTACTGAAACATGAGGCCGAGAGAGTTGACTGTCATAGAGATATAGATATAATACTATGTGTATGCAGGGCTGGAAGTGAATGTTTTCAGCTTAGAGAAACTAGAGAAGACGTCACAAATAATGTCTTACTTGAGCTAAGGTCTCTAAGGATGGGAGGTAGGGCTTTGGTCATGTTGGTGATGAGAGAAAAGAATGTAAAAAATGACATATATCTCCACATTGCTATTAGGTAGAGGAGAAAAGAGTTCCTCCTGGAGATCTTTGAGACTTTGAAACAGCAGCAGAAGAGATGTGAATTCCAATTACAATTTCACCTATACCAAACAGAATTATTCACGCATCTCTATTGCTCCCACCTCATCTTCAGAAAGATTTCTGCTGCAGTGCTCCAAGGGAAATATGTAGAAATAGATCATATACTTCCTTGTTGGAATAGGAAAGATGAAGAGATTCACAAGGGGGAAAACGTGCTATGACTGAACATTTTCTTGATAAAACACAGAGAAGTTCATAGCTTTGAGAAATTATTTCACAATAATTCATTCGGTATATATTAACCACCAACTCTGCAAAACACTGTGATAGATAACATGAGAAATACAAAGATTTTAAAACATAGTTTCTAGTTTTCAATCCATCTAGTGTGGGAGTAAAAACAGAGATTGAGCATATTACAAAGCAGTGAGTGATTCATGCTACATGATTAGGATATAGAAGAGTGGGAATTCAGATCGGTTCTAGTGGGTATCATGAGGGAATTCTCATAGAAGAGACACCTGAAACTGGTGGAAAAATAAGTAGGATTTAATAGACTAAGGCATGCACATAGGGCTGGGGAGAGAATAAATTGGAAAGGATAAAATTTAGGCAAAAAGAATAGCATGAGAAAAATCATGGGGGTAGCAAAGTCAAGATATTTTTAGAAACTCTACATGCCACTTTTTTCCTCCAAATATGAACTGAGCCGTGGGCATAGAGAGAATAACAGCAAATGAGATAGTTCCTGACTTCAAGGAGTTTGTAGCCTTGAGGGGGTACTGAGAAACAGATAATTAAAATAAAATGTGATTTATATTGTGGCAGAAAAAAAAGAGAGTCAAGATTTTATGTAGCCTAGGAGTCACAAAAAGCAGAGAGGGCTACCCAAGCAGAGACGTCATCTTAGCTGAGTCCTGTCCTGAGGGGTTACTTTGAGTTGGCCAAGGAAAGAGAGGGAAAATAAAGAAATCCATGCATATACCCAGAACAGGGAGATCAAGATCACAATGCATTTGAGGAACTCTAGGCAGTTTCTTTGTTGTTGGAGTCCAGGCTACATAGGAAGAGAATAAGGAATTGGGTGCAAACAGCAGCTGGGTCATACAGGATTTTTGAGACCTGGTAGGAGGCTATTTTAACATCTAGGTAAGAGTGGATGAGGGTTTGAAAGTATGAAATGGCAGTGGGGATTAATGAAGAGAAGAATCCATATGAAATAGATATGGGGCACATGGGAAGGATATTCCTCAAATCTAGTCTAATTGAGAGAGATTTTACCACAAGAAATTTTCATGAGTGCTACAGAGGACAGTGATGAAAACACACTCAACAGTGATGAAAACACACTCAGGAGTAAAGCTAAAGGCTATACCTTAAGAAAGGCTAGGTGGTGAATGCAAAGAGAAAGGACAGGAAAAGTTTGCAAGTAAGAAAAGAAAGATTGGGGGCTGTGGAGAGCAGAAGTGATGAAGGTAAACAGGAAACACTGGATTTGCAGTGAAATGTTATTTTTGCATAGAGGCTAGTGCAGACAAAACTAGGTGGAAGGTTGCCTTTGTAATTAAGTCACCTTAGTTGGGCAAATGCAACTTGATAGATCTTCTTTTCTGATATACAAAAGTGTGATTATTTGATTTGGCCAAGATCTTTAAGGCTGAATTCTTATAAGAGAATAAAAAATCTCAGGAACTTCAAATTGCCACTCCACTTTACCGTACTGCTGGTCTACATAGCAAAGAACGAAGGGTATATTTCCTGGTAGGAGAGCGTAGTTCCCTCCATGCTACATGTATATAAATCTATAGTTTTATATTTCTTGGTATTTGGTGAGAAGAAAATGTAGTTTAACATGGGATTGGGACTGTGGAAAATTCCAGAGGAAATTGTCAAGATTTACTCTTACTGATCAATGTTATCTTCAGGACTCCTTCTTCCCTCCTAAGGTTTTTCTCTGCAAATAATAATTCTTTCAGCTTCAGCCCTAATTACTAGGGCCCTTAATCTTTTTCATGGTTTTATAGTCCTTGAAACAAACATATGCGCTTATTATTGAAGGCAGCTTTTGTTTGCCAGAGGCAAAAATACTTACAGATCGTCTTCTTTAACACATCTTTTCACGTCTGCTAGACAGCTCAGTTCTCTCCTTCTAACTCATCCCTCACCCAACTCCTCCCAAATTTTTTATTGAAAACTGTCCACACATTGCTAAGCTCTTTTGTTTTGTTTCTAAGAACACTGTGTAGTCTTCGTGTAGAATGGCAACTTGATATAGACATAAGATATATAAACATTTGTTAAATATACTTGACCACCAACTAACTAAAGGGTTTCTCGATATAAACTCTTGCTTACACGGTACCCAATTAACCTTTTATCACTTTTCAAAACATGCATAGCTTTATGGCATAAGCTCATTTATCTTTGCTAAAAGCCTTCATAGGAATCTGAACAAAAATAGTTTCTGTTAAAATATTCAACTGTAATGTGGAGCCTTTTATTACATTTTAAACATTTTTTTCTTGTTCCTAGGCCCTTTAAGGATTAGAGCAAAAATGTACATAAATAATTCATGTAGCAGAGTATAAGCCCCAAGAGCCTGTCTCAAAAAATGATGACCAGAAAACCACAGATGCAGTAGAAATCTTGGACAACGGATGAAGAAATGATGCAAACACTTAAATTAGAACTTTCTAAGCAACCAAAAAAAAAAAAAAAAAAGAATCAGAGGACTGCCTATTCTATTACTATACAAGCTGGGAAGCAACCCAAGACCACCAAGTAGGGTATTTTTAAAATGCCAAGACAACTACTGTAGTCTTTCATGTACGTTACTTGGTGGAAATCACTGGCAATCTTATGACAGCATCTGTGAGGCATTTGGTTTAGGTCTGTGAGTCCAGGTGCAGGTGAAGGTATACTTCTGTTGTTGTTGCCCTTTTTTGACTCCAACCTAGATCAATATACACTTACCATCATAGTTATTTTCTTTCCATTGATTGTCTTTTGATTATAGGGCCGAGAAAACTTGTTATTCTTAAGCTATTTTAGTGTTGAGTTTTTTTAAAAATATGATCTGTTGATGTAAATATATGTACAGATTGTTTTTGTAAGTCAGAGAGCCTTCCTTTCACTGGCTGGATAATTTTACTCTTTGGGATAGTGTTTGGAATTGGGTGTCACATACTAAGAGGGCAGGTCTTAGTTGTAAGCATGTAAGAAGATGGTTAGAAGTAGTAATAAACCTTATGTGGCTTGGCTAGCATCCTGCTCTTCTACAGTCTTACAGATTTCAGTAGCTGAAAATAAAAAGTCCTCAGCTTTACAATAAAACACAATCCACTTAAGTCAGGTCTGAATTGTATTAAAACCTTATCTGGGAAAAAAATAAACCTCAATCCCCTTCTTACTAGTTATCTCAATGTACCTTTTAGGTGGATCAAAGATTTAACTATAAACAATGAGGCTGTCCATACAGAAAAAAAAATGAATGAATTAAAATAAGTATTGAAATGGGGAAGGTCTTTGTATGCAAGAAACAAAACTCAGAAAAAACACAAAGGAAACACTGATATATTTCAATAATTGAACACAAGAAAAAATTTTCTGCCTAGCACAAAATAACATAAAATTCAAAGAAAAGTTGAGCAAAATTATTTACAACACACATGACCAAAAGTACTGATTTTATTTGTCTATAGAGAACTCTTATAATTTCATAAGAAGAGATTAATAAACGAATAGAAAAAATATACAAAGTAAAGGAATACATCTAATATAAAAAGAAATACAATGGCTTATAAGCATAAGAAAAGATGTTTTACCTCAATTTAAACATGCAAATTAATACAATAATGATATTACATTTATATTGAAATGGAAAATATAAAAAATTGATACACTGATTTTTGGTTAGAGGGTAGGGAAATAGATACTTTAATACACTGTTTGTGGAATGTAAATTTGAATAACATCTTTTTAAATCAATTAGTAAATTGGTAGATAAAAACCTTAAAATATGCTTTTTCCAAACTTTCTATTTGGAAGAATTATCTGTACTTACATTCATGTGCACAAATATATATCCAAAGATTACATTCCATTTCTTGTAGTACTTTCTCTTTTTCTCTGCATTAATAGTTTTGATTTTGTTGTGTAGTTTTCTATGTTCTTTCCAAATTTAGCAAAAAAAATTGTAAAATCTATACAAATAACACTTTTTTCCACATGATGAAATACGTCAGTTTTAATTTTATTGTATAGATATTCTTTCTACAACTCCCCAGCTTCACACTCTGAGCTGTTCTCTAGTCTCCTGAGCAGCAATCCTGGTTTTTTATTTCCTCTCACCCCTGAATCTATGCCTTTGTGGACTGATACAGTGAACTTATATTTTGTTTGAATATAAAATTCTATAGGTTGATCATAATTCTTTCTCAAAAATATTATCCAATTTCTTCTAGCTTCCAGAGCTGACGTTGAGAATTCCTTTTGTTCCTCTGAGGAAGCTTTGAAACTTTTCTTCTTTTTTCTGAAGTCATGACATTTTGTGATGGTATGCTTTCACAGGTGTTTTTTTCATCCATTACACTGGGCAGTTGGCGGGTCCTTTCAATTAATAAACTCATGTTCTTTAAGTCTGCAACATTGTCGTGTATTATTAATTTTATTACAATCCTATTTATTTTATTGTAAAATATAATCCAGGTACAGAAAAACATCATGAAGTAAATGTTTGGTTTAAAACATCATCATAAGGAAAAGGCTCAGGTAAAAAACACCCAGATTAAGAGATAGCACTTTGCAAGCCACTGCAAAAAAAACCTCCACATGCACCATCTCAGTCACAGCTTATTTCCTCTGTGATCTATCAACACTATTTTAGGTTACCCCATCTTGCTGTCCTTTATAATTTTATTACTGAATCGTTCTTCCTGAAGCAGAACTTTTTTAAAAAGTATTTGTAAGTTTTTAAAAATCTACATATTTTCTCACTGTGTTTTTTTTCTTGCAATTTATTTATTGAGGATACAAGAAAATTAAACTGGGAAAATTTTAAATCGTGTGAATTTTTCTGATTTCATATCCATGGTATAATTTAACATGCTTCTTTGATGTACTTCCTGTACCTATGTATTTTCTGACAGTTGAACCTAGAGACTTCCATCATACACAGGTTTGGTTTTGGGTGCAAGCCTTTTCTGAGGTAATCTTGTGTACATCTATCCAGGAGACACATGATAACTCATTATTTCTAATTTTGTGATGCTTAATACCTAGATCCACTGATTCATTGGGAGCAATAAAACAAGTGACAACTGAAATTATAATACAACAATTCCTTCTTTTATTAGCTGAAATAACTTCTACAAAGAGTAAATTCTCATCTACCATTTGGCTACCTTGCTGTATAGTTGGTGGAGGAATGGCAGGACAAAATATTTAACTGTTCTTTTTACTTATGAATTTTCAAAACAATGAATTATATTCCAATTATCTGCCATAAGTGGTAGATGTTTTCTTTTTAATTATTATTCACTTTAGAATTTAAATTGGATTTATTTTCAATTAATTGAAATTATCCTTATTGATGCTCACACTGTCGTATCTTTAGATAGTGAGATCATCTTTGTATTGGTTCCTCTGTCCTTTAGATATATTCCTAGAAGTCTTTGACAAAATGTTCCAGGTTCACCTTCTATGGTTTGTTCCCCAGACCTCTATTTCTATGTGTGTTTGTGTGCGTGGTGAATTTTTTACAGTAAGAAATGTTCTTTTAAAACCACAATCTGGTCCTTAAGGATGCTCATTGCTACTAGCTTGATCATAGTTTGCATAACTTTTTTTAAAGTGTTCATTCTGATAGTTACACTTTAAAATCGAAACAATAAGGTGGGTTTTTACTTAACCTCTTCTACTCTGATTCAGAATATCCTTTCTTCCACATTAAGAGTGCTGGTTCTCAAAGACGGTGGAGATGATACAATTAGCATATCACAATATCCCTCTTTGCTGTATTCTGTGTTACACATAAAGCAGTTTCAGAGTAGCAACAGCACTGCTACCACTGTAAATATGATTATTGAAAGTAATGACAATTTTTACCTATGATTTTTCTATTACCTTCATATTTCTTATAGCTGTACCGTGTCTTCATTATCAGAACATGTAACAAGTTTATACTGTACTCCACCATATAGCCCTCATTTAGTGTTAGCTCTCTGGTATTTAGTGCCCATTATCAGTCCTTATATCCATGTCACCCTTCTGTTTGTCTACAGGTCTTTTTCTGGTAAATTTCTCAGGAGGCGTTCATGGTAACAATATTCCCTGAGTTCTTTAATGCCAATAACAGTTTGTCCATGCCCTTCATACTTGTAGGAAAGTTAGCTTATGGCTGAATATAAAAATAACTTGCTTACATTCTAACGTCTTATCTTTTGTATGTTACTTTAATTTTTACTGGCATAAAGCGTTGTCTTTGAAGTCTGATGATGATCTAATTATATAACAAAAGAGTCTTCATTTTAAGAGATTTGGTGATTTTAGCTAGATGTGAATGCTTATATTATTTCTTTGATAGTCATTAAACTTATTAGCATATGTCTTGATGTTGGTCATTTTTGATCAGTTATTTCATATATTCAGTGTGCCTTTTGAAAATGTGACATCAAATTTTTTTCTGTTGTATTGTAAAAGATTTCCTGAATTACAGCTTTCATTGTATTTGTTGTGTTTCCTTGTTTTGGTTTTCTTTTTCGAAGGTTCCATATACATGCATATTGAGTCTTCTTTTTCTATCTTCTTATCACTTATGCTTGATTTTTTTTCTTATTTCTCCCTTCCTCTCCCCCTCAGCTCACATCCCCTATTCCTTCTTTTTTGAAACTTTTTAGATTTTTTCTACTTTTTACTATTTATTCCCATTTCTTTTTGAAAATTTTTCTATGTCTCTTAAAGCATTCTTTGGTCTGCATTTCCTTTAATTTAGTCTTAATTTAAAAAATTATTTTTTCTTTTATTTATAATTCTTTCTTGAGTTTTATTAAAGCATCTTTTAACTTTTCTAATTCTGATTTATGTTGCTATTTCATAGGTTGTATTATATTCTTAAGGTTTTTTAGTTTATCTAATTTCTCTCTCTCAAAAACTTGTCAGAACTTCTTACCTGTTATCTCTTTTTCTATTCTTTTTGTTCTGATAAGTTTATATATTTTTCAGTCCTCTCCTTACATTTTTGTGAGAATCAGCAACAGGGAAAAAACAGACATGTCCTTTATTCCCAGTATTTAATCAGCTCTATTTTCCTTGTGAATTTGTCCTTTCCTTATTTAAACTACAGGAATTTTCTATCCACTCATATTAATTAATCTTTCATTGCTTATATGTGTTGCAAATACTTACTTTCAATATGTGCTTATAGTCATTTAAAAAAACTCATTATCTGATGTATTAACATTTTAATTTTAACTTGTTATTCGTTTTCTTTATTGTTTATGCTGTTTTATGTCTTGTTAATAAATTCTTCCCTATTTCGAGGACATGACAATGTTTTCCTATGTATTCTGAGACATTTAAAATGTGCTTTTATGTTTATATTTTTAATTTGTCTGGGATTGATTTTTGTGTCTAGTATGACATAGGGATATTGTTAGCTGAGGCATCTCTCTTTTCTCTTGATTTGTATTTCCATTTATATGCCATGTTCCCCTTTCTTCATAGATCTGTTTATGGGTTCAATGTTATCCTACACTGGTCTGTCTCTGAATTGATATAACACTGTTTTGATTACAATAGCTTTATAGTAACTCATGAAATACGGTAGACAAAGTCTTTGCTGCTGATTCTTTTGATTCAAAATAATCTTGGCTATTCCTGACCCTTACTCACCTAAAGTCTGTAAACAAACAAACAGTGTTGAAATTTTGATTGGAATAGCCGTGAATTTAAGGAGAAATTTGAAACTTACTTTTATCTTCTATTTTCTCCTCAGAGCTGACATGTAGTATCCTCACATGGAACATTTCCAGATAAATTTAAAAAAAGAATATATATGTATATATATATATATACATATATATATATACACATATATATACATACATATATATATACACATATATATACATACATATATATATATAAAGTGCCCCCACGTACATACACAGACAATACACTTTTACATGTTTACACATGAATGACATATTTGTAGAGATTTATATGCAAATTGGTGAGAGTCAATGTCTCTGGGGAAAAAGACTAAGGGATTAGAATCTGTAGTAAGAGAGATGTTTACTTTTCACTTTAAAATATTTTGTTTTATCTTATGTATGTATTACTTTTTCATACAAGGAATCCCACTTTAAGACAACACTTGACTGGCCTAAATTCACATCTTAATTATGACAGGTGATTGGTGTGAGAATTATTTTTCTATATCTTCTAACATTTAATATAATGCACCAGGAACCCAGAAATTCCCAAATAGAAAGTTTAGAGTAATTATCCCAGTTTTCTTACTAAAGATGACTATGATGTCAGGCAAATGTTTTACATGGGAAAAAAATATATCCTGCAAATACATCTGATTGTGTCTTTTGTGCTGTGTGTGTAGAAAAGAGGAAGAGTAATCAGTTGGCTGCTAGTAATGTGAGAAACGGAGCCACATTTTATTCACTTTTCTATCATTAACAAGTAGCTCAGTAACTCATATATAATAGATGCTTAATAATAATCTTTTAAACAACGAATTAGTGAATAAGCACATCAACAAGTATTAGTAGATATTTCGAGGGTGGTATGTGGGAGTTTGTTGTGGAGTGTGATACAGAATCTGGAACATAAAAGGGCTTAGTAATTGTCATCTTTTGCTTTTGTCAGTACTTTACACACTGTCTCTATTACTATTATTCTGGAGATTTATCCTCAACCTGATTCTGCATGGTAGTTTTTGTTAGTGACTTGGATGAAGATAGAAGTTTATCATCTTTGTTGATTTCCTTACTCTGAGGTGGATAGATAGGTCTCCATAGGCTGTAGTGCTGTACCTAATGAGGTAGAATTTAATAGTATTTAATATCCTGAACATACAATAAAACTCAAATGATCAAGGGCAGTAGAAAGACAGAATTTGCTTAACAATAGTGCATTTAGAATTTTTAAAGTTTTAGTAGAAAGTACATCTCAATCTGAATTACTAGTATGCTATGGCCAACAAAGAATGTAATAGTATTGCAAGTTATATTAAAATAAATATACTTTGTGTAATGAGGAAGTTGATAGTGGAGCTCTGTTAGGCAGAGATGAACTATACGTAAGTGTTTATTATGGTCAATCCTAGACATTAAACTTTCTAAGAAACTTAGGCTTGGGAGCAAATTTGGAGAACAGTGATTAGAATTGTGAAAAGACTGAACTATTTTGTATTTCAAGTGGGATTTTTTGCTTTCAGGAGAAAATAACTCATGGAAGATATGAAAGCCATCTTTAAATATTTGAGATCAATTCAGGCGATGAAGACGGTGTGGCTATAAAAAGAAAAAAAAAGAGCAAGAAATCAATATAAAGAAGACATCCCAAATAGTCCAAAATGCAGCCAGCTGTTTTAGAATTCAGACCCATGGCAGTGTTCAATGATAGGCTTCACAATTACATGTTGAGGTTGTGGCAAAGGATTAAGGAACCACTTATGGGGCTGGATCAGATGAGATTTATGCTGGAAATTTCATATTCCATGAAATTTGAATTGGCATACTATAGCATGACTTCAGATAGGCTGTATTTATTATTTGGAAAGATGTCTGCTACATACCTTAACTGGTGAACTGGCTCAATAGAATTCACTAATTTTTTTTGAACTCAAGAAATATTGATTTGTATTTACTATTTTGAGACATGTGAAATAGACAAAACAAGGAATTGTACAGTGATTTGCTACAGAGTATAGCATAGAAAGTGGTCTAAATCAGTCCATGTGTTTGGACCTATTCCAAACTTGACAATAGTTGTATGTTAGTAAGTCATAGAATTGGCCACGTGTTTAACACCCATTATGTTGCCTAACCCATAGTAGACAACATTTGTTGAAAGAAGAAATGACTAATTTCTTTCATTGCTTGATTGATGTTCACTAGCTTCTAACCTGCCTGAGGAGCAGAGGAAGCCAATTCCCAAGGCACCAGTTGGTTAGATCACCTTTTAAGACTTTCAGCACAACTTTACCCCCTTGGAGAAGAGGTCATAACTAGTAATAGGATAGGCCATGGAAACAGGAGCCACAGTGACTGGTAAGAAGATCCCCTGTAGTGCAGAGGAAGGCAGCTCTGAGAGCAAAGTTGAGTATTTTCAGGGGAGATAGAAAAGTTTTAACTAGATAGTCAATCAACTCTCCAAAATTGAGACAGTACTTCAAATTATAGCATTCCATTAGAAAATACTGCTTTCACATGAACATTCACGAGTATATTTGAAACTTTTTTTGAACTCAGAAATAACATCCTACAAACCATAAGGAAATACAAAACTAGTGAAAAAGTAATCATATCAAACAACACCAAATTTTACAAAACATCAAAACCCTTTTATGGAAAGTGAAATTGTTAGAATATGTTTTTTAACTGTTTAATTTATTAGGTGCCCATGGCCATATGTGACCACAGAGACTTGTAAAGCAATGCTAATTCTTTTATTCAGCCATTGGAAACATTTATCTTTAGGCTATGTATGAGGAAATTATATGATGTCCTCTTTGCTGTATTCTTATCTTGGGCTATATACAGATGAGAGATTATCTTACTTCCCATAGTCTTCCTACCAATATCATTATTGATTAGATAGTACAAAACCATAAATATTTCAGTATAGATTTTATTTTTAATTGTTTCCAGTGACATGATTTGATCAAGACTTGGATCAAGAATTAAATTTAAGATATCTTCCTAGATATTATTAATTTTGTTCTCTAAGAATAATAGATTTATGATTTAAAGGGATTTATTTAAATTCCTTTGCCCTTCTTTTTAAAAAACTGTCACACATCTCTATTTAAAGCACTATTTGGATGCAAAAAGTCATTAATTTAAAATTGAGAAGTTTTTCTTCCTTTTTGTTCTCTCTCACTTCCTCCTTTTTCCATTCTTTTCTTTTTCCTTCTCCCACTTTCCTCTCTCTTTTCTGAAAAGTTGTGTCCAGCTCCCCAAATCTATTCTCTAAATTCTTGCCCTGCATTCACCAAGAGGTGAAAAGATCATAAAATGTCATTGTTTCTATCAAGTCAGAACTGTCAGCAGTGTGGAAGCAATACAAAGACTTTGTAAGAAAACACTTATCTTAGTAACCTTTTTGTGTGAGACAAATAGAGAAGAAATTATTTCTGAGTTTAAAAATAGTCAACACAACTTGGAAAACATGGTAATATTTATTCATGATAATAAACACGTTTTTAATGAAAGCCATAGATGTCCAAACACAAACTGAATCATGACAACCCAATGGTCTTTTTTACAAAAACCATGACATATGTCCCATTAATTTGCTAAATGATATGAATGCAGAGAAAGGATGAATCAAAACCACTAAAATCCTTTTAAACACACCATCTAGTTTAGATGTCAACTCTGAAAATGGCATTCAAAAATGGTCCCTCTCTTTTAAATTTATCTGCTGAGTTTTTGTTACGGTACCTTTACCAATTTCTTAAAAGCTTTAATTGTTATCATTCATTTCAACTCAAAACTGCTAGCAATTTGGTTTGACTTTCCATAAAGGACTAAATTCTGTCACATTAATACATATGTAGGTAGTTATACAATGTCATTTGTAAGTATATGGGTCTGAAAGGGCCATTATAAATGTTATATAAACCATATAGTATATAGGGTATATATATTATGTGGTGTACGTAATAGCTGACTAGAAAAAAATATATACCTATCTAGTACATGATTTTCTCTAATAGCTTCAGACTTCTTTCAAATTAAACTTACTATTTGGACAATTTTTAAAGTTTGCTAGAGATTTAAATTTTTATTCTTAAGTACCATCAAGTCAGATGCCTATATAATTGTCACTTTCAAAAATTTACCTCAGTCTTTCCCGGAAGCCATTTAGATGCATCTGATATTATTTTAAAAATCAAATTAAATGTAAAAATGTCCAAATAAACTTTCTTTATTGGTAATTTATAATATAGTCATCCTATTGTACTCTTTAAATTGAATTATCTGAATCTGAAAATTTAAAAAAGCTAAGTTTTATAAATAAAATCTCAGGAGGAAAAGGCACTTAAGCCCTGCACACGGTTATTCCAGTCTGTATTCTCCACAACCCTTATCAAATGGAATTGATTTCTGGCCTGCATCCAAATACAGCAACGTGCCAGAATAAAATCAAATCAGAATGCTTATGAAAAAGAATCAAGTTGGCCACCAAATGTTTCATAGCAGTAGGAAATTTCTTTAGAGACTTCTGATGGAAATTTGAAGTGTATGTTGCTATCAGATCAAGTGCAGGAGAGGTATAAGGCTACTGGAGAAATTCCCTTAGTCTATTGACCAGAAAGCTAAAACATTTGTCGTAACAGTAAAGCTTGACAAGATAATCAAATGAATGATAACAAAATCTCAGCAGGGAAGTGCCCATTAATTGAATTTATTTGGAAGCATGTTTTCACAAGTATAACCAAATCATCTAATTTCCACTCACATTAAAAAGTGATAGTCTATAACAACTAATTACTGGAAATGAAGGAAAAGGCCAGTACTTTGAACCAATAACACAGAAGAAAACAAAATTACTAACATCAAAAGACTGCCATATTTGACAGCTTCTTAAGAATTCAATTCATCATTTCATCCTGTGAAACTATTTCAGTGAAACTCGCCAAAGAAAAGAATCCCAGTAATTTCTATGTAGTAGTGTCTTTAATGCTGGAACACATTTCTCATATTCTTTGTATCATTTTTTGATATTAATACGTATGTCAGGATGAGTGTGGCAAGAGGTGAAATAACTGTTGTTACAGATGTAACAATTTAGTTTCAGCACTTCACTCCTGTAAGAAAATTAGTGCCATCTGTTTTCCTCTTTTTAATATTATATATACTTGATAATTTTTAAAAAAATGTTGCTGTTTTCACATACAGATCAGGAAGTCGGAAATAAAGCATCACTTTGGTCAACTTTTATATTTGAAATGAGGAATAAAATAATATATACTCAGATTTTCTGCTTTGAGTTGCCAGCAAGACGTCTACAAATCTGACATTTTTAATGCTTTAGCAAATTATTTTCCAATTTGCATAAAGTTAGTAATAAACTTTGTTATATATCTGTGGTAGCCAATTAGATTTTGTTCATAGTCAACATGTTCAGTAGAGATTTAAAACTATGAAATCTGTCACTTTTATTTTTCTATCCTCATACTCTAAAACATTAATCTCTTGGTAAACATTTGGTAAAAATTTTATATAACAGCAAAACAATGAAATAAAGTTCATTTTAGTGTAATCTTTGTATAAATTATAAGCAGCTTTGCCTAATTTTTAATCGGAGGCAGGAAAATCTGAATTAACAAATAATGCCAAAAATATTATTTTAATTTTGTTACTTACATTGTTTTTCAAAGAAAATTATCTAAATAAATACATTTTAAACATATTTGCTAAAATTGAGTAACAGTATTTATTTTTCTTGCATATAAAGATTATGTTTCAGCTTTAAAAACAGTTCTTAATGTTCTGTATAATGTGGGGCATCCTTTTTCATTCAGAAACTAGAGACTGCAATTATAAAACTAGCAACTAACACTCATTCACAATGACTTTATCACGTGACTGGTGAACAACAATTAAACCTAGGCTGCTTTATCTTCCATAAAGTTATTCTACCCTAATTTAGAGAAAATAATTAATAGGGCTATGCTTTGTTTTCCTCAATCATTTTCCTAAATTAATATAAAGAGGGTGACAGTTATGCTATATATAGGCAGATTGATAAATGCAGAGCAATAGATTGGTAGGTAGATGATATAAATATGGCCATCGTTAAAACATACTATTTAATAGAATGTTTGGTTTTGCCAAATGAAGCAATGCATATGAAAGTATTCATTCATATCTTATTTTGTTGTCATTTCTATTCTGTTCTTGTGTTTTGTTTAATTAATACAGTAAAATACAGTGTTCCAATTGAACAATACTTCAGATGCTAAACAATTATTTGTATTTGTGTACACTGGCAGTTCACAGTTGAAAAGCATAACCACCTCAGTCAAAAGCTGTATGTAGATCACTCTGGATTTTGAAGACTTTTGCTTCTAACAGAGACTTTTTTTTAATTATGGAGGAATACCTACATTTCTTTGATAGATAATAATTGGGAGGGGGGATTATAATCACATAAATTCCTTGAAATAGATTTTTATCTTTTAGTGTCAGTTTAATATCTTGCTCAGCACTTTTACATTCTCTTAGCATGGCAACTTTCTATTCATTACTTTATGGTAGTTTAATCACCCCCATTTTATGAACCTAGTTATTTGTATTCCATGAAATATTGCAAATTTCTTTTCAATAGACCTTTTCCTTGATGACTAGAATTGGAACTTGTTTTTCTAACTAACTGAAAACAATTGGCACTTTATTTCTACAACATCTGTACCTAAGAGATATTTAACAACACAAAGCTAATCTTTCTTTTTTTCATGGATTTCTGGAGCTTTTAAATTCATAACAAACATTAAATAATTTTTATGAGTTTCATCTTAGATGAGACTTGCCTTTAAATACATGTTTGTGTTTTCTGTGGAAGTTACCTATATGTCTTCAAAAACCTGACTGGTCTAATCTAGAAAAATTACTCTTTGAGACAGTCATGTTTCTTTGTTCTTCTTTTCCTTTTTTTCTTTTTTTTCTTTTTTTAGAAAAAAGAAAGACAAAACAGCAATAAACATTTTAGCTCTTTAATGAGCAAAGATCATGTTTCTTAGCATTGGACTAATAGTCATTATCCAGATTATCTTTATTTCACACAATGACCAGTGACATGGCCAAGATGTACAAAGTTGGTTCCATCAAGTAGTATACAATTTTTTGTATAATAATCTTTCATTCTTGAAAAAGAGTAACTGAAAAGAAAGGTTTCTGTTACTGCAGTTAGTTTGTCAGAGAAAGTTCTTTGCATTATCTTATAAACTATCAAAATTGCTAGTCATCTGAAAAAATGTAAAAAAAAAATCACATAACTTTAGTCTAATAGAAATATAGTACAGGTGAGAGAGAAAGTATTTATCAGGATGTGCTCTTTAAGTCCATCTCATTTGTTTTTCAATATAAATGTACATCTGATTACATATACAAACATTTGGAAAGGTCTGTGATATACTGTTACTGGTAAACAACAGGGGGATGAAGAGTTTCCTGTGGTCTGAGAATATTCGTTTAAAATCACACATATGTGTAAGAAAGACTAAAATCCTCCAGATGTTGACTCTCCTAGGTTCTGTATCTACGTTGTACTCTACTGAGATTGCGTGAGTAAATTCCAGTGAATGAACCTCAGTGAGAAAGATAAGTGATGTAAAGAGGGATATAACTTTATAATGAATTGTTATTAGTAAACATTTTGTCATGCAGCATGAGTAAATCAAAGAACTCAGAACTATAATCAGAGTGGTAATACGGGGGCATCCTCATATCATGAAAGACTGTTGCAAGTAACTCTTTGGACACACTTCACCTTACCAAAAGGAACAAAATACAGAGTAACAAAAAAACACAGCAACTTATAGATCCTGTACCACATGTCCAATTAGGGTTATATTTCTATAAATTATCTAGATGGGATTGAAAAGAACATTAAAAACAGGAAATTTTTTTCTGGGATTCATATCAGCGAGTATTCACCACTATACCTATAGTTTCTTCAAATACCTTTAATAGCTAATTCCTTCTATATTGAAACTACTGTGAATTATTTTATTGTAATTACTTTTGCCCCTTAAAATCTTCTTTAGGTTCTGCCAATTGATGGAGGAAGCTTCTATTAAAAACTCCAATGGGATGAGAAGAATTTTAATTACGGCTTAATCAGCAGCACAGCCACCAAGCATATAAATTATCATGCACATCGTGCTAAAAATATCCAGTTTCCTTTATCCCCACAACTTTATACTGACAGCACTTATGTGATAATGGTGTACCTGCCAGTCTTTAAACTTCTTTGTTTTACTGGCAAATTTCAGCATGAGCCTTTGCTAAGGCCATTAACAGCATTGACGCTTTGTGTACTTATCCAAATATGTAAATATGGTCTACACAATAAAACGGCTCCAAATAAAAACTGGTGAAAATTATCTGACATTCCACTGGTGTGTCCCTTGTGCATATTCATAGTTGTTTTTTTATTTTTATTTTTTATATTTCAGACATAGTTCTTTCCTGTTTGGTGTTCCACATGCCTAATTCCATTATGTAACTTAAATCTTCAAAAAATTAATTCTTGAATGTGAATGAAAAAGTATCATTCAGAACAATTGCTTCAAGCAATTGAAATTTGTTTTTAAAGTTGATTTGTATATATACAATTCATTTTTTTCAAAACCCCCAAAGTTCTTGATATGTATATTCACATAATATTCCTCCTTATTTAAATAGTAAGTCTTGTAGGTTGAAAGCCAAGGAATCTTCAGTGATCGTTTACTGCAATCCATCAAAAAAAATAGTTTGTTTCTCTTATCTGGCTATACCCTGGTTGTTGAATGTGAATGGGGGTGGGGATGGGGATGGGGCAGAGTATTGTTCTGTCCTCCAGTAAATGTATTGAATGTGTGTAAGGGCTGAATCCCTGGTATAGTGTTGGGAATCATTGTAATGGTGTTGGGTGTCATTAAGGGAACATCATCAGGTGACCTCCTCATAGCTAGTGTGTAATCTGGGGGACAGGCGGTCCGAAGAACCACCTCATGTGGATGAATGGACTCACATTCATGATCCAAATCAGTGTGCTTCATTTGGAGGGACATGATTTCCTCTTCTTGTGCATGGGTTAGATCATTGGTAGTAGTGCGCTGAGGGCTGCATCTCCTGTGAACATCATGTCTCCTCTTATCCTTTTTGTAGTACAGGGCTGCAAAGGCCAAGATGTTCAGAAACAGCAGTGATGCTCCAACTGCAATAGTGACACTCAGCTCTGTTGAGTAGTCCCTTTGATCCACTGAAAATGGACTTGGTTGTTGTTTGGGATCATCCTGCTTGGCAGTGGGAAAGGCTGACGTGACAGGTACAGAATTTTTTCTCGTAGGTCTGAAAGTGATGTCAGTTGATGGCACTTTAGTTGTTGTAGAGGTATACTGAGAAATGTCATTGAGATTATGCAGATGAGGTACCAACTCCAACCAGAGGTTCACCTTATTGGCTCTGTAATGTTCTTTAACTCTTGGTTTTAATCCAATATGGAGATAAAGTTGGTCTTTCTGGGAATATCTGGTCCATGCTACTTCTTCAAAACGGTTGGGTTTGGTATGAATGAATTTCGTGTCTTGAGGGACTGGTTGATTTGGGTCACTAAGAAGGAAAAGATAAATTATGAGAATAAAGCTATTTTATTTTTTACTTAAAATCACACTACTTTAACATCTAATAATTAAATAGATGACTCAGCAATGCTTTAGATTGTGTTTTAACATTAATTTGGGTCAATTTAGAAATATAAATCTCCTAGCAGGCATATTGTTAGATGGGTGATAATGGAAGGCAAGTAAGTCTCACATTCTTGTTCTCTCTGCTTATCCTGAGATGGGCTGCTATCTACCCAAAGATTTTAAAGAATTATTTAAATACTCACATACGTATGAGTTGTCTCATAGGCAAGCTAGCAGAGATGACATGGAATAGTGGAAAGGATTTTTGATTTTAAATTAGCAGATGAAGGTTTGAGCCTAGGCTCTGCTATATACCAGACATGTGAACATCTCTATGACACTCACAGAGCCTCAGGTCTCCTTCTTGTAAAGTGGGATTAATAGTACCTGATCTGCGAGATTCAGAAAGGTAGTTGGAAGGATTAAAGAGTGTTGTGAATGACAAAGCACTATAAAATAATATTTATTACTGCTGAACAATAACAAGTCTTGTATAATTCAAAAACCAAAAGCAGATGTAATTAAGTAATGCAATTGAGATATGTGCTTTCTTAACAAGCTTCTAAAACACCAGAAATAATAAAGCAATGACTTTTAAAAACACCATAATATAGAATTAATTTTGAATAAAGGAATGTAATATCTTGCAGGTATTAATCCAATATGACATTATCTGGGCATAAATATCTATTATTTTAAAATGGTTAAAATAACATTTTTATTAAAAATAAACTTCATTCCTTAGGTACATACCCAGTTTTAGCAAAATTTGTCCAGTATGTCATTACAACTGCACTCAGCATCACATCATTTTTGGAGAAATTGCAAGGAAATAACTCTGTAGGGCCAATCATGGGGATTCCCAGTACATAGGGAACCTCGTCTCCGTGGGCTGCATCAGCCCAAGCTGGAACCTGATCTGTTTGGCAATGATGGTAAAAGGCATAGAAGTACGTAGGTGAACCAAAGTTTGAGTGAAGATCCGCTGTGGCTACAGCTGGTGCCACCCACTGATGGTCCGTAAACAAAGCCAGTAATGTCTTTCTTCTGGTTTCAGGGTTATGACGGTCAGCCCAGTCAGTATACATGAACTTAATGGTTTCTCTCAAAACATCTTTGCCTTCAGGATATCCATATAAATTATCAACAAAATTTGAAACAGCAAAGTCAAAATCACTAGCTGATATACCATCATCGCTATCTACTATATTTTCAACAAATTTTAACCCTTCCCCTTGGTTCACTCCTAACATTATATCATAGTTGAGAAACTCTCCTTGCTCCATCAATATCTGGGGGTCGTCTGGTATTACATCACCATCAATCACAGGTCCAAAGGCTATGTGGTATCGAGCTGGTTGAATATCTTGGTCAACAAGTTCTTTGTAAGGCTTCTTCTGTAGGCATTCCACTAACTCTACTGTATCTGAAACATTGCAACCAACTTTTGTGGCCAACATTCTAGCATATTTTGCAGGTTGAAAACTAACAGCCCAGCTGGAAAGGGCTGTTCCACTTTGAGCTATTGCTCGTTGAAAAAGTCCTATGGGAAAATCAACAAAGAATTTTAGATGATCTTTGGGTAATGTTGTGGTAAAACAATAACATCTGATATTTTAGACATGTATATAAAAACCCAGATACAGCTCAAGAAACAGGGAGTTAGAGATATTTTTCTTAAGGGAAGTACACAAAGCCAACCGCAGGGTATAATGGATTAGAGAGGTGGATCTAAGTCTTGTGCTTTGAGTGGCACCTGCTTTAGGGATCAAGAAGCCTCAAAGAGGTAGTAGGCAAGAAGAAAAGGAGACGATGTAGTGGTAAAAAGTCCCAAATATGTTCTTCAATGAGTGTGTAAATACGTATATTATCATCAACATTAACCAGATGGGGCCAATCTTCTCCTATTTAACTCTCCAACAGACTCTACATTGTCTGTTTGGAATATTTCCTCCAGTTTGGCTGTGTCCATCTTCCTTCAAAATGGTTCTCTATATTTGTTTTAAACAGATGTTATTTGAAAAAGAATTCTTGAAGGCTCATACAATGACTGGGGCTGGCTGTTTGTTTATACCCTGGGGTTGGCCCTGAATTCACACAAAACAGAATATCACTTTAGACATACTCTTTCCAGATCTTCATGTCAGACATAGTATTCTGAATATTCATCTTTCAGAAGAAGACATAACCTTTGAAGTGTTTTCACTAGGTTAAAGAAAAAACCATCAGCAGAAAGATTTAGTGTGGGGTGATTTAACTTTTGCCGCTGTTGAATGTACACTACTGTTTTTATCATAAAAGATGAAAAGCACATGGTCCACTGCTTTTTAATTGCATTTAAGAATTGTAAATGATGGTTCCATATGCAGTTAAGTGCTGCATGTCATTCAAATTTACAAACACACTTTATCTTCTCATTAAGGTATTTTTCGGATAAAATTCCTGTTTTAAAAATATAGTTTATTTTCTTTTACATATTTAAATTTATTATCAATTTTATCAATTTCCAAATACAGCTTTGTGCTTCAGTTATTTAAAAACATGCTTAATTATTCATATGTATTAATGAGATAAAAACTCTTTTCACAAAGGTGTTGAAGCACTGTCTGAATTAGAAGGAAAGTTTTAGATTTTTCTTAACCTAATATGCCTATATATTCAACATGTCTGTAACATGTTCCTATATAATTCTGAAGATATTAAAAAAATCTAACAGTATTAATATACATTTGTTTTGGTTTTCTGACATCTTTATAAGTATTTTTTAGTTTACTAGAACAAAGTATGCTAGAGCAAATGATACAAATACAGATAATTTTTAAAATTATGTAGCTGTTTATCAACATTTGCTCAGGAAAATATTTTAATAAATAAAAATTGTGTAACTAAAATGCACCTGGTGATTTCTATAATATTATTTCCCATCTCAGGGACTCAACATTAACTAAATATACCGAAAAAGATTGAGAAGGAAAGGCACATCATGTCCAATATGTCCTAAAATATGCCACCTAGATTCCTAAAATATGGGAAAAATGTATGTTTGTTTTATCATATTAGTGAAATTGCCTCTTATGTGGATGCAAGATGGGGTTGACTCATGGTATATCCAGGCCTGAGCATTGTGGGATTTATTGCCTTTAAAGTTTATAGCTCCATTGGAGGCAGAATCAGCTTGATGATTTCAAGAGATTTTTTTCAGCATCTCCTGGTAAAATCAGGCAGCTTAGTTTGGAGACAGGTTTAGGCCAAACCTAAGTTGATGTCTTTTTCCAGGGATAGACAGATTTCCCTGAAGTGTATAATAAAATGTTGTATTTTCAACTGTTTGCATAACCATTTCCTACTGTTTACCATGCCATCAGTTGATGACTGGCAGTGTTAGCTGATGAACTAACTGACTCATCTCTTAAACCAATGCCCGTTTGATACTAGCTAAAGGTGGCTTTCACGTCAATTTTTGAGCAAGCGACCCTGAGAAACCTATAGAGGTGGCTTAGTGTTGCTTTAGCTACATAGTGGCATTAGTAAAAATACTGAGATTAGAACAATCTAATCTGTTTAATTAAAGAAACACTAAGTTTATTATTTCAAAAGAAGCCATTTCTTTACAGATGAAATCTCTCTTGGAAATGTTCATCTGTGTTATTTTGTCACCTTGAATCAGAATTTTACTAATATAAATGAAATGTTATGTAAACTATGTTAATAAATTGAGTCTATATATGATTCTCCAAATACATGGATTCATTTAATGACTGGCTGTTCTTTTGAAATTCAACATTCATGTGTTTTTGATACTGAAAACAAATACCATATGTTTGGTGCTCCTATCACAAAACTCAACCTTACAAATTAAAACACTTCATGAATTATACTTGACAGTGTATACTTTTTTCTTGGATATAAAATGACAATAAAAGATCAGAAATTAAAAGAAAGATGGTGTACGTTTTTATATATTATCTGTCTTCCTATCATACATAAATAATGCAGAAAAAGTATTTGCTTTGCAAATTTCTCCAACAATACTCTTCTGTTCTTGTGAAATTTCAAATTAATAATGCAGTTGGAATGGGTGATTCTATGCATGGTAAAATGGAGATGGAGTTCATAAAGAACAACATGGTAAGCCTTGGACAGACAGGCACTTGGGAAAAAATATGTCAAAGCCAGAAAATGGAAACGAGAAAAATATTTCATGGATTTCAGCAGCCTCAATACTCCATGCTGCCTTGCCAAGTTTAGGGGGAAAAATAATGCTTTTGGAGTTAAAAATAGAAAAAACACTGAATCAAATGTATTTTTCTTTTTAATCAAAAGCTCTACCAGTGACCTTGATGCTTTGACAATTTTGGATCATGCATGCGAAATAATCAACAATCCATTCTGTACTCAGACAACAAGTGAAATCACATGTTTTCAGACAAACTAGCTTATGACCGCTTCGTTAGCTTCATACTAATAAAGGGTTTAAAATGTCTATTGTCTTGAAAATAGATTATATACAATCCCTGCATGTAAAAAGTCTCATCTTTGATTTTGATCACTGAATAAACAAAGATGACAAAACTGTAGAACGTCTTTGTCTGATTTTTTCTTCAAATCACCCTTTAAAGGAAAGAAGAGTAACTGTAATGCTAACTATTCTGAAGTGTGCTTGAAAGGGCATCCTTACCAAGCTCCACAGGAGACAAAGAAAAGAGTTTGACGAAAATTTAAACATGCACAGAAAAACTGAAGAAACAAAGCTTTAAACTATTGAGTTCAACCTAACACTCAGTTTGAACAGAGAAATATACAGAGCATCACATACTACTGATGGTGGTGGCATGCAGACACCAAAATTGTCAAAATTTGCAACCTTGCATAATACCTTTGGTTGAATTGCTCCAACGGTTACCTTCAGAATAATGGGATAAAGTCAGCAGGTTGACACATGAACCCCCAGCACCAGATCCAAAAACAGTGATTCTTAAGGGGTCACCACCAAAGAATCCAATGTTTTCACTAGTCCATCTTAAAGCTTGTATGAGATCAAGGAGTCCATAGTTCCCCTTTGCAGCCTGATCGCCTGTACTCAAGAAACCTGAAAAATATAAATTTAGAAAACACGTTTTGAGCTGACGTGAATCAAATAGACATCAAATTTAAACACAAATGAAGCCTGTATTAATCAAGGTAGGGACAGTCCAAGTTCATTAGTAAAAATTATTTTCCACTATAACAAAAGAATTTACTTTAGCAAGAATAGTTAGTAGTGGCTGAAATCTGAAAAATGACATTTATCTTCCCCAAATGCCTCCCAACTTATCCAGGTAACAGATAACAGGGACAGATAAAGGGAAGGCAAACATTCTGAAAACCTCAGGGAAGACATTCCAGGGGCCAAGCTACTCAGTGGAGACATTTGGATAGTATCATAGGGTTCATGTGAACGTGTATCTTGCAGAAAACACCATGTCTGTCCTCAAGTTGCTTGTCGTCAAATGTGGTTGGAATGTTAGGTATGTATGTGTGGCAGAATGGCAGGATGGACATGTGTAGAGCAGGCGGGTATTTCTGTAAGACTTGTAGAGAAAGATTTTGTAAACTCCATGAAATTATATAGAACTCTGCATATATATGAATATGTACATTTTTATCAATGATGATCAATGATTAAGAAAGAATTACTGTGTCAGAGATGACTTGAGGCCACATTTAGGACTACTTTAAATGCCAAACTGAGGGGAGCTACTCAATTAATTAGGAAATGGTGTAGAATAATTGAAGGTTTTTGAAAAGTTCAGACATATATTTCTGGAATGCTCAAAGCTCTGCTTTGTAGTAAATCTGAAAATGAGTAGGAAAATGAGGTGAATCTGAAAATGAGGGGGAGAGAAAACGGAGGTAGGGGAGAGAGTTTAAGGATCTGAACTGACAGAATGGCAAAGGCAATTGAAAAAAAGATGATGGATAGAAAAAATATTGTGGCATTA
The DNA here is from genome assembly GCF_000001405.40 of Homo sapiens. Classification (NCBI taxonomy): domain Eukaryota; kingdom Metazoa; phylum Chordata; class Mammalia; order Primates; family Hominidae; genus Homo; species Homo sapiens. The sequence continues at coordinate 174,274,422 of NC_000003.12, read as the reverse complement.
AGATCTGAGTAACTGTTTTACATATGAAAGTTGTAGAAGGGAGAGTCAAACATATTACTTAGCAATATCTTAAACATATTCACTCATTTAGCTGACCTGATAGCTTTTATAGTTAGTTAGTGTGTTTATTATAACTTGTAAAACAAACATCTATTCTCTAATATATTTTTGCATTTAATATAAATGAAAATTTAGAAAGTGTTTCATAAAATACTCCATCTTATGGACTATTTTATATTATGTAGAAAATATTTAGAGTCCTATTAGATATAAATTGATTATATTAAGGGATATAATTTCCAATTTCAACAAGTTTATAGAACTAATTTTTAAAAATTCATTCTCTCTTATTGGAGACTTATAGAAATTCAACATAATGGGTCAATGATTGTGATAACAACTATTTTATTCAATTTGAAATATATCTCTTTATAAAATAAGCTAGGACATCGATTACATTTATGAAAACAAAACCATGATAACACTACCTATCAGGTTAGCAAATAAATCCATAACCAAACTGAATATATGGATAAGAAATTCTCTAGGATCATTGTAGAAAAGAATAGATGAAGACAAATTCTCCTGAATAATTTTGAAAAATTTGAAGAAATGAAAGTGCTTAGTTATTCTTTTCCTACAAGATCAAAAATTCTAAGAAATAAAACTGCAGCTCTAACTCATTGTGTGTGTGTGTCTGTGTTTGTGGAATCCTGAAAATGTTAACTTTCCTTAAGACTAAAGTTGTAAAAAATACAGTTCAAATAAACAAATTTTTCTGGTCATACCCATTCTCTTTGAATTTGCATAATAATTTAAGGAAATTTTTATGGTATCTTCTTAGATAGAAGTATTTGCAAATACTCAATATTCATATAAATTAGAGGATAATAAAATACAAAATAGAAGCATGGCAGGAATTCTTTTAACTCTATTTGCTATCACATGAACTTTGGTATAAGACAGAGTCATTAGTTTAAACTTCTGAAAGATTCTCTTACAAATGTTTTGGTCTATAAAGACAGACTATTGGCATGAACTCTGAAAACAATATTATGGAAGCATTACTGTACATTAGATAGAAAAACTCTTGAAGGAAAAAGGATATGTGCGTGTGAGAGAGAGAGAGAGTGAATGAAAGAATAAGAACATAATACTCTTGTTATGAGGTTGGTGCAAAAGTAATTGCAGTTACATTCAAATTACTCCAGTTACATTCAAATGAATCTTTACATCCATACAGAATTCACTTACTCATAAAATAATCATCATTCAATGTGTAGCATGTAGAGAACCACGGTATCAGACAATTATTTCTACATTAACTAAATTGTATCCCCACTGTAATTCCAGTTATAGATGCACTCTTTAGTCAAATAGCTTTGTGTTTATATAACAACAGTGCTGTAAAAAAAAAAAAAGTTCCTCTGAAAAGTAACTTCTACTTTATATACAGTCTAAAGAAGTCTTGTAATATATTCAAGAAAGAGTTTTAAAGAAAATAAATTCAGTTCAAAAATGTCATTATTAAACCACAGCATAGAAAGTAGAGTAAATCATTGGGTAGAAGTTATTGTGCTGTAGCCTCAAAACGTCCAAGATTACTCAGTCAAGCTCCATTTTTGCCCTTCAGCACTGAATTTCTCTTACTCCTGATTCTAGTGTATTTCATGTGTATGTTATCTATCATCTATCTATCTTTCTATCTATCTATATCTATCTATCTATCTATCTATCTATCTATCTATCTATCTATCCATCCATCCATCCATCCATATCATCATCTGAAACTAACTGATCATTAGAGTGAATTTAGAGGACGACGCTGGGTTTTATATTAGGAAAAACTGATAGCAGCTGTCTTTATTAAGGCCAACTGACCAAGCAAATAACATGTCTTCAGACCTGGTAGAGAGATATATACTTGCATACACTTTTTGATTACTGACGGTATATTCAAACAACATCCTGTGGGTAAGTTAAAGGCACAAAATGAGGAAAGTTAAATAAATTGCTGTCTCAAAAGAGATACAGTTTGCTAATTACTCAAGTGATGTACATTGACAGCATTCTATACCTTGCTATCTAGTGAAGTAGTCATTTAAAGTTCTTTTTAAATTGACTTAGCTGTTATGTCCTTAACAGCACAACCATTTCAGATCACCCTAGCCGAAACTTTACATTGAAGTGCTCAACTATAGTCCAGTCATTGGGGGAACTCAATTTTGCAGAGTCCTCACTTCATGATTACTTTGGAGAAGAAGGCTTTTCCTTTAATGTCACTTAAATCATTCTTAACAGATAGTCACTATTTTATCTCACTTTTCTTGACACTCATTTTAAGTTCCTGGGATGTGTGACTAATTATTATTGTAACACATTGACATATTATTATTTTTGTAAAATAGAACAATAATGACTATAAAGCGAACTCTTTTCCTTTTCAGAAAAATGCACAAAATTTTCCCCCCAAAAATTCAACTACTTAATTTACTTGACTCAGGAATGTAAAACTTTAACAATTAGTAATTTTAGAGTTAAGGCTAACTCTCAAAATTCATAATTGCAATTATGCTAAAAATTATTTGACTGATTCACGTGTCTATTACAATTGTCATTCACCTATTTGTCCAAATAGAATTTATTTAATACCAGTCTTCCCACTTAAAAACTCAGTCTATCATCAAAAAACATGTCCATTTGTGGTTCCTACATGGAACTACTAGTTGATTACATCTACTGAGCAGGCTTAGCTTGAATTTTCTGTTTACCTGATCTGGCAACTAGAGTTAGTCTCAAGTGCTAGAGAGAAACCAGGTAATTGAACATGGGTGCATAGGCTCTTGGAATGGAAAAATAACCAGGCCTGAAATAAACCGGACAAGGGGAAAATAAATAAAAACAGATAATTACTGTGATCAAGGTATGGGCTTGGGCTACTGTTGTATATGGAACTCAGATAACTCTCTGACAGGCAGACCCTAAGGAGTGTGAAAGGAGCTAATTTAAATTGTCAGGCAGTAGCCCTGCGGTTTATTGGTTGACTCAATTTATACTTAGGTCTCTTACAATACAATCAAACAAGCATGTACAAATATCTTTAGAATGTTAAAAAAAAAAATGCAGACTGTTTACATTTGAGATGACATCTAGAATGTCAGAAATTTAAGATGACAGTGATTCTGTACTGTAGCTGTGCTTCCTTCTTTTTTAAGGTAGGAGCATATTTGAGTGCCTATGTTTATAGTTGTTAATTTCTAGAAACACTGAATAGAATACAATATTCTTTTTAGTCCACATTATGTAGCTCAAGCTATAAGGTAGAAAAGAAATTTGCAGTGTTTATCAATGCTGTTGCCTGGATACAGATGACTGTGGTTTGTTCTTTGAGTCACATTGCTAAGTATTTCAAAATAGAGACCATACTGAGTATTAAAGAGCCAGCCTTGCAGACATGAGACTCTGAATGATAGTGAGACGTCCTTCTAGGGACTTGGGAATATGGATCGGAAAAATAGCTCATTAAGGACTTTGCATCTTAAACATAAAAGGATTTAAAACTGTGGAAATAAAACCTTGAATTCTTCCAGGTAAAAATCCAACTCGAAATCCTATGTGCTAACTCTCCTTATCTTTTCAGTTGCCATGTTCAGTCATGTCTTCCTCTGCATTCTGCCTCTGTCTCCTGCTTTAAACTTCATGTCACGGACTTATTCCAGGTCCTCCTCTTTTCTTCTTAGACCCTTGAAATCATCATTCTAATTAGTCAATTAACCTCCAAACTTTCAGCAAGCAAGTATCCCTTCTATCTGTCACTACTCACCTATGAAAAATATTCTCTTCTAATGGGGTGACATGGCTATACAGAAATAAAATCCTCATGCTAGAATATGATTAGTTTCTCTTTATTTCTGTTTGATTCAAAATTGTTTAAAATATAATGTATTTAAATCCTCACAATTAGGCATATATGGCCAAATGATTCTTGACAAAGGTGCCAAGACTATGCAATGGCAAAAGAACAGTTTCTTCAACAAATGATGCTGGGAAAACTGGATATCCAGATATAGAACAATGAAGTTGGACTCTTAGCATACACCATATAAAAATTAACTCAAAATGAAAAAACCCAAAACTATTAAACTCCTAAAATAAAATATAGATTAAGAATTTCAGGAAATTCGATGTGGCAATGATTTCTTGGATATTAAACCAAAAGCACAGGAAAAAAAAAAAAATAAACAAATAAGACTACATCAAACTTCAAAACATCTGCACATCAAAAAAAAAAAAAAAAGAAAGGAAACCAACAGAATGGGAGAAAACAATTGCAAATTATATATTTGATAAAGTATTAATATCCAGAAATTTTTACAACTAAACAACAACAACAAAAAACCCAAATAACCTAATTAAAAAATGGGCAAAGCACTTAAATAGATATTTCTTCAAAGAGATGATATACAAATGGACAATAAACACATGAAAAGATATTCAACATCACTAATCATTAAAAAATGCAAATCAAACCCACACTGTGATATCCCCTCACACCCACAGGATGACTACTATCAATCACAAAATAGGAAAGGATGTAGAAGATTTGCAACCCTTGTTTTGGTGGGAATGTAAAACATGTAACCCTTATCAAAAATAGTTTGGAGATTCCTCAAAAAATTAAACATAGGATTAGTATATGATTCAGCATCGTTCTTCTGGGTATATATACAAAAGAATTCAAAGCAGGATCCCAATGAGAAATTTGCAAGTCCATGTTCATCTAAGTACTATTTATAATAGCCAAGAGGAAGCAACCCAAGTGTTCATTGACAGATCAATGTATAAAGAAAATACAGATAAAGAAAATATACATATGATGGAATATTGTGTAGCTTTAAAAAAGAAGCAAATCTTGTTACATGCTACAACATGGATGAGCCTCTGAAGACAATGTGCTATGTGAAATAAGCCAGTCACAAAAAAAGCAAATACTGTAGGATTCTACTCATATGAAATATCTAAAGTAGTCACAATCATAGAAACAGATATTAGAAAGGTGGTTACCAAGAGCTGTGGAGAAAGGGGAAGGGGGAATTAGTATTTAATGAGTATAGAGTTTCAGTGTTGTATGAAAAAGTTCTAGAGATCTGTTGCTAAACAATGTGAATATACTTAATATATTAATACAGTTACTGAACAGTATATGTAAAAATGGTAATAATGATAAATTTAATGTTAAATTTTTTTACTATAATAATAAAAAAATTCTCCAAATTGGACAACTTGTGTTCTGTGTGAGGGTAAAGCACACACACACAGCATTTAATTATTCACCATATATAGCTGGCTTCCTTGCTATTGGGTTCCCTTGAAGGTTACTGTCTAAATTCTTCTTAGAAAGCAATGAAGGATAAAGTAAAAATATTTTCCTTTTTATGTGTATCCTTTGGAAAAAAAAAAACCTGGCTCTGAAATGAGGTTAATATCTTAACATCAAACAACTTGATGGTATTTCCAAAATTTTATGTTTTGGTGAATCTATTTATCAATTTGTTCTAAGACAATTTGCTCTTTAATGACTTGTCTCAGAAATAACACACTGTGTTGCTGGTCATGGCTTCTGATTACCGACAGCTGGACACGGGGGAGTACAGTGGGAAAGAAGAAGATGACTGTAAATAGATGCCTGGAAAGAAAACACCTATAGCTATTTCTTTGGTTTGCAGTTTCCAAATTCCAAACTTTCACCATCTACAAGGTAAAGAGGTGAGATTGTTCCTTCTATGTTACACTCAATGTTAACATCTTGTAACTCTTTCCCCCAAATAAGACCGAAGTATTTATTTTAACCAAATTTCTTCCCAATTTAGGTTGTAATGGTTAGAAAAAAGGGCCCTAATTTACTTAGCTCTGAATCATGAATACCATTCCCATTTCAAGAATGCCCCAAGATACTAGGGAGAAAGTAACCCCCAGCTCCAGTCCCCATCACCAACCACATATTCTTCACCACAATTTAAGGCTGTTAGCGTTTTCTGGGCCTGCATCTTAAGAAAAGTTTATCCAGCACTCCCTGATTTAGGCTATTGTGTACTTCCTGTCTATATGCATCTGGACAACAAACCTGGTATTCAAAGTTCACGAAGTTCCTGTGCAGTTTGAATAACTGCTTTCACAAAGAAGTGAAAAAAGAAGAATATCTCTTCTAAAAGGCCTTTTGAATCAAAGGAAATCATATTCTTCATTTCTAATTGCTTTGATTGTGCGGGAATATGTCTTGTGATTTAAAGACATAGTGCACTTCGAAGCATGACATTGAAGAAACGACAATGTCTATCATATAAGAAAGGTCCTCAGGAACTATATACTTCAGAATTATACTATGTAGCTTCAGGAACAATAAAAACTATACAAATTTTGCAATTTTCTAACTGTTCAATATTTATTTTTATCTCTCTTAAGTGTTCCCATTGTAAACTATGTGTGTGTGTGCTTTGTAATGTACTATTTATGTAATTCATATTCCATTTTTTTCTGGACTAGAAGCTCTATCCACTGTAATTGTCCCCAGATAGTCATTATATACATGTTTGCTGAATAAAGGACAGCATTAATGTTATAATTTTCTATTAACACATGAAGACTAATAATTAAACTTTTCAAATGAAAGAGGTCTATGTGTCTTTCTTAGATGGCAGCAATGAAGTGAGAACTTAGGAAAAATCCCTCTCAGCAGCCAATCTTGAGGGAAAGTACTCTAAGATGCAGTGTGGGTAGCATTAGTTTTGAAGAGAGGAAAATAGGACAATCCTGGGTGGGGCTTATCCGAGATGAGATAAGAGGACATGTGGCCCAGTAGGCTATCCCAGAATACTGGTCTAGAATACAGGCCAAGGTCCTAAAGTTTGAGAGACTCTTGAGATTCCCCCAACATTTAGTGTGGTAAAAAGACAGCCAGTCTTAGGATAACCAGGATGTTAGTATAGTTTGGATATCTGTTTCCTCCCAATCTCAGGTTGAAAATTGATCCCCAGTGTAGGAGGTGGGGCCTATTAGGAGGAGTTTGGGTCATGGAAGCAGATCCTTCATGAATGGCTTGTTCCACTCCTCATATGACACAATGGTTCCTCTTTGCCTCCCACCATGAGTGGAAGCCAGAGGCTCTCACCAGAAGTAGATGCTGCTGTGATGTTTCTTGTACAGAACTGCAGAACCATGAGCCAAATAAATCTTTTTGCTTTATAAATTATCCAGCCTTACGTATTCCTTTATAGCGACACAAACAGACTAACACAGGTTTGTGAGCAAATTACTGTGTCAATTAGTTAGTCCCTCTGAGTTTTGGTTTCCTAATAGACAATATCAGTAATAGTACCCACCCCATAAAATTATCATTATTAGAAGAGATAATGTTTTTAGTATGCAGGGGGCTTAATATATGTTGTATAAAAATACTGTGGCTATAATCAACTAACAAATTTGACGTTTTCTTTATTGTCACCTATTTCATTAAGTAGAATAAACCACTTATCCATTTTTACTGAAAAAAATGAAGTCAAGAAGAATTAAAAGAAAAAAGTTTTTAAAAATTACAAAAAGTTAAATATTTATAATATACAAAATAGGGTTAAATTTACCACATTTTTAAACTATTCCATGGAAAAGAGTTGGCAAAGCATCTCAAAATACATATGTTCAAAAAATAACATGCTGGCAAGGTTGTGAATCACAAGGAATGCTTATACACTACTTGTGGAATGATATTAGTTCAGCTACTGTAGAAAGCAGTTTAGAGATTTCTTGAAGAACTTAAAATAGAAATACCGTTTGACCTAGCAATCCCACTACCGGGTATATACTCAAAGGAATATAAATAGTTTTGCCATGAAGACACATACACATGTATGTTCATTGCAGCACTATTCACAATAGCAAAGACATGGAATCAACATAGATACCCATCAGTGGTGGATTGGATAAAGAAAATGTCGTACATATGCACTGTGGAAATATATGCAGCCATAAAAAAGAACAAAATCATGACTTTTGCAGCAACGTGGATGGAGCTTGAAGCCATTATCCTACGCAAATTAACACAAGAGCAGAAAACAGAATACTGCATCTTCTCACCTGTAAGTGGAGGTTAAATATTGAATACACATGGACACAAAGAAGGGAACTATAGACACCAGGGCCTACTTCAGGGTGGAGGCTAGGGGGAGGGTGAAGATTGAAAAAACTATCAGATACTATGTTCATTACCTTGCTCACAAAATAATCTGTACATTAAACCCCCTTGACATGCAATTTACCCATGTAACAAACCTGCACATATAGCCACTGCACCTAAAATAAAAGTTGGAAAGAAAAAAAAAATATATATATATATACACACACACACATATATATGCACTGAGGGCAATATATATATACATATATACATATATATACTTATACACATATATACACATACACATATATACATATATACACATATATACATATATACATATATACACATATATACATATATACGTATATATATATTATAACAAAATACTCTTTACCTAAAACTAAGAGGACAACATATATATATAGATGTTGTATAAAAATACTTTGGCTATATATATATATATATACATATATATATATATATATAGCCTTCTTAGTTTTAGGTAGAGTAAGAGTATTTTGTTATACAATAAACAAATTTAAGGAATTCGGAAAAAAGATGGCCGGATAGGAACAGCTCCGGTCTACAGCTCCCAGCATGAGTGATGCAGAAGACGGGTGATTTCTGCATTTCCATCTGAGGTACCGGGTTCATCTCACTAGGGAGTGCCAGACAGTGGGCGCAGGTCAGTGGGTGCGCGCACCGTGTGCGAGCCGAAACAGGGCGAGGCATTGCCTCACTTGGGAAGCGCAAGGCGTCAGGGAGTTCCCTTTCCGAGTCAAAGAAAGGGGTGACGGACGCACCTGGAAAATCGGGTCACTCCCATCCGAATATTGTGCTTTTCGGACCGGCTTAAAAAACGGCGCACCACAAGATTACATCCCGCACCTGGCTCGGAGGGTCCTACGCCCACGGAGTCTCACTGATTGCTAGCACAGCAGTCTGAGATCAAACTGCAAGGCGGCAGCGAGGCTGGGGGAGTGGCGCCCGCCATTGCCCAGGCTTGCTTAGGTAAACAAAGCAGCTGGGAAGCTCGAACTAGGTGGAGCCCACCACAGCTCAAGGAGGCCTGCCTGCCTCTGTAGGCTCCACCTCTGGGGGCAGGGCACAGACAAACAAAAAGACAGCAATAACCTCTGCAGACTTAAATGTCCCTGTCTGACAGCTTTGAAGAGAGCAGTGGTTCTCCCAGCACGCAGCTGGAGATCTGAGAACGGGCAGACTGCCTCAAGTGGGTCCCTGACCCCTGACCCCCGAGCAGCCTAAATGGGAGGCACCCCCCAGCAGGGGCACACTGACACCTCACACAGCAGGGTATTCCAACAGACCTGCAGCTGAGGGTCCTCTCTGTTAGAAGGAAAACTAACAAACAGAAAGGACATCCACACCAAAAACCCATCTGTACATCACCATCATCAAAGACCAAAAGTAGATAAAACCACAAAGATGGGGAACAAACAGAACAGAAAAACTGGAAACTCTAAAAATCAGAGCGCCTCTCCTCCTCCAAAGGAACGCAGCTCCTCACCAGCAACGGAACAAAGCTGGACGGAGAATGACTTTGACGAGCTGAGGGGAGAAGGCTTCAGACGATCAAATTACTCTGAGCTGCGGGAGGACATTCAAACCAAAGGCAAAGAAGTTGAAAACTTTGAAAAAAATTTAGAAGAATGTATAACTAGAATAACCAATACAGAGAAGTGCTTAAAGGAGCTGATGGAGCTGAAAACCAAGGCTTGAGAACTACGTGAAGAATGCAGAAGCCTCAGGAGCCGATGCGATCAACTAGAAGAAAGGGTATCAGCGATGGAAGATGAAATGAATGAAATGAAGCGAGAAGGGAAGTTTAGAGAAAAAAGAATAAAAAGAAATGAGCAAAGCCTCCAAGAAATATGGGACTATGTGAAAAGACCAAATCTACGTCTGATTGGTGTACCTGAAAGTGATGGGGAGAATGGAACCAAGTTGGAAAACACTCTGCAGGATATTATCCAGGAGAACTTCCCAATCTAGCAAGGCAGGCCAACGTTCAGATTCAGGAAATACAGAGAACGCCACAAAGATACTCCTCGAGAAGAGCAACTCCAAGACACATAATTGTCAGATTCACCAAAGTTGAAATGAAGGAAAAAATGTTAAGGGCAGCCAGAGAGAAAGGTCGGGTTACCCTCAAAGGGAAGCCCATCAGACTAACAGCGGATCTCTCGGCAGAAACCCTACAAGCCAGAAGAGAGTGGGGGCCAATATTCAACATTCTTAAAAAAAAGACTTTTCAACCCAGAATTTCATATCCAGCCAAACTAAGCTTCATAAGTGAAGGAGAAATAAAATACTTTACAGACAAGCAAATGCTGAGAGATTTTGTCACCACCAGGCCTGCCCTAAAAGAGCTCCTGAAGGAAGCGCTAAACATGGAAAGGAACAACCGGTACCAGCCGCTGCAAAATCAAGCCAAAATGTAAAGACCATCAAGACTAGGAAGAAACTGCGTCAACTAACAAGCAAAATCACCAGCTAACATCATAATGACAGGATCAAATTCACACATAACAATATTAACTTTAAATGTAAATGGGCTAAATGCTCCAATTAAAAGACACAGACTGGCAAATTGGATAAAGAGTCAAGACCCATCAGTGTGCTGTATTCAGGAATCCCATCTCACGTGCAGAGACACACATAGGCTCAATATAAAAGGATGGAGGAAGATCTACCAAGCAAATGGAAAACAAAAAAAGGCAGGGGTTGCAATCCTAGTCTCTGATAAAACAGACTTTAAACCAACAAAGATCAAAAGAGACAAAGAAGGCCATTACATAATGGTAAAGGGATCAATTCAATAAGAAGAGCTAACTATCCTAAATATATATGCACCCAATACAGGAGCACCCAGATTCATAAAGCAAGTCCTGAGTGACCTACAAAGAGACTTAGACTCCCACACATTAATAATGGGAGACTTTAACACCCCACTGTCAACATTAGACAGATCAACGAGACAGAAAGTCAACAAGGATACCCAGGAATTGAACTCAGCTCTGCACCAAGCGGACCTAATAGATATCTACAGAACTCCCTCCCAAATCAACAGAATATACATTTTTTTCAGCACCACACCACACCTATTCCAAAATTGACCACATACTTGGAAGTAAAGCTCTCCTCAGCAAATGTAAAAGAACAGACATTATAACAAACTATCTCTCAGACCACAGTGCAATCAAACTAGAACTCAGGATTAAGAATCTCACTCAAAGCCGCTCAACTACATGGAAACTGAACAACCTGCTCCTGAATGACTACTGGGTACATAACGAAATGAAGGCAGAAATAAAGATGTTCTTTGAAACCAACGAGAACAAAGACACAACATACCAGAATCTCTGGGACGCATTCAAAGCAGTGTGTAGAGGGAAATTTATAGCACTAAATGCCCACAAGAGAAAGCAGGAAAGATCCAAAATTGACACCCTAACATCACAATTAAAAGAACTAGAAAAGCAAGAGCAAACACATTCAAAAGCTAGCAGAAGGCAAGAAATAACTAAAATCAGAGCAGAACTGAAGGAAATAGAGACACAAAAAACCCTTCAACAAATTAATGAATCCAGGAGCTGGTTTTTGAAAGGATCAACAAAATTGATAGACCGCTAGCAAGACTAATAAAGAAAAAAAGAGAGAAGAATCAAATAGACACAATAAAAAATGATAAAGGGGATATCACCACCGATCCCACAGAAATACAAACTACCATCAGAGAATACTACAAACACCTCTATGCAAATAAACTAGAAAATCTAGAAGAAATGGATACATTCCTTGACACATACACTCTCCCAAGACTAAACCAGGAAGAAGTTGAATCTCTGAATAGACCAATAACAGGAGCTGAAATTGTGGCAATAATCAATAGTTTACCAACCAAAAAGAGTCCAGGACCAGATGGATTCACAGCCGAATTCTACCAGAGGTACAAGGAGGAACTGGTACCATTCCTTCTGAAACTATTCCAATCAATAGAAAAAGAGGGAATCCTCCCTAACTCATTTTATGAGGCCAGCATCATTCTGATATCAAAGCCAGGCAGAGACACAACCAAAAAAAGAGAATTTTAGACCAATATCCTTGATGAACATTGATGCAAAAATCCTCAATAAAATACTGGCAAAACGAATCCAGCAGCACATCAAAAAGCTTATCCACCATGATCAAGTGGGCTTCATCCCTGGGATGCAAGGCTGGTTCAATATACGCAAATCAGTAAATGTAATCCAGCATATAAACAGAGCCAAAGACAAAAACCACATGATTATCTCAATAGATGCAGAAAAAGCCTTTGACAAAATTCAACAACGCTTCACGCTAAAAACTCTCAATAAATTAGGTATTGATGGGACGTATTTCAAAATAATAAGAGCTATCTATGACAACCCCACAGCCAATATCATACTGAATGGGCAAAAACTGGAAGCATTCCCTTTGAAAACTGGCACAAGACAGGGATGCCCTCTCTCACCACTCCTATTCAATAGTGTTGGAAGTTCTGGCCAGGGCAATTAGGCAGGAGAAGGAAATAAAGGGTATTCAATTAGGAAAAGAGGAAGTCAAATTGTCCCTGTTTGCAGACGACATGATTGTATATCTAGAAAACCCCATTGTCTCAGCCCAAAATCTCCTTAAGCTGATAAGCAACTTCAGCAAAGTCTCAGGATACAAAATCAATGTACAAAAATCACAAGCATTCTTATACACCAAAAACAGACAAACAGAGAGCCAAATCATGAGTGAACTCCCATTCACAATTGCTTCCAAGAGAATAAAATACCTAGGAATCCAACTTACAAGGGATGTGAAGGACCTCTTCAAGGAGAACTACAAACCACTGCTCAAGGAAATAAAAGAGGATACAAACAAATGGAAGAACATTCCATGCTCATGGGTAGGAAGAATCAATATCGTGAAAATGGCCATACTGCCCAAGGTAATTTACAGATTCAATGCCATCCCCATAAAGCTACCAATGACTTTCTTCACAGAATTGGAAAAAACTACTTTAAAGTTCATATGGAACCAAAAAAGAGCCTGCATCGCCAAGGCAATCCTAAGCCAAAAGAACAAAGCTGGAGGCATCACACTACCTGACTTCAAACTGTACTACAAGGCTACAGTAACGAAAACAGCATGGTACTGGTACCAAAACAGAGATATAGATCAATGGAACAGAACAGAGCCCTAAGAAATAACACCGCATATCTACAACTATCTGATCTTTGACAAACCTGAGAAAAACAAGCAATGGGGAAAGGATTCCCTGTTTAATAAATGGTGCTGGGAAAACTGGCTAGCCATATGTAGAAAGCTGAAACTGGATCCCTTCCTTACACCTTATACAAAAATCAATTCAAGATGGATTAAAGACTTAAACGTTAGACCTAAAACCATAAAAACCCTAGAAGAAAACCTAGGCATTACCATTCAGGACATAAGCATGGGCAAGGACTTCATGTCCAAAACACCAAAAGCAATGGCAACAAAAGCCAAAATTGACAAATGGGATCTAATTAAACTAAAGAGCTTCTGCACACAAAAGAAACTACCATCAGAGTGAACAGGCAACCTACAAAATGGGAGAAAATTTTCACAACCTACTCATCTGACAAAGGGCTAATATCCAGAATCTACAATGAACTCAAACAAATTTACAAGAAAAAAACAAACAACCCCATCAAAAAGTGGGTGAAGGTCATGAACAGACACTTCTCAAAAGAAGACATTTATGCAGCCAAAAAACACATGAAAAAATGCTCATCGTCACTGGCCATCAGAGAAATGCAAATCAAAACCACAATGAGATACCATCTCACACCAGTTAGAATGGCAATCATTAAAAAGTCAGGAAACAACAGGTGCTGGAGAGGATGTGGAGAAATAGGAACACTTTTACACTGTTGGTGGGACTGTAAACTAGTTCAAACATTGTGGAAGTCAGTGTGGCGATTCCTCAGGGATCTAGAACTAGAAATACCATTTGACCCAGCCATCCCATTACTGGGTATATACCCAAAGGACTATAAATCATGCTGCTATAAAGACACATGCACACGTATGTTTATTGCGGCATTATTCACAATAGCAAAAACTTGGAACCAACCCCAATGTCCAACAATGATAGACTGGATTAAGAAAATGTGGCACATATACACCATGGAATACTATGCAGCCATAAAAGATGATGAGTTCTTGTCCTTTGTAGGGACATGGATGAAATTGGAAATCATCATTCTCAGTAAACTATCACAAGAACAAAAAACCAAACACCGTATATTCTCACTCATAGGTGGGAATTGAAGAATGAGATCACATGGACACAGGAAGGGGAATATTACACTCTGGGGACTGTGGTGGGGTGGGGGGAGGGGGGAGGGATAGCATTGGGAGATATACCTAATGCTAGATGACGATTTAGTGGGTGCAGCGCACCAGCATGGCACATGTATACATATGTAACTAACCTGCACAATGTGCACATGTACCCTAAAACCTAAAGTATAATTAAAAAAAAAAGGAATTCTACTAAGGGTAAGAAACATGTTTGTATTCACTGTAGGTAGTTTCTTAGAATTGAAACCAAACATTTAATTGTATTGTAATAAAAACAGTTTTGTAAGCCAAAATACTATGATGATGATGAAATAGAGGACATTGTGTCTTGATTTGCTGGCAATTCATTACTTTAGAATAGATTTTTTTTAATTGCTAATACACATAATTGATGTAATTCTTAGGCTATCGAAAAAAGAGAGTAGAAAAAAAAAGCCATCTCCTCCAAAAAAAGTGTGAGGGTGAGGGAGAATGAGGGAGAGAGAGAGAGCAAGAGAGAGAGGTGATGTGTGAGAAATCTGATCATCATAAAAGAGGTAGCAAGGATTAACTGAAAATAGCTGGGTCTGAGTGGGAAAGAGGGATGCTATGGTCTTTAATTCCACACTAGCTGATCCCTGAGACAGACACAAATAATAAAAAGAGAAATATATAAGATAAGGTCTGGGTAATGTATAAAAATGACAAGATAATTTAGCAAGAATGTTGGCTAGACTAGATTATTTTCCATATTTTATTTCTAATATCTTAAGATTTTTTGAGAGGATAAATGTCCCCCTAATGAATGACTAGGAAAACCTGGTATTTATTACATGCTGATAATATTATAATCTTCTCAATTAAAAGCTATTCTGACTGATTTAGTGATTTTAAAACTTTTCAATACTTTCAGTATTACAGAAACATTTAAAAAATGGTGGAAAGAGCTACTGTCTAAACTTCAACCATATCTTCAACATAATACCTTTTACTCTCCCCTCTTCCACCCTCTCCTTCCTTCCTTTTCCTCCCTTCCCTTTCTTTTCTCTCCCTCTCCTATCAAACCTGAACTCACATGTTGAATTTAGTTTTCTATTTAGTCCTTTTAACTTTGAACAGTTCGTTGGTCTTTATTTTTCTTGACTTTGACATTTTTTGAGGAATATAGGTCTGTTATTGCATATAATGTCTCTCAATTAGGGTTTATCTGATGTTTCTTCATAATTATATTCAGGTTACAGATTTCTGGTAAAAGATTAGTGAAGAAATGTTGTATCATCTCCATGCACTGCAACAGGAGGCACATGATGTTGCTTTGCCCATTGACCGTTTGGTTAGGGTGGTAATTTTGCCATTACTCCATTAGAAAGTTACTATTTTCCCTTTGCATGGGGTAAGTATAAAGTATATAGATACATTGAAACTATGAACATTTTCTTTTTCATCACTTTTACACACTAATCTTAACGTCTGTTGATGATCTTTAAGAAAATTTAATGTTATCATTTGTTTTATTATTAGTTGGAATTGGCTGTTAAAAAAGCTTTTTCTTCTTTTCAACTTTTATTCACTTATTCATTTGTTTATACCATTATGGACTCGTGGGTTCTTATTTTATTTCAGTGGTTATAATCTTTTACTGCCATATTTTGATGCTACAATTGTCCCACATATGGCTAATGGGAGCCCCTCAAAGCTGGTTCCTATGTCATTTTGACATGTACCCATTACCTTTGAACACATCTTTTCTTTGGCACAATAAATACAGCAATTTTACAAGAAACCTCTAACTAGTAGTTAGGGGACTTTGGCTTTCCTTTATTTGTCTAGTTAAAATTTTTGAATGGTCTTCTCATATATAATTCCTAAATATTTAGTAATTATCAAATTAATTAAATTTACAAAAAATTTAATGAATGTGAATTAAAATTACAAAAGGTAATTATAAAAATTACTATTTTTCGAACTTTATATATATATATATATAAGGAGATATAAAGTTGCTGCGCAGATCATCCCAGGATCAATACTTTGTATCCTTCAATCCAATCAAGTTGACACTCAGTATTAACCATCACACATGCGTTTTGATTTTTGCATATGAAAATTATTTAAAAATTCTAGTAATTACAGGAAACAGAAGCTGAATAAATATATATATATATATATTCCACTAGTTCTGTCCCTCTAGACAACTCTGATTAATACAACATGTATTTGACACAGGAAACCAAACAAACGCATTAGTTGTTGAGGGTAATGGCTCCCAGATCCATCCTGTCCTGCAAAGGACATAACTCATTCCTTTTATTGGCTGCATAGTATTCCATGGCCTATATGTACCCCCATTTTCTTTATCCAGTCTATCTTTGATGGGCACTTTGGTTGATTTCATGTCTTTGCTATTTGCGAATAGTGCTGCAAGGAACATATGTGTGCATGTACCTTTATAATAGGACAATTAATATTCCTTTGGATATATACCCAGTAATGGGATTGTTGGGTCACATGGTATTTCTGCCTCTAGGTTTTTGAGGAATTGCCACATTCTCTTTCACAATTATTAAACTAATTTACACTCCCATCGACAGTGTAAAAGCATTCTTTTTTCTTCACAACCTCACCAGCCTCTGTTGTTTTTTGACTTTTTAATAATAGCCATTCTGACTGATGTGAGATGGTATCTCATTGCGATTTTGATTTGCATTTCTCTAATGACCAGTGATGATGAGCTTTTTTATATATGTTTGTTGGCTGCATTTATGTCTTCTTTTGAGAAGTGCCTGTTCATGTCTTTTGCCTACTTTTTAATGAGGTAGTTTTTTCTTATAAATTGGTTTAAGTTCCTTAGAGATGTTGGATATTAGACCTTTGTCAGATGGATAGATTCCAAACATTTTCTTCCATTTGATAGATTGTCTGTTTTCTCTGTTGATAATTTCTTTACTGTGCAGAATCTCTTTAGTTTAATTAGATCCCATTTGTCAATTTTCGCTTTTTTAGTAATTGCTTTTGGTGTCTTCGTCATGAAATCTTTGCCTGTGCCTATGTCCTGAATCGTATTACCTAGGTTTTCTTCTAGGGTTTCTACAGTTTTGGGTTTTACATTTAAGTCTTTAATCCATCTTGAATTGACTTTTGCATATGAAAATTATTTAAAAATTCTAGTAATTACAGGAAACAGAAACTGAAGCTTATTCCTAAGTTTTGGAGTATAGGGGTATTTCATTTCCAAAAAAGAGGCATAAAATGGGGTAAAACCACAATCTAGAACAGTACTAAATAATCTCACATACGTTGCACATAGAAGTACCAACACACCGCCACACACACACAAACACACATGCACACACCAAATAAAAATTGAAAGCACTCATGTCTATAATTCATCCTAGCTAAAAAATATTATTAATGGCTTAAATTTCATAGATTATGGAAACAGCATGGTAATATGAGTTATGTAGATTATGTCACTAGAAAAAATAAAGATAATGAGCAGGGCAAGGAATCAGCTTTCTTTGAACATTTCAAATATTGTCTGAGAAGTGGGACAGCATTTTGGAGAGATGTAGAGAAGATGATTAAGCAACCAATCTCTGGATTTACTTCCATTGGCGCTCTTGACAAGTTGTCACTGGGTGTATTGGCCTATGTCCCCTGAATAAACAGAGTATATCTTTGTGTTCCTGACACCTAGCTTAATTTCCATGGAATAAATATTTCATGAAATAATAAATAAATAACAAATGAATGAACTTCCTGATAGGACTTCTATTACTATACTCTCTTGCCTGATGGAGCATGTAACTTAATGAACTTGGCCTTTGACTTATCACGATACTCTGGGAATGGGAGAACATTAACATACACTATGCTCAATACATTTAAAACTTCCTTTATAATTTTTTAATAAAAATTTTCTGTTGAAGAAGGCCAGGAGCAGTGGCTCACGCCTGTAATCTCAACACTTGGGGAGGGCGAGGTGGGCGGATCACTTGAGCCCAGGAGTTTGAGACCAGCCTGGGTAACATGGCAAAACATCGTCTATATAAAAACTGCAAAAATTAGCTGGGCATGGCGGTACATGATTGTAGTTCCAGCTACTTAGGAGGCTGAAATGGGGGGATCATTTGAGCCCAGGAATCAGAGGTTGCACTAAGCCGAGATCACACTATTGCACTCCGGCCTGGGCGACAGAGTGAGACCCTATCTCAAAAATAAATAAATAAATAAATAAATAAATAAATAAATAGAAGAAAAGAAAGAAAGAGAAAAAGACTTAGTTCTATAATAACCTAAATATTCTCTTTAAATCTCAAAATTGATCAAAATATTCTAGTCTTTGCAGTCAGAAGGAGTTTGGCTGATTTTATCACTGTCACTCTCATTCACAGATTCCTCTCTGCAAAGTACCACTGCTCTTTGACTTGCGCTTTTTTTTTTTTTTTTTTTTTGAGACAGAGTCTTGCTCTATCGCCTAGGCTGGAGTGCAGTGGCACGATCTCGGCTCACTGCAAGCTCCGCCTCCCAGGTTCATGGCCTTCTCCTGCCTCAGCCTCCTGAGTAACTGGGACTACAAGGTGCCCGCCACCACGCCCGGCTAATTTTTTGTATTTTTAGTAGAGATGGGGCTTCACCGTGTTAGCCAGCATGGTCTCGATCTCCTGACCTTGTGGTCCGCCCACCTCGGCCTCCCAATCTTTGACTTATTTAAATGGTCAACTCCTTCTGTCTCTAAGGTTTCGCTTAAACGTTTTTTGGGAGTACTTCAAACATAGCTATCCTACCTTCCTCTAAACACCCAGTTTAATCTAGACGTTCATTTGTAGCTGTGTACCAACACTGAGTTGGAAATTTGTTTAACACCATCCCTATATCTGGCAAAGTGCCACACATATAGTAGGTGTATCATAAATACTTATGAAGTTAAAGGTGGCTATTTCTAAGCACCTTTGATTCTGGAAAAAAAGTAGTTAAAATATATATAACAAGGGAGAATTAGTTAATGATTTCTTTTTATGCATAGCCTAAATACAAATATAGTTAGACTACACTGTGTTTACAAAAACTAGAAATGAATATGTGAGGCCTGTTTTATATAACTTTATTGATTTTTCTTGCAGTTAAAAATGCTGATTTTATCTAGATTTTATCCTTATATTTCTAAAGGAAAGGAAAAACTGGACCCAATTTTTTTTGTATTGGTAGACACAATGGTAGATTGTATCTACCATTCCTGACATTACGTAGATAAAATCACTATGGAAAACCTAAATATCGATAAGATTAACTAAGTGAAGGTAATATGTTTATTTTCATCTAACACAATTATCCATGATTATGGGCATAATAATTAGACTCAAAGGTGACAACCAAGAATGGTGTAAGTATTCTACAACAAATGATCTAGAAACACAGGTAGAGAGAAAAGTCTCAAGTTAGATGCAATGAAAGCTATAGAAGAAAGAAAATTACACTAAGCTACTTTTCAATAATCAGGTCTCTGATAAAACTTGAAAGATAATTCAAGTTTCTCACTATCCCAAACTTTAAATTACAAAAAAAAAAAAAAAAAAAAAAAAATTAAAAAGGACTTTTCCTAAGAAATCACAATCAGTACTTTTTAAGAGACAAGTTTGCGAACCCTATATTAGGGCCATATGGTATGTATTTTGGTGCATCTGGTAAGTGCGCATAAATGCACTAAAACAAGGAACTGAAATATCCTGAGGCAAACTCCTGATTCCAGCAGCCAGTGTAGCAGTATCAGCAGCTAGCCTCAAGGAATCTTGTTTACCAACGCCAAGGGGATATATGATAGTTCTGAGTTAGCTGTTTACAATTAATCCACCTAATATTGAAAATTGGAATAATTTTTGGCTTTTGGATTCCACTCAAATTTAAGCAACATGGTGATATTGGCTTCCGCAATCCTCTGGAGGTACTGTCTGAAGCCCCCAATCTATTGCTGTGTTAGCCAGTGAAGGCTCACCAAGGAGAAAATTATTCATGTAACTTGGCCTTCAGTTAGAGAAATTTTTCAAAAGTTTTCCTAGGGTTGGAATTACTACAGCAGCTAATATGGATCTTCAGCTCAGAGGGTCATGGAATGCTGTTCAGCAGAGAAGGAAATATTAAAACAAGTAGAAGGTCAATTTAGAAGAGGCAGTGATCTGAATCTCCCCCAGGGTGCCCTCACATTAAGCTCAGATTTGTAATTGAAAATAAATCTTTCATGTCCGGGTGACAAGTCTGAGGTCCTGTTCTGGGTGCAGTTTTCACTAAGCATTATATTTTCCTGCTTGAAGTCACTGTCCTTTTCAGCTGATTTGACCTGTAATGCCACAGTTGGATGTTGGCTGCCAAGTGATTAGCTATTCAAGAAAAAAAGTGAAACTAATCTCTGTATTAATATACATGAGGTGAAATGAGAGGGAATCTGAGACCGGAAGGCACAGAGACTGATATTACAAGCTATGCAGTGAGGCATACTCTCCCAGATACAGTAGCACAATCAAACCCGAGAGGAAGGGTGACATTTGGCAGAGATGGTGCAAGAGACAGATGCTGTGGGTTGAAGTGATGGCTTGATTTTCCAGCACTTTACTGTAAAGAGTGAGTCCTTTTTCAGAATAAAAAGAGCATATTGTTATTATGCCACTTACAAAAAGTATACAAGTACAGAATTCATTTTTTTTTCTTTTACATTGAAGATTGGAGGGGAGCTATGTTGAAAAAAAGAAATAATTTTAAAACATTTGCTAATTTTACAAAGCACTTCTACATCAATTTGTAGCTACTGAGCAACCTAGACTATTTTCCCTCTGTTAGAAATAAGCCCTCGTTCTCTTAGAGAATCAGATAATGATGAAAATCCATTAATATCATGAACATAAAGGAATCTTTTAATGAAAAATAGTTCATTAAATCAACATTTGTTGGCCATCTATTCTTTGCCAGACACTCTGCTAGTTACTCAATTTATAGTTTTAATAAGACATGTCTCCTGTTCTCTCTTTTGCACCTTCCTGCAATCTCACCGTGGAGACAGTATGTGGAAAATGATGCTTTGGAGCCTATGTACTGAATCAGAGTTTCTGGAGAGGGGCTTAGAATCTCTGGGGTGGAATCTGCTGTCTTATCAAATTCCCAGGTGATTTTGATGTATCCTAAAATTTGAGAACTCTGATGTCTTAAAGATAAAGAATGTAAAGAATTCCAACAAAAATATTAGGGCTGGAAGAGCCTTCAGTAACTAGTGTGACCATATAATTTTTCAAATGAGAAAACTGAGGATCAGAGAGGGAATGTAAATTGCCTGATATCACATAGCTGGTTAGGACCCTAGTTTTTCTGTTTTCTAGTCCAGTGCTAGTCAAGGAAAAAAAAATAGGTTGTGGATTTCTTTACTCAAACAACTCACTATATTGTGTATGTTCCCTTTCTTTTTTGCTTTACTAGTAAACTATTTCTAGATAACAATATTTTGTTATAATATGAATTTTATACATTTCCTCTCCTTTTCGCTTTACTAATCTACTATTTTTATGTAATGGTGTTTTTTGTTATAGAAACATGATGGCAAAAATCTAGTAATTGAAACTACCTACTCTGTTGCCCTTTCCTCCAGACTACATTTTATCCACACTTAACTATTTTAGACAAGTAGGGGTATTTTTCCAGGCAAAAATCCGTTTCTTTATGATAAGAAATGAATATGTGAGGCCTGTTTTATATACCTTTATTAATTTTTCTTACAGTTAAAAATGCTGATTTTATCTAGAAATTATCCTTATATTTCTAAAGGAAAGGAAAAACTGGGTTTTAAAATGTGGGCCAATAAAATGCTTATTCTTGCCTTTAAAATTCTATCTACCTTGAGAAAAAAAGGTTTTGTTATAAACTAATTTTATTATTCTCTTTGTCAGGAAACTTTTTCCAGAGCTGAAATATCTACGTAGCTTAAGCCAGTTTTCTTTTTTTTCTGCACTCAGAAAAGATGGAAAACATCTGGCAGGTTCCTCTGGCAGGATATTCAAAGAAAATACTTTCTTTACTCTTCAGGCAAAGCAATCTAATTCTTTTTTTGTCTGTGTTGCATGGAACTAGTCTCCAACTTTTATGTAAGTGTATAAATACATAATGTAGATGGATATTTGTTGATCAGAGCCAAATTATAGTAGCTTAATTTGCAATTTATTTAAATAAAGTTAATTGTAACAAAATCAATGTTATAAATTCTACAGAAAATAATGTGCTCTTTAGGGTTTTTACCTGTTATCCATGCCAAAAGAAATATCATCATGCAACAAGCTAACTTTTTTTCCAAGCTTATCTAAGAGGAAAGGCCTGCTGGTATATTGCAATTGTCCAGCTTTGCCCAGGTGCCATAAGGTAGCCCATGTAACAGGGCTACCTCCTGGTTGAGGAGATTGTAATGGCACAAGACAGTCTGCCTCCAGGAGGTATGTTTTTCTAATTTGCACAAAGTTACTTTATGAATTAGCGGCAGCTCACCAAAAGGTCTACAACAAGCTCTGGCCAGGTGTTCAGCTTTAGATTTGAACGTAAACAGGCTTAGACTTTTTTTCCTAAATATTAAGGAAGGCTATCCAACCATTTCTTACAAAGAATTTTCTTACATCATTACTCATGATACATTGTGAACTGAAAATCCAATAATAAATAAACATTATTTGAAAAATGTTCATTTTGTATTAACCATTTCTGTGAATATTTTACAGTTATAAATATAGCATTTTCCTATTTTTGTACATAGTTTCCTTTTGGTTTTTAAAATTAGAGTTGATTGATCTTGCTGTGATGGAAGATGGATTCCACCAGAGCACATGTGATGCACTGACTGATAAAAAATGATCAGCACCAGTTATAGGTGCACGTTTGACAATCAGAGGAAACCTTGATTCCCTATTAGGCTAAGCTGGTGTAGTCATATTGTGCTCAACAGTAAAACAAAACAAAACAAAAAAGGCTTTTTCTTATTAAAAATAGCATGTCAGATTCTGCCCAGAGAAACCTCACTCAAAGGAACAAGCAAGGCTCTAAGGGTAGAAAGGGTGATCAATATTTGATTATCTATATATTCTGGGTCACAGCTGCTTCTTTCCCCCGAGATGGGCCATAGTTTTTAAATTGTTTATGATCAGAAGTAAAGAATGTTAACTTCTCAAACTCAGCTTCAAGGCCCAGCACCAACTCTGCTTCACTAATATGACCTCCTTCTCCCTTCTTTTTTCCTCTGTCTCTTTGACTCAGGCAGTGCAGGCTTTTGTTTCTTCCTTTTCCAGACCTCAGAGTCTTCCTCTAGGCTTTCAGTGATGCCAACGTCCTTCTAGTTGTGTTTCCTTTGCCATCTTAAAGTTCCTCTGCAACAGATGCTCGCTCTTCAAGCAATAATTTTGTCTTTTGCAATGCTTTCCCCAGAAACAAATAAACCCCCTTAACTGAAATCAAATAAATACAATTCAAATAAAAAACTCATTTGAATACATATATTTGTCTGATCTTTCCAGAATATGAACTAATTATATTTTAGTAATGCCCATTCTATCATATAGCAATTAATAATAATGGTGACTAATCCTATGTTGTATCACCAGAATTTATTGAGACCATTACTCTGTGCTAGGCACTTGGCTAAGTACTTGCATATCATGTTTCGTTTAATTGATATAATAGCCCTGATTAGAAGATAAGAGTTTAGGTTCCCTAGTGAGTTAATGACAGAGTAATACTTAAGGGCTTTGTCCTGAAAAAAAAGTGTGCACTTAATATTTTAATAATGAAGTGTGGCTTTATGTATGATCTTTTTTTTGAACAAAATATTCCTCTGCTGTAACAACCTAAAAGATTTCCTACTCTTCTCAGTATCTCTCTGCTGAACACTTAACTTTTTCTTCCTTAACAAATCATCCAAGCTACAACCTTCTATTCCTTGATAATATAATCTTCTCCTTTCCAGAGGTCACACATTGGAACAAATGCATGACCCATTTGTGACAATGAAACACAGCAGCCTCCTTCTTATAATACAAAGGCACAATCAAAGAAGAGAAAAATAACTAAGCAAAAAAGGAAAGTGAGAGAAAACTCCCCTGGTTTTAAACATAACTCAATAGAAAATTGGTCTTTCATCAAAAGTATTTCCAGGCTAATGACTTGTGGTTTCTTTAGCTTTCATTTAAGTAGAATAGGACTCACTTTTTACAAAGTAGGTAAGTGGATAAAGTACTCATTCAACTTTACATTAATTTTAAAGGAAATGTGAACTAGCTTCAGTTGATATGAGCACTCATCTCAAAGAAAGTGTTCTGTCAGAGCTCCTGGGGACAGAACTGTCTAGCCTTATTTCAAGAAAGGACCATATTCACTTATCATGCAATGTGAAGAGACTGACATTGGATCTTTGCCCTGTGAGCTCCATTCTTTGCATCTCCTGTTTAGTACTATATGGTTCTAAGAGGGAGAAAAAACTCTCTTAATTACGTTCATAACATATCTTATAGTTCAGTTCAAAAGAAAATTTATCGGCAGCATGTGACAGGTACCACAGAAGGCACCAAGTGTAGAGAGGCATGGGAAATAAGTAACTTGTGAATTAGAGCAGTCATGTGAAAATGAAAATGTAGGAATAAATGCAGTTCTCAGCTTATGGCTATACATAAATGAAGCAGTGACATCATAGAAAAGATGGGGGAAGGGAAGGACCTATAAAAGGTATGTTTTTAATATCTACAAAATAGGACTCAAGATGTGCATCATTTTATTCAGAGTCTAAGGCTGTACCATTAAGAGACAAATATATGGGCACTAATGGAATTGCTACATCCCCTCTAAGGTTCCTAACAAATCTCATCTGAAACTTTTAATTAAATATAGCAGCATCGCAGATTTCCTGGATGTGGGGAAGCCACAGAGTAGGAAGCAGAGAAGCAGGAGTGGAGAGGATGACAGGATGGAAGTAGTATTAAAAAACTCGAATATGAAAATTGTATATTGGATTATAATGCCCACTTTTGTTTTGATTTCCTATACTATATAGTCTTTATTTAGAGTTCTTTATTATAGAGCTGTAGCTCCAACATACAGTCTTTTATTTTTATTTTTTTGAGGCAGAGTTTCACTCCGTTGCCCAGGCTACAGTGCAGTGGCACGATCTCGGCCCACTGCAACCTCTGCCTCCTAAGTTCAAGCGATTCTCGTGTCTCAGCCTCCTGAGTAGCTGGGACTAAAGGCACGTGCCACCACACCCAGCTAATTTTTTATATTTTTAGTAGAGATGGGGTTTCCCTGTTTTGGCCAGTCTGGTCTCAAACTCCCAGCCTCAGGTGATCCGCCTGCCTCGGCCTCCCAAAGTGCTGGGATTACAGGCGTGAGCCACCGTGCCCAGCCTATACAGTCCATATTTAGTGCTCTTTATTATGCAATGCATCCCTAGCACACTTTCTACACATATTATGTGCTCAATAAATGCTGAATTGGTGACTATGCATATTAATGGTGGATATTCTTTATAAACAACTGTCTATTTGCCTGACTCTGTTCCCTATTAGAAGATAAACATTTGAGAAGGTTGAGGGGAAAGAAAAGAAATCATCCATATATCTCCTGCCAATCTCTACACACAGTATGCCATATGTACAAATTTATAGAATAAAAAAAAAGTGAATCTGGCTATCATTTCTCCCAAGTGAAAATGGGGTCTGAGCACTGTAATCCTCTCTACATGTCCCTTTACTTTTCTATCATCTAGCTGAGTTCCACTTGCAAATCTGAAGTTGGAGCTAGAAATCTGGTGCCTATCAGTGCCAAAGCTAAACTGATTGTGCAGTGATCCATGTCAATTGCTAACAGCCAATATGAATGAATTAGTCATGCCTGGTCTGCTTATTTTTTGAATACAGACACAGGCTAAAAACATGTCCTATGGATTATTA
Source organism: Homo sapiens (assembly GCF_000001405.40). NCBI lineage: Eukaryota > Metazoa > Chordata > Mammalia > Primates > Hominidae > Homo > Homo sapiens. The sequence continues at coordinate 174,247,932 of NC_000003.12, read as the reverse complement.
TCTTTTTCAAGAACCTAATTAATATACATCACACATCTGCAAACTTTCAGGCAGATTTACAGACCCTTTCAGTTCTTGTTCAGATAAGGTCAGACATTGGAGCAAAGCAGAGCAGTAGCCATCACTGTGGAGCCTGAAAACGTCTGGTCTTTCACAGCCAGGGTGGTTTCCAGCTGAGATGGCTGTTTTTGGTTTCCTGAGATAGCTTTAATGGACTGTTTGTTGGCTTGGGCTCTTTATCTCATCTCTAGGCTGGGTTGCTTGATGAGTGAATAATGAATGCAAGTTGGTCCAGCTGACAGTTGTCAACTACCAAGAGGCTATAGATAACTGTAAGTAAAGTTAAAGGATTGGACAGACTTCTGGCTGAACTGACAAAATCATTTAGATGAGAAGTCTGAATACGGTGTAGAGGTAGAGTGAGAGACAGCAGGAAGAAGAAAGACCTGTTAAAAGGCTCTTCGGAAGAGTTTTGAGAGACAGACTCTTAACAGAAAAACGTAGGTAGGTTTATCTTTCACAGCCATCCACACTACCTTCAGCCAGATAATAATGAAGAACCTGTGTTAAATGGAAGCTCAATGACTGGTGAGCCTGTTGAGGTCAGGGACTAGTTGTACAGCTTCCAGATGATACGTATCTTCAGAACCTGACACATAATAGTCATTCAACGACTGTACATTGACTTCAACTGAAAATGGACACAGTTCTGTCAAAACTGAGGAAGAACCTTTGATATTGATCTCCAAGTAACACCAAAAAATAATAATACCTCAAAAATGTTATTGGCATTGTGAAGAGGCATGCACAGTCTTTCCTAAGATAGGTAGAAATGAGCCATAGTAATTTAGAGAATGCTTAAGATGTATCAACCTTAAGATTTGGAGATACTCCAATTATATAGGCTCTATGCTATTGGTTCTTAGGAATTGTTTTGCTCTGTATGTCTACATGGACCATAGCATAATGAGGCTAAGGATCAATGAGATCAATGGGTGTTTAGGTTGGATTAGTTTAATTTACTTGTCAAATTCCTAGAGTGAACCAGCTATGCTTTCTTTGGTTTCTGCTGATCCAATCCATCAATGTGACCATCAGCAGATTATCAAGACCAATTTTCCCCCAGTGCAAACCATTTAACCATCCATTCATTCATGAGTGTATTTCCTCTAAGCTTCAAAAAAAAAAATAGCTTTATTAAAAATGGAATTAGGAGCTAAAAACAGTGGCTCACACCTGTAATCACAACGCTTTGGGAGGCTGAAGCAGGAGGATCACTTGAGGCCAGGAGTTTGAGACTAGTCTGGGCAACATAGTGAGACTTCATTTCCATAAAAAATTGAAAAATTAATCAGGTGTGGTGGCATACACCTGTAATCCTAGCTCCTTGGGAGGCTGAAGCCGGAGGATCACTTAAGCCCAAGAGTTTGAGTTTGCAGTGAGCTGTGATCAGGCCACGCATTCCAGCCTAAGTGACAGAGTGAGAACCTGTCTCTATTTTTAAAAAAATGGAATTAGGGTCATCCTAGTAAGTTTTTCCTCAAGAATAATGGCCTTGTCTATTCTTCTCAAAAATCTTGCATGTGTATAGAAAGCTGGTTTTGGAATAATAAACAGTTGGCTTTAAAGATAAGATCATATACAGAGCAACCAATATACTGAAAAATTAATGATTTTCATTGAATTTGACTGACTCAAAATAGGTAAGTAAAAATGTAGTGGGAATCTTGCCATTTCTAAATTTCTTTTAAGTCTTTCTGCTTTCTTCTAGCCTCAGCAAGTATCCAGTGACGTCTGGAAACAGTACTACAATTCTCATTCCTAGAATATTTGTTTGAGACTAGCTAAATAATCTGTTAAATGAACTTATGCTAAATTATATTGAATGAAAAAGGATCATGTAATGTGTCTCCCTAGGGCTTGTCACATAATAGAAACTCAATAAACGTACATTGAATCAAATTGACAATGGGTACAATTCTATCGAAGCTAGAGAAAATCACCTTTGATGTCAGTCTCCAGGTAATGCCAATTAACTTCCACAATATGTTATTAGGTTGCCATATTAGGTAACCTTTCCATCTAATAGGAGACTTTCAGAGACAACATTCAAGGCTGGTTATAGGTCTTAAGAATGTGTAAAGTAAGTGGGCAGAATATTTGAAGCAAATTGATCAATTTGTTATTACAGAGACCTCATAAAATTTACTTTTAGAAAACACCTCCAGTTATATATAATCTATGATATCAATAATATTTATTAGTAATGTTGAGAATTGGGAGTAATTTTATCAGCATGTTATAGTCTTTGTAGAGATAATTTTACATGTATCTATTTGGTTACTGTGTAATTAGACACCGGGTTTATTTTCTTCATGGTTTTTAATTCCAGGTGAAAACCAACAAACCAAGAATATTTTCCCAAATGATACTCATTAGGAAAAAACAGAAGAAGATATTTGAATTCAGTTACTTATTAATGTTAAATAGCTATCGGTAAAATATTTTTCCAATAGTTTTTAGGATGGGTAAAGTAGGATACACAGTAGAGTTCACTCATGTTGCCCTTCCCCACAATCTAGAAAGAAAGCCTAAATCATGTTTTATATATTAAACAAAAATAGCTATGTAGGAGACTTAGTTTAAAAAATTAATAGGGTGATTGCCTTTTGAACTAAAAATTACAAAGACTGTAAATGCCACTTTTAAAAAAAATATGAGTGCTATTAATCTCCACTTCCCAAATGGAATCTAGGGAGGTTAAGCTACTGCTAGCAGTACATCTATTACACAAAACAGCAGCATACAATGGGTACAGATTAAAATAGAAATAGATTGCACAGATGCTCTTTTGGCTCCAGAACATCCTTATAAAACACCTAGTCACACACAGTCTCCCTCTAATTTCTAGCAACAATTTAAATAAATACAAGATGTCAGACAATAATCCCAGTTAAGGGAAAAAAGGGCTTCAATTCCACCCAAGTTAATTGAGGCTAGAATCATTCCTGCGACATCTATGGCAATTTCACATTGGTGCACTTCAATTAAGGAATAATAAGAGTGCAAAGTAATTTATACTCACAGATTAGATGTCGTCTGTGAAAAATTACCGATTAACTCAAAGGCGGCCTCTGGAGTGCTCACCAAGCATTTTAATGGGGGTCTCTCTGTCACCTCTTGTCCTAATATCTGGTCAGAAACTAGCAACACTTTAAATTTGCCTTTTAAAAGACTCAATATACCTATTTTACACATCCATGACTTCCCCTTTTTAAATTTCCCCAACCTCAATTGTTTGTAGTAATAGTCAATTTTAATCATCTCCTTTTAAAAATTATTTTACCTACACTGTTTCCTTTTATTTCAATTCTTCTCTTGTACTTAGTATTAAAGGGCATTTTCTTCAATAAAGTAATAATTAAAAGACATTTATTTGAAAAACATTGTTCTGTATGGTATTTCCATCTCAGTGAGCATATATAACTCTCAACAATAAGAAAATGCAGTGTTTGTAGTAAAGAGAGGAAAGATTCTTAATTACTGTTTTCCCAAATTAAAATTTCATCTTAGTAGATAACAAGCATCATGCAGAAAATTTTGTGCATCATATTTGACCTTTTTAAACTTCCCACAAATTAAACAGGAAGGTTATAACTTGTTTATCTGTTCTTAAATGAATACTTTCTTCTTTCAGAATCTAGAACATATGACTAAGAACATAAACTTTTTAATAAATAAAAATAGCTTTATTGGAACTATTACTTCTTTTCCCTTCTTTAGCCATTAGCTGAATTAAAAAGCACACTGAAATATAAAGAAATCCACATTTATTTTATTAGGAAAGAAAAGAGTCTACTGTCAGTTATGAATTATGTATTCTTAGAGATGAAACACAAAAATGAATCAGAAGTAAAGCAAATTCAGCTTTTTTTCTTTCCCTATAATGATGGAAGTGTCAGAGGCCCTGGACCTAAAAAAAGTCAGAATATCTGAGTCCAAATGAGAGTTCTGTCACCCAAAAGTGGTATGAATTTGGGGTGAGCTCTTTGACTTCTGTGAAACAGTGTTCTCTGTAGCATGAGGCACCATCTCAACAAGTTGTAAGGAATAAATGTGTCAACATGTGTTGATTGTGTATACTCAGGATAGTTGTCGTTTTTGTAGGGTACATACTATTCAAATAGAATGTCAGAAGAACTACTAAAATGTTTTATCTCTCTGTAACAAGTATTCTGCAGCCCTTTTCTTAAGAGTAAGGAATTATGTATACTGTAATTGACGAGAAACTGCAATATAACCAACCTTATGGGACTTCCAGAAAAAAATATTAGAAATGTATAAAAAGAAACTGGAATAGAAAAGGAATTACATAGGGGAATTTTTAAGATTTTGTAAGAAAGAGAAAGCTGAAGCATAGAGACCTAGTTAATTTAATATTAACTAAAAGTTTCTAAGCTTACTGTCATTAAAATGTGGTTCTGTGTTTGGTTTAAAAGTGTTGCTTTGTGGCGGCAGCTTATTTATATTACTAGCACTGTTTATTTAAACCTGTCATTGCCATAGTGACTGAGTCTCCAGCCTGCCCACCCACGAGCCTAACAAGCCACATTAAGTCATTTTGTGAGCCCTGGATCTGGGAAGATAGACATGTTTGAAAGGAGGAATTTAAATATGATCTCCTTCCTTACAGCAAAGGGTTATCAAAGCAATAGGCAAAGGGCATACTTTCTTTTTGGGTATTAGAAATGTCTATATGTGAACATTTAAATACACCAGTGGCTTGGGCCTGCTCAGATAATCTATTCAGTTTTCCAAGACTTGTGATTAAAAATGGTGTCTGACTGAATAACTCCAACATATCATTTTTCATCTTTGCTTCAAATTCAGAAAAAGGACATAGAAAAAATAAAAAGCTTGAAATGACAATGAAAATCAAGGCAGGGAGTTAAGCTATGGCAAGAATCTTTTATTTCTAGAAGTAATTATAAAGTTTATCATGCTGGATTTCATTTAACGCCGTTAGATCATTTATGGCAGTGGTCGCCAACATTTTTGGCACTGGTCGCCAACATTTTTGGCACTGGGGACCAGTTTTGTGGAAGCCAATTTTTCCATGGATGGGGGCGGGAATGGTTTCAGGATGATTCAAGTGCATTGCATTTATTACGCACTTTATTTCTATTATTGCCACATTGTAATACATAATAATTATATAATTCACCATAATGTAGAATCAGTGGAACCCTCAACTTGTTTTCTTGCAACTAGATGGTTCTATCTGGCAGAGATGGGAGACAGTGACAGATCATCAGGCATCAGATTCTCATAAGAAGCACACAACCTAGATCCTTTGCATGCACACTTCATAATTGGGTTCAGGTTCCTATGAGAATCTAATGCTGCCACTGATTTGACAGGAGATGGAGCGCAGGCAGTAATGTGAGCAATGGGGAGCAGCTGTAAATACATTTGAAGCTTCATTTGCTTGCCTGCAGCTAACTTCTTGCTATGCCACCTGATTTTTTGTTTTTGTTTTTGTGAGACAGTCTCACTCTGTCGCCCAGGCTGGAGTGCAGTGTCGCAATCTCGGCTCACTGCAACCTCTGCCTCCCAGGTTCAAGCGATTCTCTTGTGCGGCCTGATTCTTAACAGGCCATGGACTGGCACGGTCCATGGCCTGGGGGATGGGGACCCCTGATTTATGGTGTACCAAGCAGTCTAAACAATTTACAACTGTTGACTCATTCAATCCCGATGCACTCTACTAGGCCAGTATTATTATCAACACATTAAAATCACACTGCTGGTAAGTAGTAGTAGGGTCTTAATTTGAACCCAGATTCTCTGACTCCAGAGTCCATGCTCAAAACCGTTATGCTCGGTTGCTGTGAGAAAATAAGTTAAGAAGTGCTTCATGAAACAGAGCTACTGTGCTCTGCTGGCACACATCCACATTGATAAAGATACGTTGGGGCCGGGCCCGGTGGCTCACGCCTGTAATCCTAGCACTTTGGGAGGCCAAGGCGGGCGGATCACGAGGTCAGGAGATCGAGACCATCCTGGCTAACACGGTGAAACCCCGTCTCTACTAAAAATACAAAAAATTATCCAGGCGTGGTGGCGGGCGCCTGTAGTCCCAGCTGCTCGGGAGGGGAGCCTGAGGCAGGAGAATGGCGTGAACCCGGGAGGCGGAGCTTGCAGTGAGCCGAGATCGTGCCACTGCACTCCAGCCTGGGGGACAGAACGAGACTCCGTCTCAAAAAGAAAAAAAAAAAAAAAGATATGTTGGATGTTGGGGGGTAGGGATTTATCAATTTACTACCTGTGTGCCCAAAAGATTGTAATATCCTTGAGAATAAAGACTGTGTTGATTTTGTTCTTCTATATATACGAAGTATTAGGAAGGTGCTCATTTTTTTTTTTTTAATTGGTGGATAAGTGCAGGTCTAAATGATGGCTAGAAAACTCGGCTTCTAAGAATCCTGGCTCAGAAGTCCAAGGTCAACACACCTAATTGGGCATCCATATCTCTACTGTGGGAAAGCTATTTTTAAAAATTTTAATCAAGTATATATTTACTATAAAAGCAGTACACTCAATAAAATTTAAAACCTGAAAAAGAAAAAATATATAAAACAGGCAAAAATAAACTACCTGTTTCATATTAGAAAAAAACAATGACTCCGGTTATGAATAAGAATTTTAAAAAGTTACAGAGAGTTATAATAAAATTTCCTAGCAGTTAAAATGAGTATAAAGAGACTTTATCTTCTCTGTTTTTCTAGTAGGGAAATAAATAAAAATGTAGGGTTCAAAGCTATTTTAAACTCTTGAAACTAAGTTTTGTCATTGTTAGAAGGGGTTGGATGAGGATGGCACCTGTTATTTTAAGTGACTACTTACTTAATGACTATGAAGTAAGTTACAAGAGGCCATCTCAATGGTAAAGTAGAAGACGTGGCACAAGGAAGAGATTTTGGAAATTGGTGGAAATGTGGAAGCAGAAAAGAAACAGCAGAGGAATATGGTAGAGCCATGTATATCCCCTGGGTTGCAAAATTCCCCTGACAGGAAGCAGTCCACCTGGATTCCTGAGTTGGAATCAAACAAAGAATGAAAAGACCCACAAATTCTCTTACATATAACATGTGCTTGAACCCCTACTTTGCTTTCAAAATGAATTCAGGGGTGCTATATATTCTGAGCCCTTGAATATTCCAGAAAAGAAATTTTCTTAAGTGTAATATCCATGGGTCATGATGTTTTCTCCCAAAACTCTATGGATGCTGCTCTATCCTATTCTGAAATACAGTTGCAGAGAGACTGGGTGTGCGATTTTTTGTTACTTTCTAGATATCCTATTGTTGGTTTTGTTTTTTCTTACGGACTTTTTTCCTATCTGGCCTGTATAATGACAGCGTTCTTGGTAATTTAAAAATTTTTCAGGATTTATCTAAATGTAGATATTTCTTTTTAATCCTTGCTTATTATAAGGAGGACTCTTTCAATTTGGATAATTGAGCCAATTTTTCAACTCAAGAAAATTCTTCCATATTACATTTTATTATACTTATATTCCAATTTTATATCTTTCTTTGGAAAATTCTAAAGTTAGATCTATATGTTTAATATCATATGTATTATGTTCTTTCTCTTCATTTCAACTTTGTTTTTTCTTCTATATTACAAGAGAACTTTTTAAGTATGACCTGCATGCAATGAATCAGTTTTCTATTGTATTGATTCCACTCTTTATTAGCATCAATTTTTGTGAATTTAAAATCTATCATTACTGTTTAATTCTCTTGGTATCCTTCCTTATTATACACACCCATTGTTAAATATCAGCCTCATGTCTTTTTATTAAATCTATTTTCTCTGATTTATGCCTCTGTTTCAGAGTTAATGTAGTATACATTCTATAAAGAGTGTCAATTTCTAAAAATTATATTCTGGGGTTCCTGTATCATTTTCAGAGATCTGCTTTTCTTTTACTAAGATAATCCATTGTTTTTGCTGGATAATATTTTTAAAAGGAAAAATATTATTTTACTTTTAATGTTTTCTTTTTCTTTATTTTCCTTGAGCATGGTTTCCATCCCTGCAGTTGGTCAAAATATGAGTTTGACTTGTTCTTGGTCCTACTCAGTCAATTTGTCTAAGAGCCAAACCCTCTTCTTAGATCTAAGGCTGGATAGCTGATTGGTGTACACTCTGGCTGACTCAGTTTTTAGCATTTACAATTATATCGACTACCCTTCTTTCTGCCATGCTAAAACACATGAAGAAATAATAACTATTGTTTTATCCAGGATTTAAAAAATTAATACAAAAGGAAACATTAAAAATGAATCAAGCAAAAAAGAGTAACAACAACAAAAGAAATGTATTGGGTTACATGATGTAATAACTAAAATGCAATTAGGAATAGCTGAATCCAAATGTTTAACCCCTACTAACAGGACCTTCTCTTGCATAAATTCTAGATGAAAGGGGCCAAGAGAAATACAGTACAAGCGTGCTAGATGCATACATGTAAGTTCTTAGAATTAGGCAATATAGGCCAGGCTCGGTGGCTTATGTCTGTAATCCCAGCATTTTGGGAAGCCGACGTGGGAGGATCATTTGAGGTCAGGAGTTTGAGACCAGCTTGGCCAACATGGTGAAAGTCCATCTCTACTAAAAACACAAAAGTTAGCCGAGTGTGGTGGCGCATGCTTGTAATCCCAGCTACTTGGGAGGCTGAGGCAGGAGAATCACTTGAACCCGGGAGGCGGAGGTTGCAGTGAGCTGAGATCGCCACTGCACTCCAGCCTGGGTGACAAGAGTAAAACTCTATCAAAAATAAAAAATAAAAAAAAAGAAAGAAAAAAGAAAGAAAGAACTAGGCAATATATTATTCTGCATTTTAGCTGTAGGTAAGAAATGGATGTCTAATGAGCTCCCAGGTAGTCAATAATGAAAGCCAAGACATTCCACCAACCCCATTGAGTAGCAAACATATAATCAGTGTAGATGACCTTTTGTTTAAGTATAGAAAATTAAAGAAAGAGAGAGACAGACAGTTGATATCATCTTATTATCTGTACAAATGAGAGTGAGTGCTTATCTTTAAAACTGATTTACTACAAGAATTGGAAAACAAATATAGACATACTATTTTGCATCCTCTGTCTATGAAATTGGGTTCAAAGTCATAAGGATAAATTAGAGCCTGAACTGAAAATGGAAACTGTAAGAGGGAGAAAAAAACATAAGAAGTACTTCATAGGCTGGGCGCGGTGTCTCACGCCTTTAATCACAGCACTTTGGGAGGCCAAGGTGGGCGGATCAAAGGTCAAGAGATTGAGACCATCCGGGCCAACGTGGTAAAACCCCATCTCTACTAAAAATACAAAAAGTAGCTGGGCATGGTGGCACGCACCTGTAGTCCCAGCTACTCAGAAGGCTGAGGCAGGAGACTTGCTTGGACCCTGAAGGTAGAGGTTGCAGTGAGCTGAGATTGTGCCACTGCATTCCAGCCTGGCAACAGAGGGAGACTCCATCTCAAACAAACAACAAAAAAAAAAGAACTTCATAATAGTGAAGAAATGATAAAAAAAAATAAAAAAGAAAAAACAGAAAGTAGAGATTGAAGAAATGTCTATTTAACCTTAAGAGTTTAGACACACATTCCAGAGGAAGACATTAGGGCAGCTGCAAAGGAGGCAATTAGCAAGTACAAATTAGCAAGGAAAAAAAGAAAGTACATGGATGACACTTACCTGAGTTTGAAGGCAAAATAAAACAAAAACAAATGAGTATAGAGGTGAAAAGAACTGTCCTTATTCCAGTGGCCTAGTATGAAAATATGCAAATCTACATAGATACCTACTGGAACAAAATATTTGATTCATCAAGATATTTAGCACATCCTACTGTCAACTATACAGGTAAAAATGTTGTCCACAAAGGAATTAAAAGTCTTATTAGCAACTGACTTCTTTGCCACATGGAATATCTGGAGGCAATAGAAAAGGTGCTACAGAGTTTTCAGGGGAGGATATCAACTTACAACCTAAAAATTTTATCCTGGCCAGGCGTGGTGGCTCACAACTGTAACCCCAACACTTTGGGAGGCTGAAGCAGGCAGATCATTTGAGGTCAGGAGTTTGAGACCAGCCTGGCCAAAATGGTGAAACCCCAACTCTACTAAAAATACAAAAATTAGCCACACATTATGGTGGGTGCCTGTAATTCTAGCTACTTGGGAGACTGAGGCAGGAGAATCACTTGAACTCATACAGCAGAGGTTGCAGTGAGCAGAGATCATGCCACTGCAGTCCAGCTGGGTGACAGAGTAAGACTGTCTCAAGAAGAAAAAAAAATGTATCCTAACCAAATATTTATTTACATATAAAAACAATAGAATGCTAACTTCAGATATGCTTGGCTCAGAAAGTTATGTTCATTTTGCAAATATTACTTGAAGGTGAATTGCAGCTGACTGAATGATGAATCAAAAGCAAGAATTTTAACATAGGAAAATGGTGTCATTAAAGGATTAGTGTGATATAAAATTGTTAAACATAATTAACAGTATAAGTAAATTGTAGTTTTTGGATAGACAAATGAACAAAACAAAATGTAATATTGGAATAGAATCTGTGTAAGCTGTAAATAAATATTAATGTAAGCTTTCAGGTCTAAACACATAGATTGTTTTGACAATGACTTTAAATTGGGATGGCAGGGAATAAAAGTGAGGATAAAGTATTTGAAATTCCTTACACTAAATTAGAAAAGCAAAAAAGACTTTATTTAATTTTCTACTTTATCAATAAATTAATTATATGATAATTATTTCTAATTTATTTAAAGCAACTCACTAGAACAAAGTTCCATGTGTTGTGTATTTTGTTGATGTATCTCAACTGCCTAGAATATTTTCTAGTATATAATAGGTGCTCAATAAATAGTAGATTAATGAATTGATGAACTGAACTTTAGATTTAGAAGCAGAGTGTATATAGATGTACTTACTTTTACAGATTTGAAAATTGTGTACTAACTGGGAAACTAAAAGTAAGCCATAGAATCTATATAATAAAAACTAGGAAAATAAACTACCAACAGTGATAAATAATAAAATAACAAAAGTTCAAATAAGACTAAATAGAGTGCAGTTACAATAAATGTAACTGTTATAAATTCTACTTTTAAATGGTGAAGAATTTGTGACTGGTTAAGAAACAAAATCCAAATACATATTGATTGTAACATATTAAAGACATGTAAAAATCAATGAATGGACAAAACTTCACAAGTAAACACAGACTCAAAGCAAGCACTAAGAACAGCATTAAATCTAGAAAAAGTAAAATTCAAGAAAGACAATATAAAACAACTTAAATTTTTTTAAAAAGAGGGACATTTTTTGGATCAGAGTTACAATCTACAATGAAAATAGTTGTCACCAATCTTTACATGTCTCTGATGTTACATTAAAACATGTAACATAAGACTCTTAGAAATACAGTAATTTTAAATATTAATAATAAAAGGGAAACATCTGGAAAAACAATTATAGGAATTTCATATAATGCTTTGAGCATTTAACAGACTAGGTAGGAAAAAAATATATATAGGCATAGAGAATTTGGATTTCATCATTTGAATTACATGTTTTTTGGATAATAGGTTCGAGTAACATACTGGTATTGAACCACATGTATCCTATAGAGAACACAGTTCTTTTCAAGCACCTGAGGCATATTTATCAAAACTGATTGTATGGTAGGCCTCAAATCTTTATAGATTCCAAAAAAGCATACTAGTAACATTCATTTGATCACGACTTATTGATATTTATTGAGGACCCACTCTGTGCCAGCACAATCTAAGTATTGAAGAAAGAGCAGTGAATAAGAGTCCAACTCCCTGACTACTTGGAATTTACATTTTAGGTGGAGGAAGACAGGAGTAAATAAATAAGCCAGCAAATATATTTTATATCAGATAGAAGACTATGCTATAGAGATAATAAAGAAGCGTGAGGGGAATTGGAGTTGTGGAGTTTTAAAGAGCTTAACTCTATTTCTTGCCTTTTTTAGGTCACGTTCCTCAAACTTACTGGGAATTTGGTCTGTTCTTAGTTCTACTCTTTTAGAAGACACTAGTCTCCTTAGATTTAAGCCTTTTATGATTTTACTAAATCTATAACACAGAAAATATGTTAACAAATCCACATTTTTAAAAGGAAAGTGCAACTATATGTCCTATTTGTAATCACAAACAACATAAATAGATAAAATAATATCAAGCCAGTTGAGAAGGGTGTTGTATTAAAACAGATCCTCTGTTTTACTTTTTCTATGTCTTAGGAATCTAAATGTAAGATGCGTCTGCCCAGGGTATTAAAAGGAAATCACTGGATGACATGTACTAAAAATGGTTTGCTAAATCACTAAGCTAGAATCACATTATCTCACACAGATATAGAGTAGAACTGGAGTGTGAACAAGCAACTGTATTAAGAATTATGTGCTTTCTGTTGTTCCTTTTTCCTCACACCAGGCTTGCTGAAATTAATTATTACTCTCTAGGACTGAGGTCTTAGCCAAGAGGAAAAGTTCAGGAGAAGAGAGATGGTAAGAGTGGGAGTTACAGACTTGGTGTATATGAAGGAGGGGTAAGGAGGTAGATAATTCTTATTTAATCTCCTGTGTAATTGGGTTAAACATTATCAAGAGTAGATTTCTAAATAAATTTGGAAGAGACAACTGCAAACTCCTGGACATATGAAATCTGATTTCTCAGCCCAAGTCAGCAGCAAAGTTAAGAGAATGCAGGTCAGATGCTCCACATGTTGGTTTGATGCTGTGGTAATACTAAAAAAAACTGGCTGTCACTAGAATGGTGGTACTCTTATTTACAAAAAAAAAAAAAAAAAAAAAAAAAAAAAAGGTGATTCCTTTATTTTACAAAGCTCAGAAGGATGATATATATATAAAAAATGCATCAAAGGGAGTATCAAAAAATTCAAAATAAAATGTTGGAAAAAGAGGATTTTCTTATATATTTTAAAATAGAGGTTATAAACTATATAATTTTGTTTTACGTTAATTTGGTGCTAAAAGCATAACTGAATGATTTAGTGTGGAATGACTAAATTTCATATGCTTTTGTTTCACTAGGTAGCTAGTCAGACATGAACAGAGCAGGAGAGGGCTCCCCCAACTCCCACCAGGAATGTCAGGCAACCATCAGGTGATAGGCAGTTGTTACATTGTTTCTCTAAAATAATTGCTTGCAGCCAGCTCCAAGAAAAGGCAGTCTCCCAATAGATAGAAAAAACCTAAAACTAGTGCTCATCAGCTTCATGGTAAGATCTCAGGAGTTGGGCAAGTGGGCTCAAGCATGTGCATTAAGAGGCAAAATCGTGGAGTTTAACTGTTACATGACCTTCTTGGAACATCTGGATGGTAAGGAAAGAACGCCTCAAGTGAACATGCATACAACTCTAGTAAACACACTGCACATGCTTCCCTCCCAATTGCTAGCAGGATGCTGTGAATGCAGACAACCCAACCCAAGGGAAGAATCAGGGGAGAAGGGATGTAAGACTCCAAAAGCATGCCGACACGTAAAACCCCAAGTCAAAGGTCAAACAGTGCACTTGATCTCTCAAGTCACCTGCTTGACCAAGTGTACCCTGCTTCCAAGTGTACCCTAACTTCCTTTTGATCCTCCTCCAAAACTTTTTAATAAACTTTCACTCCTACTCTAAAACTTGCCTCAGTTTCTCATTCTGCCTTATGCCCCTTGGTTGAATTCTTTCTTCTGAGGAAGCAAGAATTGAGGTTGCTGCAGACTCAAATAGATTCACTGCCAAAACACTTCTATTCACATGGAACTTAAAATAGGTTAATGGAAAGAGCTATAGAAAACTAAAGTTTAAATGCCCATATAAAGAATAAAAGAAAAAGAAACTGTATGTCAACATATAATAGACACAACAAAAAATAAGTTAGAAATTAGTATGTAATAAATACTGCATTTTTATCACTACTAAAGAATTAAATGGCAAAGATGGTAATATTTTGTGGCAATATCTACGTTTGTGGACTTAATAATACCATTAAATTATATGCCTTCAGTGAACTAGTTCTGTTGAAGTTTCCACATCTTTAAGTCAATTCTTTGACCCAAAAAAGATGCTGTGGAGACAAAAGTGACTCCATCTTGAATGCTAATACACCATGGTGACTTCTGATTAACCTCAGTCCCCAGAATGCCTCCCGATTACAACTTTATTGATGACTGTCCCTAGTGTAAGAATATGTCAACCTTGATGTTATCACACAAATTGTATGACACATATAGCATTCTTGTCTGTTCAAGAGGTTTGCCTTTAACTGTTTATTTTTTATATTATTATTATTATTATTATTATTATTATTATGAGACAGAGTTTTGCTCTTGTTGCCCAAGCTGGAGTGCAATGGCGTGATCTCAGCTCACTGCAACCTCTGCCTCCCGGGTTCAAGCGATTCTCCCGCCTCAGCCTCCTGAGTAGCTGGGATTACAGGCATGCGCCACCACTCCCAGCTAATTTTTTAATATTTTTAATAGAGACGAGGTTCTCCATGTTGGTCAGGCTGGTCTCGAACTCCCAACCTCAGGTCGAACTCCTCCCGCCTCAGGCTCCCAAAGTGCTGGGATACTGGCGTGAGTCACTGTGCCTGGCACCTTGAACTTTTTTTACTGGAGCACATACACACTTTCCTTAAGGTACATAAACCCAGAATCTGGGAAGTAACAGTGCAAAGATCTTCCTGTCTTGCTGCCACCCCAGAGCACCCTTCTGTCTGTAAGTCCCCTCAATAAAACATCCTTTACTGAGAAATTAGATTTGTCTACCTTGTTCTTTGGTTTTGAAGGAAATTAAAGCATTTTATCCCAAAATATATTTCTTTGTCACATTTTGAAATGGCTGCCACTTGGCCAGCCTGACAGAAGTGGTCTTGCAAAGCTGTCCGAAGTTGGGGAAATTTGCATTTGTAGAGAATCTCCATTAATGCAGGCTTGTTCCTTTCTCTTTTGAGAGTCGGAACCATTTAAAATCTGAAAGGAAACATTTACCATCTATTCTCCCTGAGGGAGGCTTCATCTACATGACAAGGCCACTTTTGCTAGCCAAAATCTTCCTTTCTCTCTTAATCTGTCTTGCCATTAAACTTAATTTACCTGTTTTCGGCCTTTCTCTCTCTTTCAACCTGTCTTGCCATTAAACTTGATTTACCTGTTTCCGGCCACATTATGAGCCTACATTATTTACTGTGGCCTCAGGATGGTATATTCATTTCTGTAAGTATTTGGGAAGTTGAGTCTTCATTCTGAAGGGTCCCATGTATACATGTTAAATTTGTATGTGTTTTCTCCTATTAATCAATCTGCTTCATGTCAGTAATTTTTAGCAAACCTTTAGAGGGCCAACAGCCTATGGCTCCTGTCAGGCCTCTGAGCCCAAGCTAAGCCATCATATCCCCTGTGACCTGCACGTACACATCCAGATGGCCAGTTCCTGCCTTAACTGATGACATTCCACCACAAAAGAAGTGAAAATGGCCTGTTCCTGCCTTCACTGATGACATTGTCCTGTGAAATTCCTTCTCCTGGCTCATCCTGGCTCAAAAGCTCCCCTACCGAGCACCTTGTGAACCCCACTCTGCCCGCCAGAGAACAACCCCCCTTTGACTGTAATTTTCCTTTGCCTACCCAAATCCTATAAAACGGCCCCATCCCTACCTCCCATCGTTGACTCTCTTTTCGGACTCAGCCCGCCTGCACCCAGGTGAAGTAAACAGCCATGTTGCTCACACAAAGCCTGTTTGGTGGTGTCTTCACACAGACGCGCATGAAAGCTCCCACAGTTTCTTGGCTCCTTCATTATTCCGGGGGCTGCTTTGCATGTACAGTCCTTTCACAGAACAGATGACTATTTAAATGGCTAGCAATCACTATCCCATAAGTTAAGGGATATGTAACTTCATAGAGGAGAAAACCTAGACTTAGAAAGGCAAAATAATTCCTCTAAACAACCACCTAGGAGAGGAACCTTGCAGAGTAGAGCCAATACGAAAAGGGAAGCAATTTTGAAAGCGTGTCAACACCAGCTAGGCTGGCGTGACTTGGGAGCAACATGCCAGGCTAAGATTCTGGGCTGGGGGAACAGGAATGAGAGCCCTGGAGATCAGGGATCATGAGCCCAGGGACATTCAGATTTGGAAAAGGGCTGCTATGCAGAGAATTAGGAATTACCAAATCCTATCCACATTGAAACCGCAAACTAAATATGGCCTGAGAAGGACTGCGTACTTCTGTATTTGAGTCCTTGTGGATAAGCAGTACCCTAGCTTAATAGTCAGACAAAATTGAAAACCTAGCTTAGTAGTATGCACCTGTAACAATAGCTGAGTGTTGGGCAATCCCAGCGACCGTACATTAACCACTCATAGACTGCTGAATGTTCAAACTGCATTCAAAGAAGTCCAACGCTGAGCTGTAACCAATCTCACTGTTTCTGTACCTCGCTTCCAATTCCTGTAGGTCACTTTACCTTTTTTATCTATAAATGTGTTCTGACCAGCAGGCACACCCGGAGTCTCGGCGAATTTCCTGTGCTTCTGGGACTCTCCGATTCGCAAATCATTCATTACTCACTTAACTTCTTAAATTTAATTCGGCTGAAGTTTTTCTCTTATTACTGCCCTAAAAATTATAACTGAGAAAATTATGACGGTGAAAGAGATCTGACTTAACTGACTCCCTCTTGCTTCTAACCTCCAAGGTATCCTTGTTCGTTCCTGGGTGTAGACAGAACTCACTTTGGGATGAACTTAGTTTATAGCTTAACTTTGAAACAAGGACAGTAACAGCCCTTCCTCAAACAAACCCCCTTCCTGCCTGAGGACTAGACTGCCTTTGCAGGACTAACAAATTAGTCACAAGATTCAAAATTCAAAATTATCATTTGAACAAAACAAGAAAACAATTCCCTACACCATTAAAGCCATTTACAATATACAATATAGTATGTAATGAGAGGATAATAGTTTCTCTTATAAATGTACTATAATTTTTTAATTTATTTCTCTATTTTTTTTAAATATTTATCCATAAAAAGAAGGATCTTGCTATGTTTCTCAGGCTGGCCTCAGACTCCTGGGCACAAACGATCCTCTTGCCTTCCCCTCCACCCCCTCAGTAGCTGGAACTACAGGCTTGTGTCACCATGCCAGGCTATTTCTCTATTTCTGTACATTAGACCAATGCTGATACTTCACTAAAACACATAATGCCAAGGTGAATACTTTTGTGCATAAATCTTTTTTCCTATTCTCATTTTTTAATTGTTGATAATGAAAACACTGAAGGAAAATCTATTCATATTTTAAGATAGGTAAATATTACAACTTTTTTTCTCAGAAAGTTTACACACCAATAATAGTGAATGTTAGATACATACCATTGTATTACTCTTGGCACTGGGTATTATACATTTTGTATTCATCTTTAATAGTTTCATTGGGGAAAATGACATCTCATTTTAATTTGTATATCATTAATTTTTAATGAAATTACATGTTTTTCACAAATAAGTTTAAGAGTTCATGATTAAAATTTTCCTAGGAAAATATTCATCTCACTTCTGAGTCACCCTTTAAAGTTTCAAGTTGTGCTTTTTCAATTTTGTAATTCCTCTCCCGGGTCAGGTCTCATGGGGCACCTATCTCTGCATATAGTGAGTGCTCAATGTATCAGTGTGAGAGTCTTATTGCATTTCACCACACTGCCATATATGGACCTGTGAGACCTTCACTTGTAGGAAATTTCCCTTTAAAAATGCATCTGAAGACTACAATGAAATGGGGAAAAGCATAGTTTTGGTTGAGAAGGAATGTAAGGATTTCTCTAGATGTTTAATTAATCATTTTGGGATGAGTATATTTCTTGTCAGATTAGCAGCACGTAAGAACTGGAGGCTCAAGTGTATTCTATTCACACAGAAGTGGATAGATTCCACACACAGTCAATAAAAAGCAAGAGGCTTATGTAAAACAAGGCTAAGAAATTGCAGTTACCTTCCCACCAAAAGAAATTATTTCAAAAGCAACATCACATAGTCGCAATTACAGTAAAATGGAATTTTGTTATGTCCTCTTGCTTTATTCCGAATTAAAACTTCCTTAAATTAATTCACTAAAATTCTAATCATGTTTTAAGGAAGTTGAGCAAATCCTGCAAATACATATATCTGCCAGTTTTTTTCTTTTACTTTTTAGTATTCATTAGCAAGAAAATTTTGCCTAAGACAAAGACATGAAAGCATACAATGTTCAAATTAAATGAAATTAAGTAAAGTCAAATTAAGTAAATGAAAACAAATCTAACATTTCACTTTTATTAATTTGGGGAGGGCATAATTTGATGTTGGCATAAGCAGTAATGTTTGTAAACTGTTTATGGAGATGCGGAAAGAGAAGAGGATGAATGTATATTATATGAGTGAGGTTTGATGTCTACCAGTCCTCATTTTCATATGAGGAAACTGAGATTGCACATTTTAAAAAAACTTGCACAAGATCACACCACTAGTTAAATGACAGATTCATAACCCAAATCTACTTCTGCCTGGCACCAAAGTTCACGTTCTTTCTTTTTCACTTTTGGCATACTTGATCTTGTTATAAGTCCTTTAGAAATAGTAGTGCATTTAGTTCTCTTAATAATTCTATATAATGAAAACTGTAATTACCACTGCTTTACAGTGAAGAAGTTAAAAGACTGAGAAGTGAAGAATTTGTCCAGGTTTACGCAGCCAGGAAGTAGCAGAGCTGGAAATTAAACCCAGGCAATTTGAGACTTAAGTCTGTACCTTGAAATACAACACTGTGGCATCTCTTGACATGCTTTGGAAATAAATGGAATCCATACTGTCTTCAGTGGGAATATGATACTGTAGCCTAGTTTTTACAAGGTAAAAACTCTCCAGGAAGTAATCAATGTCTATATTATAATAAATATAATAGTCTACTTACATGATCAATATTTGTACTATTTCTTGGTTCCCACAGAAACCTAATAGAATAGAAACACCACTTTTTTGTCCTGTCACTAGATTTCTATAAAAATGCTTGTTTGTGGGCAGGGAATACTCTGAAGAAGAGTTATGAAAAGGAAGGGCACATTTATTGCTGTAGTTTGAAATAAAACTTTTTTTCACCCAACTTAGATAAAGCGCAAATGGAATTTTATTTGCAGGGGCATATTAACATAGAATTAAAATGACAACTATATAGTTACCTAGTGCTGAATAGCGTCTATATCTAACCTATTTTCTAAAAGATATTTTATGACCCTCTACACTTGTATGCACAGTACAGAAAATACACTGATGTCTGTAGTTTTGTTTCTGTAGCCCCTACCACTTAGCAGGTATTCTGCAAATACGTGCCTTTGGGGATGAAGAAAA
The DNA here is from genome assembly GCF_000001405.40 of Homo sapiens. NCBI lineage: Eukaryota > Metazoa > Chordata > Mammalia > Primates > Hominidae > Homo > Homo sapiens. The sequence goes on along the minus strand of NC_000003.12, from coordinate 174,228,413 downwards.
ATGATTTATGTTAACAGAACTATGATTGAACTCATAATTGAGCCAAATCTCTTTTATGTGAAGTTGCATGCCATTTGATTTGCAAAAGTTGTTCTATCTTACTCTACAGGAAGATCCACTGATGATGTATCATTTTAATTTCTTTCATGAGCAGTCACTGGAAAAAAGTGGCAAATAACAAGGTTGTTTATTTGTAACAGCAGTGCTCCTCCAAAATCAAATGAACAAAAGGTAATCTTAATTTCATGAATCAATTATCTTAATAAATACCTACATAATTAACTGAAGAATTCTCTTTGGAAGAACCAATTGATAAACAATTTCAATGTAAAAAAAAAATGGAGAGAGAAAAACACAATAATCCTGAGCGAATAACAATATGTCTCAGTATGAAATACACAAATTTTCCTAAGAATATGTACAACTATATATTAAAAATCACTTAAGCATATATAATATGCAAATAATATCAGATTTGATTCTATTATTTATGCTCATACAGTGGCCAAATTTAAAGGCAATTAGTCAAATTATCTATTTAATACACCACATATTTTCATAAGTCAAATAAATATTAGATGATGCTAACATTAACTTCTTTCTTCATTATTTGTACTTGAAATATACATCTACTTGAATTAATTAAGTAATGCTATTTCACAAACATTTTTGAAAGATTTTTGGAAATCTAGGTGACACATTTGCCACCAGACATTTATGAATCTTTAGGAAATTTTCTTTGCCTCTTTTGATCACAGTTTTCTCATCTGTAAAATAAAAGGTCTAAATTAGATAAATTATGAGGGCCTTTTTGTGTTATGAAAACTACATCTACCTAAAAATATAACTTTCCTGGTAAATTATGAAATAATTTGAAGTAAAAACAAAATAGTTATACTAAGTGACATGGCTATTTGGGTACTAAGGAAAAATAAAAAAGATATGAATAAACTGAAGAGAATTGTGTTTGAATCCTGCTGTAACTTTTTTACAACCTCTGTGGCCTTCTCTTTAACCTTTCTGAGTCTCAGATCCCTCATGTGTGAAATGGAAAAGGCAGTAAAATTTTAAATATGTTTTCCCCACTATGTGGCAAGGGTGAATATTCCCTTGGATTGCTTTTGTTTTTCAGTCTTATATTTCACAGGAATTTGGATTAACGTAATGAATTCATAATATTTAAAGTTGCCGTAGATGTTTAATTAGCTAACTGTACAGGTAATAAACATGGCTTTGTGTTTTATACCTGAAGACTATGTGAACCTGGCAGGTTAAGTACAATGATTTCTCTTCTCCATTTATCAATTCATGCAAAGCTTATGCAATTGGTCCTCATTGCTCTTAAAAACTCACCTATTACATAAACCTTACTAGACCAGGCCTAAAATTATGTTTAATATTAGAATCACTAAAAGTCAACAATCGTATGCCTACTTGCTTTCATTTTTTGTATACCAGTAATAAATATCCAGGTCTTTAAATATGACTTCATTAAAACACATGTACTCCTTTGTAGCTGGGGCAAATGGAAAAAGTCATCAACCCCAGAAATGAATAATTCCCTGAACTGCCAATTTGGATAGAATGGCCATAATAAGGCAGCCCAAGGAATGGGGAGAGTATTCACAAAGGAACACCTCAGCAAGTCATTTTTAAAAAAAATTTAGTGTTATTTTAAATTTTAGTGGATGGTATATAACCCTTTTTAATTAAGTTAACAGACATATAGCACCTGGTTCTTATGTTGTAAAATACTTAAAAAGTAGAGGAAGTAACAATAAAATTCAGTGCATCATGAGTCTTTTTAAAAGCTGAGCTTGACAAAAACTAGCCTAAAAGCATCTTATATATAGTCTTCAATAGTTCCCCAACGTTGCAGCAATATGGAAAGGCATATCCAGACTAGAACTTAAAATCATTACTTCCGTGTTATGCTACTTGTACAAGAAAAATGCAATAATGCCACCAAGCAAACAACCCCCAAAACAACTGGAAAAATCCCTCTCAACCTATGACCTGTTAGGCTCACTCTTTATACTAAGCTAGTCCAGCCTTTGGCACAGTATAAGAAATGGATGGTCAAAAGCAAACCTAGATAACCAGGGGTGGTGGGTAAGGGGGTAGGGGGAGTAGCTAATGGTCTACCTCTTGCTCCTAGGACTATCATATGCCTTCAATTAGAAACCATGTACTTTTTTGGCACTCATAATTATTTCATAGCTGTGCTCATAAAGAACTTCCATGCTTTCTTCATAGATGAGGCACTTCCAGCCATATGTTTCCTAATCATCTCTTTGAATACATTTTGATGATCTGAGGCATAACTGGTCTTGGTGGCCATTAGTGAGCTTCAATGTTGGTTCATAAAGAGAACATCACCTTCAGTACAAAAGAGAAAACTATGGAAATCTGTGATCATGACCACACAACTCCTAATAAAATTAGATCTTTCTGCTATTTTACTAGATGTTATATGGGTATTTCTGCTCTAGAAATTTTTCCTTGACTTGTTTAATAAACCTTGCTACTCTAGAGTTTAATTGTAATGATGCAAAACCAAAACAAAACCCCCCAAATACTCCAAATAGTAAAGGTGCTTCATGGTCTTAATTATAAATAATATTTTTCCTCCCCCTTAGCATTTCTCTGACTTGCAAGAATAATCTAATTTTTTTTTTTTTTTGAGACGGAGTCTCGCTCTGTCCCCCAGGCTGGAGTGCAGTGGCGCAATCTCCGCTCACTGCAAGCTCCGCCTCCCGGGCTCACGCCATTCTCCTGCCTCAGGCTCCGGAGTAGCTGGGACTACAGGCGCCCGCCACCACGCCCAGAGAATTTTTTGTATTTTTAGTAGAGATGGGGTTTCACTGTGTTAGCCAGGATGGTCTTGATCTCCTGACCTCATGATCCGCCTGCCTCGGCCTCCCAAAGTGCTGGGATTACAGGCGTGAGCCACCGCGCCCGGCCAGAATAATCTAATATTACAGGAATAAAGCCATAGTATAAGACATGTTATATCACTTTGGATATTCATGTTACAGGCTGGCTGGACCAGATACCGGTTGCTAAATTTTCTTTTTCTACCACACAAAGTAAATGCCCATTAAGCCCTTAGGGCAGAGATTCTTTACATGAGATCCCTGGAAGCGTTTAGTGGGATCTGAGAAACTTTAAGGTTTCAGGCATATTTTTGTCTGAAGAAAGTGGCCATATGTTTTATTGATATTTTAAACAAGATTAAAAACTTTGGTATTGGGATTTCGTGAGAATATTATGCTGTGACTAATATCTCAGTCTTCACAGGTAGCCCTTCCCAACCAAAGTAAGGGATTACTGAGATATTTAAGATACTTGTATTTTTCCATTCTAGTGGTGGGAGGGAAGAGTAGGAGGGAAAGGAAAGAGTCCACATAAAGATAAAAACTTGGACTGTCTTTTGGAAGACTTTGGTTTTCCTTTGGACTAAACTCCTAACAAGCTTCTAAATTTAGACCCATCAGTTGACCTCTTTGGCTTATCTCTAAACTGAGTGTGTTGGACTACATCAGCATTATGCAAAGCTTGTTTATTGAAATCCTGGGGATTCTGGAAAAGTATTTCAGTGACCATCTCAAGATGAAAGCCTAGTGCAAAAAAAGTTCGGTTAGCTTGATGCACCTCCTAGCAGGAAAGGTGGATGTGGTGATGGCAGGTGAGTGCATAGATTTCCTTTTTTTTTGAGACCGAGTCTCACTCTGTCACCCAGGCTGGCGTGCAATGGCACAATCTCGGCTCACTGCAACCTCTGCCTCCTGGGTTCAAGCGATTCTCCTGCCTCAGCCTCCCGAGTAGCTGGGATTACAGGTGCCTGACACTATGCCCAGCTAATTTTTGTGTTTTTGGTAGAGACGGGGGTTCACCGTGTTGGTCAGGCTGGTCTTAAACTCCCCACCTCAGGTGATCTACCCGCCTCGGCCTCCCAAAGTTCTGGGATTGCAGGCGTGAGCCATCACGCCCGGCCAGATTTCCATTTTTAAGTGAGAAAATTTAAGCCATGTTAGGTGGTTCTTTTTGATTCCCATGTCATTCCTTTTTTGAGATGTTGAAATTGCTCAACAATTTGAGAACATTTGACAACTGCACTTGAATATCTTATGCTCAACAAAATAAGAACATTTTCTGTATGATATAGTAATTAGTTTATAATTATGTTTCCTCTATTGGATTGTAAGTAACTCAGAAGAAGCATTCTTTATTGGCCATTTCTAGAACCCTGAAAGTGGTTGCTCTATGGAACGAGAAAGATAAGCAAACAGAAAGTGATGAAAAATAATTTATATACCAGTATAGAAGATGGACTAAATATTCATGAGATAGAAAAGAGATAAGCAGAACTCTCAGGGTTATCATACAAAATAGTTCATGAAGCAGGATGGAAAGTTTGGGTTAAACTAGAGAGACATTTAGGAAGTAGAATGTGTAGGACTTTGTGGCTCTTGATGAGAAATACAAGAGGGAGGAGTCTAAAATAACTTTCAGATTTCTACAATACAGTCTCATTAACTCAGGGAGAAAATGCAGAAGGAGGAGCAATTTGGAAGTTAATGATTTGGTAAATTTTGGTCATGCTACTGTAGGCACCAAGTCATGTGGTGATTTGGGGCCTTTGGACATACTTGGTGATTTGAGATGCAAATATGCATTTATTTCTGTGAGCAGCAGGCGATAAAGTTTGAAAAACATTTATTAAAAAGGTACATATAAGATATTCAAGTGCAGTTGTCAACAAAGTTGTTATTCTGGATCTAGGATACACATTTAGAAGTCAGGAAAAGACATTCAGCTGCACACACTGATTTGAGAGTTGCCAGGGGCAGGTGTTAGTTGAAGGCAGGTGAGTGGGTGAGATTAGGTAAAGGAAAAGTGAGAAGGAAATAAATGCTAGAGAATACCAATATTAAGCAACAGACAGAGTAAAAGAGGTAGAAAAATGAATGAAAAAGGCGTACTGAAATCCGAGGGAGAAGACCAAGCTTGTCAGAAACTTAATCGTGTTTGATACTTTGCTTGCTTTCATGCCAAGAAAATTACAAAGATTTGAGCTTTCCCTGTAGGGACTTCTCATGAAGGACCAAAAAGACATTAATCAGAGTAAGAATAAACATAAAAAGCAGAATTGGCACGGTAATTTGGCACAAAAGGAGAGTGAGCTAGATAAAGCACATATTTAGGGGCGTGAGGTGAAGTGGGAGGTGCTACAAGGGCTAACAAAATGAAGTTGTCAGCTCTCCTCTGATCATTGTGAGAACTCTGTTAGGAGAGTTGAAGTATCTTCAGTGATTTACAGAAGAGATATATAAAATCCCTGACGGAGTTGAGATTGTCTGACCTCCTCTCTGGTGGCACAAAGCATATAAGCATCTAGGGAAATAAATTAGATAAAGTGAGATTGATTTTGAAAATGTGAAAAAAATATTAGTAGCACACTTTAAAATGTAAAGTACAACCTCAGAAGAGTAGAAGTAGAAAGAAAAAAGTTATATTTTCAAACAAACACTTCCATTTATATCAATTGAACAACTCTATACTGTAAAATAGATACAGATAGCAACTGGAATGGTCTAATCAACACCTGGGGAGAAACAAATGAAATAAATGAGCCAGTGGTGTGCAGAAGGGAGATTACATTTACATGTGTCTTATGAATCTGAAAACTGGAAGAGAACTGCAAACTCAGAGAAAAGAAAACTTTGCTTGCCCAAACAGGAATCTTATTTTGCCAGATATATTGACTGAGCTGAATCTAATGAGATTTTGTGTCAATGCAAAATAAACCCCAAACCTAACCTAGGAATCTTTCATTCTAAAAATGATTAGCTCAGAGAACCATGTTGATTGTGAAATAAGAGATGATTTGATTTGTAAGAAATATACAACACCCATTTACTATATAAAATAAAGTGTGCATTGATTTGTGGTGGGGATAAAAGTTTGGAAAACTTACGTTTAGTTTCTAACTTTTCTAACCAAGATTAACATTTGCCTACCAAATATCTATATAAAGTAAAAAATAAACTCTTAATTCTAGAATTATTTTGTTAGTTGAAGTATTTGCAAAATAAACAGGAAAATAATATACAACATGCTTTTACTATAACTATCTAAGAGGTTTCAGGTAAAATAAATGTTTGTGGAATAAATTAACATACCATAAAATCACAGACCGCATGATTGTGTATAGTATATACACGCAATAACTCATTAATAGAAACACTCATGATTTAAGTTATTTGAATGCTCACAGCTACTTATCTCAAAATACTCAAAGATACAGGGCTATGTGATTTCCCACTGAAGCTGGTTGAATAGATTCCCCCCAAAATTTATATCTGCAAGGAAACTCAGAAACTTATTTGTAAATAGGATCTTCTCAGATATTAGTGAAATTAAGATGGGATTATACTGGATTAGAAGAGGGCCAAAATCTAATGACAGATGTCTTTATAAAATGAAAAACAAAACAAAAAACATGAGCAACATTCAGATCCGACACAGAGACACAGAGAAGTCCATGTGATAATGGAGGAAGAGATTGGAATGACGCAGCTACATATCAAGGAACAGCAGAGATTACTGGAAGCCACCCAAAGCTATGAAGAAGCAAGAAAGGATTCTTTCCTAGAAGCTTAAAAGGGTGCATGGCCCTGCAAGCAACTTTACATTGGACTTTAGCCTCAGAACTTTGAGAGAATAAATTTCTCTTGTTTAAGCAACCCAATTTGTTACAGCAGCCCTAGGAAACTCATATGCCCCAGTTTTTAGAAAAAAAAAAAATTAATGTATGTTTATTTAAGTATAACTTATCTAAGAATCTGGCTTTTAATAAACTTATTGTTCATGACACCAAAAATTGAGTGCTCAAGATCATCTGGTAAGTCTGTGTCATAACTGGAACCCAAGACCAAGACCTATTTGGAGTCTTTGCTGTAGTCGTTGTCTCCAGATGCCTCTAACTTTATGAGGATAATTCTATAGAAAAATGACTGCTGTAAATTTTGCTGTCAGTCAGTAGAAGCTGGCAAAGTGCTGGTGCTGATGGTTTTTGTGATTAGTATGCAGGGCAAACAGCCTTACCCTCTGGCTTATAAAACAAGCTAAAGTGTCGCCTGCTTCCTCACCTCATCATTTCTAGAATGGTACTTACCTTTCAAACCACAAAACAGTGCTGTTGCCAAGGCCATAAAAAGTATTATATGGTTCTGCCTGCCATCTTTTCAAGGTGGGCTGGCAAAACAGAGGACCACAGACAGAAAAATGGAGTAATAAAGTTTAAATAGTAGGCAATAATATTAATCTGCTGTGCTGCAGTGCCGATTAAGAGATTGAACCAACTCCCTGCAGTTCTAATTGGATTTTCCTGTGTTTTCTTCAACCCTTAGGGCTTTACCCTGATAAATCCTATTTTTTCTTGCCATTTATTCTTCATGAATGACTCTATGTAATGGAATTATCTGTAAAAACACACAAATGCTTGTACTGCCATAGAATTCCTTTTGTGGCTCTCTTTGCAGATTGCAGACGTGTTGCTTTCTAAAAGGCAAGTAATTAATACACAGAATTGCTGGGCTAATTGCTGTCTACATATTTCACATGCATAATAAGATATAAGGCTATAATTCAGGTACAGGGAAAGCACAACCATGTGTAAATAATGCCCTAGAAAACTATATTATGTTAGGATTCAAAAAATGGATCTACACACTGTTCTGCATAATGTCTGAGGTAATCAATGTAAAAATGAAAGAGGAATAAAGTTTTACATATGCACACATCAAGTGTATTTCTCAAATATGTAAGGTAATTTTCACATGCCCAATTCATTATTATTTTTGAAATAATGTCGTCTTGGTCTAAATTTGTCTTCAAGTATGTGTGTGTAGCCAAAGAATATCTTTGTCAGGAAATGTTGCACATAAGGATGTAATTGCTGTTTATGATTCCAATAACAACCACGTTAGCTCTAGTTATAAAATATTAATTATATATCTCTAGGCCTATACCAGAGTGTATGAAACAGTCCTAATAGGTTCACTTCTGTAGGAGATCTCCATACTGATTTAGAACCAAAATTTTGATTTTATTGGTCCACTCAGTTTATCTGATTTCATCACAGAACCAGTGATTCTGCCACTTTCCTTTGTTATGTTTTTAGTTTTGACTTTGTCTAGTGCCATCCTTGAAACCACCTAGATTTTTCTACCAGAATCTGCTCACATAGTCCCAAACTCATCCAGGTGCTCAAACTTTCTGCTTTGGACTCTCAGGGCAAGGTCTCTGTTTTCGTTAGTGTTGTCTCTCTCTTTAGACTTTGTGGACACTTTTGTCCTGATTGCCAGAGCCTTACATTGCCTCCCTGCCTGGTCCCTTCCCACTACAGTCTTCATTATATTCTCTAACTTATTTTTTGCTGCCTTCCCAACAGCTTCTCTCTGTCTGACACCTGCTGGCTGCTCTTCTGTACTAATGCTGATATCTGGAAAAACTGAACTGCAGCCCGCAATCTTGCTTATTTTCTGATGGTGTATCTTGCTTCTGTTTCCTATTTTACTTGAACCAAACATTCCCTGACCATTTTGGTCTTTGGTCTTTGCTTTCAGCTCTGACTAGTGATTTCTAACCATTCACATCAATGAACGTTTATGGAACATCTGATTTGTGCCAAGGCATTGGACTATTGGGGATACAACGGTGAACACACACCAACCTGCTTTCAAGGAACTGATTATCTGTCCAGGGATAGATCTATTTTGTTGTACTCCTACGATGTACTAAGCAGTTTACACTTAAGTCTCCTTGCTGCAGTTCTCTAAGCTTAGCAGGTAATCATCTGAAATGTATGCTAATATCTCAGAGTTCTAGGCCTCATTCCAGATTTATCAATCAGATCTTTAGCTCTGGGGTCTAGTAATCTGCCTTAGCAAGCAACCCCTGTGATTATGCCATTGACAGCCTGAGGACCATGTCTTGAGGAATACTGTCTAACAACAACTCAATGCAGCAGATTTAATAAACCACAATTTCCAGATTAAGATACTGAGGACTGGAAAGTTATGTAACTTTCCCAAGTGAAGAGTGGAAGAAGCAGGATCCAAACCCAGTTTATGTGGCTTGAAAATCCTTGCCATCCCCACTTTACTGCTTCAGAGAACCTTTTAGCAATATCTTCCATGGGTTCCTGGTTCCTACTCCAGGGTGGTCTCCCAGATAAACTGTACATACTTATGGCACTAGCTGGTGCTATTGACATCATTTGCCAGAATTTCAGAAAATAGGAAACCATTTTTTTGATATCCTGACAAGTTGCCTGAAATACACTTGGGTATTTTGTCCTTATTTTAAAATGAGGGAAGATTGAATATGAACAAATATGGTAGAAAATGATCTAGGTCATAATGAATCACCAGCTGAACATAAATCAGGACTGTTCTGTCAGAACTAGAGCATCATCCCAATCTCAATAAATGGCAATAACAGCCCGGAGGCAATCCTCCCACTTTGGGAAACTCAAGACATGCTCCCAAACAATAGAAAATGGGCTACTGTCAGCTGGATCCCTGAACAGAGTGGGAAACATGGAGAATGTCAAGAGCCAAGAAAGCAAAAGTACAATGAAGCTCATGAGGGGAAAGATAACTTGATAAATATAGCTTACTTATCTGATATTCGGCTCAACAAACAAGGCCTCAATCATGCTGTCCTGATGCAATTTTCCAGAGAGGGTTCTCATTTTAAAGGGTCACTTTAGCCCTCATCTAAGAGAGTCCCAAAGAAGAGGATTCCTTGTCTTGAAGGGGATCTGCTGCACGGACCTTAACTATAATACCATTATGAGGTGAGGTTCTCAAGGCTGTAAGAGCTATTTATTGAAAAAGCAACTATCGGTTTGTGCTGAGAAGCAAAGAATAAGAATATTCATGGTGGGAAAGATATTGGGTGAATCAAGAAATATTTATGACTGAATGAAGTAAGGTATCATTTTACTTCAACCCTTTCTGATAATCTCCTTCCAATTCCTTAACCTCACTGAAGAAAAGATGATGCAGCAATACTGGAAAAAAAAAATTGTACTGGGAACATTTTTATTGTCTGCCTTAAATCCTCCCTACTGCAATTTTACCATATTACTCTTGGGAAGGTAAAGGGTAATCAATGAATGGTATTAGTCATAGTTTTCTTAGTAAGCTATAATCCCCTGGTGGCAGATTCTATTACCATGAATACTTTCATTTTAACCTTGCTTGATTATTTAAAGGGAACTTAAGTGGTATGGATTCAACTTGTCTAAAGCGTTAATTTTTCCCATGAAAAAGCTGGTATAAGCCATAAAAGAGCTGTGAGTGGGCCAAAGACAATTTTCCAAGGAAATTATTCATTGACTTAATTTACTTTAAATTGCAAAACTCTACTTCTAAAGTTCATTTATTTTCTGGCTCAGGCAAACTTATGAGTTAGGTGAAGTTTGTCTTCTTTATCCCCCTCAGTACTTTTTCTGGGGTATTCTTTTGGTGCTTCCCTCCAATGCCTGATGTATGTATATAGTCCCCTATTTGAACAAGGATTGTCTGTCGTTACGCCTTACTTGAGCCTGCTATATCGACTTCATTCTAGGTGCCTTCACCCTACTCTTTCTCTCTCATCCTGCCCCTACACTTCATAAAAACTGTTTCTCTCCAAAAGATAAGTTGAAGCTCTAACACTCATGTTATGGACTGAATTTCATGTTCCCCACAAAGTGGAGCTTTTGGGAGGTAATTATGTCATGAAAGTGGGCCTTCGTGAAGGGGATTAGAGCTCTTATAAAAGGGATCCCACAGAGAGGTCTCATGGGATTTTTGTGCCATGTGAGGATACAATAAGTCAGTAGTCTGCAACCTGATAGAGGGCTCTCACCAGAACCCAATCATGTTGGTACCCTTATCTTGGACTTTCAGTCTCTAGAACTGTGAGAAATAAATTTCTGCTGTTTATGAGCTGCCCAGTCTATGGTATTTTGTCAGGGCAGGCTGGCTGACTAGGACAGCCCATTACTGTAGATTATGTTTTCATTTGGAAATAGGGTCTTTGCAGATGCAATCAGTTAACATGAGATCAGACTGGATTAGAATGGGCAATAAATGTAGCATGACAATGCAGCATGTGGTCCTTATAAAAAGAGAATATTTACTGATACATAAGGGAAGAACCCCATGTGACATCAGAGGCAGAGACTGGAGTTATGCTGTCACAAGCTGAAAACCACTTGCAACTACCAGAACCGGAAAACGGAAGAAAGATCCTTATCTAGGGGTTTTGGAAGAAACATGACCTGCCAACACCTTATTTTTAGATTTCTAACTTCTAGAACTATGATATATGAAATTGCATTGTTTTAAGCAGCAAAGTTTGTGGTACTTTGTTGCAGCAGCCCTAGGAAACTAGAACAGAGACTAACTTGTTCAAATGTTTTTTTCTGAATAACTTACATATGTTTATTATAATAAGGCCTTCAGTAGACAATGACATTGCAGAAGCAATACCACTAATGATGTGACTCAGGTAACTGACAGGTCAATGGGAAAGGTGTTTTGAGATGGAAAGGGATCTGGGGCAGTCATCAATTTCACATGACAGGTCCTGATTCCAGGGTTTTCTGAGCTGACCTAGCATTACAACCTGACATCTAAACTATCCTGTTTGGAACTTCACTTCCTAAGTAATGCAAAGACAGGAAGGAACATGGCAAAGGAGGTAGTTATTGGTTGAGAGTCTAGGGTATCTCTCACTCTGGTAGATACTTGCTCTTGTCCTGCATTTTTGCTCCTCATACAGTCTTTTCTATTTCAGAAAGGGGCACATCTATCTACTCAGTTTCCCAAGACTAACACGACTGAAAGATGGGAAGAACTGATTTTCTTTCCCTTGAATCTTCAGCACCTTGCATAGTTGATGGTACATAGTATGTGTTCAAAAGCTATTTGAAAGAAAGAATGAAATAATAATTGATCCATAAAGCCTGAACTGGCTTATCCTCATGACAAGAAGTCACCATATGTTGTAATTTCGTGGGTTCTTTTCTGGGGAGTCCTATGTCCCTCTATTTGTCTCTCTCACACATTCTGTGAAGCCTTCTTTGTCCTTACAATGAAAACCCATTTGTGAGGACAAGATGTACAGAGGGTGGTGCTAAAGAGTCAGTGGGAGGAGTCCAGATCCTGGCCTCAGGTTAGCTACTAATGCAACACCTAAATTTGTAAAGCGCACAATTTAATAGGAATTATTAAAGAACACAGTAATGCAATTGAAAGTGGATTGGAAATCCAGTAAAATTGGATTTCTAATCTCTGTACTGCCAATAACCTACCCCTTGGGTTGTCATGAATCTCCTTTGGGTCACATTTTCCTCCTCTGAATGTTAAGAAGATTTGACTGTTGAAGAGGGAGCAAGTATAAAGCCGTTTGGCTCTGTGGGGAGAGGAGGTTTAGGAGGTAAAAGGAATGGAGAGAGGAAGGTTGTCCCACTGGGAGGCTGCAGTAGAAAAGATAAAATCACCATTTTATTTGGAGCCAGTGACGAGTGTAGAAATAGTTTTCTCTTACTGTCCTCAAATATATTCATTGGCAACACACTGCCCTTCTGTTAGATTTCCACAGTTTTCTGCGACCTACATTTGCTGTGATGTTTTACTGACTCGTTCATTTGAATTAGCTGCTTTTTTTGCATGCCTCCAAATGCCATTATGAATCACTGAAGCTCAAGACCATCTATCACAGTTACAAGGCATATAAAAGATGACAATCATCACTCGAATATCTTCTCTCCGCCTGAAACAAAGTTTTCTCAGTACAAAATAAATACTTTCCCTCCTGCTGGATTAGTTAAGATTTATGCTACTAATATGCAAATAGTCCCTAAAGTTTCAGATGAAGGGAAGCATTCAGTGTCTCAGCTCAATAATAGGCAGGAGGTATAATTTTAAATAGATATTTCTGCTTTGAGGCTTACCCACAGGCTTTTGAAAGTGTCACATTTTTGTCAGTGAGACAGCAAGTGGCACTCTGTGTGCTCAAATATTTCTCCAAGAAGTTCTCAATTTATGTCTTGAGCATACCAGAGGCCTATATGATAGCAGTTAAATCTAAACACCATTTGTGTCTTAGACTAAATATAAATTGCAGTATAAGATTATTGAATTTCTGAACTGAATGAAACCAAAGAAATAATTAAGTCAGAGGTGATGATCTGAAACTCAAAGTTTAGGTAACCCAACCGAGAAAAACTCCTGGTTAATAGTAGGTGGACTTGATATTCAGAAATTTTGACTTTCATTTGAGTTCCCTGTCAGTTCCCTGACAGTTTCTAATTATTTAAATAATTAAATAAGTGTGGCAGAAACTGTTCATTGCCACTGAATACCCATTTTCCCCTTCTTTTACAGATTTTATTCTGGGTAGCAATAATGTAACTAACCAAAAAAAATTACATTGCTTCAGGTAAATTTTAGACAATAACATATAAGTTTAAGTTTTTGGTGGACTGTCCTAAGAACCAGCATCTTGGACAATAAGATGGCCTTGAAGAAGGAACTCAGGGTAGGATTATGGAATGCTGGGTCCCTGATGACCACCAATCACCCTACTGACCATCTGTGAACTCTTTTTACTTTAGAGACTATGATTAGCTATTTTAAAAGCCACTTTTATTTTCAGCTTTCTATACTATAATATGGAGAATTTTAACTGCACACAGATTATTGCCATAGTTAAAAACAAACAAACAAAGCCCAGAAGTCTTTCTAAAAACTAAGTAACTGAATGTTTTGGTACCTACCATCATGGATAACCAAAAAAAGGCACCAAAAGGACTTGTGAATATGGGTCCATTCTTAAAGGTATAAGTATTATTTCAGAAGATAACACTAAAATATGTGCCTATAAATAGGTAAAGTAGTTATTAACATATTTAATAGGGAACACTGTTGTTGCATGAGCAAAGAAGGCTAAGAATTCACTAGTAATTGCTTCTAAAAGCTAGTTTCACTGTAATTTACTAAGCATTTCAGAAAAGCTAATGAAATCCAGGAAAATGACTGCATAATTCAGAAACTCAATACATGGCAAATATAATTCTGAAGAAACAATAAAAATAATGGAAAAATTTAAATTCTGAGAACATAATGGGCATTGCTTAATTTCATTTCTGATACTCTCTGATTTGTGTTGCAAAATTGCAACACAATTTATAGTATTGGCTGTAGTTTTGTATCCTTTAAAATTCCAGACATTAAAAATATACAAAACTACAGCTAATACCCTCAGAGTAACATCAAAAAAACCCCTTACGGTAAGTCAAAATTCTTTGAGTAACATTGTCCTAAGTGATTTATTTTTAAAGTGCTAAAAAAGCATGTCACATATATTGTTATGTTAATATTTGGGAGATAAAAGCCCTTTAAGGCAAATAATTATAAATTAAATATGGTAAAATAGCATCATGAAACCAGTGTTTTATCCCTAATCTTAAATCCAAGGAAGACAAATGCTATAAATCATCACCTAAAAATGTAATAGTTTTCAAAAGTAAATTATAACGTTAAAATAATTCAGTAATTTAAATTTTACTTTTAATCCCATGATTCTCCTTTCAGAATTTATTCTAAAATATTAAGAAAAATTATTCAAAACTTGGAAAGCAAGGGAATGAATGCAGTTCTTTTCAATGTAATTGTTTGTACAGGTTCTTCCATGGATTAAAAAATTGTCTAAAAGAATGCAAAGTGCAGACACTGGAATGCTACATTTTAACTAGTAGATTTCTGCCTGGTAGAAAAGAATAACCACAAAGGTTATTGTTTTATTATCACATGGGACATTAAACAGTTTTGCTTCTTATTGTTATTACTTATTGCTTACTATTATTATTTCAACATTGTTTGATTGATTATACATCTCTGTTCCTCATATATTCCTTTGAACCAGTCTTAGAATCATGGTTTCTTTAATAATTAATAAGTTGAATGAAATATTTGACATGTGTTTATCTTAAATTTCAAGGAAAGTCCTATTTTTAATTTTCAGAAAATTATACTCTAACAAAACATTTGACTATGGCTATGGACAACTATTATAGCAGAATTTATTAGCACCCAAAATTGCCCACAACTCAAATGGTACCGTATGCTCCAAAATTTAAACCATAGTTATTTTGAAAGAGGGAAACATAGCAATTATTTTCATAATGCTTCTTGTGATAGGCAGAAAAAAGGCCTCTGATGATGTCCACATCCTAATCCTCAGAGTTTGTGAATATGCTACCATATGTGGCAAAGGAGAGTTAAAGTTGCTTATAGAATTAAGATGGTTAATTAACTGACTTTTAAATAAGGATAGTATCCTGGATTATCCAGGTGGGTCTAATGTAATCACAGGGGCCTTTAAGTGTCAAAGAGAAAGGCAGAAGAGAAGGTCAGAGCGGTATGATATGAAAAGGACCTGACCAGCCTTGCAGCATTTGAAGATGGAAGAAGAGGTCATAAGCCAAGGATTGTAGGTAGCTCCTAGAAGATGCAGGAGGCAAAGAAATGGATTCCCCTTCAGGAAGGAACACATCTCTGTTGATGCCTCATTTTAATCTAATGGAACCAGTGTCAGAATTCTGACATGTGCAATTGTAATAAAATAACTTTGTGTTGTTTTAATCCATTATATTTGTGGTAACTTACTGTAGCAGCTATAGAAAACTAATAAACATCTCTGTATGTTGATAATGACAGGGATACATTCTGAGAGATGCATCCTTAGGTGATTTCATCATTGTGCAAACATCATGGGATACACTTACACAAACCTAAATGATACAGCCTAGTGAGAGGTGACAGCATGCTGGCAGTCCTCAGAGCCCTCGCTTGCTCTTGGCATCTCCTCTGCCTGGGCTCCCACTTTGGCAGCATTTGAGGAGCCCTTCAGCCCACCACTGCACTGTGGGAGCCCCTTTCTGGGCTGGCCAAGGCTGGAGCCCACTCCCTCAGCTTGCGGGGAGGTGTGGAGGGAGAGGCGCGGGCGGGAACCCGGGCTGCGCACGGCGCTTGCGGGCCAGCTGGAGTTCCGGGTAGGCGTGGGCTTGGAGGGCCCCGCACTCAGAGCAGCCGGCCAGCCCTGCTGGCCCCGGACAGTGAGGGGCTTAGCACCCGGGCCAGCAGCTGCGGAGGGTGTACTGGGTCCCCCAGCAGTGCCGGCCCACCGGCGCTGTGCTCCATTTCTCACCGGGCCTTAGCTGCCCTCCCGCGGGGCAGGGCTAGGGACCTGCAGCCCGCCATGCCTGAGCCTTCCCCCGCCTCCGTGGGTTCCTGTGCAGCCCGAGCCTCCCGGGCGAACACCACCCCCTGCTCCATGGCACCCAGTCCCATCGACCACCCAAGGGCTGAGGAGTACGAGCGCATGGCGCGGGACTGGCAGGCAGCTCCACCTGCAGCCCCAGTGCGGGATCTACTGGGTGAAGCCAGCTGGGCTCCTGAGTCTGGTGGGGATGTGGAGAGTCTTTATATCTAGCTCAGGGATTGTAAACACACCAATCAGCACCCTGTGTTTAGCTCAAGGTTTGTGAGTGCACTAATCGACACTCTGTATCTAGCTGCTCTGGTGGGGCCTTGGAAAACCTGTGTGTCGAAACTCTGTATCTAACTAATCTGATGGGGATGTGGAGAACCTTTATATCTAGCTCAAGGTTTGTAAATACACCAATCAGCACCCTGTGTTTAGCTCAAGGTTTGTGAGTGCACCAATCGACACTCTGTATCTAGCTGCTCTGGTGGGGACGTGGAGAACCTTTATGTCTAGCTCAGGGATTGTAAATACACCAATCGGCACTCTGTATCTAGCTCAAGGTTTGTAAACACACCAATCAGCACCCTGTGTTTAGCTCAAGGTTTGTGAATGCAACAACCGACACTCTGTATCTAGCTGCTCTGGTGGGGCCTTGAAGAACCTGTGTGTGGAAACTCTGTATCTAACTAATCTGATGGGGACCTGGAGAACCTTTGCGCCTAGCTCAGGGATTGTAAACGCACCAATCAGCACCCTGACAAAACAGGCCACTCGGCTCTACCAATCAGCAGGATGTGGGTGGGGCCAGATAAGAGAATAAAAGCAGGCTGCCAGAGCCAGCATTGGCAACCCGCTGGGGTCCCCTTCCACACTGCGGAAGCTTTGTTCTTTCGCTCTTTGCAGTAAATCTTGCTACTTCTCACTCTTTGGGTTCACGCTGCTTTTATGAGCTGTAACACTCACTGCGAAGATCTGCAGCTTCACTCCTGAGCGAGCGAGACCACGAACCCACCAGAAGGAAGAAACTCCGAACACATCTGAACATCAGAAGGGACAGACTCCAGACGCGCCACCTTAAGAGCTGTAACACTCACCGCGAGGGTCCGCGGCTTCATTCTTGAAGTCAGTGAGAGCAAGAACCCACCAATTCCGGACACACTAGCATGTTATTGTACTGAATACTGAAGGAAACTGCAACACAATGGTAAGTATTTGTGTATCTAAACCTAGAAAAGGTACAGTAAAAAGAATGTGTTATAATCTTATGGGACCACCCTCATATAGAAGATTTGTCCTGTTGCTCTGGCGTTGATAAAATGTCATTATGTGGCATGTAACTGTATTTTTTTAACTGCTACTTGATATAAAGCTAGGAACAGTTTAGAGTCCCAAGCTCTGAAGGTGAGAGCTGGTAGGGAGAAGAAAAACAGTAGAAAGACTTTGGAGCTATCTCTGTTCTGCCAATTATTAATAAAGAGATGGAAGATCTTGTTTTCTTTGGGCCTCAAGCTTTTTGCAGCTTTTAAATTCTGTGACATTTCAGGGCCTCAGAAAATCTAGTCATCGTGGACAATAGGCAGTCCTGTTCCATCCCCTGCCACCATTGCCAACACCAGTTGCCTCCATTAATCTGGCCTACTATACACTTTGAAGGGCATATTTATTTATTCAACAAATATTTGTTGTATAAATATTGTGTGCCAGATATACCTGAAGGTGCTGGAACTACACCAGTGAATAATATAGACAACAGCCTTCATCCCCTGTATCTTTCACAATGGGGAGACACAAATACACTGAGAACAAATAAGAAAGTAAATGTGGTAAATTCAGATAGTGATAAGTGATATGAAGACTTTCAAACAAGGGGATATGACAAATAAAAACTGATGCTTGTGAGTGAGGATGGAGTTGGAGGATACAGATGATGTGAATTTTATGAAAAAGGTATTTGAACTCATACTTACGTGTTAAGGGGAACCTATAATGTGATGATTTGGGGTAAGAACTTTCCAGGAAAAGGCATCAAAACATCTGTAAGATAAAAATGATCTTGGTGTGCCTAGAAAGAAAGATAATGCCAAGGTGCCCAGGACATTGTGGTTTGGATGAGGGTGATAGAGGATGCAGGTGGAAAGGTAAATAGACAGCCAGGCGCGGTGGTTCACGCCTGTAATCCCAGCACTTTGGGAGGCCGAGACGGGTGGATCACGAGGCTAGGAGTTCGAGACCAGCCTGGCCAACATGGCGCAACCCCGTCCCTACCACAAATACAAAAATTAGCCGGATGTGGTGGTGGGTGCCAGTAACCCCAGCTACTCGGGAGGCTGAGGCAGGAGAATCACTTGAACCCAGGAGGTGGAGGTTGCAGTGAGCCGAGATCACACCACTACACTCCAGCCTGGGTGACAAGAGTAAGACTCTGTCTCAAAAAAAAAAAAAAAAAAAAAAAAAAGAAAGAAAGGTTGATAGACACCAGGGTAGGCTGTGGGCATGTACCAATGTGGTGAACAGCATCTTTTCTCAAGTGACAATATAAGTCTACTCCAATAAATACATATTCTCATCTGACCTCACAACTTTGTTAGGCATTTACCTGCAGGAATTTGCTTGCCACTGTGTGATGGAGATACCCACTGGAAAATACGGGATGAATATTATTTTTATGCTAACGAGTACTGACAAGCAACAAACCTCGTGATGCTCTATACACTGATCTAAAGTGTATATAATGCATAGTGATAAAATACAATAAGAAAGAAGCAGAGTTATAGTGCAGTCAGAAGGAAGGATGGAGGTAGGTTTTAACAAATCAAAACAAAAGTAGCAATGCCTAAGTAGGAAATACAGAATTAGGTCGGGCACGGTGGTTCACACTTGTAATCCCAGCACTTTGGGAGACTGAAGCGGGTGAATTGTTTGAGCTCAGCAGTTTGAGACCAGCCTGGGCAACATGGCAAAACTCTGTTTCTATTAAAAAAATACAAAAATTAGCTGGGCCTGGTGGCATGTTCCTATAGTCCCAGCTACTCGGGAGGCTGAGGTGGGAGGATGTTGAGCCTGGGAGGCAGAGGCTGCGGTGAGCCTAGACCATGCCACTACACTCCAGCCTGGGCAACAGAACCAGACCCTGTCTAAAAAAAGAAACAACAACAACAGAAAAGGAAAACAAAAGAAAATAAAATACAGAATTACCACCTGCCTATATCACCACGTTACACACATTGCTCCCTGCATCATATAATACTAAACACCCTCACAAACAAAGGAATAGAAAGATAAACATTCAGTTCTTTTAGGTCTGCTGATGATATCCTTTGGGCCTTTGCTGATTGAATTGAGGTTCTAGGCATTGTGTTTACCTTCTGGGCCTCATGATTGATAAATTATTGTTCTCCTTTTTTTTTTTTTTTTCCCTATAATGGCGCTATCTTGCAATAGTTGTACCTCTTTGAAGGCAACATATAAGTAGGCTGTCAGATTTATAAATACAAGCTACTTAGGCCAGCTATGCACCAGTAATATTAGAGAGCACTAGAAAATTCCAGTGAGAACCTGCCCTATATCTGACCCTAGACTTAGCTTTCTAAAGTAATGCCAATCAGATCTAAATTGGGTGTTTGGAAGGGGGTCATATTGGCTGCAGTAATGGTGAGTCATCTACCTTCACCTGCCATTTGAGTGACCACCTGCTGTTTTATCTTTTTGTCTGAATAAACTTATTAAGTTACAGTAACAAATCAGATTATCCTCACCCCTGCCCTTTGCTTTGCAGATTTGGTACATCGTTTCTTAAGTGAAATAAAAGTTTGACCTAATCTAATTCAACCATATCTCCCTACCTCCCACAGATGATTCTCTGTTTGAAATGGGAATGTAAAGTCAGACTGCTGCTTTGATTTGGGTGGTCACGCAGGAAGCATAGAATTGGAATTGAATGATATTTTCATGACCTGGAAATAATGGGGAGCAGATGCCCATTTTATATCATCCATTCATGCCCCCAAAAGGCATTCTTAAGGAGTCTCTGTTAAAATAAATTGATTTGCTTTTTGCTAAAGGTTTGCTTTATAATGTGTCAAGGGGTTTGAAAAATACAGGCAGTATTCAAAGAAAGCAAACCAAATACATGCAGCGTTTGCATTTTTTACCAATTAGAACTTGGCAAGCAGTTCTAGTTTGCATATATTTCAATTAAGAGAAATTCATTTGTACATCTCTAACAAGAATATTAATTCAACTTCTACTGAAGGCCTAGAATGTGCAAATTTCTGTGCTTGACACCATGAGGGGTTGAAAGAGGCATAAGAGATTGTCGTTTGTTGAGACAGCAAGACACATGAACAAAAAATTATTAATAGCTATGAAAAGGTACAAGCAAATATCTTTGGGGACAATTGTCTCTGACTGTCTTACTTGAAGAATGAGATAAGAAAAATATCCTAGAGTACAAAATATTCCTGTTGGGGAAATTTCTCATAGCCTGTGGCCTCTGTATATAGAAGCCATATACATTTTGACTATCATAAAGTCCATTCAGTTCACACATTTGGCTTGGCAATATGACATGAATCAATTTCTTTGTAATGAAAAACATATTCATTTTATTTCTAATTGAGCTGAGAATAAATCTGCATTCTGTCTGTATCTTAGTACAGGTGCATTGATTTGATAGAAATGTATTGAGTGCCTACTTTATGCCAAATCCTGTGCCTGTGGCTGAAGAACCTGTTAGGGTCTTATTTTGTGTAGGATCTGGGCAGGGCCATTACACCAGGAGATACAATGGGGAGAGAGCGGTACACCAGCCAAGCATGTTATCTTTACTCAATATTGCACTTTTTGTATCCAATGCTTGTCTTTTTTTTTTTTTTTTTCATGAATGAGCTAAACAAAAAAACAATCTATAAAACACCTCCAGACATGAGCACCATTCAGTTTCAAAATCTCACCACTCTGGAAGAAGAAGAAAAAGAAAAAGAACTTTTAACATTCCTTCACTTCTCCCACAAGTCAACTGGCAGTCTCTGTGGCTGGGCGGGGTTGTTTTACTCATTGTGGATCTTTGATTGATGTGTGTGTTTCCATGGTAATCCTGAGACCAGTCCAGGGGGAATAAGGCAAGTATGGAGGATATCATACTTCAGACTTTCAACCAGAAGTACTTACTCTTGAACCCAAGAGGCTCACTCCAATTGAGAGTCTGTCTACATTTTGCCAGACCCTGCGCTGGGTTTTGCTGGGTAAACAAAGGCACACCCTTGCTTCCAAGAGTCTATCAGTTTCACAATGACAGGAACATGTGGTACTCCCTAGGTTCTAATGCTCTTTTCCCCATTCCACACAGGTCTTCAGAATACCAGTTATGCTGGGAAGCACAGCAGACTGTTCTCATCAAAGAAGAACTTATCATAAATTATTTTACCGGTAGCTGAAAAGCAAGCCGAGGGAGACTCTGAGAGGTAACTTCTATAGAGCACTGATAGGTTTGCAAAGCAGTTTAAAATGAACAGCAGTGGGGGCTGAGTGTAGGACACAGGCCCTCTTTCCTTGTCTTGGCTGGGGGCCTTGGTGGACAGCAGGGATGAGAGGTCTTGAGCAAATAAGAGGGGGTGGGCTATGAACCCCCTGGTGTAGTATGAGGTAAAAGATAAAAAGGTGCTCTAGCTAAAACGAAATTCAGTTTTGCCAAGGATTGATCTGCTTCCAAGGTGCCTGATGTTGCCTCCTTGACCTTGGTGGCTTGAAGTTGGTGTGATCCTCGAGCCCAGTATCTGATTTCGCCCCTGTCACTGCATGCAGAGGAGACCAAGTGAAGAAAGGAACACAATGCCTCCTCAGGGATTTTGGAGTTACCTGCTTAGAAGATTATCTGTGATTATTTTGAGAATACATGCTGCATTTTCTTGATCTAAAATCAGAGTCCATGTTCTTATTTGCTGGTTTGAAACAAACGTTGTCATCTTATTGGGAGATTTTTACCAGATTCATCTGGACTTTAATAATTGAAGTATTTTCTCAGTTGCTAAATTTGATTTTGGGTTCTACAGTGAACAAATTAATCACATAATTTTCATGTCCACTCCATCTATGTTGATTAAAATATTTAATACAAATAATAGTGGCCATGCCTACTGGGCTCTGGTTGCTGGGCACTGAATTGAAGCACTTTACATGTAGTTATTTCAGTGATACTCACGAGAATCCTATAAGGTTGAACTTAGCAGTTCTGGGACATACTTAAAAATAGGCTTTCTCTAGTATATATTGTGGAAACATATTAAAATAAAAAAGATACACATTGTCTAATCAGAATTTAAGTGCCACTGTATTTCCTATTTAATATATACAAATTAGTCATCTGTCTAGGTATTTCCTTTTCAGATACAAAAACACAGAAATTAGATAAGGGACATACTTACAGGTGATTTAGTTCATTTTTGCTATTGTAAAGCATAACTTACAAATGTCTATATTAACGCAATTTAAAAATATATACAAAAGACCAACACATATACAGATACTATGACAGCAAAATCACTGAAAAGTCCTGAGGAGTTGAAAACCTTAAAAATTACTACCATAATATGCATATTCTTTTCTGCAATAACAATAATTACTTTGATTTTTAAATGTTAACAAAAATTAAAACTTTTAATTTATATTACATTTGGAGAGTTTTATGTACTAAGTGTAGAAGAGGTGCTGAAGTAAGAGTGAGTAATGCAAATCTAAACATCTCCATTTTCTTTTTGAAAATTGCAATGTTATAATATTTAACTTTAACCTCAAGCTAATTGTATTCTAAAAACAGAATATGATACAATCAATGCTAAATCTTCAAGTGTATTGTTTTGAATATCTAAATTTTCTTAAGAGGAAATTTCAGTGGATTCCTAAGATTAGAAAAACCACAATGTATTTTCATGTTATTTAAGATATTAGTTGAACATATAAAAATTTTTTTTAAAATTTTGAATCATATTCAAATTAATAAAAATGCCACAATAGTTTGCTAACTATTTTGTGTTCAGTACAGTTACATAATTTCTGGATCAAGAGACTTCACGATCCTGTGATCATGTGACTAGTTTTCTGTGTTCTATTTCTGCCAACTCATTGGTGCCTATTACATTTAAATCCTTCTTTAATAAGCCCCTGCAGACTAGGATATGATAACTGGAAATGAGTAATCCAAAAAGATTTTCAGGTGACATCTAAAAAAAAAACCTGTTTGAAGTTTAGTTAATATGCATTTTAATGTTTTACTTGCCTAGAAATTAAAAAGTTGAAAAGTTGTGGTAGGTAATATACTAAGCTGTTTTAGAGATGAAAGAGTATCCGTGTTAACGATCAAAGTTTTCATCTGTGAAGCTTTTCTAGGGCATTAGTCACGGAAAGACCACAATCTTCTATAATTTACCATGCATAGATACAAATCCTGCTAATCAGATTACATTTTTGCTTCCTCATGAGCTTATGCTGTCTCAAGACTTTCACCCCAAACTTTATTATCAAAAAACCCCAACCCTATGTTTAGTGGAGCAAATACCAACAGAATCTGACACACTCTACTGAGAACATGTAGGACTTCAGTTAACATCCGTGGATGCATTTATCCTATGCACTAATCCAGTGGCTGATCGGCTGGAATGTTCAATGAAGATTTCTTTACATCAGTGGAAACACAATTAATCCATGCTTTTGCTAATCACATTTTAGGTTAAAATTTTTTTGATATGCAAAGAATATTTCTTCCTCTGGAAACAAGTTTACAGTGTTGTACAATGTTAAAATCTATTCTGATTAATTGTTTTTAAAGAACAACAAAATTGCTCTGGAATTAGAAGTTATCAAGAAAATACTTGGGGTAATAATAGGTCAATTTTGTAAAATTAAAAACAAAACAAAACAAAAAGCCCTACTGCTCCAAAAGAAAAAGATTTGGAGAAAAACACATATTTCATTAAAAATCACCATCTGATTTAATTTTACTTATGTAGATACAAGTCTGTTGTCTCTTATGTCTAATAGAAAGATATAAAATTGTATTTTTGGCATGAATTCATTTTAAAACTGTTAATATTAATGCTATGATAAAAAAGTCTGTATAATAATTGTAATTTTAAAATAATGACTCCAATAGAATTTCTATATTATCTGAAACAAATTATAATATCTACCCAGGAAATTTGTTTTGTGTCTGTGTTGCTATGGAAATCTTTTTTTAATAAGGAATGATTGGATTAAGTTTCTAATAATAACAGAATAGCCACAGCTATATCATTCAAATCTAGAAATTCTGAAGAAATATACCTTATGAAAAATATGTATCTATGGAAAAGATCCTGCTTTATGAGCTACAATTACACAAACCCTAGTCGATATTCACATAAGATGGCATCCTATGTTGGTGATGCTGGAAGCGTGGTGATGGGAGGGTGTTCTTTGATCTTTCATCCATTTTCCTCATAGATGTGGGTGCCCTGAATGTATCAGATCTCTGTCTGCCTTCTGCAGCTGTAGCAGCATGCTAGATGATGGAATAGCAGTGCCCTGGGCAGCAGAAGAAAGTCCTGAGACAGAACACCCAGGACAGCATACTTACCATGGCTTCCCTGTCTCACAAGATTCATCCACATCGAACTGCCCAAGAACAAATGTACCACGGGCTAATCTGGAGGGGTGAGTGTTTATGTTTCACAGAAGGAATGAATACTTCCTCTGTGCACGAATACACTTCCTCTGTGCACGGTGAAGTGGACCTTCAAATAAGGATTTTAAACATCTCTTTTTGCAGGAAATCCTTAGTAGCAATTAGAATTTTTAACCTTTGAGAGACTGCACAGGGCAGAAAATTACTGCTCTTGTCTAGATCATTGAAGCATCAGTGAACTTCTGCTGATGTCAGGAATGTGAGCTGATGGGTAGAAATGGCGAAGAACTCTCATAATCATAGGAGGAGAGAGCTTAAGTTTGTGCTTCAGTAAGCAAGCACATTAGATAGACTTATCTTTTTGGGTCAGGTACCTTTCAATGACACGCTCTACCCTCAAAATAAATAAATAAGTAAATGAATGAATGAATAAATAAATAAATAAAGTGCTTCCCTTGTAAAGAAAAATAGTCCACAACCTCTAACAGAAAAATGAGGGCAATTCACTTGACCAACAAGATTCACCACTCACTGAGGACTAACAGCCTGTCCTCAACCACCTGTGTGTATCTCTCATTGACTTCCTTGGGTGAGATGGGAGTGCTGACCTTTATTATTACTGCTGCGATATTTATTCTTGAATAACAGATTTTCTTGTATGAGTCACACACAGGTTCTTCTTTTCTTCCCCACAGTAACACCAGAATTATTCATTTGCATCTCTGTTGCCATGGGAAAATGAACATTGTGAAAAGCAGTCAGGATTATGAGTTTAAGGCAAAATCTAGTAGTAAGGAACAAAGAAAACTCAGGCTGAAAATATACACACAGCACAACTAATATTACAGAAAAATGACAACTTAAAAATAACAAGAAAAAGAAAATTAAATTCCAATGAATCTTTGACCTTTTGAGTAAAATACTCTGAGTTTCAAAACTATTTTTCAGGGTTTTATTTTTTTTTTCTAGTAGAAAAACACCCTGACGCTCAGGAATAAAGTAGACATGCTATTTTCACCCCCTGGTACATGGCTGGCAGACAGAAAGGCCATTGTGTGCCAAATAGCAGATAATTGGATCCTATCTACACTGGGAACCTGCTAGGTCATTAGCAGACTTTTCATTTGGAAATAGACATGGCTATTTAAGAGGAGCAGGGAACAAGAATAAAATACCAACTCTTCTGTGTTTAGCTTAGTTGGGCAAGAGGGTTTGTGTTTGGATCCAGGTCATTTTATTCCCAATTCCTCAAGTACCATAGTACTGTGCACAGAAAACACATTTCAACGGAGAGGGATAAGATGAAAGGTAGAGAGACATAAAGACTTAGAGAGACGGGGACATGTTGAGATATAAAGAAGTGAATTGAGAGCATAAAAGGAGAAAAAAGGAAAGAAGGAGGAAGAAATGGGAAGAGAGGAAAGCATAAGAAAAAGAAATAAGGATTAAAGAATAAGAAGTACACAGAGAAATGCATGAAAGAAAATTTGAATGATAAAGAGAACACAAGGAAAAAAATCTGCCTTCAATAAGAAACTTCACCTAAAAAGGTCAGGGCAAATTAGGGAAAGGAGAACCATGGTGAGAGGGAAATAAGTGCTGTGGAACACTATTATGGATACTTAGATTCATTATATTGTCCATATAAATGAGGTTTCCTTATCTAGACACAAGCTTTATTTGGGAGCAGATGGCAATGCTGCTGGGTGACATTTATATGTAAGAAATTTGTTTCAATATTGCCCTCTCCTTTTATATTTAAGCTCAATGAACTTGAGGATTTTCTGACATCTTGATCCTTGCTTCTCATTGGACTTCATTCATTTGAGTTTGCAATTTCTAGATCACTAGGCTGTAATTTGTAACCTGCCTATTGCTGAGAGGGGGTGATGCTGTACAGGAAAGAGAAGGCAGAGCTGGAAGGTGGGAGACCCAGAATCAGTCCCAGCAGTACCTCTAAGTAAATAGGACATTAGGAGAGGCCAAGAGCAAACAGGGCCCAATTTCTTTTTTCTTTCTTTCCCTTTCCTTCCTTCCTTCCTTCTTTCCTTCCTTCCTTCCTTCCTTCCTTCCTTCATTCCTCCCACCTTCCCTCCTCCCGCCTCCCTCCCTTCCTCCCTCCCTCCCCCTTTCCGTTCCTTTCCTTTCCTTTCCTTCCTGTTCCTGTTCCTGTTCTTTTCGAAAGAGGGTTTTACTCTGTAGCTCAGGCTGGAGTGCAGTGGTGCAATCACAGTTCACTGCAGCCTCAGCCTCCCCTCCTGGGTTCATGCTCTCCTCCCACCTCAGCCTCCCAAGTAGCTGGGCCTACAGGTGTGTGCCACCACACCCAGCTACTGTTTTGTAATTTTTGTAGAAAGGAGGTTTCATTATGTTGTCTAGGCTGGTCTCAAACTCCTGGGCCCAAGCAATTCACCTACCTCGGCATTCTAAAGTGCTGGGATTACGGGCGTGAACAACCATGCCCTGACAGGGCTCAATTTCTACCCCCAGGCTATACACACTTGTATAGTCTGTGGACACTACTGCTCTAGGATCAGAGAAAAAGATTAGCAGTGATTTTTGCTCCATGTAATTAGAATAGTTGTGTCTGATGGTTAAGGAAAATATATAGTGGAGGAGGAATAACTGGTCTGTTTAGGGTCAAGTAAGATAAAGTTGCCCCATTCAATAGCTGACAGGGAGGTTGAAATGAAATTTTGATCTTAGGTAAAAGTGCATATAAAAGAAAAGATTGTTAATATTATTGCTTTGTGATGTTTATTAGTTGAAATTAATATTTCTGCAACATATAGCACTTTCTATGAAATCTATCCTATTGAAGCATTTACCACTTTCTACTCTGGATACTAGTTATTGATGGCCATGCTTCACCTCGTCTGCTATACTGTAGGGCCCTCCAGTGAACAATCTGTGTCTGATGAATCTTTTACCTCTCAAAGCATTTAAAAAGAGCTTCATGCACAGTAAGAACTTAGTTTACATTTGGTGTATAAATGACAGGAACAATGAAGGAAGTCTTTCTAAGTCAGAATGTGAAGACTCAAGCTTTGGGTTTTAATATTGAGGTTATAGAGTTGAGAACACAGTGTTCAAGCCTTAGAAGTTGAATAGCTAATATTCTGAGCCATTATTTATAATTATTAATTATTCATTGCCTATTATGTGCTAGGAACTTTACAGCAGTTACCTTTTCTTCTTGCATTAGCACTGCAAGGTAGCAGTCACTACCTGCATTTTACAGATGAGGAAACAGGAGATTAAGTAATTTTTCCAAAGTGATAAAATGAGTAAACGGCAGAGGCAAAGGAGCTGAAGTCAAACTCAGGGTTCCTGGTCCATTATTATTAGACCCCAGCATCCCACTGCTGATCACACGAGGAGCTATGAAACTTTCCTGTTAAATCTACTCTCCAGAGAGAGCTCTCCAGGCCTAGATGTCCAGAAATGGCCATTGGCAGGAAAAAAATGACAGACAAACTTGGCTATAACTGTGGGCTTTGGGTAAATTACTAAGCTCCTATGGTATTTATTTCCTCCTCTGCACATAATGCTGCTCTGTAAGTAACAATACTTCTTTCACATCCATTGGGTGTCTTTTTATATAAGGTTGAGATGAGATGTTTGAAAATCTTGTAGAACTGTGCTTCCCACATGATAGGCATCTAATAAATGCCATTCTAACCTGAATTTCTGCAGAAGTAAAATGGAATTTATGGCACCAAAATGATAATGAGGAGAAAGTTTCTTTCCCTGAGCCTTTCGGAGCATGTATTTGACTGTTCCTCCACCTCTGTCCTTACCTCAGGCAAACCTTATCTAATCATCGTATTCATTTACTGATGCAGATAGCTGCCCATTGAGAGGATCCTCTTGAAAAGGACCCTCATAGATTGTGAGCTCTAGGTGAACTCTTCCACACTGTTCAGACTTACTCCCCTCTGTAAGGCAGTCCACATCCCCAAGAATTAGAAAATAGTGCTTTTTAGAAAAGATCACCTTGGCCACATATCCACTCTCACTCTTACTACTATTACCATTATTACTGATAGTAGCCAACATTGATCAAACACTTAAAATGAATCGAACATTGTCTCAAATCCTTTATGTTTTATTAAATCATCATAACAAACTTACGGGGTATGTGTTATTCTTATCATTTTACAAATACGGAACCTGAGGTTTACATCCTTTGTCAAAGCATTGCATACTCTCAGCGTAGCAAGGTTAGATTGACTCCCAGAAAAGCTGCTCCATAAAATGAATATAAGAATATGCAGGACGGGCGCGGTGGCTCACGCCTATAATTCCAGCACTTTGGGAGGCCGAGGTGGGCGGATCACCTGAAGTCGGGAGTTCGAGACCAGCCTGGTCAACATAGGGAAACACTGTCTCTACTAAAAACACAAAATTAGCCTGGCGTGGTGGCACATGGCTGTAATTCCAGCTACTCTGGAGGCTGAGGCAGGAGAATTGCTTGAACCTGGGAGGTGGAGGTTGCAGTGAGCTGAGACAGTGCATTGCACTCCAGCCTGGGAAACAGAGCGAGACTCCGTCTCAAAAAAAAAAAAAAAAAAAAAAGAATCTAGTCATGAGGCCAGATCAAAAGAGATTCATGCACATTACCTTTGTCATTAAATAATACCCCAGGGGAGAGAAGTGTGGGCACTCAGATAAATACGGTTCAGTGAATGTCACTTAATTACCATAAAGGTAAAAATAATGAATTGAAACATAGTGAGTCTCATTATCAATTAAAAAAAGAAAACGAACAAAAATAAGATCCCATTACATTCTTTTTCAAATTTGAAAATTTAAATAATTTTATCCAATGATGGGACTATTATGAAATAAGCATCCTCATATTCTGCCAGAAAAAATAGAAATTTGTATATTTGTACAGGCAAAATGTATCAAGGGCTTTGTAAATGTTTAGACTTTGATTCAGCAATCTCCCATCTTGGAATTTATCTAAAGTAAATAAGCTGTGCAAATATTTATATGTAAGGATGTACAGCACAATATATTTAGTAATAACACAAAGATATAGCTACCAAGAACACAGGCTATCCAGAGTATCTGGGCTCAAATCCAAACTCTATAGTCACTAGCTCTTTGACCTTGGGGAAATTTATCTCCCTGAGCTTTAGTTTCTGCTTTAGTAAAATAAAACTGCACGTAAAGCATGCCACAGAGTATCTGACCTACAATACATACCTGATAAATATTAGCTGTTTTATTTTCTTCTCTGTTACTACTATTATTACTTACCAACCTAAAGGTACAACAATGTAGAATGATTATATTATAGATGATTATCGATTTCATGGAATCATGTTCTTAGAGATTAATAATATAAACATAGTAACAATCAACTAAGTGACAAATGTACAACACAAAAGTACAGGAACCATCTCAAATTTTAGTATAGAGTATATAGATATATGTGTATGTATAACTACTTGTAGAAAGACAAAAAGAATAACATCAAAATGTCAATACTAGATCGTTCTTGGGATTGTAAGTGACTTTTCACATTTAGTTTCCAAGTGTTCTACAGTAAATATGTGTTACTGTTATAATCAGAAATAAATCTTAACAAAATATGATTTTAAAGCAGTTTTTAGGACAGATTAACTTATCTACATACACACACACACACACACACACACACGAGATAATGGGAATTATTTTGAAAGTCACAACCATGGATGTCTGTGGGTTTTTGACTGCCCGTACCTATTTTTATTTTCTAAGAGCAGCCTCAGTTGCATTTAGAAAAGTATTGTCCTCATTGAACATAGACTGGCAGGGCTGCGTTCCAATCACCTCCCTCTCTTAGTCAAGGAAGAGTTATTGTTACCCAAGCCAGGCTAACTGGATTCTCCTTTTTTTTTTTTTTTTTTTGAGGTTAAGTACCGTAGCTCAAGAAAGCCATTCTCCTTTTATAAAGTCTTGAGTAGAGCAGCAAATAGACTGAAAATATTTGGAATTCATTTATCCTAGTACGGCTCACTTATTCACTCTGTATCTGATATAAACTATACCTATAGTTATTTTTCCTCTTCCACCAAGACGGCTTGGTTCCTGTTAGTTTTTAAGCTTGGTTCTGTAGCCTTCCTGTAATTCTGTGGCTTTCCACTATTGTTCCAAAACATTTCCTTTTGCTTAAGATAGTCAGAGTTGTCTTCTATTGCTCCTTAGAAGACAACATATACACTACATTGTTGAAATTTACCCTTGTCTTTTTAAATCCTATGTTCTAGTTGTTAAAAATAAGCATATAAAACTTTCTCACCTTCTGTGGGCATGGACCACCCAACATTTCAGCAAAGGTGATAGCTAAAAGATAGAGATATTTTTGCCATCCATGCATCCCAGCAACAGGAGACGCTCCAAATGACTTTGTTATAAATTGACAAAATTAAATATTTATTGAAAGCACAGACTCTGGAGTTTGACCATCTGGGGTTAAGCCCTACTTCTACCACTGCAAGCTGAAAGGCCTTGGGAATGTTACTATTGGGGATAATAATGGTTCTTACAGAGTTGATGTAAAGATGAATAAAGTCAATATATGTAAAGCATTTCAAGTACAATCTTGGCGTATGCAAAGTTCTACTTGTGTTAGCTATTTTTTTCTATACATTGTAGATCATGACAGCATGATTGTTAGCAATTATTTAAAATTTAACTGATTTATTTTTCAAATAGTTAAGTGCCATATGAGTACTTGTTATAGAAAACAAATCTAGAAATATTTGTTGGTGCTTTTTGATCTAAGATCGCTGAAAATGTTACAGAAACAAGGGTCACTCTAAGAACGCACCAAATTTCCAATGAAATAACATTTTGTGCATTAAAGTTAAGATCATTAGCCATGGTAGATGGTTATAAAGATTTTCTAAGCATATTCTCATTTTAATTGATGACATTACGTGCAGAGTGTATACAAGACGAATAAAACTCAAAATGAGAACTTTTGAAAATAGATTTTAACTTAAGTTTACAAATAAATGTAATAGAAAATCTAAGTAAGTATAATTTTGCATGACTATTGGGAGAGCTTGGGAAATTTGATCTTCAGACTATCAATGCAGCGAAAAAAAGAGAAAAAAAATAGATGTACAGAATTATCTTCTGATTTATCAATAACTATAAATTTATGTCAGTTTCTGAGGCTAAAAACTGAGTATGACAAAGTTCTGGGTTATGAAGAATTCAGACCCTATTGCCAGGCACATGATAGGCATTTGTGAATAAAATTATGCTTGTTAAGTGAATGTACTAAACTAATAAAAACATTTCTAAAAATCAGATTTTAAAGTGTGCCAGATTCTGTCTTCTAAAATATAGTCTGTCTAAGACTATAGGCTTACCTAAGATTCAATTTATAGGCTTAAATCTGTGCCCCTCCTGCTTTATCCTCATCAATCTTGACAGAGCATTAAGGAGCCCGGGGACTCCAGGTGACTGATGCCTAAGAGTTACGTTTACTCTCCAGGTGTGGCATTTGGTGAAACTGGAGTGAGTCCATGCCCTAATCCATGTAAATGGTTGCCCAATCTATGTTAGTAAATTTCTACCTTGACCTCTGATTATACTTAATTTCCCCTGAAGAAGGCAGTTTTTTTTTCTCCAAACTTCAGCATGCTTCTCTAATGGTTTCCAAAAGTTG
Organism: Homo sapiens; assembly: GCF_000001405.40. Taxonomy (NCBI): domain Eukaryota; kingdom Metazoa; phylum Chordata; class Mammalia; order Primates; family Hominidae; genus Homo; species Homo sapiens. Next base: position 174,195,747 of record NC_000003.12, on the reverse strand, counting down.
AATCAGGTTTCCTGTGCCCCCTGCTCTTTAGCGGCATCTCTTCCAACTTAGTGAAGCATGTAGCAGCAAGATAATATTGCAAGTCAGGCAAGAATATTTCTTGTGCACAGACACTTCGGCTGCATTGGCTGCCATGGATTATGAATTTGGCCCCTAGAGAGATTTCTCTAATCCCTCACTAAGTCCAAGTCCAAATTCAGAGTGGATTTGGTTTGAGGAGCAATCTCATACACAGATTAGCTTCCTAATCTAATTATTTTTCTGGTTTATTAGTCTGTTTTTTCAGATCGTCTCTTTGAGTGTAGTTAATAAACTCTTCATTATTCATAAGTCTACTTACTGGACTTTTTAAATGTAAATTTTATTAATACAGTGATAATTGATGTTAATAATGCCTCTGAAATATCATCAAACATATTTTTCAAAGATTCAATTTTCTAAAATAGAGATCTTAAACTTGCTTGTATATTCTATTTTGAACATAACTCTTCAACAATTACTATATATGATGGGAAGGGAACTAGTTTAAAGGTCAAGACTTCTGTGTTTGGGTCTAGCTATGACTGTGAGTAAAAAACATGATCTTTGGCTGGGGGCGGTGGCTCATGCCTGTATTCCCAGCACTTTGGGAGGCCGAGGCAGGGGGATGACCTGAGGTCGGGAGTTCGAGACCAGCCTGACCAACATGGAGAAACCACATCACTACTAAAAATACAAAATTAGCCAGACGTAGTGGTGCATGCCTGTAATCCCAGCTACTCGGGAGGCTGAGGCAGGAGAATCACTTGAACCCGGGAGGCGGAGGTTGTGGTGAGCCAAGATCGTGCCATTGCACTCCAGCCTGGGCAATAAGAATGAAACTCCATCTCAAAAAAAAAGAAAAAAGAAAAAAGAAAAAAAAATCTTGAATGGTTCACTGAAACTTTCTTTCTGGGTCTCATTTCCTTTTTTTTTTTTTTTTAGTGAATAGGTTATATTTTCTTTATCCCAACATTCCTTATGGGTCTAAAAGATAATGTTATATCTGTAACTATCTATGTCTATATATATATACACACACACACAAATGTTTATTTACTTCTTAAACATATCCTCATTTTTTTGCTTTTTTTTGAGATAACTATATTTATCAAAACAATACTTTCTCTACAAATAGCCTGATGATTTTTGTACATCTGGGTTTGTTTAACTTAGACTATAATCTAAATATCTTGATTTAGTTAGAAGTGTATATAGGTGGATTATGTCACAAAAGAATGATGGAGATTGTTTCTTTTTTTTCTTTTTCTTTTTTTTTTTTGAGACGGAGTCTAGCTCTGTCTCCAGGCTGGAGTTCAGTGGTGCGACCTCAGCTCACTGAAACCTCCGCCTCCCAGGTTAAGTGATTATCCTGCCTCAGCCTTCTGAGTAGCTGGAACTACAGGTGCACCACCACGCCCAGCTAATTTTTGTATTTTTAGTAGTAGTTTCACCATGTTGGCTAGGATGGTCTTGATCTCTTGACTTCGTTATCCGTCTGCCTCAGCCTCCCAAAGTGCTGGGATTACAGGTGTGAGCCACCGCGCCTGGCCAGGAGATTGTTTCTTAAATTTTGATTAAAATTTTGGTCTTTTGGAAAATATGTGGGAAATAAATATTATATCACAATAAAAAAATATTGCAGTTTCTTTAGTAGTAAAATAACATAAGTAGAGGAGGATGGTCATCTAGTGAATGAAAACACCATTTAGCAATGGTATGCTATGGTGTTCCCTTGGTAATTGTAGATAAAGAAAAATGATGAAATTTATTCTAAGCTCTGCAGTGACTATTGGCTTTTAAATTAATTTTTAAAAATAAAATTTGTAAAACAAATAGAAAATGTTTTACAAATGTCAGAGAAGAATTTGTAATGAAAATATTTTAAACAATGTCAGAGAAGAATTTGTAATGAAAATATTTTAAACCAAGCCTTAAAAATGTAATCTTACACAAGATAGCACAGTGATGCTACTTTCAGGAATGAGAGATGGATACTATTTTTAGTTTTATCTTTATAAAATAATTATTTATTCAGCTTTCCCATATGGCCATCTGCACTACTTTGCCATGGTAGAATGGAATAATCTTAGTAACAGCTTATTTCTCATGTAATAGCAACTCCTCCATCTTTCATGAAAACATCAAGAGGCACAGGACGAAGATCAATGGAGTCGTAAGAAGATTTTGGATTTGTGTGTGTGGCCTCTGACAAAACTGTTTCCTTTGTTTCTGATACTCCTTGAAACCTCGCAGTTCAAAACCTACTTTTTTGGTTTAAGGTAATTTATTTCTTGTTTGGATTCAAATACTCCCAGAAAAAGTACCATCACTACACCAATAATCCCTCTCCCAACTTTGGCAGGAGGGTTTTAAGTGAAAAGCTTTTGAGGTAGAGAGTATATGGAAAAGGTACTCTTGAAAAGTTGAAGGGCAGAGAGATCAGAGAAAGAGGGATTTGGAAGCAGTCGCAAGGCATTATTATCCTGCTCAATAGTAAGCAATGACTAATTGTTAGACAAAGCTCTAGTAAACTTTTTAAAACTATTGTATGCCATTTTATTTTGTTCCTTTGTACCAACTGTTATATGTCACCTTTATAAAAGGTCTTACATGGCACTACAGATACAAAGAGGAAAATAAAATCATACCAAACTTTTAGTAGTTTAGTGACAGGAGCTGACAATTAGTTATATACCAATGTAATAAGTGCTTTAATAGTGGTACATTCAGAAGAGAACTACTTCTGCTTGGTTTGAAGGAGGAGTTAAGTGTATGGATAAACGACATTAAAAAACAAAACAAAACACACAGGAGTTTAGTAATAGCAAAGGCCCAGATATATGGAAATGCAAATCACTCCAAGGAATAATGAACAGTTCAGTGTGGACAGAGTGGAAGTTGCTAGGGAGGGAAATTGGGGAAAAAATGAGGCAAGGAAAGTAAGTTATAACAGATGCTTTTCATAGGCAAATAAAACTATTTATTAATTGAGCTCTTTGTGAGAAGCACTTTGGGGAACTCATGATGCTATATAACTAGCCCCAAGAGCTTATAGGCCAATAGAAAAGACAAGACAGAAACACGCACACAAACTAAGCAGCAGTAAATCGTGACAGGACCTACATTGTTTTTATTACATATACATTTCTCTGGGAGCCAGTCCAATGCTAAGCACAAAGTGGAAACTTACTGAATGAATATTGAATGCATAGATAAATAAAAGTATTTGCCCTGTTAACTTGTTGAAAACAAAATTTATGAGTAATAACATCTGCATAGAATCTCTGATTTCTATAAGCATTTAATCTCTTTAATTATATCTTAGAACACCGAAGCAACTAGTTGAAAGGTAATTTGCACACAAAGAAATTATTAGCCATCAAGCACGCAAAAAATCCTGGTTACTTGATTAAATCCATTCATTTTTCAAATAATAAATTTAGAGTAAATGAGTTTTATGTTTAATATTTTGAATTTTTTAAGTTAAAATTTCTCTAATGTGTTTCAAAAATCTCATTACAGCATGCCTTTTATGTTTTTTTTTCTTCAAACAAATCAATGTTTTTTCAGCTTTTAACACTATCAAAAACAAAACATGTATCTGCCCTGGCTATCCGGAAATATACAACGGAATATGATGGAATTTCAGGGGTTTAAGCTTAATAGATTAAAGTATAATTTTATTGGCTTTGCATAAGTCACATTCATATTTGTTCATTTCTTTTCATAGACTTCTGTCAAACAAGAAGTTTTAATAGATAAGAAGTCAAATGGACTAGAAGTTCTAGCTGACCTAATTTTCAGCATTGAATAAGGAACCTACTTAAAGTAAATTTCATAGATAGGTGCAAAGCTCAAACACTCAGAGTATCTCATTTGGAGATAGATCATTGAAACTGAAAACAAAGACAAAAACAAACAAACAAACAAACAAACAAACAAAACAACCTGAAAATCTGAAGTACATGTTTAAGCCCTGAAGCCTGGGATACAGCATCTGGGTATTCTTAATGATCCCAATTCGTGGTGCTTTGTGGAAACTGTAATTTTGCAAAGCAGATGACACCTGTTAGCAGCTTCTTCATAGCTTGAATGTGGTGGCCTGTTCACACAAGCACAGGCACACCATCAAACAGCATGTGATTTGTAGTTTCATTTTTGGCGAGAGACACACTTTTCACAGAATGACAGGTCACAGAGTTGCAAACCAGCTTCATTCTTTGATCTCCGTTAAGAGACAAACAGTGTAGCAAATATAGCTTTGCTCGTTTGTCTTTTGCTTATTAGCTGTGTAATTTGACTAACAGCTTAAAAGAAAGCTTAGTTATACCACTCTACTATGTACTAAAAAATAATTATCTACTGTACTTTGATTACTGTACTTTGATTCCCTCGCATGCATAACAGAACAGTAGTTGTGACATTAACTGCTACTTTCTAACAGCAAGTAGAACTTTGATAGAGCAAAAATATGTTAGGGAGATCACTACACAGGTCTGTTAATTTACATATGAATATCTTGCAATAAACTTGTGGAATCTTGAAAGTGGATTTTGAAGGAATACTTGATCCTCGAATGGGCCTAAGAAGCCTGGGAACTTTGAATGCCTTTCATAATGCTTGTCATTTTTATCCTATGGAAAGGCTTCTGCTAACTGAAAGAATAAATTTAATACATTGGGTGCATGTGGGAAAATGAAAGTTACACGCACACACACACACACGCACACACTACTGCCATTAGAAAGAGGAGAGAATAGTATAAAACCTCAGCTATAAGAGATCTCGGCCCCCAGTCAAACCCTTCGTATTTGCCTTTGGAAAGACAGATTTCTTGAAAATCAGGGTTTTTGTTGGCTATATGAAGAGTCAAACATGATGTTCCTTGATAACACCATATGGAGAAAAACTTGTTTAGAAACAAAAAGTTCTAGAAGTATGTAGGTAATATTAAAGTGATGAGAAGTTATTCAGTTAAGTTATATACAGCTAATAAGTAAATAATGTATAAGTACAAAGCAGCACTTGCATGTAAACATAAAGAACTTTCCCTCTTAAATGTATATACATGCATATGTTAATATAGTAATTTTTGAATAAGGCAATTTTGATGAACATAGTTATATCAATAAGTCTAATATTTTAATATACATGCATATGTTAATATAGTAATTTTTGAATAAAGTGATTTCAGTGAACATAGTTGTATCAATAAGTGTAATATTTTTACAATAAGTCTAATAAGTTTAATTTTAAAAATATTTAAAAATCTTTTATTTTTAATTTTAAGCAGATTTCATAGATACATCCCAAATGATAAATGTACTTCTCCAGGCACCTTCAAAAATTGCATGTTTTTATTTTTTTCACCTTTCCTAAAACTGTTTTGCGATAGAATGGGTGTCAGCTCATCAACAGGTTCATGTTCTTTGCTTTTCAAATTATCTAAACCTCTGGTAGGTGCTATTTCTATGCTTGGTATTTTGCTTTAAAAAAATATGGAGCAAATACTACATTTGAAAACACAAACAAAACAGTCTAAAACTCTTATTCACTATGCTACTTAAATACAACTCAACAAGGGATGATATGTGCTAAGTCATATAATAACTCACTTTTAAAAACTGAATTGTAGCACAGTGCTCAAGTGTTGTACCTTTTCCACTCTATGTCCTAAGTGATATCATGTTCTCATTTATTGAATGCCCCTGATATTCAAGTCACCTAGCTGTAAATTGGCTTCCCTCCCAGCCTAATAACTTGGAGACTTTTTGTAAAACAATTGTAATATTAAAATTCAGACAAGTGGCCCAAAAATGGCCCTGGAGGGCAGGCCTGCAATTTCCTTATTCTCACTTCCCTTATTCCCTCATTTGTTAAGTTTTGCAACATCAATTTTTATACTGTTGCTGTTTTATCCTGGCCAAACAGTTGTTGAATTTTAATGAACTGTCTCCCTTTGACAAATGAGTTATTGTTTGATATATTACATTAGGGATATAGAGAACAAACTACTTATGGATACTAGATATTTGGATAAAATGCATTTACATAATACTAGACTATTAGTGTAATGAGTTCTATTAGTTGCAAAAAATACAATACACTGCAGATTTGGAAACATGCTGAAGAATGATGGACATATATATAATTTATATCCCAGTACCTCAAATAAAATGGCAAATATTTTCACATTATATAACTTAAGATTTTCTCCTCTGTTATGGCGCTAGGGAAATTTTCACTTCCATGACATAGATTTGAAGGTTGGGGAAACATTCTCTGATTACTGACAATTACTCAAATTGGTTGGTGGTTGAATTCATTATTAATGAAATGAAATAGATGTTGATGAGTAACTTAAGATGTTGAAAACACTGGAGCTATGCTCACCTTCTTCCATAATTCTTCTATCCACTGAGGAAAGATGGGTTTATTTCTCTCATCTGAGGGCATAGGGGTTGGGTTAAGAGTATACTTTGCTCTGCGTCTTTCATTCAGACCTGATTTCCAGATAATTTAGCTAGAAATTGTTTAGTAAAGGAAAACATTAAAAACAAACTCCCACATGTCCAGAAGCTAAATGGTCCAAAGGTTCAAACACCCACCCTTTAAAAATATTATTATATGCTAATTATGTGCATGATAATGAGGCACTTCAAGATTCTGAAGTGCCTTTCTAATCATTGTGAAAAGAGGAAATTATATTTGGTGTGACTTTAATGTTAAGTGTAAGTACATTATTTCATTTTAACTATGGTAAGAACTTACTCTAAATACAATGATTTTTTTCCTAACCAAAACACTTAATTACCATTGATAGAAGATAGTGATTAAGGACCCTGTTGCCTCTTAAATAAATTTGGGTCTATTCTCTATTTGCCATGGCTAGTTCTGTAAACATGGGCAAGCAGCCAAGATTCTTTAAGCTTCAGTTTTCTCATCTGGAAAATAGAATATCAAAACCTATATTCTTCTAGTGTTATTTTGAGGATAAATGATTCCCTAAAGGTCTAATACCTGGAAAAAAAGGGTGAGTTTATAAATAGTCTCTGTTGTCATTATTTAGGAGTAGGTAGCAGTTTAGTAGTAGGGTGTGAAGAGCCTGGACTTTGGGAGAAGACAAACTTGGGTTTCAATCCTGGTCTTGCTATTTCTTTGCTTTATGATCTTTGACATTCTTTCTAAGATTTATAACTCTGGGTTTCCTTCACTGTAGCAGGGAACTTGCAGTAGTTCCTGTTAAGTAGGATTATTGTGAGGACTAAATAAGAGGACACCTGTAAAGCACTGGTAGTTAGGCTCTGGAACACAGCAACTGCGCAGTGAATGGAAGCTCCTGGTTTTGTCATCAATGTTATGATTTTTACTATTATTGGTTATTATTTTATACTTTTTCATTTGTCTAAACATTCTAGGTGAGCAGAGTTTACTCAAATTCAAACATATCACATTTCATAAACGTACAAATTACAAAAACCAAAAGCCAGGAAAATTATCCAAAAGACGTTTTTAGAAGGGTATAAAGTGTTACACAAATGTGGTAATATTATCATGAATGTTATTTCATGATTAAAATCATTCAGCAGTTGTTAAGTTTGCCTTTGAAGCGCTACACTCTTTGATAAACATCATTTAGGTATTAACAGTGTAGAACTCAAGTAGCTATTTTTAAGAATTATTATAAAAGTCTTAATTTTACTATTGGGTAAGCACTAGAACATATTCATGCAAAATATGTTGATTGATTCATTCAATAAACATGTAATGAGTACTTACTATGTGCTAAGAGTTGTGCTTAACGTGGAGGCAAAGTTAACTAAAACACAGTCCCTGACATCTAGCAGTCCACCCTCCCAACAAACCCACAATATTACTTCTACCAATGAGAAAAACATGCTGTAGGTTAAAGGTGGCGTGATTCCCCCAGGAACCTCTACTAGTTCAATGACTCCTGTGAGAGTAGAGACCATTTATTTTGTGCCATTCTTCCCTAAGGCACCTAGCATGGTACTTCATAGATTTTAGACAATGTTTCAATAAACATAATTGTGAAGAAAATTAATAATTTCCGATCTCCTGGCCTTGTGAATTATTGTGGATAGTTGATACTCTTCTTTTCAGATTTTGACTTTGCATTTTCTATGTCTAAATCCAACAATCTTTCAGTTTCAGACAGAATCCACGTCATCCATACAGCAAAAGCATTATCTCTCTAAACTCTGAAAGCATTTTGCTTATAATCAGGCATTGGCTAAGCATTTTCATGTGTGTGCCAGGGACAAAACAATGTTAAGGTATTGACATGCTTGGTCTCTCTCATCCTCCACCAGGGGTTTTGGGTTCATCCAGATTATAAGTCAATAATCCAGAGACAAAACCTGGTATTATTTTGCAAAAGAGGAAAGTAAAGCACAGAGAGGTTAATGTATTTTGTTTAATGTCATGTAACTCCTAATATGGGGGTCAAAATACAAATCCAAGGCTGCTCTAAATCCATATGCTCTACAGTAGGACCCCCATATCTGAGGGTTCTTCATCTGTGAATTCTACCAATCATTGATTGAAAATTTCCAAAAAATGAATAAATAAAAAATAATAATACAACAATAAAAATAATACAAATAGAAAATAAAGTATAACAATTATTTACATAGTACTCACATTGTATTCGGTATTATAAATAATCTAGAGATAATATAAAGTATACAGGATGTGTATAGGTTATATGCAAATAATATGCCATTTATATAAGGGACTTGAGCATCATGGCAATGTAGTATCTGGAGGGAGTTCTAGAACTAATCCCACTCAGATATGGAGGGATAATTGTACTTAGCAATTGCTACTTTTTATCTATTATACCTGTATCTTATCTTTCAGTGATGACCATATTCTTGGAGGTCAGGTTCATGCATGATTCATCTCAATTTCCTTTAAAGCACTTAGAACACAGTTTTGCATAGTAAGTGTGCAATAAATATCTTTAGAATGACAAGTATAATTTAAGCATCAGCAATCATAAACCTGCTCTTTTATTGATTTCTGAGCTACCCAGGGAAAGGGAAAAAGATATAGATGGTGGCCAAACTTGGCATTTCTTAAGGGAGATATCACAGAAACCTGTTCTGACTCAGAGTAAAAAACAGTGCTCTGAGAAGTGACACTGGCTGGCAAATATAAACCAGACTCTGATGTATCAGAATGATAAATCTGATATGCTAATCTACATGGTAGGTCTGAAGCAGAGACATTAGGAAAAACTCTTGCAATTTGTTCTGATTAGTCTTTGGTGACATTTTCATACTTCTATACTGTTAACTTTCTACCACGAGAAAGTGAAGACAACTGTACTCACTCTTTTAAGGTAATGGAAATACTAAAAGAAAATAGTAAAAGAGTCAAAGAGGCTGAAACCAAATTTAAAGCTAAAAGCAATGGGACTTTATAGAATGGCAGGTAGGAGACAGGGAGAATAAGACAGTCATGTTTGTTTTAGGAAAACATTATTTGAAATAACACAGGTTTCTCAAACACAAGGCATAAATGCACACATGAAGTAGATGTTGCAGAATGCCTTATTGTTCACAGTCACTTAGGATGTTTTCTAACAGCTATCTTTTCTTTCTGAACATCAACTCTGCTAGTTTTATTAAAATAGTTTATTTCCTGTCTTATCACTCATTTCACTCTCCCTGTAAAATTTATTGGGTACCTATTGTGGTCTAAGCTTACATTTGGAACTGGGTACACAGTGGGAATAAAAGTACCTGCTTCAAGGAGGTCACAGTCTAGTGTTTGAAGACTTAGATATAATTAAGACAGTATAAAATAGTGGAAAAAGTTAGTGCAAAACATAAACATATAAAGAAGATAGAGTATCAGCATTTCAACAGGTTTTTTGTTTTTGTTTTTTTTTGGTTAATTTCTATTTTAGGGTACCTTTACTGACATTTTTTTAAAAAGCAGACTACATTCAAATCACACTATTTCTCTTCTCATCTTTCAATAATTATCTTTAGACACCATTAAATTTGTTACTTTTTCATATGTCTGATCTTTATATTCATTACTTTGTCAACTATATACTAAGATTCATTCATATTTGGCCATTTATTCAACAAAACTTTACTGAGTACATACTATGATTGACTATACTAAAGTATATGGATGCTAATACATCATTCTTGCCTTCAAGAAGTTCATAGTATAAAACCATATGTCCAGTACAGTAGCCACTAGCCAGATGCTGTTATTTAAATTTTAATTTAAATCTAAAATAAATAAAATTGAATTCTCTGTCACATCAGCCACATTTCAAGCGTTCAGTGGCCGTATTTGTCTAGAGGATCTTGTTTTGGACAGTGCAGATATTATATTTCTATAATCACAGAAAGTTCTGTTGGTCACTGCTGATTTAGACAATGTGTGGGATGAGGAGGAGTGAACTGGTGGGATAAAGATTACATGCAATTATTGATATGTAATTATGGCATATGGATAAATTGTTAATACATGTAGAGTGTGACGGAAGGTTGGGAAAGGGAAAGGCTTCACAGAGACAATAACATTTGAGTCTCAAAGGATGGAATCAAGTGGGTTCAAGGAAGCCAAAAACAGCACAACAGGTTGAGAAAGCTGTATAGCAGGGCCTTTGCATACTGTGCAGGCTGTGCAGTTGCAGCTCTATAGGGTCCCATTCCTATATTAGTTGTGTTACAAGGGCCCGGCTGTGCATTATTATTCCTGCCCTTGGATCTGTGGTCATATTTTTTCCTGAATCTGAAGAGTGCAACATCTCCTCAGATCTGTCCACTCTGGACTTCACTCCATGCCTGCTACTTTGGACATCTTTTTAATCTTTCCATCCCCAACTCATGAGACCATGTCTGGGTAGAACTTTTCTACTCTGAATCCTATACAGCAATTTTATCATGAACTACATGATATAGCTTATAAACTAGCTTCCACCGTTTCTCACTGATCCCACTGTTAGCATTTAGTATTGTCTCCTGACTACACCTTAATGCCCAGGAAAGGAGACCAACTTCAGGCTCCCTGTTTCTTCTATTTCTCTCAGAGCAGTGCTGAGCATGTAGGCAGATGCTCTGGAAAATATGGCTGACTGATCGATATAGTGGCTGATGATAACTCACTTTTATTCAGCTTCAACACATATTGAACTTATAACCTGGTAGGCACTCACTTTTTATCTGGGGATTAAAAATATGGACACAAAAGATGATATAGAAAAGTATTAAAATTTTGGGAGAATTAAATGACATTTAATATAAATAGCTTTAGAAGAATGATTTGATGTAATACTGAAGTTAATCTTTATGTAATGTGACATTATTATTTATAATGAGTACTTTTTTATTGATATTTCTATTTACATTAATATTTGGCTGAGTGTTTTTTGACACACTGAATAATTTTTAATCATTTTACTCATTGCCAAGTTTCTTTTATATTAAGAATGTGAGATTTCTGAGTAACAATAATGTTGATGGTCTATTTTTTTCAGTATAAATGACAGTCTTTTAAATATTTCATTGGTTTTACTGCATATTTTTTGTCTAGTGTTATTGACTTTTGTATTTCTTTATTGAGCAATGTTCTAAAGAAAATTCTAAAGATATCCTTCTCTTTTACCAAATGACCATTTATGTGGCTTTCTTATGAGTTGTGGGGCATGATTTATTTGTATTCAGGATTATCTTTTAATTGCTCCCTGAAATTCATGGTTGAGTTTTGCTTTCAACTGAAAAATAATAATTCACATACATTGTCCGTAAGCACAGCCATGCCATCTGTAAATAGGAGGAACATTGACTGCTCTCACCAAGAGACCCTCTTTCATTTCCATTCAATCCAATATCTGAGACACAACTTCCAGTACCTAGGTGAATAATGACTGGAAAAGAAGGAGTATTAACACACTTTCCTGTCTTGTCTACTGCTTTCTGGGAATGAGCTAAAATTTGGTTGGACTTTTTAGGGCAGTTTAAATTATGAATGTTGTGTATGTGTGCACATGTGTGTTCTCAGAAAAGACTTAACATGTAAGTAGTAAATATCTATTTTCCTCATTGCAGTGTTTCTTAGCATTTTCTTCCTCTGTCTTCTTTTTCTCCTTTCCCTTCACCCTAACATTTACTTCTGTTGTGTACTGAAATCTCATCACAGAACACATTGGTTTTGTTTATTAGTGCCATCATAAATTATTTCTTGGTAAAAAGGGATGTTTGAGTAAATAGCTAGTTCGGATTTATTTATTTATTTTTTCTTTTAACCAACAGTTATTAAAACATCTTTCACATCTTGAATATGGGTAGAAGGTATAAAGAAAGATGAGATTCAGATCCTTGCAAAATAGGGGCTCTCTTGGGAGTACTGAAATCAGTAGAGATAAATAGAACTCAATAATGTTTTATATGCTATGGACTCAAAAAGGCGTTGAAATACATAACTCTGCCTGGCAGGAGAAGGCAGGCCCTGTGGAGGAGGGAACTTTTGAGCTTCCAGTAAGAATGGATGCACTGTTGCCTAGTAGACAATGGGGACGGGAGGTGCCAGGCACAGGCAATGGCCTATGACAAGCAGAGGTAAGAAAGAGTGTGGTGAAGCTGGGCGAATGCAGGTGACATGTGGTAGAAGTGGTGGAAATTGAGTCTAGAGAGTCAGGAAAGGGGCCAATTGGGAAGGGCCTTCCATTGTGGAATTTAAATGGCAGGTGATAGGAATTAAAGAACTTTAAGCCTAAGAGTGGCAAAGTCGGTTTTGTATTTTAGAAAGATCTTTCTGAATGTATTAATACTTTAGAGCATGAATAGAAAGGGGTAGAGAGACAGCGGCAATGTGAGATTGTGCCAGGAAGGTGAGATTGTGTCAGAAAGGCTTTAGAGAGAAGATGAGAAGTGAGTCATCTTATAAGCTGAGTAGGAACAGGGAATGGGCTTGCATTTTCTCAGTGTCCATTCTTCTCTTACATGGAGAGTTTTCCATTGTATCATTTACTACTTTCATGAAGTCTGCCTGCACTTAGAATCTTCACTATGAGGTATGTCATATGGTATTTAATGGATTTTAATATTTTTTCACTCAAAGGATGGCCTACAGACCAGTGGCACCCACGTCTCCTGGGGATTTGTTAGAAATGCAAAATCTCAGGCCTTACCCAAGACCTACTGAATCAGTATTTTAGTAACATCCCTAGGTGACTTGCATGCATCATGTACTTTGAGAAGCACAGTTTCAGTTCTCCATGCCCACATTATAGTGTCCTGGGGGTAAAGTGGAAGTTTGTATGCTCTGCTTCTCCTGACTCCCTCATAGCACATAATAAGTTTGGAACATATTGTAGGTGGGCAGCAGGTACTTGCTAGTTGATTTATTTTCAAAATAGGGAGTGTTACTTTAAGCATTTCAACCACTTAAATTTAATAGACATTTATTGCAACTGGGAGACGAGTTAAGAGGTTATTGCAATATTGTCCAAGTGAAAAATGAAGTCCTATATTAAGGCAATGATAGTGGAGATAAAATGGAAGTGGAAATAATAAAAAATATATTTAGAAAAAAAGATTGGTAGGCTCTGCTAATTAAGGATATGAAAAGTGAAGGGGAGAGACAAGTACAGAATGTATGGGTTAGGTGTGTACAATCACCTACTCATTTTGCTGCACAATGAAAATGATAGTCCAAGTTTATTCGGAGACATTCTTTTTTTTTTTTTTTTTTTTTTTTTGACACCAAGTCTCAATCTGTTGCCCAGGCTGGAGTGCAGTGGTGCTGTCATGGCTCACTGCAGCCTTGACCTCCCTGGGCTCATGTGATTTTCCCACCTCAGCATCCCAAGTAGCTGGGACTACAGGCACATGCCGCCATGCTGGCTAAGTTTTGTGTGTACATACATATGTGTGTGTGTGTGTGTGTGTGTGTGTGTATTTTTATTTTTTGGAGAGACAGGGTTTCACCATGTTGCCCAGGCTGGTCTTGAAGTCCTGGGCTCAAGCCATATGCCTGCCTTGGCTTCCCAAAATGCTGGGATTACAGGTTTAAGCCACTGAGCCCGGCTGACTATAGACATTTTTTCTACATTTTTATATCTGAATGTTTCCCAGTCAACAAATATTAATTGAATCAGGGTCTTCTGCAGGGCAGGCTCTCTTCCAGGTGTTTGATATTATTGTCTTTGCTATCAGAAGATTATAGTCTAAAGGAGGAGATCTGAAAAACCTGTGGATTGAGAGAGCATGAAGTAAGTGCTGTGATAGAGGTAACAGCGATGGGCTCTGTGCCCCTGAGGAGGGGTACTTAATTTAAACTTGAGATGGTAGCATCGGACAATGCTTCTCAGAAGACAGAACTCCCACAATGAGTCATTAAAGCCTAATAAATAGCCAGGTAAATGTAGGTATGTTCTGTGGATAAAAAGGCAGGGAGAAAGCAGACTTATGGACATAAAAGACACAGGTAGGTACAGAAGGCCTGAGAGTGTGGACATATATGATTTATTTGATGAATTTATATTATTCCATGTGACAGCAGTATGCAGGGCCAGGAGGAGTTCTGATATTCTGAAAAGAATACAGGACAATACTAAAGTGTCCCGGATGTGGTTATTTCAGATCAAGGTACACAGTATTTTCTGCAACACAGGTCTCTGACATGGAGAACATGGCAATTTAGTGTTACCCCTGCTCTTTGCCTGCAGTGATGTAAATCAAATTTACATCTGATTTCTCTGCATTCCAATCACTTGTTAGAATCTTAATAATCTTTCAAAACTGATTTAAATACCTCTTTTTTTTCCCCCAAAGAAGCAAGTCCATATCCATTCTCTCCTGTCTATAGTTCTATACATTGTTTGTACCTCATTTTTCATGCATTTATCTTTCCTTCTTTAAAGTCTAAGTCTTCTACTTGATTGTGATCTGTGGGAAGTTAAAATGTTTATCTTACTCATTTATATAAGCATTTCAGTTGATCATGCTTGGCACAGAGTAGACACACAAGAACACATCTATCATCTCCAAAGAATTAACTGAATTCCTAATTACTGAAATAAGTAGATAATTAGTGGTAAAAGTGAGAGTTATTATCTTTAAAATAATGAAGTCAAAAGTGAATTGTTTCCCCAAACTTGCTTAATATATATAAGTCATTAATAACTCAGAACTGGCTTTAAGAGAGAAGAGACTAGCAACCTTTGCCCCTCATTAAAGCCATTTGTACCATTAAAATATTTCTAAATTCCACATTTGCTTTTGCAATAATTACATGACATTTCTCTAGAAACAGCTCAAAAACAAAATTGCACTTGTTTATTCACTTTGTTATCTAAATACAATTATTTGTCTAGGTCAGTCTCACACTAAAATTGGACAACACATTGTAGCCTACAGGAAAGAGACAGAAAGTGAGGAAGCTACAAAGCTCCGAATTACTGGCCATTTGTTTTTGTGAGGGAACCATTGAAGGTGATATCTGTGTCCTTGATACTTTACTCCCACCTCCCTAATGTAGGCTAAAAGGCACTCTCACTTTTGTATTGTGTTTAATTTTTCTTTCATTTGTAACTCTTCTGTGACTCTTTCGCCTCCTTAGCAAGTTGAAGGAAGGGACTGTTACAGAAATAGCAGCTAGGGGCATAAATAGTGCTTGACAGCTCTTTTATTTTACTAAAGAAAAATAGACAGTCTTACTGAACCAGCTTGGGATTATATTGCTATAATTCTATCACTGTTTTGCAAAGAATGTCCCTCGAAATCCGGGGCACCATTAACGATTAACTAGGATCACAGATCAAAACGTATCACCATATGAGATCTATAGGAACAGGTCACAGGTTAAAAAGTTTATCAGAGGGTAGTCTTGTGGATGCTGCTTCTTAGAGATGGATTTTAAATTAAAGTTCTATTCTTCAACTATTAAGGGCCTTGTGAGAAAGCTGAGATGACATTTGGATTTCAGTCTTGGGGTAATAACCCCCAGAAATATTCAATTTTTCTAGAGTTCAAAAATACCCATTTATCTAAAATATATACTACTCTGGTTTTGCAACAGACTACATATTGTACTCCTTCCTCTCCAGAGTTAACATGGAATTCTTTAAAAATCTATGAAATAATTTAAGTTAAAAAATACATTTATACCATACTAAACTTTTTCCCTGCCAATATCTAACAAACAATATTAAGGCGGTGTGATCTCAGTCTGGGAGACAAAAAAAATCCGCTTGATATTTGACCTCAGCTATGTATACATCAGAAGCTGTCTGAATACTGATGTTTTTCATTATTCTATTGCAATACTGCAATATATTTTCTATCCTATTGTGCCCTTCACTTTCTCAAACACACATATTCAACTTTACCTATCTACTCTTTTCTTCAACTACTTACATTTCTAAATATTTCTACAGGTACACATGGACCTTGGAATTTCATTTATTTTTTTTAAATCAAGATAATAAGATAACCTGCTGTGTGGCCAAGAACTCAATTTAATCTTATCTAGGCTTTAACTTAATAGTTTAAAATAGTATTCTATTCTAAGGCAAACAATTCATTTAAAAATAAATACAACATTTCTTATGTAGTAATCTTGGCCCAGGAATTGTTGGATATTTGAGAAATCTAATGACAACCTTTGGCTCATCAATATGATTATCATAATTTCACTGGTAATAATAACTACTGACTTAAAAAGTAATCTGAAAAAAGATGATGTGGTAGTTAAAATGAATTTGAATCATGTATTCTTTTTACCACAGAATGATTTCATAACCTTGAGAAAGTCACTGACCTCCTATATGCCTCTATTCTTATCTCTTTAAAGTAAAGCTAATATCTTCACCTTATTATCTACTTCAGTAATGAAGGTGTAAAGACTAATAACCATAAAAAGCACATCAGGCTTTCTGGAAGTCAGGCTCAGTATAAATATAAAGTATTTATGAAGCAGAGCACAGCACGAATTTATAAATCTAAAGACAAAGTTTTTTTAATGTATCTTGGAAAAAAAATACACAGGAGAAATAAATCATCTTTGATATTCATTTTTCTGAAGGTACTCCTGTGTCCACCATATTCCCTGCATTATTAGTCTGAATGAAAGGCCTGAGGAAATTTTTATGTCGTTGCACTTAGCATTCAGTTATGGCTTCCCATTGCTAGGCAGTGAAATACTCATCTTCTACTTTAAGCACCGGATTTACTGCTCCTAATGGGAGATTTGCATTTGTTCTAAGATTACAAATAACAATTATGCCAAAGCAATTACTCTTAACCTCAATCTGTAGCTCTTGCTTGCAGCAGGGCACTTTCATCTGTTCCATTTATTTTCATTCTCATTTTGGCCTGGAGGTATTTCTAAATAAATCAATCACAGTAGATGTTGGAACAGGTCTATTGAATAACACCTAGGCTGACTACACACACTGTATTGGGAATAGCGAAAATTATGACTATAACTCAAATGAAAACAGAAAGCATACTTCTGGGGTCAGTTATCTGAATAAATCAAGAGAAAAAGCTTCTGCCCTAGTTCACTAGATAGTGTGCATTCCTTCCCACTTATTCTTCTAAATAGTTAAACTTTGTCATGAACTTCCTACTGTGCCAAGCACTATTAAGCCACTTTACCTTTTTTTGTTCCTACTTCACAGATCAAGAAACGGAGGCAAAGAGAGATTAAAGAGCTTGCCCAATTTTAGAAAGCTAGTGAGTGGGACAGCTAAGAATTCATCTCACACCCGACCCTGGAACTGATGCTCTTATCACTTCACTCTTCTGCCTTCCCATGATGAGGCAGGTACATCCGGGGCAGTATTGCTGTCTAGGCTGTTGTTACATTATGGTGAAAGACTAATTCCAACATGAAGAATAAATCAAAAATTTATTAATTATGACTATGCTTTTATGTCTATTGTCAAGACCACTCATATTTCTTAAGGAGAATATAACATAATGAAAGGCCATGAGTAAATAATTGTATTTTGACTATATGCATATATAATTGAATATAAGAATCTCATATTTTTCTTTATACTAGGACTTGCTAATCTAGGAACAGTTCTTTAGTTGGCGTCCAAATGACAATTACTCTTAACTGTTAAACTGAAAAGAACTCTATTCCATAAATTTAACTAATGTTCTTCCTTGCTGAAGACACTGACTTATAATTAGTTATTCCTTCACTTTTATTATATGTAATATATACTTAATGTAAAACTAATAATGGAGCTTCCAAACAGAGGAATCAAGCAGAATTTATTGCCAAACAATATGGTCATCGCTTCTAATCAGAATATTAATTAACATTAAACATTTAAGTAAATATTACAATTTTGATCTCTAGTGATTTTCTGAAGAAGCTTTTCAAAGCTCATGAAATAAGTACTCAGCATAGGAAATTGAGAAAAATAAAAATGTAGAAAGAAGAGAAAAAGTACCTATAATACCCTCTGTTAGAGAAAAATAATGGGTTACCATATATCTTTTCAAAACTTTTCCATGAATATTTTAATAAGAAAATGTTTATTGTTGAATTAGAATGTCTATACAGCCCAAATCTCTGAGATAGTTTCCAAATTTTGAGTATTGTGCACAGCTAGGAGCACATAAATAATATTTGTATATTTTCTCTTCTAAATCATTAACTTAGTTTTATGATAGCCTTATTTAAAATTAAATGTTCAATTTGTCAGATTATAAACATCTCCTATGCTACGCTGAACCAGGTAACTCTTTATTTGATGTGTTCTACACAACTTAGCACTGCACAGTTACAAGTATGTGTAGATTAACTCAGAGTCATTAAAATTGAGGCAGCCCCTACTTGTTCCTTTCAGTTGAGGTAAGTCATACCCATTACCCATATGTAATGAATATAAATTATGACTAAAGATGAAGCCAAATGATATTAACTGTGTAAGTGTTTGCGTTGTTGCATACATGCAATTGTATTTAAAGATACACTCTTGATTTTTGAGTTCAATTAAAATGACGTTTCTTTCCCCTGTTCCCTTTGGACAGCAATCTCTACTACAAAGTTACTATTCACTGTTCATTCACTGTTCTGCATTTGAACAAACAGAACAATTTACATCCTTCTAGAAAAACAAAACAAAACAAAACAAAACAAAACTGAACTGAAGCGCTAAGCTAAAATGGCTCTCTCTTTTCCAAGGAGGCAGTCTGCTTAGTAGAGAAAGGGAGTCTCACCACTGATGGCCTGCAGAAAAGCTGTTTACTGTAAATGCAAAGTTCTGTTGCAACATACATTATGGCTGGAACTTTTAAAAATACCACTGATGATTTTTTTTTGCATCTATAAAAAACTAGAATTAACCAATGACAGTAAAAATTTAATACTTTTTGAAGATTTTTATTGTAAAAATCCTAAATATTGGTATAGGTAACAGAATTGGGGAGACTTGTTTGAGTACTTTCTACATTTCATTTAAATATATTTCATTAGATCTAAATTAGGTGTTCTAAAGGTAAAAGATTGATGATATTTTGCACTAAAAATACATATAATTATAGGGTCCAACTTCCCAACATGACTTGTAAATTACATAGTAAAATAAAGTATTCAACAAGCCTGATTTCAGGGCCAGAAACCTGACCTGAAAACAGAACTCATGGATGGATATTAAGTACAAAAGTCCTCCCAATTGTGTATGTTTTGAGTTGTTTATGTTTAAGTAGGCAGATTTAATATGAAAAACATATGCTCTTTGTGGTGAATGAGAAGGACAAATCTAATATTTGTACTATAAATGTGAAGAGAGAAATATCCTGAAGATATTCTAGATGGAAATCATGCCAGTAATGAGCCTGGAAGAGTTATTAGGAAGGTACTGTGATATCTCTAGCATAAAGACCTACAGGATTGGTGTAGCTCTTAACTAAATACCAGGATCATGTTACCGTGGGGAAATCTTTTAATCTCCTCTGAGTCTAATTTTCCTCATTCTGAAAATGGTGAAAAAAATTGTACCTCACAAATTTTTAAAAATAATTACACATTAAGGTACTTTATAAATGCTATAGCACTCAGTGTGTGTGAGATGGAATCAACAGATATCAGAGGGTTCTAGGAGTAGAATTTGAATGACAGTTTTCCATGCAATATTCTTGCCACTAAAATAGGGGTTGGATAATGTAAAGGTCAAGAAAACTTCAATAGAGACACATATAGACTGAAAATAAACGGAGGGAAAAAGATATTCCATGCCAATGGAAACCCAGAAAGAGCAGGAGTAGCTATATTTACTTCAGGAAAAAATAGATTTCAAGACAAAACTATAAGAAGAGACAAAAATGTCACTATATAATGATAAAGGTGCTAATTCAACAAGGGGATATAATAATTGTAAATATATACACACTCAACACTGGAACACTCAGATATATAAAGCAAATATTATTAGAGTTGAAGAGAGAAAGAGACTCCCATAGAATAATAGCTGGAGACTCCCCCGCATTCATCATTGGACAGATCTTCCAGACAAAAAAAATCAGCAAAGAAACATCAGATTTAATCTGTACTATAAAATATATGAACCTAATAGATATTCCTTCAAAAGCTGCAGAGTATACATTCTTCTCCTCAGCACATGGATCATTCCCAAAGATAGACTATGTGTTAAGTCACAAAACAAGTTTTAAAACATTCAAAAAAATTGAAACAATATCAAGCATCTCTCTGACCACAATGAAATAAAACTAGAAATTAATAACAAGAAGAATTTTATAAACTATACAAACACATGGAAATTAAACAATATGCTTCTGAATGATTGGGGGTCAATTCAGAAATTAAGAAGGAAATTGAAAAATTTCTTGAAACAAATGATGATGGAAACACAATATTCTAAAATCACCTGTGGGACACAGCAAAAGCCGTACTAAGGGAGGAGTTTACAGCTATAAGTGCTTATATATTAAAAAAAGAGAAAACTTTAAATAACCTGATGATGCATCAAGGACTAATACCCAGAATCTACAAAGAACTCAAACAAATTAGCAAGAAAAAAACAATCCCATCAAAAAGTGGGCTAAGGACATGAATAGACAATTCTCAGAAGAAGAAATACAAATGGTCAACAAGCATATGAAAAAATGCTCAACATCACTAATGATCAGGGAAATGCGAATCAAAACCACAATGCGATATCACCTTACTCCTGCAAGAATGACCATAATCAAATAATAATAATAATAAAATAGATGTTGGCATGGATGTGGTGAATAGGGAACACTTCTACACTGCTGGTGGGAATGTAAACTAGTACAACCACTATGAAAAACAGTGTGGAGTTTCCTTAAACAACTAAAAGTAGAACTACCATTTGATCCAGCAATCCCACTACTGGGTATCTACCCAGAGGAAGAGAGTCATTATATAAAAAGATACTTGAACACACATGTTTTTAGCAGCACAATTACACTTGCAAAAACATGGAACCAACCCAAATGCCCATCAATGAATGAATGTATAAAGAAACTGTGGTATATATATACAATGGATTACTACTCAGCCATAAAAAGGAATGAATTAAGGCATTCACAGTGACCTGGATGAGATTGGAGACTATTATTCTAAGTGAAGTAACTCACGAATGGAATAACAAACATCATATGTTCTCACTCATATGTGGGAGCTAAGTTATGAGGATGCAAAGGCATAAGAAAGACACAGTGGACTTTGGGGACCCAGGGTGAAAGAGTGGGAAAGAGGTGAGGGATAAAAGACCACTAATTGGGTGCAGTGTATACTGCTTGGGTGATGGGTGCACCAAAATCTCACAAATAACCACTAAATAACTTACTCATGTAACCAAACACCACCTGTTCCCCAATAAGCTTTGGAAATTAAAAAGAAAGAAAGAAAGAAATTAGATAAAAGAACATAAAAATGTAGATTTTCTTTGGAAAGAGTGCTAATTAATTTTGCTGATTAAATTAAAGAACTGAGAAACACACACACACACACACACAAACATACACACACACACAAAAGATCTTCACTGTGACCAAGTGGAATTTATGCCAGTGATGCAAGGATGGTTCAACATATGTAAATCAATCAATGTGATACATCATAACAACAAAATCAAGGACAAAAACCAAATGACTATTTCAACTGATGCTGAAAAAGCATTTCATAAAATTCATATCCCTTCATAATAAAAAAATCCTCAAAAATTGGGTATAGAAGGAACATACCCTCCTATAATCCAAATTCGACAGATTTATATGAGACAGACACATAGCTAATATCACACTGAAAGCGGAAAAACTGAAAGCCTTTCCTCTAAGATCTAGAACATGACAAGGATGACTGCTTTCACCAGTATTATTTGACATAATACTTAAGTTTTAGCTAGAGCAATCAGATAAGAGAAAAAAATAAAGGGCATCCAAATTGGAAAGGAATAAGTCAAACCATTCTTGTTTGCAGATGATATGATCTCATATTTGAAAAAACCTAAGACTCCACCAAAAAACTAGAGCTGATAAACACATTCAGTAAAGTTGCAGGATACAAAATCAACAAACAAAATTCAGTGGCATTTCTATATGCCAACAGCCAACCATCTGAAAAAGAGATAAAAAAAATACCATACACAATATCTACAAATAAAATTAAATACACAGGAATTACCCCCAAAAGTGATAGATCTCTACAATAAAAACTTTCAAACATTGTTGCTGCACGAAATTGCAGAGGACACAAAAATATGGAAATATATTCTATGTTCATGGATTGGAAGAAAAATTGTTATCAAAATGTCCATTCTACCCACAGCCATCTATGGATTTAATGCAATCCCTATCACAATACCTAAGACATTCTTCACAGAAATAGAAAAAACAGTTATACAATTTTTATGGAGTCTCAAAAGACCCAGAATAGTCAAAGCTATTCTAAGCAAAAAGAACAAAACTGGAGGAATGACATTCCCTGACTTTATATTATACTGCAGAGCTATTGTAACCAAATTGGCATTGTACTGGCATAGAACAGACACATAGACCCAGTAGAAAATAACAGAGAACCCAGAAATAAATTCATACATCTACAATGAACTTGTTTTTGCCAGCGGTGCCAAGAACATACACTGGGGAAAGGACAGACTCTTCAATAGATGGTGCTGGGAAAATTGGACACCTATATGCAAAAGAATAAAACTAGACCTCTATCTCTTGCCACATACAAAAATCACATCAAATTGGGTGAAAAACTTAAAACTAAGACCTTAAAATATGAAGTGGAGGGTAGGTATGGTTAGTGGGTACAAAAAATAGTTAAAAAGAATGAATAAGACCCAGTATTTGCTACTACAACAGGGTGATCATAGTCAAAAATAATTTAATTATAATTTAAAAATAACTAAGAGTGTAATTGGATTGTTGGTAACAGAAAGGATAAATGCTTGAAGTGATGGATACCCCATTCACCCCAATGTGATTATTATGCACTGCACGCCTATATCAAAATATCTAATGTAACCCATATAGATATATGATCTATGACATATGACATATGACTATGATCATATGAAAATTTAAAAACCCATACAAATTAAAAAAATTTAAAAACATCAAGAGAACTTCAGAAGAGATACTTAGCAAACTGGAGAAATAGAGAAAACCTTGAACAAAACTCTTGGCATGCAAAGATCCAAAAATTTGAGTCTAAATTCTATCTAAGGATTATATTAGAATTTGGGTCTCAGTAAGTAAATATTGAAATGATTATTATAATAACCAAAATAATAAATAATCTGTCAGATACATAAAAATCTGAGGGAGGACTAAGAGGATAGTTATTGTCATCCAAGCTGGTGACCCTGACATGTGGAATCATGAGCTTCTCAAGGTCCCAAACTTGGGGTGAGAGGTGGGAAATTGGTGACGAGGAAAAGGTCGTGGGACTGTTAAAGAAGAGTTAAATTGATATAACTAAATGTTTCACAGGTAGAGTGTAATAAAATACCTAAAGATTCAAAATTCCAAACTATCATATGATTTGTAGTGCTGGTATTATGACAACTCTGTAAAAATGCTTATGAATTCATTTTACCCAATTTTATTAGCAGCCTCAGAAGGAAATTAAAGACTTTAATATTTAATTTTTCAACATTAAAGATCTCTTTAAGACATTAAATGAGTTATTAGAAAAGGGTAGAAACTATTTTACAAGATCATATTCTAGATCATGTTTTTCTTTGCCAATATCATAAAGTGTGCCACTACTTATTTTTAACGAGCAAATCCTACATTTGGAAAATGACGCAGAAGGGGCATATTCACAATAATAGAAATAACAGGCTTTGTCCTATAGTTAATTTTGTTCGTGATGCTATTTAATTTCTTTTAATAAAGAAGAGAAATGTAGGCAAATTAAAATAAAAATTCGGTCTTTCAAATCTATGTTTTCCATACAATTCTCTAATAACAACCAATTAGACACCTGATTTTAAGTTATTTTAGAGTGGTAAAAGATATGTATTTCATTTGTTTGCAAAAATATTTGATTTATTACTCTCAGAAACATAACATCACTGTACATTTGAAACTGATTTCTTAAAAAGAAAAAAGTGAACTTAAAGGTCTATTAATTTATTTGCCTATCTATTCTTTCAACAAACTTACCACCTTACTAAATTTAAAATATTGAGTAAGACGATTAATAGAGTTTGTGATTTGTTTCCCTTGACATGAATGTAAATTTTCATTTCACATTTTTCATGTAAAAATATGTAAATGGATACATTCAAGTTCAGCGATAATTCTGTTATCTGACAAGGATATGAAATGTAGTATGTGGTTAAACAAACATTTGGCTTAATAGGGCAATAGCACACATTATTGAAGAACTAAAATGCACATATTATAAAACCTATACTAATACTACTTAAATTTCTTCTTTGATTCAGATGATCTAAAAATCTCTTCATTATTTTATGGAATATTATATTCATTGTGGTCACTGTTATGCACATTAGCTAGTGCCATATGTTTAAAATGAACAGAAAATTCCATCTTGTGAACCAAGAGCATTTTGGTAGCTGCTCTCACATGTATGTAATTCAATACAGAGCTGAAAGGTATAGTCAGTTTTTCTACTCATCCATACCCATTCAAAACCATATCTTTTCTTTCATTAAGACTAAAACAATTTACGAAGGAGGACTGTTTGAAGTACTTTCTTTCCTGTCAGCCCTTGGGCTGATGATGTAATGCAATAATCCATCACGGAGCCAGGGATCCCTGCTGGTGGATTACAGCAGTGGATCATCCATGTGCTGCTGGGCCCTGTAATACACCATTACTGAGACACAAAAGCAAAGCAGCTTTGAAAAAACTAAAACTTCCTAGAAAAGCTTTGTTTAGAATTTTTTTAAAGTGTTATCAAAGATTGTAGGAGGTGGGAAATGTTTGATGGACTAATTGAACAAAACTTAAAAGTTTTTTTTTTTTTCAAAGATGATAGATTAGAGGTTTTCAGCACACCTCAACCACCTAGCAACAGCAAGATAGTACATAAAGATCAACTCTGTGGGCTTTAATTCAAGAAAGACAACAGGAATCCACTGGAATCTTGAAGGATACCCCAAAGCTTGAGAGGAAAACACTGGCAAACAGCCCCCATGATGGTGTCTGGTTGTTCAAAGTGAGTGAAGCCCCAGTATGTGAGAGAGACAGAGAAGCTCCCTTTGTGACTCACCTTTACACTGGGAATCCGAGCAACCCAGGTCGAGGGACAGGACTTTGCCTCTCCCAAGCCCTGGAATTTACTTAGGGAGAGGCTTGAAAATGCTGTGAGGGAAAGACACTGGGAAAAGCTGCAGACATTTCCCCAGATGCAGTAGGCACTGGAATTGTGCTCTCCCCCATTGTAAGCCTGGGGCAAGAAGAGAGCTGCTACAGCTACAGTTTCTCCTGGGTGGTGAGACTCGTAGCCCAGGCCAGCTTAGTGACCTGGAACTGATCTGCGTGTGCCATTGCTGGGTGCCCCACTCTGTCTCCCTGAGATTGTGGTGAAGCTAGGCCCTTTCTACTCTACTCCCAGGCAGAAATTCAGGCATCTGGAGCACTTGCTTGCCTGTACCAGCAGCCTGAGCCACCCATCCTTCTTAATCCTTCCTACCACATTAATTGTGGTACAGCAAGACTCTCTCTGCTCCATGCCCGGGCATCCAGAGAACTGGCTCACTTGTTTCAGCAGCCTGAACCACCTCACCCTTACTGTGCACAGATCTTGGTACAGAGGGACTCTCTCTGTTCTAAGCCCAAGCAGATCTTCAAGCATTAGGAGCAGCCTGATCACCTGGTTGACCAGCCTGGGTTGCGACACCCTTCCTAAGCATAGATGTGGTGCATCAAGGTCCTCTCTGATCTATATCCAGGCAGATCCTCTGGCATTCAGAACACTTGTTTGCCTAACTCAGCAGCCTGAACTTCCCCACTCTTCTTGTGCAGAGATCCTTGTGCAGGAGTACCCTCTCTGCTACATGCTCAGCAATATCTCTCGGCATTCAGAGCACTTGCTTGCTTGGTCCAACAGCCTGAGTCACTCCACCCTTCCTGTACAGAGACCCCTCTCTGCTCCATGCCCAGGCAGATCTCCAACCATTCTTCAAGACAGGTAGGCTCCAAGCCTGGTGAAGCAGACTGAGTCACCCCACCCCTCCTGTGTGGAGATTTTTGTGTAGGCAGGCCTTCCCTGTTCCACACTCAGTCAGGTCCACAAGGCATCTGGAGTACTCACTCTCTTGGATTAGGAGTTTAGACCACCCCCTATCCCCATGCAGAGAACTTGGAGCTAAGGAAGTTTCTCCTGAGTGTTTGTCACACCTCTGAGTGTCTTAGGCCACCCACTGGCTTCTTTCTTGGTGCTAATACTATGCCTGCCATCAGGGAACCTGCAGGTGGATGTGCCCCGGTCATCCCCTCCTGTTTTGGCTCCCTGCCCACACCACCTAGGGCTGAGCAGGGAGCTCAGACCATTGTACAGTCGTCAAATCAGCTGATTGCCTGAGACAACAGACAGCTTCTGCAAATAACTAAGAATCAAGTATATACCCAGTCACATTGGCTGCAGCCAGCTCTTACCTATAAGTGACATTTATGGGCTTGTAGGATGAACTGCCCAGCCCAATAGCCAATATAAAGCCTGCTGAAAGATGTGCATAGAGCTATAAAAACAATGCCAAATGACCCTGTCCAGCATTCTCTACAGTCACATCTCCTAGGGAGGGGGAAAATAGAAAGAGAAAGAAAAATAATAATTAAAAAACAATATTATAGAAGAAGAAGAAAATCCTACTTGCATAGAAATAATTACAAAAATTAGAAGTGCCAGCATCTCTGGATGAGAAGGGACCAGCATAAGAACTCTGTCACCACGAAAAATCTAAATGTAGTGACACCACCAAAGAATTGTACTAGCTCTCTGGCAATGATCCCTAACCAAATTAGAAACTCAGAAATGACAGAGGAATTCAAAGAATGGCTGCAAGGAAGCTCAATGAGATCCAAGACAAAGTTGAAAATCAACACAGAGAAATCCTCTAAATCAATCCAGGAAATGAAGGAAGAGATAAACATCTTAAAAAGAAATAAATCTCAGTTTCTGGAATTGAGAAACTAATTTCTGAAATAAAAAACTTAAGGAATTTCAAAATATAATTGAAAACTTTATCAATAGACTGGAAAAAAAACAGAAAAAATAATTTCAGTGCTTAAAGACAAGTCTGTTAAACTAAGCCAATCTGACAAAAAAATTTAAAAAAAAATTTTTAAACTGAGGAAAGCGTTTGAGAAATATGGGATTTTGTAAAGTTAGCAAACCTGTTAATTATTGGCATTTCTGAGAGAGAAAGAAAAAAGCAAACAACTTGAAAAACATATTTGAAGGAATAATAAAAGAAACTTCTCTAATCTTTCTAGAAAGGTAGACATTCAGATAGAAGAAATGAAAAGAACACTTATGAGATACTACACAAAATGAATATCACCAAGGCATATAGTCACCAGACTGCCCAAGGTCAATGCTAAAGAAAAAAAAAAATCTTAAGGGCAACTAGGTTAAAAAAAAAAAAAAAAGGGGGCAGATCACATACAAAGGGAACCCCATTAGGGTAACAGCAGACTTCTGAGCAGAAACCTTATAAGCCAAGAGAGATTGCGAGAATACTTTAAGCATTCTAAAAGAAAAGACATTCCAAACAAGAATTTCATATCCCACCAAACTAATTTCATAAATGAAAGAGAAATAAAATATAACCAAGCTCTAAGGGAATTTGTTGCCACTAGAACAGCCTTACAAGAGATCCTGAAGGGGGTTCTAAACATACAAACAAATAAATGATACCTGCTACCACCAAAACACACTTAAATACATAGTTTGTAAACCCTTTAAAGCAAAAATAGAATAAAACACAATAGAAACTACAAAACAACCAGCTAACAACTTCACAATAGGATCAAAACCTCATATATCAATATTAACCTTGAATGTAAATGGTCTAAATGCCCCACTTAAAAGGCACAGAGTGACAAGTTGGATAAAATAACAAGACTCATCTTTCTTCTGTCTTCAAAAGACCCATTTCACAAGTAATGACAACCCCTGGACTCAATGTAAAGGGTTGGAGAAATGTTTATTATGTAAAAGGAAAACAAAAAAGAGTAGGGGTTGCAATTCTTATATCAGATAAAGCAGACATTAAACCAACAACAGTAAAAAAAGGACAAAGAAGGGCATTACATATTAACAAAAGGTTATATTCAATGAGAAGACTTATCTATACAAAATATCTACACACCCAACCATAGAGCACCCGTATTCATAAAAAAGTACTTATAGACCTACAAAATAACTTAACCAGCAACACAACAGTAGTGGGGAACTTCAACACCCCACTGACAGCATTAGAAAGACTATTGAGGCAGAAAACTAACAGTGAAACTCTGGACTTCAACTTGAAATGTGACCAACTAGACATAATAGAAATCTACAGAATACTCCAACCATAAACCACAGGATATACATTCTCCTCATCTGCACACCGAAAATACTCCAAGATTGACTACATATTTGTCCATAAAGCAAGCCTCAATAAATTCAAAGAAATCAAAATCATACCAACCACACTCTTGGACCATGGTGAAGTAAAAATAGAAATCAATACTCGGAAGATCTCTCAAAACCATACCATTATATGGAAATTAAACAACTTAATCCGTTTGGGTAAACGATGAAATTAAAGCAGAAATCAAAAACTTCTTTGAAATAAAAATAGAGACACAACATACCAAAAGGTCTCTGATACAGAAAAAGCAGTGTTAAGAGGAAGGTTTATAGTGCTAAACGCCTATCTCAAAAAGTTAGAAAGGCCTCAACTTAATAATCTTAGCATCACCTAATGGAATTAGAAAAACAAGAAAAAACTAACTCTAAAGCTAGCAGAAGAAAAGAAATAACTAAAATCAGAATGTAACATAATGAAATTGAGACCTCAAAATCTGCACAAATATCAGTGAAACAAAAAGTTCTTTGAAAGGATAAATAAGATTGATAGATTACTAACTAGAATAAAAAGCAGAAAAAAAAGGAGAAGATCCAAATAAGCCCAATCAGAAATGACAAACGTGGCATTATAACCAATCTCACAGAAATACAAAAGATTCATAGAGAATATTATGAACACCTCTACACATATAAACTACAAAATCTACAGGAAATGGATAAATTTCTGAAAACACACCATCTCCCACGATTGAATCAGGAAGGAAACACTGAACAGACCAATATTGAGCTCTGAAATAGAATCAGTAATAAAAACCTGCCAACTAAGAAAGCCCCAGACCAGATGGATTCACAGACCAGCCAAATCTTACCAGAAATATAAGGAAGAGCCTGTACCAATTCTACTGAAACTATTTCAGAAACTTGAGGAGTAGAGTCTCCTCTGTAACTCTTTGTATCAGGCCAGACTCACCATGATACCAAAGCTTGCAAAGACACAGTGGAAAAAGAAAACTACAGGCCAATATCCCCGATAGGCATAGACATGAAAATCCTCAACAAAATACTATCAAATTAAATTCAACAGCACATCAAAAAGCTAATTCACCATGATCAAGTAGGCTTCATTCCTGGGATGTGAGGTTGGTTCAACATATGCAAATCAATAAATGTGATTCACCATGTAAACAGAATTAAAAACAAAAACCATATGATCATCTCAACAGATGCCCAAAAAGCTTTAGATAAAATCCAAAATCTCTTCATATAAAAACCCTCAAGAAACTAGGCTTTAAAGGAACATACCGCAAAATAAGAACCACGTCTATGCCAAATCCAGAGCCAATATCATACTGAATGGGCAAAAAACTGAAAGCATTTTCCTTGAGAGATGGAACAAGACAAGGATGTCCATTCTCACCATTCCTATTCAATATAGTACTGGAAATGCTAGCCAGAGGAATCAGACAAGAGAAAGAAAAAGCATTCAAATAATAAAAGAAAAAGTCAAAAATAAGTAGCATTTCTATAAACCAATAATATTAAAGCTATGAGCCAAATCAAGAATGCAATCCCATTTACAATAGACACACACAAAAAATACCTAGGAATACATCTAACCAAAGAGGCTAAAGATCTCTACAATGAGAATTTTAAAGCACTGCTGTAAGAAATCAGAGATGACAGAAACAAAAGCAAAAACATTCTATGCTCATGGATTGGAAGAATCAATATCATCAAAATATCCATACAGCCCAAAGCAATCTACAGATCCAATACTATTCCTATCAAACTGCCAATGTCATTTTACACAGCATTGGAATGTCATTTTACACAGCACTGGAAAAAAACAGCATTGGGAAAGCCAGCGCCATCACACTATGTAACTTCAAACTATACTATAAGCCTACAGTAACCAAAACAGCATGGTACTGGTACAAAAACAAGACACTTAGACCAATGGAACAGAATAGAGAACCCAGAAGTAAAACCACACACCTACAACCATCTATGCTTCGACAAAGTTGACAAAAACAAGCAATAAAGAAATGACTCCCTATTTAATAAATATTGCTGGATTAGCTTGCAAGCTATATGCACAAGAATAAAATGGCCTGTACTTTTTGCAATACACAAAAATTAACTCGAGATAGATTAAAGAGTTAAAGGTAAGACCTCAAGCTGTAAGAATAGTAGAAGAAAAAGCGCAACAAAGCCAAAAATTGACAAGTGGTACCTAAGTAAGCTAGAGTTCCTGCACAGGAAAATAAAACTATCAAGAGAGTAAACAGCCTACAGAATGGGAGAAAATATTTGTAAACTATGCATCTGACAAAGGTCTAATATCCAGGAACTTAAACAACTGAACAAGCAAAAGCTAAGTAATTTCATTAAAAAATGGGCAAAAGACAGGAACAGACACCTCTCAAAAGAAGACATACAAGTAGCCAACAAACACGTACAAAATTATCATCATCAATAATCATCAGAGAAATGCAAATCAAAACGACAATAAGACACTACCTCACACCAGCCAAAATGGCTATTATGAAAAAGTCAAAAAGAAAAAACAACAGATGCTGATGAGGCTGTGGAGAAAAGGGAATACTTGTACACTGTTGGTGGGAATGTAAATTAGTTCAGCTACTGTGAAAAGCAGATTGGAGATTTCTAAAGAACTTAAAACAGAGGTATCATTTGACCCAGCAATCCCATTACTGAGTATACATATTTAAAAGCCCAAATCATTCTACCAAAAAGACACATGCACTTGTATGTTAAATGCAGCACTATACCCAATAGCAATGACATGGAATCAGTTTCAGGTGCCCATCAATGGTGGACTGGATAACGAAAACATGGTACATATATGCCATGGAATATTATGCAGCCATTAAGAAGAACAAAATCATTTCCTTTGCAGCAACGTTGAAGCAGCAGAAGGCCATTATTCTAAATGAAATAAGACAGAAACAAAAAACCAAATACTGTGTGTTCTCAATTAGAAGTGGAAGCAAAATATCAGGTACTTGTGGACATAAAGATGGTAACCAGAGACACTGGGGTCTGCTGGAAGTTGCGGGGAGGGAGGAAAGCAAGGGTTGAAAAACTGTTGGGTACTATGCTCAGTACCGGGGTGATGGGATCACTCATGCTCTAAACCTAAGCATCACACAATATACCCAGGTAACAAACATGTATATGTACCCCTGAGTCTAAAATAAAAGTTGGAAAAGAGTAATTAAATGAAACATTAACAACTAAAAAAATCCTTCAAGGTGTAATACAAGGGAAAACAAAAGTTTTCTAGGTTCCAGTTAACATGGAAATTTACTTTGTATGTTAAAGAAACAACAAAAGTTCAATGAGAGAAATTAAGTTTAGAAATATCCATGGGCAGTGAATCTCATGAAAGGAGAAAAAATTTTTAAAGTGGGTAACTTCCTAACCTGAAGAATAAGGTTGATGCTCGTATTCTTAGAATATTTTCGATTCTACCTAGAAAAAAGAAATCTAGTCTAGTAGACAGTGGTATCCTGTAGTTAATAATAACCTTAATATAAACAGTACTTATTAATGAAAATTCTCTTTGTAAAGCTTAATTTCATCTGTTCTCCACTTTAAAATGAAGATCCAGGGAACTTGCTTGTGAACACAGAGCTAAAAAGTAGTGGCTAAAGATGTGAGTCTAAGTCTCTAGGCTTTAAATCTGGCTGTGTACAAAGGCTGTATATATCTTCCTCTCAGAGGTGTCAATAAAAACTGATATTTCATTTACCTAATCCTGTGCCTGACAGAGAGTAGCCATAGAATTAAAGCGATTTTTTTTCTTTTCTCTCATCCTCATTTAATCAGATGACTCTTCCTTGAATTATAGGCTATGACAACACACTAGATAGGAATCCATGGGAAGCTCACATTTCACAAGATGGTAGAACAGTCATAGGACTGTTTTAAACTTGTCTCATTTCTTAGTGCTAATTCATGGTTAGGATCCATAGTCATTCTCTAATTGAGGGCAATCCAACAGCTTCTTCAGCTGTTGGAATATAATGAATATATATAATGAATAATGAATATAAAATCTTGATTAAATTCAAGAAATCAATTGCACAGTACAGAATTGTACATAATGCAGTTGATAGCAGTTGCTCTTAAAAAGCAGAACAAACATAATGATTTTATCGATCATTGTATTAATGAATGAAAAATGTGAAGCAACTGCTCTCAAACTTGAGCCAATGGCAATAGTTTCTGATTAGTGAGAGGTTATAGTCCCTCCAAACTCAATCCATAACTGGATTACACTGATTGCTCCTAGATGTTTTATTGATACAAAATACAGAATGACGTTACCATCTGGAAACCATTTCATATTAGTAAGAGACAGAAGAACTGATTAAACAGAGCCTAGAGAAGGAGAAAAAAACCTAAGAATATGAGAGTTTTTAATTCTATTTGTGTGTGAAAGGTATGATATAACTACATTTATATTGCTCAAAAAATCATATCTAACACACATGAGTACAGAATTCTGGGGGGTCAGGTTGTTCCTCAATTTAGAAACTAAATTGTCCAAAACTAGTTTTGGCTGTATTTTTATGTAACTACCCCAGGAGTTAACTGTCATTGTTTGTTGAGCTAATGGTGACGATTCCTATATTAGATGGGATTTGGACCATCCATGTTAAGCTCTTCCAACCCTAGAATTCCTGCTTTTGTGGAAGCAGGTGGAAAGTGAGGCTCACAATTGAGACCAGTCCAATTGCCCCACAGAACTGACATTTATGATTTCTTTCAATACATATAGAAATTGATCCTCCCAGTCTTAAAACTTGAGAAAGTTACATTTGTCTTCTATCAGTTCCATTCTCAGGAAATCTACCATCAGACCCCGTGGATAGTATTAAGGAGCTGAAACTTACCAGATCACTGCAACTGGAAAATGAGACGCTAGTCCTGTCATGATTGTATCACTTGCTACCTGCTTCCTGTTGACTAACCTTTCTTCCTTACCCCTGCCTAATTCCTTCTTTTCCTATACATTGTTGGATTTCTTCCCTGCTATAGAAACCCCTAATTTTAGTCAGTCGGAGAGATGGATTTGAGACTGATTTCCCATCTCCTTGGCTGCAGCACATGATTAAAGCCTTCTTCACTGGCAATACTAGTTGTCTCAGTGATTAGCTTTCTGTGTGGCAAGCAGCAAGACGTAAACTAAACCCTAGTGTTTTGGTAACACAATCATAGAAAATATTGAATCACAATAAAACAAATTTTTATACAAGCACATAGCATGAATTAAATATTTTGCTCCTTCTATCTGGAGTGCAAATAAAATAATGTTTTCCTTTGGGAGATGTTGTAGCTCTGACATGTGAAATTCAGTGAGTAACAGTTATATGGTGATTTTTTTTTTCTGTCATTGCATTTCTAGGCTATGATCCATTAGGCTAAATATTATTCATAAAGAAGTTTTCCATCACAGATTTGGAGCTGATTTCACAGTACTTTATGCAACTTGATAGAAAAAAGGAAAAGGTAAAGAAAACACAGTCTATATTATTAAGTTGTTTAAAGTTTGATCAATATTTTCTCTATGAAAACAGAAATGACTATAGAAAGACAAACATCACATGTTTCCACTTACTTATTGGGATCTAAAAGTCAATATAATTGAAAACATGGAGATAGAGAGTAGAAGGATGGTTATCAGAGGCTGGGCAGAGTAGTAGAGGGGTTGAGGGCAGGAGGTGGGTATGGTTCATGGGTACAAAAAAATAGTTAGAAAGAATGAATAAGACCTAGTATTTGATAGTACAACAGAGTGACTATGGTCAATAATAATATAATTGGACAATTTAAAATAATTAAAAGAACTGATTGTAACACAAAGGATAAATGCTTGGGGGGATGAATAAAACTATTATATTGGCAATATGATAAAACTATTATAATAGAAAATATACAATTATTATATTGGAATAATATATATTCCTATATATTATATAGGAAGGAGACAAGATAAATATTTAGAGGAGAAAGAAAAGTGTTCACACTCAAAATTTTATGCTTTGCAGTCATCTCTTACAAAATACTTTACAGAAGTATAAGGATGAATATGAAGAAATGAGATGTTAGCAACTGAAGAAAAGCTCTTGTGGAAAGAACAATGCTAAATAAGAAACATATTCTTTATTGTAAATAAGAAATTCATTGTTAGAGAATGCCAAATATTTGTAATAATGAAAAAAAAGTTTAAGTTATTCATTACTATGGTTATGTAAAAGGATTTCCTATTTTGGGCAGGGGAGGAAGAGGAATGCTGATGTATTTAGGAGAGAGGAATCAGGATCTACAGGTCTACAACTTCTTCACAAATGGCTGAGAAAAAAACCAAACGAGATAGAATGTAAATGTGGCAAAATTTTAACATTTGAAAATCTGGATGAATTTCTTTGTATAATATTTAAAATTGTTCTGTGAGTGTGAAACTATTTGAAATAAAAACTGAAAGAGTAAAAAAGTAATGGCTTCTGTTTATAGAGCATGTGTGTGTGTGTGTATGTGTTTGTGTGTCTTTATTTTGGCGTTCTAGAGATGAATAAAAGGAAAAGAATTCATGCTAAAAATCAGGAATATATTTAAAAACGGAATGTCTATTTTGCATAAGAAAGAAAATCTCGTAAGAAATTGATTTCATCTGGCCCACTTCAAGTACTCATGAAATGATACTGCTGTGGCTTTAATGCTGCAACTAAGAGAATGAAATCAATCCCCCATGGAGGCTGTCATGGCATCTTGTTAAATGCCTAGCGAAGGTTAAGCATAATAATAATAGCTGAAGAGCAGTGGCTAGTGGATAATTGCTGAAAAGCTCATTGGAATTTCAAAGGTTAGGGATAGCAGGTGATAACTTACTTTGATGACTATAGTACAAATAAACTGTGGAATCCAACCAGCCGCCTAACTTGATTAACACATCAGCCTCATAGCCTAGGGAACTTGTCCCTTGCTGCTTGTCTCAGTTTTTTCTCTTCTGTGTGATCTTCTCTTTATAAATATTTCTTTGTCTCTCCACCTCTTTTAGAAAATCTCTTACCTTGTTGGGCTTTCTTTCTCTTTTCCATTGCCCACCTATTTACTAGATCCTGATTTTCTTTTTCATCCATTACTGACTGTATAATCAGAGCAAATTGTATTTTATAAAATTTAGTTGTTGGGTTTAGTGAATATAATATGACACTTAGAATATTATACTTAGAGCTGAGTTTTTCAAATGTTTCTCTCAATTAAAAATTGCCCACAAATTGATATTTCCTGGGATTTGGCTCTTTACTAATTTGTCTGTAGTTAAGTAACACTTGAAAAATGGACCAAAATTTAACCTTAGTTACAGACGTATAGATATTAAGAGTAAAAAAAACCTCACAAATATCTTATTTCATAATTGGCTTTCAAAGTGCCAGAATTCAGAGTAAGTAGTCTTGCTTCTATGGTAGTAGCCATTTCCTAGGGAGCTGGTGAATGTATTTTACAACAGATGCAATACTACCGAGGGTATACTGGATGAATAGCAGCCTGGCTATTCCTGAGTTGACTCAGGAGTTACTCAGTAAAGAATTCTTCTCTAATAACCAGAGAAGATTTTTTTGTATCTTTTCATTTTGTACATCTCGAAGACTGCAAAAACACAATTTTTGAAAAAGGAGACTGAAAAAAAGTTGAGTGCACTCAGTAGTAGTAAGGAGCTTACCATGGCCTGGATTAAAATAGAAAGTGAAGGGAAAGGCCTAAGGAATGCAGACTGTTGGATAACAAGGTGGAGTTCAGGAGCCAGGACATGATGAACTGGCATCTACACTAAGCCTTGATTGTTTGATTAATGGCTTTTTCAAACTATGGTACATATATCCTGTCTTGCCTCCCCTTATCACCTCCTCCAGCCCCTCACTCTCTAAAATACATTTATACCCACACAAAATAACACTATTCCAACTAAGTGTTTCTCAAACATTAATGTACACACAAACACCTTGAGAATTTTGCTAAAATGCAAATTCTGACCCAGTAGATTTGGAACAGGGTCTGAGATTCTGCATTTATAACAGCACCAAGGTATGCCCGGGGCTTCTGATCCATAGACAACACTGAGTAGTAAGGCTATATATCACAATGACTTTCCAGGGAATTTCAATGATATTCTATTTTATATTGTCTCTAATGTTTATATGGTTAGAAATGTTATCTCTTCTTTCACCCAGATTTATAAACTTTTGGGGTTTGGTTTCTACTTATATTTTATTTCCACATAATATACATTATAGTTTCAGATACGTAGTGGGCATTCAAGGAATACACGCTCAAATAAATTCTATATTAAATGTATTACTTTACAAAGTCTTTGAACACAAATTTTCTTCTTCGCATTTGAGAAACGTGTGAAATTTTATTGGTTAGCACATGAAAATAAAAGGAGACTAAAAACTGTAATTGATTTGAGGAGTGAGTGAAAACACACTTAACAAGGTAAGTAAACACAAAGCATACTGC
This sequence comes from Homo sapiens, assembly GCF_000001405.40. Classification (NCBI taxonomy): domain Eukaryota; kingdom Metazoa; phylum Chordata; class Mammalia; order Primates; family Hominidae; genus Homo; species Homo sapiens. Next base: position 174,158,115 of record NC_000003.12, on the reverse strand, counting down.
TGTTCTTTCGTCCGATCTTAAAGTCATTTAGACATAGCATTTCATTTGTCACCAATACTCTCTTCTACTTACGACCCTCCAGAAGCTCCATAATAGAAGGGACTAGTGGGCTGGACAATGTACTTTCTACTTAAGGCAGAAGAAAATAAGTAATTTTTGTAAGTGGTGTTAGAATCCTGGTTGATGTTTAAGACTAAAAAGTATTAAAGAAAAATAGTGGGAGTGAGTGTTCTAAGGGTGGAAAGGAAGAGATTTAAGGAAATATCTTATATACACTTATGATGCTGCTTCTAAACTTTTATCTCTCTCTGCCCCAATCTGTTTTCAATCTCCTTGCAGAACTCTTTCCTTGCTTCTTCCCCATGCTTGGAAAAGAGATCACTGAAAATATGATCAAGACAATCTATTTCCAGCAGACGAAGAGGTTAAGGTTGCAAGTAAAAGTTCCCAGCATCATTAGAGTTTAAAGAGACATTGCAAGTATGTCGTCCAAATTCTCTTTACTACAAATTTCTAACATTTACTGAAGACCATCATTGTGTTAGGCATTTTGTTTCCTTTTAGTCTTTTTGGGTGGAGGGGGGTTACGTCAACTATCGTTGGTAGAAAAATTCAAAGCACATTAAAAAAAATGAATATCTGAATTATCTAAACCCATTGATGAATTTTTTTAAAAACCTTTCATCAATCATATTTAATAGTGACTTATAATACTTATTAATAAGCACAAGTGGAGATGTCATATAAAAATATACCACACTGTTTATTTTCCTTAATATGCTAATACGCAATGATGAGAAAGAGGGGGAAAAACGTGTTCTAAGGTTACCAGTTACACTGGGTTTTGTGTGTATGTTTTTAGTTAAATAAGCATCTTATTAAGAAGCATCCTTGAATATAAATGATCTAAAAATCTTGTTCACAGCACTTTGGTCAACTTGGCTTTGCACTGAAACATCCGTTTTTTCCTCCAACACATCCACACATCCTCAGGTCCACCACTCACCAAGTGCCTTTGAAATTCTTGCATTAGTGTAATATGTAATTAAAATACAGGCCTTTTACATTTCATTTAAGGAATATATATACATATATTTTTTTCTACATTTATATTATATATATAAATATACATATATTCCTTAAATAAGACTATGTAGAAAGACAAAGTTTAATTTTTAAAATCACGCAATTTAAAATGAATCTATGCAAATGATAGTGGGATATTTATATTTTCTAGAGTAAGTGTTGCTATAGTGCAGAAATATAGTAAATGTAGTTTACAATTAACTTGCCACGTAGCTTTGCAATAGTGCTATTTTTGATAATGTTTTGTTTTACATTTTGACATTAATCACAAATTTTGGGCAAAAGTCAGACTTTGTTAATATTATCAATATCATACTTTTTCAGATTTGCACACTACAAACTGTACTTTACCTCTTAAATATGAAGACCTCCTTAAGTGAGAACCCCCTTATGTTTTATATTAGACTATTTTAAAATTCATATCATTCTTAAAACAATACCTTTGATACACTAAATATGGAATCTTACTCTCAAATCTATTAATTTTAGAGAAAAATCTCACTTTTCCCTGACAAATGACTAGTTATACAGAGTCATTGCGTGAAAGGTGTTTCCAAGTGTTCCATTCAAATAACATCGTCTTACTTTCATTTCGAGAATGGGCAGCGTTAAAAAAACAAAACGAAGCAAAACATTAGGTCAAAAAGAAAACACAGGCAACAAGGCTGAACATACTTCGGGGAGCCCAGCTGACCCTGCCAGAAATATCTCCTAGATAGCTTTCCCAGAGAAATACAATGTTCCGGAAATAGCTGTTAGTTAAAAACATTTACTATAGTATTAAGTCAGCTAACTGGCTTAAATGGTATTCCTAAAGTCACTATCTAGCAAATAACAAGTTTCAGCCACCTTTACTCCATACATGCGTTAAAGTAGAAAAGAAGCAGGGCGTGATGTTATATGTTTAAAAAGAACGTTTTCTACCAAGACCTGTACCACTGCTCTTTATACCTTAACTAGTTAAATGTAGTAAATGTTCTTCTCACAGCCTAGGTACTTAAAATAACCAATATGTGCCTTAAATTTAGCCTCCTGACAGTTTATGTTATTATGTAAAGGTGTTTCAAAGTATTGTAGCTAGATTATAAATGAAGACAGAAACACTTGTAAGGAAACAAATTAAAGGAATAACTTTATGTCCTTGCTCTAAGGCTTACAAAATAGATTTCACTAAGATTGGCTTTGCTCCCTGAAAACACCACAAGCCTTTTATTTTTTAAAATTACAAAAAAATAACGTTAGCATATACACACTCCAGTTCTTGGTACCCTTATTTCCCTACTCATTTCGATATTTCTTTATTCACTTTGCATGTTCTTGCTTATTTTTAAAGCAATTTATGCTATATGCTACTTCTGCAATATAAGGCATCTTTAGCCAGGAAGACATTTCTTTTGTCTGAAAATGAGAACCAAATGGGAAAAAAAAAACTCCATTACAACCTTAGTAGCTATGTTATTTGATAGAACATTGAAACCTGAAAAACACACAATAAGATTTCCCTATATTGTCTAATGAAAAGTTTGCAAGTATATTTTCACTATACATTGTTACGAATGCTTCAGTCTCCCCTGACAAATGGTCTGTAGCTAATCTCTGCAATCTTCTCTTGCAGTACTACAGCTTAAAAGATTCATACCATCAAACACTGTACCTCAAAGACTAATGTCTACTTTCCAAATTTCAAATACTGTAGCCTAATAAAAATTTAAGGAGTCTGAGTTCCTCTCCAGGGAGCAGCTGTCAAGCATCTCTTGAAAGAAAAAAACATAAACAGCCTCCACCTAGAGTATCAACGTCTTGTCTTTGAGAAAAGACATAGTAAGGGCAAGTATTTTTAATAAAAAAAATGCAAGTTATGCTATTTGATGTTAAAATGATGGGCTTTAGATCTCTCAACTGTGTAACAAAAGCATTCCAAATATTTAAGATAAAACATCTTAAATATTTAAAATAATATAAATATTTTATATTAAATAATATATAAATTATATTATTATAATTTTATATATTTATATCAATATATAAATATATATAATATATAATATAATATATTATATATAATTATATATTATATTATATATTATATATAAAATATAAATTAAATATAAATATCTTAATATAAAATGAAAATGAAAATCTTTATATCTATCTACTATATATACTATATCTATCTACAATATATCTATCTACAATATCTATATATCTATCTACAATATCTTTATCTACAACATATATACTATAAATACACATGCATGTATATAAATACATATACATACAAACATATGCACAACCATCTACATATACACACACACAATCTACTTAGGGGGCATTTTTCCTATGTAATCACTTTCATTGTCAGTTTTCTGCACAAAGTCTGACTTATCTTGCTTATAGCTGTACTTCATTAAGTCATGACTGCCCTGGAGACAAAACAAAGTTCATTTTAGTTCAGCAACATTTCACATTTTGCTCTCATTGTAACACATTTCATCAATGATCCTTCATTTACACTTTCCGGTTCAGTAAAATTCCTTGTAGTAATATTCCTTCATAAAAACTTGATGTGAAAAATCTTGTGTAGAAAGGACCAAATCACTTACTTTGTGTCACCTACGGAACAATTTATTTGAGAACAGGGAGCCCTAGATTAAATGGGAAATATTGTCACTCTCTTCCACGGAAATGCAATCTTATTTTTTCCATTACAGCACTTAAAAGTATATTTATACTATCACCCTAAATAATAAAATTTATTTTTAAAAATCTGGTATTGAAGTTCTTTATAAAATGAAGCATAAACTCTTTGGTGATTCATTTTCTGTCCAGGATGCCTTCTGCTGACGTCAACTTTGAGAAGAAAAAAATGCTATTCTTAAAGAATGATGATAGTTCTAGATGTCTTCCTGATTCCATAATAACCTAATATAATTCAATAAAGATGAATTATCATCAAAATTTTGCCATGGGCCATTAACCACATATGGAAGTGAATCACAGTTACATTTTATTTTGGTTACATTGTGGTTCACTCTTTTGTGAATGCCAAAGACAATAAAATACACAAATAGAGAAATTCACAGCCATTTTGAATTGGCTAGTGTTTGGAAAAATAGCAACTAAGTCAAAGGAGAGAAATTCAGCTGAATTCACTCAAAGCACAGGCATGTACCACCATGTTTGGCTTAAAAAAAATTTTTGTAGAGACAAGGTCTCATTATGTTTCCCAGGCTGATCTCAAACTCCTGGGCTTAGGCGCTCCTCCCACTGTGGCCTCCCAAATTTCTGGGATTATGGATGTGAGCCACTGTAACTGGCCAATTTCAGAATCTTCAGAGCTCAATATGTAGCTGATTTTTGAAAAAAAGTTATACTATAACATATTGTGATTTTAATTATGAGCCAACTTTAACTCAATTTAAATTCAATAGAATCATAAACATTTCAAAGATGTTTCCTGTTTTAAAATCATGAAAACATAAGTATATATACAAATGTGATTATTAAGTTGTAGGGTTGATGTTAGAAACCAAGATAATGCTCAAGACCTCTGGACAGACAATATGATATATTCACTGCAATTTTCTCTGTAAGCAAAATTCTACATCTGTCTATACCTATAGGTATTTTAAATGTATGTGGGAAAGTGAATATCATGTCCACCTTCACGTTTGTTTCAAACCTAAGGAAAATTGAGTTTAACATTGTCCTTGAAATGTTACCTTGCTTACATTAGTATAATCATCATACTGAGCATTGTCCAATGAATGCAACTGTCACAATTTATCAATATTATAAATTGTGGTAAATTCTATGAAGTGTTGAGGAAAAGTCGAATAAGGGAGTGACATATTATAGCTAAGCCTCTTCAAGAAGTGCCATTTGAACTAAGATTTGAAGCCTATGAAATCAGTCAATAAAAGAGGCTGGTTTCCCATGTAGAGGACCTGAACTGGTATTTTATGTCTGCAAAGCATAGTGATGGAGATGGGAGGCAGGAAGTAAAGTCAGAAAGGTAGGCAAGGGCTAGATCAGAATTTAGAAGAGACAGGCAAGGAATGTACATTTTATTCTAAGTGCATGAAAAGATAGTAAAGACTTTTAAGTAGATGAATAAAATGATTTGATAAACTTTAAAAAGTCATCATACTAGGTGCTGAACAGATAATAGATGACAGATGTGGATGGTTTAGGATTATCGTGTTATATTAAGTATCTGGTTTTCTTAGTTGGAGATTAAATAAAAAATGTTTCCACATAACATTATAGGACTCACTTGATGCTCAATGAATACTATGTGTCAGCCTAAATGATATGTCCTTTAAACCTAATATGTTTAATAAGCAAAGTACTATTAATTTTTTTATTTTATATATATATTTTTATTATACTTTAAGTTCTAGGGTACATGTGCACAGCGTGCAGGTTTGTTACATATGTATACATGTGCCATGTTGGTGTGCTGCACCCATTAACTCATCATTTACATCAGGTATATCTCCTAATGCTATCCCTCCCCGCTCCCCTGACCCCACAACACGCCCTGGTGTGTGATGTTCCCCTGCCTGTGTCCAAATGTTCTCATTGTTCAATTCCCACCTATGAGTGAGAACATGCGGTGTTTGTTTTTTTGTATTTTTAAATCTTTAAATATTTCTTTGACATTAAGAACATCTGTTTGTTTTTCCTTGTGAAGAATCTAAAATACACTAAATATGGTTTAGATGATATATTTATGTATATAGAAGGATAGACATATATATAGAAGGATAGACATATAGATATAGACATAAACTTTTTTCCTATTTGAATATTATGTGGTACATTTGAGATAATTCTAGATGAAAAGTTTAGCTCTACTTCTCTTCAAATCTAAAGTTTTAGTTAATGATTTTTATTTCTCACCATTATATTTTGAAATTCAGAAGAAGACAAATATCAGACTTGTTCTGGATGAAAACTTTTGAATGTAAGGCCTTTTCATAATGTTCTGATATTAGAACAGATACGCAAAGGTGTTTTGGTATCTGTATTCTTTCTCTAACAGTTATTTTTTTCTATTCACATTATGAGGTTCAAAAATTGGTATATGGAAGTTCATGGTATATATATTTTTTTCTCAGCAAACTTTTAACTCAGAAATGGAGTTTTAAAATAATTTTTTTTGTCCATCTGTAGTGTGGAAATCAGTCGAAGAGCAAAAGAGGAACTCTTTCGAAGACTTTAGGAATATCTGTGTCTCATTTAATACTCAAGTGATTCAGGCAGCACATTTGTTCTAGATCAGTCACTCAGCGCTTAATGCAGAAAACTTTGTAGAACTAGGTTACACAAAGGAAACCCATCAACATAACACAATGATCTGAGTAAATCTGTATCAAGCTGTGCAAGTTTTCAGAAGGCTATGTAAAGGTTTACAAAGAACAAACATTCTAGAGATTCATAGAAACTTAATCTGTCTGTCATACGTTTTTATTAGAACTTTATTAAAAAAGATAAATACATTCTAATTTAGAGGCCTCAGGACAATTCAACATTTCAGAGAAATGCAAGCCCATATTATGGCAAAGATGTCAGAAGAAATTTTAAACATCATGCACATAATCAGCATATTCAATATTACAGCAACTATTTCAAATACTCTGATGAAATTAGGAGATAATGAAGGTAGAAAGTAAAAATTATGACTATTAACAAATACAGATTGATCAATTCATCAACAGATAGCAACCTTTTCACTAATAAACATCTTTTTTATAAGGTACTATACAAAAACATGTTATTAAGCTTGTAAAAGTGAGGGTAAGTGAGGAATTAACTAATTTTATATAATCCAATGTTTCAAAGTGAAGGAGTATTTTTTTTTTGGCTTTCTATGTGTAAAAGACACCACTCATCAATATATGATATCGCAGCTCTACTCTGTTAGGTATACACATTTATATAGAAGAGAAAGAGGGGATTATGTGAGCTGTAGAGATGTTTCAGACTTGGGGGAAAAAAAAAGTCTATGAACCAGATAATTCAAAGGCAGAGGAGGGTGTCCACAATGAGAAAAATGCTATTAAGACAAATGGCCTGCTAGATAGAGTATGGCTAGTTTGAGAGGACGTAGTTGATGTAATTATTGTACTACAATGACCAGCATGCTACAGGACTAATTTTTGTTTAGGAATGTTTATTATCAATAACTTAATCTTTGATTATTTAATGTTTTCCTATGCCACTGTATTCTCCAACATTACGGCTTTCTACTCTCCATCCCTGTACTTCCTGCTCCAAATAGAAGTAGTGATTTATCATTTCTTCCTAATATTTACCTTTTGAATCTCTGCTAGATAATGGGTATGACCTTTAATGATAGCTGCAGCAATGATCAGATAAGAGACTTCAGTATTCATATGGTTTCTTATTCGATTATGCTGTGTAACTTTCTTAATTTGGGCTTAACTGCAGGTCCAAATGTAATTCTAGGAAGGTAGGGTTGGCTCTAGGACAGTGGTTCTCAAATAGGGGCAATTTTACTCTATAGGATTCATTTGGCAACGCCTAGGGACATTTTTGTTTGTTACAACTGAGAAGGTGCAGAGATCAGTAATGCTATTAAACATCCTACAGTGCACAAGAGAGTCCCCCACAACATATAATTTATTTGTCACAACATGTCAATAATGCTGAAGTTGAGAAACCCTGCACTAGAAATATTTGTGGTTTTGTAACAACTTTTCTGAAATACATTAACTTTGATACAGAAAAGAGAGGATGCAGAATTATTTTTTGTAGGTGCCAGTATATATTTACACTTAAAATATTAATAATGCCCACTATGTGGTCATATTTCTGATATTTTAGAGAAATAACTAAGTTTCTATTGAATAGCTATATATTGTCCATGTTACTAGCTGTGCAATGGCAACTTCTACAGTGGTAACTACACTGTGACTGGTTTGCTAATTTCCAATTATAGCGTATAAGGACAGGGACAAATAATGTTTTTAAGATTCTTTCAGGGAAAAGTAGTAAAATGTTGGAGATTATGAATCAATAAGTGGTGTAATTTATCCATGTATTGAATATACACATCTTGAGTTTCTTTACAGGAAAATATGACTTTTTAAGTCACACTTTACCAGAATGCAACATCTGTTTAATCCAGCTTGTTTTCCTTTTTTTCACCTAGTTATTCAAAAGCTCTCAAACCAATTTAATACCCAACCTCAGTGATGTGCTTATCCAGGTTTTCTATGCTACTCAATTTTCTTTTCTTTAGTCTCTACTGTGTTATTATTATCTATCATATCTTGTAAATCACTTCAAATATTTTTAGAGATCTTTGGGTTAACATTTTAGAGTTTTATTAAATTTATCAATATTTCTTTAATGGCTACATTATTTTCATAAAGTGGTGATAGTTTTAAAGGCCATAAATAATAAGAACCTAGCTGCCCTTACATTCAAGGATGTTTATAATTTGATATGAAATAAAGAAAATCATGCTAACAACTATTGAACAAAGCATAAACATTAGAGAAGATAGGGACAGATTAAGTGTACAGAATGCTGAAGTCACTTTTCTTTGTGAAGCAGAGAAATATTAAAGCTTTGGGAAAAAGTGGGCTGCTGAAATGTAGAATTTTAACACATGCAGAAGTCAGAAGAAGAAAGCATTTCAAAGGAATGCCATGGAGGGAGGTGGAGATGAGAAATGGCTAGGTTTGGGTTACAGTAAGAATTTTTGGTAGATAGTATTGTTAGCTTACTCCACAGTGCTGGCTAGTTATGACTGTGTGATTCAATTCTGGCCAATGAAACCTTGGGGGACATCAAAGGTGGGTTTAATGCTACTCTGAAAGTTTTTTCTCCTCACTAAATGTAAATGTATGAGAGCTTAATGAAGTCATGCCTGTTGGATGAAGTTTTGCCTTAGGAACTTCTTTTCTACCCACTAAGAACTTCCTTGTTCACCATGTTTTGCAAATCAAAGTATCCTAATTGATAACATAATCAGATGTGACCAGAACATTAGCACACATAAAAGAGGAGTAGGAAATAATGTAAGAAAAAAATGTGTCCTATTGTTAACAGGTTTTGAATGACACACTGCAATACCTTGTACTTCATTTGGTATGCCTGTGGAAGGCCTGCAATAGCAGAATAATATAATTGTGGAAATGTGGAGTACAAGTAATAAATGCTTTACTTTACCACTGTATCATGCACATACTAGGGCCAGGGACACAGTAAATGCTAAGTAAACATTTGATGAATAATATGAAGGAAAGAAATCACACAAATAGTTATTATAGAGCCTTAATGGCCAACTATTTTTGATTTCTATTTAATAATTCTATTTAGATTTAGAGCAAGTAAAGTTTCTTCTAACCCATGCAAAAGTGTATATGATGTATTTATTAAACAGATTTATATACTTAATTAGGAGGAGACGATTAAGTGCTAGTAAATTGGGTTATGCTGCTGAGTATTAATTATATGTTACTGAAAACAGATTTAAAGATAGGCAAGAGAGTAGGAAAGAGAAAAAATGCAAGTGTAGCTATAGGGTTATGGCAATTTGGTATGTATTTCTAAATTAGCAGAGGGGAATGTATATTTATATTTATTTAAGCACTTTTAAAGTGGAGATGTACTTACCATAGAGTTGTAATTACTTAACACCCTATCATTTCTTCTGGGAAATGTATGACTTCTGTAGGATTGTATTATCTAGGACATATTGTGTCCCCTTTTACGTGTAATCTAAGCTACTAAAACTGAACAGAAACCTAACACATTCACAAGTAACACATTTTTCTAAGGACCTCTTTTCTTTTAAACCAGAAAAACAGTGCAACATCTACAAATGGGAAAATACCCATACTCCTTAATCAAATTGGAGAACAGCTCATGTTTGTCACTGAGAAAGTTAATTCATTGTTCAGTTTAGTAGCTTGAAACTGTTATGCCATGTTCTTCACTGAATGACACACATTCTTTTGTAGAAGTGTTCTTCTGCAAAATGCACACCAGAATGTTGGTAATTGGGGCATGCAAATTTGTTCTGCAACTAAGAACAAGAGGAGGATTTAGAAGCTATTTTAATGTGGTAGTTCATTTATGTTTAAAGTATAATAATATTCATGTCATTATCATGTATTATTCATATGCAGTGTTTGAAGTGGAGGTCTTTCCAAATATATTAAGAAACTCTTATTCACAATAATCTAATTAATTCCCACACCCTTTCTTCCTCTGATTTCAGCAGGTGTGAATCTTTAGGCTGAATTATATCACAGGTTTTAAACTAGCACGTTTTCGGCCAGATCCAGTGAGCAATGTGTTTTGCTTGGCCCACACGGTTTTTAATTTTCAAAAATTACTTTCCAGAATTTAAAAATGTGAAACCCTGTCTCTACTAAAAATATAAAGAAATTAGCCGGGCGTGGTGGCAGCCGCCTGTAATCCCAGCTACTTGGGAGGCTGAGCCAGGATAATCACTTGAACCCAGGAAGTGGAGGTTGCAGTGAGCCGAGATCGCTCTTTTGCACTCCAGCCTGAGCAAAAAGAGCAAAACTCTGTCTCAAAAAAAAAAAAAAAAAAAAAAAAAAAAAAAGCCATGAGCCATTACACAAAAATTCAGATTTTCATTCCCCTTTGCAAGATCAGAAGCACTGGCAACAATGGACCTACACCGCGTAGCAACAATTTGCTCTTGTTCGGTAGACCTGTAGGTGGGGCCCGTGCGCTCTGACTCCAGGTAGCCTCACTTTCATTGGTCTCCTGGAGCCGGGAACTTTTACAGACGCTACCTATGACATCCTTACACAAACCCTAGTTCACCTGGGTAATCTAGGCTTAGCTGTGGTTTGGCATTAACAAAAAATACCGGCCGTAACTAGAATGCTTTTTCTATAACTGGGGATGACGGGGGAGGCCAATCTCAGCTATCAGGGATTCACTGGGTATCTACATACCGATAAACCATCTTGAACAAAAGTTTTCCATTCTGCTTCAAAAGATGTTTTACATTCTTGTTCAAGTATAACTTTTATGAACGGAATTTTCTTCTCTTAAACCTGTTTTATGTAAACACTACTAAGAAGAATGGTATACTATATATTACAAATTATTTTTAAAGGTCTACTTTGTAATTAAGATTCATGTCAGCCCGGCGCAGTGGCTCACGCCTGTAATCCCAGCACTTTGGCAGGCAGAGGCGGGTGGATGCCCTGAGGTCAGGAGTTTGAGACCAGCCTGGCCAAGATGGTGAAACCCCGTCTCTACTAAAAATACAAAAATTAGCCCGGCGCAGTGGCGGGTGCCTGTAATCCCAGCTACTCGGGAGGCTGAGGCAGGAGAATCGCTTTGACCCGGGAGGCGGAGGTTGCAGTGAGCCAAGATCGCGACACTGAACTCCAGCCTGGGCAACAAGAGCAAAACTCCGTCTAAAAAAAAAAAAAAAGATTCATGTCAGATATTTTATAAAGAATTTTATTTGAATGATCTTTAAACATTTAAAATAATTTGCTTTTCTTTAAAATTAAAACTAAAAACACGTTTGCTGATCATTAACATTTATTGAGCAGTTATTAGTGGTTATAAATTGTGCTGATTATATACTTTATCTTATTTAACCTCACAAAAATCATATTGTGTGTGCTATTGCTATTTTCATTTTACACCTAGAGATAAAACAACTTGCCTAACAATGCTTCTTTAAAAATCTTAAAATATTTGATAGACAACAATTGTATATACTCAAAGTGTACAACATGATGATTTGCTATACATATGTCTTGTATATCCGAGTAACATTCTTAACCACTTCAGAAGTGTAAAAGAATAGAAGGAAAGAAAGAGGAAGGGAGGGAGGGAGAGAGGAAGGAAGGAAGGAAGGAAGGAAGGAAGGAAGGAAGGAAGGAAGGAAGGAAGGAAGGAAAAGAGTAGAATAGATTAATAGGTTATATTAAGGTACATGCATATATTAATAGTAAATTTTGATTCTTAAACTTTTGATGCAGTTACAAGGTTTGTGAATGCGTGTGAGCAGGCACAAGTGTGTGCACACACACTAGTCATGATGTAAAATAGTTTTTTCTAACAGAAATTTGGTCAAAAGAGTTTTAAACTACTGCACTATGGCACATTGCTCCCTCCTATTGGAGTTTGTAATATTTAATTAAGTTTTGTTGATATTTTAGGTAAAAGTGAAGTTTAGATTTAAACAACTTTTAAAATATATGCACCGTTAGCCTTACAGTGCATAAAATTATTAAAATGTATTATAATTTTACTAATCAAGAATGATAGCCATGTCCTAGACTTTCAGAGCATTATCTAGTCTTTTAAAAAGGAGAATTCTATTGGAATACAATCAAATGTGCTGCAAAATGCAAGTAGCAATGTCAAAGACAAGAATGATGATTCATTTTTAAAAAGCAGGTGTAATATATGTTTTTCAATGCCTTTTTGTTTAACTATTTTGTCTATTTTATCTGTTTTTTTTCTTTTTCTTTTTTTTGAGATGAAGTCTCACTCTGTCACCAGGCTGGAGTGCAGTGGCGCCATCTTGGCTCACCGGAACCCCTGCTTCCCGGATTCAAGCAATTCTCCTGCCTCAGCCTTCTGAGTAACTGGAACTACAGGTGCGCGCCACCAAGCCCAGCTAATTTTTGTATTTTTAGTAGAGAAGGGTTTTCATCATGTTGGCCAGGATGGTCTCGGTCTCTTGACATCATGATCCACCCACCTCTGCCTCTCAAAGTGCTGTGATTACAGGCGTGAGACACTGTTCCTGACCGTCTGTCTTATCTTAAACATCTTATTTCTGTAAATACAAAATAGGTAACAAAAACAAGCAATGGGGAAAGGATTCCCTATTTAATAAGTGGTGTTGGGAAAACTGGCTAGCCATATGCAGAAAACTAAAACTGGACCCCTTCCTTACACCTTATACAAAAATTAACTCAAGATGAATTAAAGACTTAAATGTAAGACCTAAAACCATAAAAACCCTAGAAAAAAACCTAGGCAATATCATTCAGGACATAGGCATGGGCAAAGACTTCATGAATAAAACACCAAAAGCAATAGCAACAAAGGCCAAAATTGACAAATGGGATCTAATTAAACTAAAGAGCTTCTGCACAGCAAAAGAAACTATCATTAGAGTGAACAGCCACCTACATAATGTGAGAAAATTTTTGCAATCTATCCATCTGACAAAGGGCTAATATCCAGAATCTACAAGGAACTTAAACCAATTTACAAGACCCCATCAAAAAGTGGGCAAAGGATATGAACAGACACTTCTCAAAAGAAGATATTTATGTGGCCAACAAACATATGAAAAAAAGCTCATCATCACTGGTCATTAGAGAAATGCAAATCAAAACCACAATGAGATACCATCTCACACCAGCTAGAATGGCGATCATTAAAAAGTCAGGAAACAAAGGATGCTGGAGAGGATGTGGAGAAATAGGAATGCTTTTACACTGTTGGTGGGAGTGTAAATTAGTTCAGCCGTTGTGGAAGACAGTGTGGTGATTCCTCAAGGATCTAGAACCAGAAATACCATTTGACCCAGCAATCCCATTACTGGGTATATACCCAAAGGATTATAAATCATTCTACTATAAAGACACATGCACATGTATGTTTATTGCAGCATGATTCACAATAGCAAAGACTTGAAACCAACCCAAATGCCCATCAATGATAGACTGGATAAAGAAAATGTGGCACATATACACCATGGAATACTATGCAGCCATAAAAAAGGATGAGTTCATGTTGTTTGCAGGGACATGGATGAAGCTGGAAACCATCATTCTCAGCAAACTAACACAGGAACAGAAAACCAAACACTGCATGTTCTCACTCATAAGTAGGAGTTGAACAATGAGAACACATGGACACAGGGAGGGGAACATCACACACTGTGGCATGTCAGAGGGTGGGAGGCTAGGGGAGGATAGCATTAGGAGAAATACTTAATGTAGATGATGGGTTGATGGGTGCAGCAAACCACCATGTCACGTGTATACCTATGTAACAAACCTGCATGCTCTGTACATGTATCCCAGAGCTTAAAGTATAATAATAATAAAAAAACTATCAATTGAAACAAGAATGCAAGAAAGCATCTAAGTCTAAAATTAAAAAAAATTGGTACACTAATTAATCAAGCAACATTGCATTATTCAGCTTCATAGATGTTGTTTATTCAGTAATTAATTCCTGCTATGAAGAATTTGTTAACCAATCCTAAACTTGTGTCTGATGGAAGAAAATAAACACATTGAAGGTTGAAGTGACTGACCGTAATTTTATACATAGACTATTTCTCTGTGGTTTTGCCAAAGAGTGCATTGTGGGGAGATGCTGTATACCCCCCCACCAAATCTCCATCAGCAAGTCATAAAGTCAAACTGAAGTAAATATAGAAGGCTAAGCTTTCATGTAATAGAAGTCTTTTTTGCTGGCTGCTTTTTAGCACAAAAACTGCTGCTCAGGCTATGCAATTACTGATTCCACTTGGAATACAGAGATTATGAAAGGCGACATCTTGAGGGAGACCAGATATGCCCTTTGTCGAGGTGATAATTGTAAAGTTACGACCAAATAATAATCATAGCATCTTTGGTTTCTGTCATTCTCTTCACTTTGGTTTCATAACTTGAATGAAGTTCTTAAATAAAACTTTCCCTGTGGCTAACAGTGGCTTCACTTGTCTTCCTGCTCTATAAAATCTGCAGTAGCCCATAAATTCCTTATTAAACAGTATTTATGTACTATTTAATATAAATAATATTACTGATTGATATGGTTTGGATGTCCTCTCCTATTCTCTGGGATTGTGATTCCCAGTATTGGAGGTGGGGCCTGGTGGGAGGTGATTGGATTGATGGAGTGGATCCCTCACGAATGGTTTAGCACCATCCCTGTGGTGATGAGTGAGTTCTCACTGAATTAGTTCACATGAGATCTCATTGTTTCAAACAGTCTGAGACCTCCTCGTTCTCTGTCTTGCTCCTTCTCTTGCCATGTGACATGCTGGCTTCCTGTTGCCTGCCACCATGATTGTAAGTTTCCTGAGGCCTCACCAGAAGCAGATGCAATCACCATGCCTCCTGTACAGCCTGCAAAACTGTGAGCCAAATAAACCTCTTTTCTTTATAAATTATCCAGCCTCAGGTATTTCTTTATAGCAGTGCAAGAACACGCATATAATATAAATGCATATGTCTTTGTACCAATAATTTAGTGTTGTGCATAAAATTATATGTTCTTCATCCTGATTCCTATTTCAAATGTCCTATAATGCCCTGATTTAACCCTTTTTTTGGCTTTTAGATGTCTTGCTATGTTTTAGTTCTTTGTCTTTCTTTCTCTTCCTAGAATACGCCAAGCTCATTCTACCTCAGGGCCTTTGCTTGTATTCTCTGTGGAGAGCATTCTGCTTCTAAGTTCACATTTCTACTGTAAATCAGTACTGCTGCTTGAAACAAACCAGAAAATTTATTTAGAAAATTTGTACTAACATACCTTTTAACTCAGAAACTACACCTAGGCACATACCCATTGAGAACGACTTATACATATGTATCAGGTCAAAAGTGTGATCAAAAAGGATCAGAGCTGCATCAGCTGTAATGGCAATTAAAGAGAAAAACAAACAATCTGGAAGCAAACTAAATGCCAATCAAGAAAGAATGGATAAATACACTCTGATGAATTCATATAGTGAATTATTATGCCTAGTATTGAAAAACAAATGAATATGCATCAACATAGATGAATGTCTAAAACAAAATGTAGACCCTCAAAAGGCAGTTATTAAACAAGAGTATGCTTTCATTTATACAATATATTAAACATACAAAATGATACTATATATTTAGGTACAGGTATATGTGGTAAAATAATTAGGGAAACTAAGCAAGTGATAAACACAAAAGTAAAAATGGTGGCAACTTCTAGAGGTGAGGGTAGGGGGAAAGTTGAGATTAGAAGGGTACATAGGGGATTTAAATGTTTGATTTCTTCACTAGATTTTAAGAAGCCGTGTGTTTTGGTTTTATATATGTGATATACACATGAAATAAATAATATAAATGTAGTATCAAATAATAACATTTTTCATGTGTTTAACATTTAATTTAAAAACTAAAATATAAACCATTAGTCCTTCTGTATCATATCCTGTTTTATTTTCTCATAACTTACAATTACCTGAAATGACCTTATTAATTTAATGCTGATCTATTTATTGTTCATCTCTCCCCACTTCTCTAGCAGACTGCAGGCTTCACAAAGCTGGCACGTGGCTTCTGTGGTTGAGAGCTCAGGATAGGAGACTCTCTAGCAATTAGTAGGTACTAAACATATTTGTTGACTTAATGAACCACCAGCAGATATTTATTACAAATATAGCTCCAGAGTACTATGAGGAAGACATTTTCAGGTACATATGGATCTTTTCCTTAAGTATCTTAGATTTCAATTACATTTGTTCAACATTGTATGTTCAGTGAATGAAACCATTTTCTTATCAAACCAAATTTCCCATACATGCACCCACTGTTCTTCCTTGTATATTTGGTCATTGACATGTGCGATTTTTTTTCTTCTTCACATGAGACATTTTGAATTTTGGCATTTAAATGAATCCTAATGTGACAAGATGAAAGATTAGGAAACACTTCAGCAACCTCCTCTCATTTATTTTATTACTGGATAGGAAAATTACTTATAAATTTCCTGAAGGATATAATCCTATTCCTGTTAACTGCCTGAAAAATGATTTGCTTGCATTTTAAAAAAAAGTCTTTTTCTTGTTAATTTCTTAATATAAAACAGTGTAAAAACTATTACTTAAATGGCATGGAAAAGCCTGAAGTACTTAATTACTAAAGAAAACCAGAAAAATGTTAAGTGAAGTGTAACAATTATAAGATGAGCTAAGAAGCCATTAAACAACATTTAACATAAGCATTTTAAAATTTTCCTTTAACTGAAATTGCACTATTTGGCTTTTAACTATTCTAGAAATAACAAATGATAATACTTTAATATAGAGATTAAAAATAAATTTCTAACATCAATTCCCAAAATTGAGTCATTAACTAATATAATTTTTCCCAATCATAGAGTTATACAAAATTATTCAACTTTTGGCTATAAAATTTGTGAACACTTAATAAAAGAATAGCCTAATTGAAATGATAACTTTCACCCAGCTCCTTCTTCAAAATTTAATCTTTGTAAAAATCACTGATTTTTAAAAAATAATCCATGACATGGAAAACTAAAGAGGATATTGTCAACCAAGAGCAATTCAAGAATTTTAATGTTCCAGAAGGTGGAAGATGACATATAGTAACGTGGAGTAATGGCTAAGCCCATTGCTGAACCATATTGCTTGGATTTGGACACTACTCTTCCACTCATGTATGGGTTGTATGACATTCAGAAATTTACTTTCTTTTTGCCTCATTTCCTCATCCATAAAATGGGGATGAAAATAATATTCCCTGTCTCCTAGGGTTTTGAGGACTGAATAAAATAATTCATATAAAATACTTAAAATACATCCAGCAAATAATATATGCTCAATAAATATTACTACCATTTACCCAAACTATGAAACTTTAAGAATAAAGATTAATTTATCTAACTCAAGTTCTGCATGAAATAAATAATGAATATGTTAAAAGATATCTACTAAAACCTAACTCTAGGTAATGAACACATCTAAAACAAATTTAGAAACTGTTCTAGAAATATTCAAGCTAGTATATAAATTTATCTGGCAAAAAAAATCACAGATGAACTCTATGTTTAAAGCCTTATAATAAAATTTTGCTTGTCTAATATTACAAATGTTTTTAAAGGTGTTAAATAAATAATATATAGCAAATCCCCCTAAAAGTACAGCTAATATTTCAACAGAAGAAAAGCATCTGGTAAAGAGAAGAACAAGATAAGCCACAGACTGAGAGAAATATTTGCAAATGACACATCTGATAAATAACTGTTATCTAAAATATACAAAGAACTTTCAAAGCTCAACAGTAAGAAAATGAGCAACATGATTTTAAAATGAACAAAAGACTTAAATAGACACCTCACTAAAGAAGATGTTCAAATGGTAAGTAAGCATATGAAAAGATTAGGGAATTGCTAAGTAAAACCACAATAAGGTATTTCTACATATCTATTAGAATGGCCAAAATCCAGAACACTGACAACATCACATGCTGTTGAGGATGTGAAACAACAGGAACCCTCTTTTATTGCTGGTGGGAATGCAAAATGGTACCACCACTTTAGGAGACATTTTGGCGTTTCTTACCAAACTAAACATACTCTTACCATACAATCCAGCATTTTTCCCCTTTTTATTTATCCAAAGGAGTTGGAAACCTAGGTCCACACGAAAACCTGCACTGAGATATAGTATCTTTATTCATAATTGCCAAAACTTGGAAGTAAGCAAGATGTCCTTCAGTAGAAGAATGGATAAATCAACTGTGATGCATCCAGACAAGGGAATATTATTCAGTGCTAAAAAAAAAATAAGCTATCAAGCCATAAAAAGACATGGAGGAAACTTAAATGCATATCACTAAGTTAAATATGACAATCAGAAAAAGCTATGTATCGTGTGATTCCAATTATATGTCTTCCTGGAAAAATCCCCAAACTACGGAGACAGTAAAAAGGTCAGTGATTGCCAGGGATTAGGAGGAAGGTAGAAATAGGCAGATACAACAGATTTTTAGGACGGTGAAACTATTCTGTATGATACTACAATGGTGTACATATGTCAATATATATTTGTCCAAACCCACAGAACGTACAACACCGAGAATGAACCCTAAGGTACACCAGGGACTCTGAGTGATAAAGATGTGTCAATTATCATCACTTGTGCAAGATGTGCAATATACTTAGTTTTAGTACAACATAGATTTTAATTTTACTACAAAATATTTTGTAACTGGGTATTAAAAGTATGTTTGGCTTCTATATTCTTTAGCCATGATTATAAAACAACCAGAGAATTAAGTTTAAATTTAAAGAAGTTTTAAGTTTACTGCCTGAACTTAATTAAACCAGATAATTTAATTTTTTTACCTTCAGCACCACCTTTTCCCTTTTTTTTCCCATTTTGCAAAGAGCCAAAAATGAGGAAATAAAGATTGATAAGTAAAGCAATATACTCAATATCTTGTAAAAACACCTAGAATTATGCAGCTGTGCATAAAGAACTAAATCTTAAGAATAGTAGAAGCTGTTTGTGGTGGCTCACACCTGTAATCCCAGCACTTTGGGAGGCCGAGGCGGGCGGATCACGAGGTCAGGAGATCAAGACCATCCTGGCTAACACGGTGAAACCCCATCTCTACTAAAAATACAAAAAATTAGCCGGGCGTGGTGGCGGGGGCCTGTCGTCCCAGCTATTTGGGAGGCTGAGGCAGGAGAATGGCGTGAACCTGGGAGGCGGAGCTTGTAGTGTGCAGAGATGGCGCCACTACACTCCAGCCTCGGCGACGGAGCGACATTCTGTCTCACAAAAAAAAAAAAAAAAAGAATAGTAGAAAGCAGTACTAGTGAATGTAGAGTAAATTATAACAAAATAATTCAATTATATTCTAAATTACAACTAAAATGAAGGCTTGAGAGGGTAAAAACAACATTATTGAAAATAATTTGCATACATTGTGGCAACCAACATTTTTTTCTGATAACTTGAATTGACTTACCAAGAGACCTTAAACATTGGGAACTAAATTTCTATGCCAAATTTCAAATAACTGCTATATATATAGTATGCGGGTAAATTCCTTTGAGACCAAACGTGCTATTAAACTATTTATTTACCCCAATGCCAAGTTTTTAACAGTTCATCTAAAACATTATATTAGGGGACTTGAAGCCTCCAAATGTTTGGAATGATGCTTATAGAATAACAAACAGAATTGCTAGAAAATAGTGTCATTTCTAACTTCGAGTCAAATGGATTAGCAGAGCAATTGGAGTGATCAATTTCTTCTATGCTAATGATGTTAACAAGTAGAGTGACACTTTGCCAAATGTTACCAGATAAATGATTTCTAGAACAGTTTAGGCACCATATGTGCAAATAAAGTCTGTTTTTGTTTATTCCCAGAAATCAGGAGCTGGAATAGATAGTAATGCCCCTTTCTACCTAATAAGACCAGAAGTAATGATTTTCCTTTTCAGATTTATGTTTTCCCACATGTAAAACAGATAAAATAATATAGAACTATAGGTATTTTCCCACAAAGACATATCAAAATTAATATGGCTGTCTTGATTCATTATGCATATTTACAGTCTTTTCTTATCCTCAGGCATTAAATGACACATATAATTTCTGGTAGAGCATAAAAATAATCCCTTGATGTGAGAGTTTTTAAAATTGTTTCAGTACCATGACCTTATTTGAGATTTCCAACAATCCAGCAAGTTTGCCAAAGTAGATTTTAGTGCTCTCATATAAAAGATGAAAAACTAAGGTTCAGAAGGTTGACATTAGTTTTCCAAGGTCATATGGCTAGTTAATTAGGTAGAGTCTAGATTAAAACCTAGATTAGTGACTTCTAAACCAATCTTTACTATAAAATTATGTCATATCCAATCCTAATATTAGAATTTAAGGTTTAAACAGCCTTAGGAAACCACGCAGGGGTTGAAATAAATATTTAGACATTTTGCTTGCTGGTATATTCCATTTTCTATTAGATGGAAACACATAGAAACATATTTCAGGAAATATCCAAGAAAATACAGACAGTCCTCAATTTAGGATGGTTCCACTTATGATTTTTCAACTTTGCAATGGTGGTTTCAACTGCGAATGTTAATGGTGAGTGTCCTTATAACCATTCTGTTTTTCACTTTCAGCACGGTAGTCAATAAATTACATGAGATATTCAACACCTTATCATATATATAGGCTTTTTGTTAGATGATTTTGCCTCTGTAGACTAATGTAAGTGTTTTGAACATGCTTAAGATAGGCTAGGCTAAGCTATGTTTGGTAGGTTAGATGTATTAAATGCACTTTCCATTTACGGTATTTTCAACTTATGATGGCATTATTGAAATGCAACCCCATCATTAGTCAAGGAGCATCTGTAACATTTATGGCTGTGTTTCCCAAACTATGTAAATGGAACAAATATTCTGTAAGATAAAAATTAATTACTTTGGGAAACCTGGCATATTAACACCTTTGAATAGTCAAGGTACTGATAAGTGCTGCAATAAAGCTACCTGTTTTTAACATTGTTATGTCTGCAGGCCTACCTGGGCAGACATATTTTCAAATGAAAGAGAGCTAGCTTATTCTTGGTAAATAGAGTTGCTTACCCTGAACCTAATGAACAGAGTCAAGAAAACAATATCTCTTCCTTACCTCTAGTAGAATCTCCTCTTCAGCTTCCTCTTGGTAATCAGGTGGTCTGTGCTAGGCATGCTTTTCTTAAAAAATTATAAATTGGTAATTTTCACTGTCAAAACAATGTTGCTCTGCCCACCCAGTAAGTGTCAATTTTCTCCTATATCTTATATGGCTTTGTGACCTCACAAAACAATGACCTAAGTCCCAATTTAATAATACTGAAGCGTATCAGTTTAGGGATAGGGTCATGGAAACAGGCTGAAGTATTTATTCAAATGTAGTTATTTCCTACAGTATCTGAAAGTGGGGGTAACAAACACCCAATAGTATGTATTGCTATGTGCCTTTTATTTTCCTGTTCTTAATATTAATGTGAACATTCCACCAATATATCAGATATGTATTTTTGGAACTTACAAACATCTTTTGTAACCTATATCTATTGTATCCTGCTGCAGATGTTCAGAAATTGAGGACTGTTCCAATCTTGCAATTTCAAAATTATTTCCAGAGGAAGCAAAGATCAAAGCCCTCCACAAGCATGCATGGCTTTAAACATATTAGAAGATAAATTAAGCCATGTTCAGGCAGAAAGAAGAAGCGAGAGGTAGAATTTTAAAATTTAATAACAGCGGCCTGCAAATAGTAGTCACTTTTTACTTATTGAATCTCAATTTTCAATGCTACAGTAATAATAGTTCCCATTTTATTATTTCACCAGATTTGATCTGGGTCTGAATCTTAAAAATGGCTTTTCCTAAAAGTACTAGCTTAAAATAATAAGGAATTACTTAGTCAAGATAGTTCTTGATCGGTAAATTTTGTCTCACGTACATAGCAGTATATAAAATTCAATTTTTATTTTAGTTAAACTAAGTATCAAATGACCACAGTGACGATTCCAGCACTGGATCCTGTATTCCCTGGTATTCTATTAGGTCATATTTCAACTACTGTAAATATGTAAATTCTGTTACACAGAAGATCTGGAAATAACCAAATATTCTTTTAAAAGTCAAAACTGTTAGCACTTCAAACCCATTTACTAAAAACTAGAGTGAATAAAAAAGCTTGTTATTTCAAAGATTTATCTGTGTTATTAATAGGAATCATTAACATCTCTCGAGGGTTAGAAAAATATTTGCTTTAAGCCACATATTCTCTAGACAACTACTGCTCCCTTTCGAGCATATTTAACTGTTTACCTTGAAACATGTTACACCTTTATGTCCTCTGCCTATCATTAGGATGTAACCAAAAACAATTCTATCGTATGTTCTAGCTAACTACTTACAATTTCATTTGTCAAAAAATAAAAACAAATGTTTTTTACCTTATCAGTTTGCTCAGTATTTTCAGACATTTACCTAATAAACTATTTAAAATAAAGATTCTGAGAAATACAACCTCCATGAAATTGCCTCAATAATGGTTAATTTAGGATACCAAATGTCTGATTAAGATGCATTAGAAATCTTAAGAAACAATAGTGTTACACGTGGGATGATCAGAATGATAGGTATTATAATAAAGACATTAGGAAAATGGTTTTAATAATCTCAGAACTTTGGCAGAACACTAAATTGCGGGGTTTTTTTCTATGTCAGAAGTACCTACAATTGTTTCTGAAAAGGAAGCATAAATATCAGACAGGGTGCCAGCTCCTCCAGGAATACAGTAGAAAGGCACAGCCTTAATCTTTCTTGCATATGCTTCCAAAAATTTGCTGGATATCTGGGAATATGGAATTAGACCTTCGCCTCTGCTTTTACCTGGGCACCCACTTGTGTCTCCACTGGTCAGGTCGCATTTAACTGTGTATGAGAAATTGATCCAGTCCTTACTTTCCTGGTGGCATACGAGAGTTTCCTCAGAATTGCCAGGGTCCACACTATCCAGCTTCAAGTCATTTATCTTGAAGTTGCAGGCTTTTGGGGGGCTATGTAGAAATACCAAGAAGAATCAAGTTTCTCTCACTACTTCACATGCTTCAGCCTCTTCATGTAATGTCATTTTGGGCACCCACCATGAGACTGGTTTCTTAGTCCTTCAGTATAAAGTCTGGAAGGGGACAGTATATCTCATTCAGATTTGGAAAGAAACACAGACTTTTTTTCATCCGTAATGTGTTAAATGCAGATATAATTTAAATTATAAAGCTCCCCCAGATGATTTATTTAATGTTTTGGCTAAATAAATTGCTTCATGTACATGAAAGTGTTGAATTGATAACCAAATAAGATGGGTCATGCTGCTTTTCCATTTCTCTCTCAGTTTCACCCTAAGATCTCACAAAAGCGCTGTTGGTTTTTAACCTCACCAATTCCCCGGCAGCCAGTCACTCCTTAATGTTTTGCAAACTGGCTTTCCCATCTGCCATTTTCTAAAATGATCCTTTTGATTCTTTTCTTAATGTTTACTTAAGTCAGTAATTCTCCTATTTCTGTCCTTTAATCGCAACTGTTTCTTTTCGTTTTGTGGGTACAATAAAATATAATTTGTCTTTTTCCTTCACCTTCAAGATTAAAGCTGAGGAGGAGGAAGACCTTGCCTATGAACTTATTAACAGTCTAAAATCTTATTAGCAGTGGCTTTAAAGCTTTGTCCAGGTATTAGAATAACTTATTCAGGTCTGCTTCTAAATCTTAAAAAGGCTCAAGTAAAAAATATGTGTGTGTGTGTGTGTGTGTGTGTGTGTGTGTTTTGTGGGGTGTGGTGGGGGAGAGATAAAGAAAAAGCACATCTTGTTTTGTATGATAAGAAATACTCCATTGTGAGAAAGATAATCTTGCTAATTAAGAAGGGAGCTAGGCAAAGGTTTTATCTTATGGGACTTCCGACAATCTGCCTCCAAAAACTTACTGCTTGTCTTTGGGAAGTGTGCGAGTTTGCTCTTACAGTCAGAGGAATAACTAAGATCTTCAGCTCTTATGGAGAGAAGACCTTCAAGGAAACTAGACAAGGAGCTCTGACCTACCTTGTACTATTTGCGTAACTCGGATTGTCAAAGCCTCTTTCTCATCCTCAACCTCCTTGTCATCATACTGTCTACCCCCTTCCCAACAAAAGCCAAAATTGTATCTGATTTAAAGAACAAAATACCTCCAAAGATTGACTGGCTGGTAACCCAGGCGTTAATTAATACTGAATTTCTTAGACTCCAGACTTACACTGTTGGGAAAAAGAGGAATGGATCCCGAAGGAAAGATTAAATGGGAGGAGTTTTTTCTGAAAGATGATTGGAGATTTAGATGTCAAAGATTAGAAGATATTTTCCAAGTGAGGCTCAAGACAAGAAAACAGGTTAGGATCTGGAGACTTCTACGAAGGAATGAATGGCATGTGAAGGTTTTAACTTCTTGGTTACTTTTTCTTTGGTTTTACATTTCTCCCCTTCCTACACACTGTAATGTTACTGACCAAATGACCACTCAGGAAAGTCTAATAAGTGCCAAATATCCTTGTGTTTTCACACAAAAATCAAGGAGTGAGGCTAAATGGACATAGAAGGAACAAGAACCAAAAGGCACTATAGAGAGATGATCTATAACTGATCATTTTTAGTTTACTGGCAGTAGGTTAGAAGAGGCTGAGGTGGAATCAATGACACTCAAGATTTCACAGCAACTTTGGGGAGGGTGTTGGATTGTCCAGAAATCATGGATTAGTGGTTAAGCCTAATTTGTCACTGGCCAAAGGACAGAGTGACCCTAGTAGATCCTTGGGTTACTCGCTTGGTAAACATTCTCCATGGCTCTTTTAATTCGGATGCCCTTTATGCAATCTCTTTCACTCCCTTGGAGAGCACTGAGTCTTATATCTGGGACATACTCAATCATTTGTTGGATTGAATGTCCTTGTTGCGATCATATAAAATAATCTCATTACTGGATAAAGAACAGAATCATTTTGCTGACTCCTGAGGCAGTGACTGAGTCTACCTTGAACACTCTTAAGCCCACGTGACTAGTCGAGTACCTTGAACTCTGGGAAGTGCTTAGTAAATGTTTATTGATGATTAATCCAAAAGGTTTCAGAAGCTTTACAGGAGGTTATAAACAGACTGAAAAAATCCATAAATCCCTCAAGACAGGGCCAGACTTACAAGAGTATTCAAACTGATTTTTTTCTGAAGCAGTCTTAAAAGAAAAGAAACATGAAGGAAAAATTTTCAATATCCTATTAAAAGAAAAGAAACATGAAAGAAAAAATTTCAATATCCTACCTTTCGGAGATGGGTTTGCAAATGCAATCAGGATGTCAAATATTTATGGAAAGGTTTTGGCTATTTTATTTAATCTTCTGAGATGACATTACCCTCAACTGTCTAGTTGTTTTGTAAATATCTTTAGCCTTTAGTAATCAGAAGCATGTGGAGTTCTATACTTCTCCAGGCTGCCAAGTATTATGTTAAAGTGAAAGCAAGTCTTAGAGCAAACTCTCATTTTTATAAAGGTTGATTAGTAAGCAGACACAAATATTCTCATAAATTGTCTCCTTGTATATTCAAGGGAACACACACCTTCTGTCCTCAGAACTCTTGAAGAATAACAACTATGAATGGAAATTCCTTTTCTGTTATATCCAAGGCAGATGAAACAAGGTGAAGCCAGCCAGTGTTTGAGCTGCAGGCCATGAAATGAGACACATGGTACCAAATAGGCATCCAGACTGTGAACACTTTTCTGAAAGTATGAACCTGTTGAGATTTTATATTCTAGTGCCTCATTTAAGAAAGAGCAGTGAAATCAATACAACCTTTCTAGCCATTGACAAATTTTAAACACTTGTCATTTTACCATATAGATTTCTAATATCTTTTGAGCTAATTGGCAAGCTTTCTGGTGTAATTTCACTAATAGTATTTGAATAGCTCATGTAGCCACCCTGAAAGGTAGTGTCCTGATTTGAGTCCTTCAATGCTAAGGAATAGATTATAGTTTACTTAAACAGACATATATAATCACACACTACACTGTTTATATTAAAGTTTTTTAAAAAGTATATTATCTTCATATAACATAATGGGTGACTTACTTATTATTGCTATTAATATTATCATTATAAGGTTCATTTTCCAAACAAGAAAACTGAAGTTCAGAGAGTTTAATGTAGAAAAAACTTTGTGGCCACCATGTGAATCAGAACTCAGCTCTGGGCTTCTCATCATCCACAATAAAGAGAGAAACATCGTGGTTATGTAGCTTTCTTATGGCTAATAGAAGAACACAGGGAACTAAGGACTATGTGTGAAAACGTTTATACAAATCATTTTGGACAATGTTATGGACAATACACTTATTAACAGAGTAGTGCATACATAAAAAGTCTATTATTGTCAGATAAAATAATAGGTATGTTACTTATTATTGCTATTAATACTATAATTATTAATCTCATTTTCCATGTATTTCGTACATTAGCCTTGGAGAAAGGCAAGGGCATCATAGTATCTGCATGAGGAATTAAAGTGTGTAATGATGCTTTAGGACTTCCGGGTAACCTGGCTTACTAGAGAGATGAAATTTAATAAATAGATAATTGATACATTCATTACACTATTTTTTCTCTTCTCAGGAAAGGGGTATGATGAGTAAGAATCACATGAGGATCTTTCACAGAAAAAAGTTTATATCCCTGTGACAATTTTTTTTATTGTCACTGTGAGTATTTGGCAGGAACTGAATGGCAGACAGTGCAGTACACAATTGCTAGCAAGTAGTTTCTGCCATTAACTGAAGAATGATCTACATGCTCTTAACTTTCAGTATAAAAATCAAATTTTAGACCCCACTTTTCATCCTCTTCTCTCATTTCCCTCCCCTTTATACTCTACTCATTCTTCCGTCATTAATGAGTGTAACTCTCCCAATGAACAATTCTGTCCCTTTGCTTTTATTCTTGTTGTCTGCGTCACCTGCTACACCTTTGCCATTTTCTCTCCTGGCCATCATCTCCCAAAAAGTTCATCTGTTTGTGATTTGTGTCTCCTGCATACCATATTGCCTGATATATCATAGGTCCTTAAAACTCTGTGGAGTGAATAAAGGGATGAATGCCTTTATTCCTTTCTTTCATTATATTACACCCAGCCCATTTAGATTCTCGAGGACTTAGAGCTGTCAGGCAAGGAACAAATTTTGTTTTGGAAACTGGACCAAGGTTTGGAGGCATGGGGTGAGGGCGATCTACTATACAGTGATGTTTATTTTTTATTTTTTGAGACGGAATTTCACTCCTGTTACCCAGGCTGGAGTGCAACGGCGCGATCTCGGCTCACTGCAACCTCTGCCTCCCAGGTTCAAGTGACACTCCTGCCTCAGCCTCCCGAGTAGCTGGGATTACAGGTGCCTGCCACCACACCCAGCTAATTTTTTATATTTTTAGTAGAGACGGGGTTTCCTTGTTGGCCAGGCTGGTCTCGAACTCCTGACCTCAGGTGCTCCACCTGCCTTGGCCTCCCAAAGGGCTGGGATTACAGGCGAGGGCCACCATGCCCGGCCTTCTATACAGTGATTTGATCTCAGGATAGTGCTATCTGCTCCCTGCCCTGAAGTTCAGTCTCTTTCCTAGTGTGGTCTGCAGCTGCATTCTGCAAACTAGCAACAGACAGGCTCTTACAGATCCTAATGGTTACAAGAGAAGTTTGGATTCAATGAACAACGTCGTCTTATCAGTAGTAAATGTAAAGATATTGTTCATTTGAAAATTACACATGAACTTTCAGTGACAAATGTGTTAGATCAGAGGGTGAAAAATTATACTTAGGACCCACTGCAACCTCTTTTACTTACATTTAGGTATCTTATTTTATAAGGCACATTAATTACTTTAACTTTGCATACTTTAAAAAACATTATTAAATACAAATTTCCCTTCACATATACAATGATAAGGACTTAATTCCCAGCCCTAGGCTTAAAGATAAAGCTATACTGTTTCACTGGCTGGGGTATCCCCCTCAGCAGCATAGCTAAAGTCTAACCAGTACAATTTTGAAAAAGTCAACGCCCTCAAAAAAATCTAACAACCCCATCTTAACCCAAATGTCGTACGTACTTTGACTAATAAATTCACCTTTAGTGAACTTTGAAAAATTCTGAGCTTTTCCTAAAAATAAACATAGATTGTGATTGTAAATTTTTTCAGCTCCACTTCATATGTTTTTCCTAGATACTGTAGAATGAATGAATGAGTGTGTGTGTGTGTGTGTGTGTGTGTGTGTGTGTGTGTGTGTGTGTTGTAAACCGGGGGTGGGGGGAGATAGATATAGCAACAGGTGGTGAGTTGAATCACATTTATTCATCTATGCCATACAAAACGAGATTTTTACCTCTTTAAATTATGAGCCAAAAAATTGATCGTTTGGGCCTCAACACTTCTAAGTCTTGAATGTAGAGGATAAAAACTTTCCCTAGCCGACTGATATTTCTGAAACCAAATGAGGGTTTGGTAAGGAGTGGCAAGACAAGGCTTTTATACGCTACTTATCTGCTTGTGTTAGGGCTCTTATCTCCAGATTTGACAACAGGCTAACCATACATGTTTGGACATGTTTTAATTGAAGCTTGTTACCTATAATGTCCAGGTAATGACCCAAACAGATGCAACGTTCTGCTCTCCACAGGACAAGGATGCATTCTGATGAGAAATTTCTCTCTCTAATTTCCTTTGTTTCCCATTTCTATTTTGATTTCCTGGGCCTGCTGTATTTGGCAGGCAGACACATTTTCCAGATGAAGCAGTGAGGAGGGTGATTGATAATCAGGACAGGCTTTATGATGTTCTTTTCGGGTTGCTTTATGCAGCACCATATCTAAAGAACCCAGCCTTCCTGAATGTCCAGGCAGGTGTCTCCTTTATGAAGCCCACTGAAATAGCTTGTCCCGAAATGGACAAGTTACAAGCTACCAACTGAGAAGGTAAAAGCACCCTCACTATGGGTTGTCTAAGGTCAGTCACTTGGACTAAATGTACAAAGATGAGAACTACATGGACTTTGGGGCTGCTTTTAAAATGGGTCAGTAAATAATCGCCATTCAATCAGAACAGCAGTAAAGAGACTGGATATATTCAAAGGCAGTAAAATGGAGGCGAAAGCTACTTTCTTTCCATTCAACTGAGCCGTTGTAAGGATCAAGTAAGGATCCAAATGAAAATATTTCAGAAAACGTTAAAATTTAATTCTTATCTATCCCACATATTATCTTTTCTATTATTATTTTACTATTTTTCATGACTCCAGCTGGAGGGAAGCTGGAAGTCAAATTTAAATTATTACACCTTTACAAAGTTATTAGAAATGAATTACCTCTTAAAAATGAATGTAGGATAGGTAGCATTCCTGCTGGCTCTCAGGCTAAGCTTAGCGTGTGAATCTATTTGGTCAAAAAAGACCTTTTGTTTTAGGGGACTATCAAAATTAAAAATTGAGAGTGTTTCCAATAAAAATTTCATATTCCTCTTATGTATTGGAAAATTAGGAGGTTTCGTAGCAATGGTTTCTCATTTAGCATTAAGTCATTCATTCAGTGACTCATTCAACAAATTCTCATTGAGAGATGGGCACTTTTGTACACATTGAGAAAATGACAGAACAAAGTGGCAAAAATCAGCTAGAACTAGCAGAAGCCGCTTCTGTACACAGCTTTTTGTACTTTAGTTTTATCATAGCCCCCACCACCCCTATATTATATTCAGACAACCAGGCTCACTATACTAATTTATTTTAACTGCCTTGTCCCTATAAACATTTGTGTTTGTGATGCCTGGAATATACTTTCAGTGTGCACCCAAATTCTAGAAAGAGACCTTAAATGGACCCAACTTATTGCATTTCAAATAATACATGAAGGATAAAGTTGGGAAGAAAATTGCCAGCTGTTATTACACTCAACTCAAGCCTCTATTAAGTACCTGCTACGTGTACCTTTTTTGAAGGGTTAGTATTGGAACTGAACCTTGACAGGAGAGGAGTTTCTACAGCAGGATGCATGGGGAGGGTGACATTTCAGGTGAAGGTAGTATGACCGACACATTTAAGAATGTTGAAGAGACGAGTTTGGCAGGAATATGGGAAGAAGGAGGGAGTATTACTATTTCAGAGCCCTACACCTGATGCAAAAAATGCAGGGGCTATTGTTACTATGTCAAAAGAATTAGCTATTACGAGTAAAAAATCTGCCAGAAAATAACAACAGGATAACATAGAATCAAGTGGCTTTAAAATATTATGTCCTTACAATGCTTAAATAATAGAAAATAACCACACCCTTGGATCACATGGTTCCACTCTACTAGTAAAGGTTGAAAGGAGAGGAATACAGATAATTTAGAAGTTTCTAAATATCTACATTACTTGATCTTATCAAACTACCACACACTTGGGCATGATTAAACTGTTTAGATAAGATTTCTCACACAGTATTCCAAGATATTAAGCTTGATGAGTCATGATGGTAAAAATATTTATTAAGCCTCAGCTTCAGTCTAGGAAACATTTTTAGCTTCTTTTGGTGTCAAACATAACCTATAAAATCATATTATCCCCATGACATTTTTGGAAAAAATGGTGAGATATACCCTACTGTGCAAGTGTATAAACTGTATCTAACTATCTATCTTACCAATAGAGTTTAGAGCAATAGTTAAGAAGTTAGCATGCCATGCTAGCACATGACATTTTGTAGTTCAGAAAAAAAGCTTCTAATGTCTTTGGGAGCCAAGAAATCTCCTCTTCATTAACAACAAATTTATTTATTTATTTTTAGTAAGTATTGTGTAAATACCATGTATCTGGTGCTAGATTAGGTACATGGAAAAGGCAGCTTAGAAAAATCACAGAAGTTGTCCTCCAGTAGTTGGTGATTTTCAAGGGTCTAGTTTTCCAATATGGCATTTGCACAGGTTTAAGGAAAGGCACAGTATCTTATTTTATATTCTCTTCTCAGTCCCAGGTTAAGGCAAGTTTTGATATGGAGAGTGAATTGACTCCTAAACTATATTAACAATAATGATGGGAACAATTAACTGAGGAAGAATTTATTACCACACATGGTATCCTAACAATTAAGTTACATAAATATTTAATCTTACTCTCTGCAGTGCACTTGGTTGGAAGGAATATACAGAAATAATAAAAGTCACATCCATTCAACACTTGGATCATCTGTACCTGTCACTCCTCTAGACACTTCATGGACATTATAATTTTTAAACTATGACCCAGGTCTGTCAGGTTGCAAAGTATATTTTCTTTCCTCTACACTATGGTCTGGTGCTTGCCCTCAGTGAACTCATAAATCTAATGGGAGAGACAGGGCTACCACACATAAAGCAATAAGAAAATAAACAGAAACTAGTTCTGTGGCCTTGATTTTAAAGCCCAAACAAACAAACAAACAAAGAAACAGTGACAATACAGCAAATCCAGTTCAAGAAAGGGAAAGGTGAAGGCTCTAGTGGCAGTGACAGAGTATAAGGCTTCTTCTTTCCAGCATCATGCCCGGGTGAACACAGATTTGCCTCCACTCCTTCTCAATGTGTGACCTTGCACTCAGATGCTCATTTCTTCATCTGCAACATGACAATATTACTTATTGCACTGTGAGACTAAAAGTTAGATGTAAAAGGTCTTGCATGATGTCTGCCCTAAAGTAGAAGCTCTGTGTTGTTAAAGTTAACAGCTATTTTCTTCTTTTTATGACTTAACCGCATAGTAGTTTCTGACAAAGTGACCGACGACTACTCTCTGGAAATATTCCTCACTCCTTGTGGCCTGGGATGCTACAATCTTAAAAGTTTTCTTCCTATCTCTTGAATACTCTTGGTTTCTTTTGGGACTCAGTGCCAAGTTTTATCTGCTTCTTTTATCACCGTATACTTTCTCTGTATACAATCTCATGTACAACCATGACATGTGCATGTATATTCTGCCAACTCACTAGGCAATATTTCAGACTTTGACCTCTCTTTGAGTTCCGAACTGGAATATGCAGCAGCCTATTCAGTATCTCCATTTGACCATCTTACCAGTATCCTAAGAAGAGTATGTCCACACCTGAACTCCCTGTATCACACAGCTCCCCCACCTAAACTCCTTCTCCTTTACTTCCCTCTAGCTTTGTAAACAGCACCACCATCTGGCTAGTTGTTCAGCCCACACATCTAGGGATCATTTTTGATAATCTTCACCTCCTTGTGCTCATATACAGTCAATCATGAAATCTTTTTATGACTTCCTCTTAAATATATTTTAAATCAAACCTCAACTTTTTATCTTCCCCTGCTGCAACCTAGTGTAAGCCAATATGGCCTATAGGCTAAAATATTAAATGAGTCTTACTTTCTTTTTCTTCACCTAGATCATCCTACACAGAGTCATCAAAAAGTCTTTTCAAATCTGAAAATCTATTAAGATCATATCTAAACTTTAAGCCTTTTCATTGCTCTTAGAATGGCTTTTCATTGCTCTTAGAATACAAATAAAAAACCTCAACCTTTGCCTAAAATGCTACCTTATAATCTGGCACTTGAATATTCCTCCAACTCCATCTCATGCCATTCTCCATGCACTCTCAATATTCTGCAGCTAGACTAGCATTTTTTACATTCTTCAAGTGTCCCAAGCCTGCACCTGAGTCAGGCTCTTTCAATCTGCTGGCCCTTCTAATGTTGCCTGGTCAATTCACAGTCAAATTTCAAGTGTTAGCTTAAACTTTCTCAGAAAAGATTCCAGGAACCTCCGTGCTAAATTTGGTCCTTTTGTTACATGCTCCCATAAAATTCTGTGTTTCTTCATCCCAGCATTTAGCTCATTCATAATATACATACATATTTTATATACGTGTGTAATATATGTATATACACATATACGTATAAATATATAAGTATATACTATAAGTGTATACTTATATATGTATATACACATATACATATATATAAGTATGTACTTATATATATACGTATATGTGTATACGTATATATACGTATATATGTATACGTATATATACGTATATATGTGTATACGTATATATACGTATATATATAAGTATATGTATATAAGTAAGTACATATGTATATATACTTATATATATACACATATATGTGTATATACATAATCTATAATATATTTGTTTCATTTTAATCTCTCCCATAGAACAGGGACTATGGTGATTTTATTTATCAGTGCCAATGTATTCCCATAAATTAGTATCAGGCTTGTACAAAACAGGTGCTCAAGAAATATCTTTGAATGGAGGAATATTCAGTGGATTTATGTTCAATAAATGGTAGCTATTAACAGAGCAGTAACAATGATACCAGTGACAATGTATAGTAGTCAGCTTGAGCTGTCATAGCAAACACCATAGACTGGGTAGCTTAAACAACAAAAATTATTTTCACACAGTTCTAGAGGCTGGGAAGTTTAAGATTAAAATGCCGGACATTTGGTTCCTTCTGAGGTCTCTCTTTCTGGCTTGTAGATGGGAACATTCTCACAGAAAGGGATCTCTCTTTCTTCCCCTTCTTAAAAGGCCACCATCCTACTAGAGTAAGGCCCCGCCCTTATGACCCCATTTAATCTTAATTATCTCCTAAAGACCCTACCTCTAGATAGAGTCACACTGGAGGTTAGGGCTTCAACATACATATTTGAGAGAACACAATTCAGACCACAGCACAATGGTTTATGATGATATACAAGACTTGAAATGCATCAACGTATCTGGAGGAGCAGGCAGTTGAAGTACATAGGATATATTAATAAGAGGTTCTAAAAGCTGAACAGATGTGTTGATTAGTGAAGGAAGCCTTAGAAATAACTGCAGATTCTTGAGCTTTAAAGCATGACCACTACAGTTTCACAGGAAGATTAATATGGCACCTATAGGCAGAATAGATTAAATGGGTGCCGGCTATGATATTCACCAGTGTATGAGGCATGGAAGCAAGAGCTTCAGTAATGGAAGCGGGAATATATGAAAGGGAGTAATCATTCTAAGAGACTTCCACAGAAAGATAATACACTATGACTGCTTGGAAGAAAAAAATATGTATTTATGACTCTATGAAGCAAGAGGATAGAAAGAATTCTATGAGAATGGGGGACTGTGAAGGGAATGTTTCCAAACCAGGGAAGAAACCCCAAGGCAGAATTGTAAACAAAACAAAAGGTAAACAAAACAACAACAAAAACAGCCTCTTGACTACAGACTCAACATTGATGAACTCCCAGGCAGAAATCTTTGACAACCACAGACGATGCATGGGCTCTCGGCTGTCTCTTTTGTAATTCACCAGCAACAAATCCCAATGTTCTGCTACTCTGGTGGCCATTAATTTTTCTGCCTTTGTCACTGGTTTTCATCTCCAAAACCTGCATGCAAATGGCTCTCTGCTCTTTGCTTTGGGATTCTCAATTATGAATCTTGATGAGTTGGAGTCTATGCCAGAAATCTCGTGGTAGGTGAATTTACCTTAAATTAAGCATCCATGGTTTCACATTTCACTTGTCTTCTACCTAAATGCATAACTGATAGCATTTGACATCCTCTTCTTGGTGGTTCCAAGATATGTTCATATATCAGCTGATATTTGCACATATGCTTGCTATCTTAAAAAAGCTTTCTCCTTGTCTCATTTTAAAGAGGAAATTTTTATTTATTAATTTATTTATTATTACATTTTATTTTTATTAACAAATAGCATGCTGCTGAAACAAATTGACTTTGTACATGTCTGACAACCAAAAACATCGGCATAGATAGGTATAGTGGATCTAAGAATGAGAAAAAAAAAATTCATCTTCTCTCTGTAATTAAAAACCCATAAATTAAGCAAGGGTAGGAAATGATTTTCCATGTGAGGGAAAAACCAGAGCAAATGATCTTTTCTTTGAGAGGTCTAGCTCTGGGCTTTGGCTTAAAAACAACGTCATTGTTAAATCTGAAGGGCAAATTTGCCACATGATGATCATGAGGCTGCGTCAACTGCATTTTTTCCTTCTCCCTGAAGAGGTTATTACAGAACAAGAATTATTTTGAAAATGTCATCAGAGAGGTGGAAAAAAATAATCTCCCCCTCTAGGTAGAAGATAATAAAAGACTAAGGGATCCTGGTGGATTTTCAGCTAGCAGAGGACATAACCTGTCTTTCAGTTAAAGCAAGAAAGTGTGCAGCAATGTTACAGTTCCTTTGTATGACCCTGCCATTTTTATTTTATGGTTATTAAGCCTTTCCTTCATGCTCAGCCTCTTAGATAACATGCAGAAAACCAGTCTTCCAAATGGGTTAAAACTTTATGTGAAAAAATGTTGATCTCAAAGAGGTTATCTGCTATACGGGGGAAAATAATGAGATGCGGATGGCATTGAACAACTTACTATGTTTTTACAGAGATCGAAAATGGGCAATATGATTGGGCTTGGGAAATACGTTTACTCATTTTTCCTATTATCTATTTTTATAAAAACTCTACAGGGTATGTTAAGACAGTATGACTGAAAGCCAGTCCAAAGGAGAAGGAATTTCAAAGAGCAGAAAGAGAAGTCTTTACTTAGGAAAGACGGAAAAATTTTCCACATATATGAAGTAAAAGAATAGATGGAGGAGAGCGTGGGTGTAAATTAGAGGCAGAAAAGTCTGCTTGATTTACAGAAGAAAATGACAAGTGCAAGAATAGTGAGTTCAGTTTCTCATATTTATATGCTCATGTAGGCTCAGCTCTACAAAGTAAAGAAATTAGAAACATATGTTCTGGTAGTATATTCTAGTTTACGATTTTGTCCCCATAAAATCCTATGTAAGTTAAATGATGAACGCTTTAATATATGGGTATATAGTTCTCATTGTGTAAGCTACCGGAGGTATAAGAACTTGAAAGTTAAAACTTATTGTTTATTTTTTGATAAAAAATTCAGTGATGAGAACTGGATATTCAAGCATCCAGAAGTGAATCTATTCCAAATGAAATTGTATGCCCATAGCTATGGAGCAAATATTATTTTTCTTATTTTCCTGTGCTGGAAGTCTAGTTTAGAACTAATTTCTAAGGCTACTTGAAGCTCAAGCCAGAATTGCTGATTACATTAGCTAATTAATTTCATATACTTGCCAACTTGTCTAGAATACAAATGTGGACCCAGTGTGACAATGTTGCCCTGTGCTTTACACACAGCATTTTTACACAAAGCACAGGTCACCCTATTGGGTGGAAATGTGTCTGGTCAGTAATCTCAAAATAAAATGCTGCTGTAGACAATAATATTCCTAGTAACATTCATTCCACTTAGGACCTATGGACAGAGTGGAGGTCAAGTAGAGTTGAAAAGGTCAAGTGGCTCTCAGACAGAACTTGCTGCTTTTGTTCTTTCAAATGCTGTCACTAGTTACCAGTCCAAAGCAGCAGAAATAATGAGCATATGTGCTTGGCCTGAACTCTCAATGTATTACCAACTGTAGGGCACACACAAGGCTACCCAGTTGACTCTAAAGGTATTATTCAAGTTGAACTTGAATTTCCCTTGCTCTAAGGTAATTCCTGGCACATAACTTACAGAACTTTGAAAGCTGCAGACTACTAGCTTACTGGAGTGAATGGCTAACATAACAAGGCCTATTGTTCTGCAGATACAGATATATTGAGGGTCAAATAACAGTGCTGGGCCTCCTTATAGCAAGAGTCAGGAATATAGCCAGTAGAGTCGTGAGCAGTGAAGCCTGGATTCAAAGTCAATTATGTTTGAGTTCCAAGGCTTTTAAGTTGTGATAACTTGGCCAAGAAACTATCTTTTTGAGGTTTAAACTTTACCTTTTGGGAGCATAACTCTCCTCTGTCAATTAAATCTCCATACTGCTGAGAGAGAGAGAGAAAGAGATATTTTTCTATAACTCAAGTATGACCACGTCATATCTTGTTGTGAGATCTCCAGTTGTTTCTTAATGCCATAGGGTTAAATTCAAACTCTTTAAGAAGTCAAAGTGGGTCACTGGTAAATATTTTTTATGAGTCAAATTAATAAATGAATTTATGAGATGACCAGGTGGAACTAGTAATAAATTAGTACTTTTTATTTTTATTTTTTTTTTGAGACAGAGTCTTGCTCTGTCACCCAGGCTGGGGTGCAGTGGCATGATCTTGGCTCACTGCAACCTCTGCCTCCTGGGTTCAAGTGATTCTCCTGCCTCAGCCTCCCAAGTAGGTGGGATTACAGGCATGCACCACGATGTCCAGCTAATTTTTTTTTTTTTATTTATAGTAGAGATATTTATAGTAGAGATGGGGCTTTGCCATGTTGGCCAGGCTGATCTCAAACTCCTGACCTTGTGATCTGCCTGCCTCGGCCTCCCAAAGTGCTGGGATTACAGGCGTGAGCCACCACACCTGGCCATAAGTCAGTACTTTTTTTCAATACTTGCTATGTACTTGATGCCATGTAAATTGCTTCACATCATCTCATTTAACCCTTAAAACAACCTTACATTTCTGATTTTATTTCAAGCTCTATATTTTTGTGATATTTGGATGTTTGTCAATGTTTGCTATTTTTAATGTCAATGGACATTTTGTGAGGTATTTAAGCATCTATATCAGTGGTTTTCAAACTGTGAATAGCAGTATTTAATAAAATATAGCTATTATTTAAAAGGGAGCTTAGCGCTCCTCTTAAAAACAAAGATAAATAAATATCTTTACTACAGGAACTTTCTGGTCTTTAATATAAGTCACTGCACCATGAGTATATAAGGGAAAATAAGGTAGAATTTTATTATGTGACAAAGGAATTTCTTTGGGTTGAACACATATTAAGATGTACTAGTATTCTACAGAAGTTAGTTGGGAAATTCTGATTGAGGTAAATCTTAAAGTGATGGGTCCCAGGCAAATATTCCCAGAGCACTTTCTAAGTTAAGAAGCTAGTTTAGCTTCTAAGTAAGTTGTATAGTAATACTGTAGTCATTCCAGGGAGAAACTCTTGTTTTGGAGCAGTTTTAAAGACTCTAACAATAGCATGTGTTATAGAATAGACAACCCCAATGTAAGTCCATAGAATGATTGGGCACATGAAACAGCTTTCCTATATCCATGTGAAATGAAACTATTTAGCCAGTCTAATAGGTTGGCACAAAATTTTAAGACAAGGGGGATTTAAAAATAAATTCTAAAAAATCCAAGCTATGAGATACTTTGAAGTGGTTAAAAAGAGTGAGATAAACCTATGCATAATGTAGAAGATGTTGTCTACATCAAATAATTAAGTGAAAGAGAAACAAATTGTAGAAAATACATTACATATAAAGATTTTATTTATCATGTTAAGAAACATGTACATTTAGAAATGCATAGAAGTGGGTCTGGAAATTCACATACAAAACTCTAATGGTAGCTTCTGAAAGGATGAATCATGGGATGATGTGCTGTGGGTAAAAGAAGGCATTCAATTTTTACTCTACTAAACTTACTATTATTTGAGATTTCAATAAAAGACATGTATTACTTTTATAATAATTTTATTTTAATTTAACCATACATGTTCTATGCACGAAGAAAAAAGCATATTCCACTGACTTTTTTTTTCTATGTCCTCTGCCTTAGCTAGAGATAGAATACCAATTATTATTGCCTTTCTAGAAGATTATAGAGAAGAATATTGAGATTACATACGGTCTTTTACTATATAACATGAAGAATGTCAGGCAGTGCTCACATTCAGTTATGTAATCTGTACAAGTCAAGGGTGCAACAGGAAAAACCATACTATGACCTTTAGTATGTAATACACGGCCACCAATTTCCTAATTTGCATTCTACTTGGATGTAACATCTCCTCTCCAGATCATTCCAAATGCTTCGATTTTCTTATATCTCTTTTAGATCATGAAGGTAGGCACATGCTAGAAACCTCCTTCTTCCTACTCCTGAAATCACCCCATATGTACTTGCTGAACATCTAAGAATCCTTCAAGAATAACTTCAGAATTTTATTCTTTGGTGAGATGTTTCCTCACTAGCTCCTTCTCTACCACAAGTGAATACATTATGCTTAAAAAATTTTAAATCTTAACATTTATTGCAACATGTTGAAATTGTTATATAACCTTAGTTTTTATCACTACATTAGGTACTCACAAAACCATATCTTCTTCTTATTATTTGTTTTAATTCTCAGAGCCTGCAACAAACAGGCTTTGGAAATTAATTCCAAATTAAGTGTTCCAAAAATGAATGGCTTGGGTCATGGAGTTAGGATGCTACATGCAAGATATTAGAGTAAGCTCTCTGAGAGCTCTGACGCTGAAGCAGGCATAGATTCTTCCACTAGATAAAGAGGTGAAATACATACAAATAAATATAATACGAATAAGAAGAAAGTGATTAGGGTCATGAGAAGAATTTAGAGAAAATGCTTGCTGCCCATTCCACTTAAAAAATCCCTGAGCAGTTGTAAGTGGCAATGGCTCAAACAATTTATGAATTTTGAATATAAAAAATAAAAATAAGAGAGAAAAATGACTGGTTTCTAAAGTAGATGAAAAATCAACAACAAATAACTACTAATGACATGGCCTTCATTAACAGAGAGAAAAAACAAAACAAACTCCTGGTGAGCACATTTATTTCCTGCATATGGAATTTCTTTGTTCTCTTTGAAGCCAGATTAGTTCAGATCCTGAAATAGAGTATTCGACTTGAGTGTCTGTTAAGATTGTATGTTAAATAAAGGGCATTTTTTAATGGGCCATACAAAATAAAACCTGCTCTATGAAAATGACAGTGATAGAGTTTCCTTCTAATCTTTGGTTAAATCAATCAACTTTTTATGGATTTCAGAGCTTTCCAGCTGATAGGCAGCAACACAATGGTGTGTTGCAAAGAGGTTTCAGGTGTGTTAGACATGGACCTCTTGCCACTCTCATGGCCATTCCTCACCAGCCATAAGCAGGCTGGTTCATTTATCCCAGTGATTTTTCTTCCTTTTTTTTTTTTTCTCTATTGCCCAGGCTGGAGTGCAGTAGCGTGATCTCGGCTCACTGCCAACTCCGCCTCCCGGGTTCACGCCTTTCTCCTGCCTCAGCCTCCCGAGTAGCTGGGACTACAGGCGCCCGCCACTGCGCCTGGCTAATTTTTTTTTTGTATTTTTTAGTAGAGACGAGGTTTCACCGTGTTAGCCAGGATGGTCTCGATCTCCTGACCTAGTGATCCACCCGCCTCGGCCTCCCAAAGTGCTGGGATTACAGGCGTGAGCTACCGCGCCCGGCCTATCCCAGTGATTTTTCTTTGTGTGCTGTGATATATATTATATATATAAACTCAAGAAACATTGATCTACTCTCATTTGAAATCTTCATTCTTTCACATGAACCAGTTTTTTTTTTTTTGATAGATGCCTATTACAGACATAATGTAATTGAAGGGAATGATAGCAAAACAAAATAGGCTATAAAGTTAAAAATATTAAGTATCATTGAAAATTCAAGATTATCTGTACCCTTGAAGAAGGCATTTAACCTTTTTTACTTTTAGTGTGCTTGTGCATAAAATGAATAAAATAATATCTGTCACGCCAACTTTTAAATGACTGTTACAAATATAAAATAAAATAATGGATGTACAATGCTTTGAACCCTATGTATTATTAAATTATAAGACTGTCAACTCCAGTATATACTTTCCATTCACGGAATAGAAATCTTTTTTCATATATCATTTTATTAATTATTCTAAGAAATGAGAAGATAGAATAAGTAAAACTCATTCAGAACTGAAATGAAATTTAACTGAAATATGGCTCATATGCCTTCTATTTCAATTGCCATTATCTAAGAATATTTAAATTCTACATTCGCACTGAGTTAATATTGAAATTCATG
Source organism: Homo sapiens (assembly GCF_000001405.40). NCBI lineage: Eukaryota > Metazoa > Chordata > Mammalia > Primates > Hominidae > Homo > Homo sapiens. The sequence continues at coordinate 174,116,723 of NC_000003.12, read as the reverse complement.
ATCAACATTCATCTTTGTGGTATGTGAGTATGTATACAGTTTCCAAATGCTATCTTAGTCTATGAGTTCTAAAAATCTTACATGTTGGGCGGGCATGGTGACTCATGCCTGTATTCCCAGCACTTCGGAAGGCCAAGGCAGGCAGATCACTTCAGGCCAGAAATTTGAGACTAGCCGGGACAACATAGTGAAATCCTGTCTCTACAAAAAATATAAATATTAGCCAGGCATGGTGGCACATACTTGTAATCCCAGCTACTCAGGAGGCTGAGATATGAGAATCCCTTGAACCTGCAAGGTGGAGGTTGCAGTGAGCTGAAATCATGCCAGTGCATTACAGCCTGGGCTATAGAGCGAGACTGTCTCAAAAAAAAAAAAAAAAAAAAAAAAAAAGAAAACCCAGAAAAAAACTTACATGTCACAATTCACAATGCAGCATATAGAACTTGTGTTCATAAATGTAAGATGATAGTGATGTTGATGACGAGTGGTGTTGATGGTGGTGGTGTACAGCAATGAGAATGGTGATAATAATAATATCTTATATTTGACCTAAACATACTTTTCAAAGCTTTTATATTGTCTATTTCAGTATTTATAAAAGTGTATTAAACAAATTCCATGGAGGCTATGGGATTTGGGAATTGAATGGTTAATAATTTTCTTGTTGTAATGGACTTCCCAGTGTTTTAATATTCTCAGAGTTTTTACTAGGAAATTTTAGATGGTACAAGGCATATGCACAATTCACTATGGGAACATTTTTAACTGTTAAATGGAATATATTTTGGGATGCCCTCATCTAATGTAGAGACATATAGAACCTTAGTGCTTGAGGTGACCACAGTCACATGTCATGTACTTCAACATCTTCATTGAGCAAATAAAGCATTAAAGCTCAGAGGAGTTAAATGACATTTTTTGAGGCTACCCAGAAAATTAGTGATAGAGGATAAATTATAGTCCAAACTTTTAAACCCTAGAGCTTTGTCTTTGTTATTGTGACATCTGGATGTAAGAGTATCCCCAGGCTCCCTTTATCTCTACATAGTCTTTTGGATAACTAACACGCTCTCCCTTGTCACCTCTTCCCAGCCTCATTTGTACCTTTTATTTCTGGGTCGGGATTCCAAAGTTATCTCCATGACCCCAACATTCTCTGGATGGAAGGACCTCTCCATGAATCAGTTATCTTAACGTGGATTCTATAACGGTGGTTTTATATATCTGTGTAACACATGACAAAAATAATATCTAGAGGTAAGATTTGCTTAGGGTAATGCAGAAGTCAGTGACATGGAGAACCAGGGATAGAACCTAAATAACAGCTGAGATCGAATCTTGTTTTCCCATGTTTCAATTTTTACAATAATAGTGGCTATTATATATTGTGCTTAAGTATCAGTCATTATGCGTAACTAAGCCCTGTAGTTCTCTCATTTAATCTCATTGGAAAATGAGTAAACTCCAGTTGATCAAATCACTTTCCAAAGTCATAGGGATAACCAGCAGCTGTACAAAATTTGAACCCAAATCTAACTTCAACGTACTGAGTCATTGACCATTCTCTACTTACTTTCATTTTTAATTTGAAAGTACAAAAATCAAAATATAATTAATTTTGAAAGAGACCGTCCACAATCCCAGGACCATTTTAGATGTCAGCATAGTCAACAGTCCTTTGTTAACCAGGCAGTAAAGATATGTCTATCAAAGTTTGGAAAATCTAGATTCTGATCCAATTGCTGCTCCTTATTGGCTATATACTCTTAAGCAAATTACTCTGTAACTCAGTTTACTTGCCTTTAATAGATACCTGCTATTTTGTAGGACAATTTTGAGATTAAGGAATTTGGAAAGTCAGAGATTCCTGATACTTGGAAGAGCCTAGTCTCTTCCTAGTATTGTTAGGAACCTTCGAATTGGGGTAAAAATGAACATTATAAAGAAAGATGCATTTTCTGGGTACATCTATGAGGTGGAAAAGTATAACACCTTACGGATAATGTATAAGTGCATGTAAACTATGCAGCGTTAGATAAAATATGACAAACATCACTAGAAGTTATGCGAGCAAAATCAGATTTAACAAAATTGTAATTTAAAAGGAAACATACTGAAAAAAGAGAAAAGATGGCTACCTTTTTGTTGTATTTGAAAGATTAATAATTTTTGTGACTTGATTGGGTTGAGACTTAAAGCCTCATTGAGTAAGGCATCAGATAAATTGGTATGACGCATCCATTTTACAATATTTAGAGCACTTCCGGGAGTTTTGAAATTGTTTATATGCCATTTTAAAATTGGGGATTATCCATAATGAGAGAGATCATTTTTACAGCTTCACTCACATTACTGGGGGCTGTAAGTTGATATTCATAGGTTAGTATTTTAATGAATTACATAAAATCTTCCCTTAATGTTTATAAAATATGTTTGCTACTGCAATTTGCACGCCTAAATACTTGTAGTGCCATTAAAGCCATGTGGGTGAAAACAGCCAGCATCACATGGCATAAAAACTAAAGCCTGTGCAGGCATGGCACTGAAAAATTAAGGCCAATGCTTCAGCCTAGATAAGGATGAGGAAATATATTTCTGTCACACAAGAGGAGTTCTATTTAACATATGTTGGACATTCCTAGCTAATTTTTGTACCACTTAATCTAAAAATAAAGGAGGGGAAAATAAAGTTAGAGAAGAGAGCATCTGGTAAAATAAATTATCTTTATTAGAGTGGTTCCTACTACTGCTGTGGGGTAGTTAAGTTCTATCAGTTCTACTGTTATCAATCCTGATTTCCAAAGATTTCCGTCGTAACTATAAAAAGAGCTGATATAGACTCTTCCAATTGTCAGCCTTGAACATTTCAGTTGATTCACCTACGTACAGTTAGTGATAAATAAAAACTTGACAAGGAACTAATCAAAATATCAGAAATAATAAAGTGTTATTAATTTTCTAAATGTTAGGCATTATCTTAAGACCTATTCAAGAATCATTTTACTAAATCTATACAACATGCCTATGACATAGATAAGTGTTATTTATGCCCACATTTTAAATCATTAAATCCAGGCTCAGAAAAATTAAGTGAATATTCTAAAGACACACAGCTAATGAATGGCAACAATTGTTGCAAAATTCTCAGAAAAAAGGGAATTGAAATTCATTTTAGCTAGGAGATGCAAGAATGATAAGAAAGTTATAGTTCTATAAAGTTTTAAATCAGTTTTTACTGACATGTTCCCCTAATAAATACTAGAGTAGAATACATTTGAATTGAATAGTAAAGACTATGTCTCATAAAACTTTGTCTTATTTTGGAAATAAATCATATTCTTTTTGTTTTGCTTTCATTTTGTCAATCTTCCTTAGAAACATTTAGAGCTCAAAATCACTGTTAGGTTATTGTTTGATTTCTTGAAGATCAAACTTTGAAAGTACATAAAATTAGTATCTTAACCTACTTGCATGTGAAAATGTATTTTTTGGAGATTGTATACTATTGACAAATGCTCTTAGAAGCAATGCATTCAAGGTAAGAAAAATGTCAAAGTACTTACCATATAGAACATAAAAAATAAGCATTAAAATCTAGATGTGTGATGGGATTACTTTATTTTAAGTAGCCTCTTCTTCCTTTCCTTACTAATCCCTCCATCCTATCTAACAATATTTCTTGAAAATGGGCATAAGGAATTATAGAAGATACTATGTATATGTGTTTATATACATATCCTATTAAAAATAGCACATACACATATATTTCTGTTTAGCCATAAAGATTTTTGGTTTGTATCAGCTTGTTAAGAGGATCAATTAAAGGCCAAGCACATACTCATGAATTCATATGTTCACTGACTACTCATTGAGTACTTACTATATACTAATCACCGTGTCAAATTCTTTAATCAATAATGGGTCTAAAATAAAAATAAATCATATTTTTATTTTAATCTAACATATTTTTAGAAACATGATGTTATTAGCTTATAAATAAGGACTTCTAAATCAATTTAATCTTGTCTTCTACTGTATGAATCCATCATTTTAAGCGGAAGTAATGAGTGACATTTTAAAATGACTTTTCAATACAACAGAAGATATAAAATACATCCTGCATCCAACCAGGGCAGTTAATCTGTGTCATGGATCTATTGAACAGTGAGCAGAATACAGTGATATTAGCAAATATCACCGAAATGGCACTGAGTCTAAAAAGGAGAAATAGAAGTTGCTGTGATCGGTTCAGAAGAAAAAGAATAGTGGCTTCTCTCACATTTTTTTTCTTGATTCTATCCAAGAAGTTCAAACTCTATGTTGTCAATTTGTTCTCATATTATTAACAGCAGTCTGATGCATTGAGAAAGTTTTAAAAAATATTTACAGGTATGGTAATAAAGAGAAATTTTTAATTGATTTCCATTTATTAATCAATCATCTTATCTATTTCAATATCCAGTGACTTCATTCTTCAACTAGACATTTCAACCTTGTAAAGTTTCATATATAAACTCCTCGTACACCAGGACTGTTTTTATACTCAGGCATCTTTCTAAGCCACTAGAAATTTTTCTAATTTATAATCTAGTGCCAACTGCCTCTATATTAATTTGGTAATTATTCAGACATTACTTTGTGACATTTTTTGAGTCATTCTGTTGAACTTCTGTTTGTCTTATGCATCAACTTCTCACTCACATAATCATCTTGCTGGCTGGGTTCCTCTCTTAGAACAGAAGTTCCAAATTGGCAGTTCCAGGACTACTTCCACTGGTACATCCAAGAGTCGATATGTTTAGCATGTTTTAATATATTTTAAAACTGGATTTAATATGCATGGAACTTAGCCCTTGCTTCATGGCATACTTTCCTTGCACGTTCATGTGTTGCTCTCATTTATTTAGTTTTCATTTAATTGATTATTTTAAATAACATAATAGCACCCAGTAACTCTCCATTCAGACCATAAGGCAAAACCATACTAATAACTAATAATTCATTCCCTTCCTTCCCCTACCAAGTGTAATTACCATTCTATAACCTTGTGTTCACTACACTACTCCTTTGCTTTCCTTTTTTTAGGGTTTTATTGCATAAACATGTATTAATTAAAAGTAGATCTTATAACTTTTAACTTTACCAAATGTAACAGGCCATTTTTAGCCTATGATCATTTTAAAATTCAATATAAATTTAATATATTGTTAAAATTAACCTGTATTTAGCATATTCCTGTAGCTTATTTTGATCACAGTGGGTTTAAAAGCTTGTGAAATAATTGCCAACCTTTAAAAACTGGGAAAGGAGGGTTCACATAAAAATCCAAAGTTCTGGCTTTTATTAAATTTAAAATCTTAAAATTGTAACATTTGGAGATTTTTGGTCTCCATTCTTACATACGATCAATTCAGATAAGAATTAACTACTAGTTACTGGGGACTGGTCTTTCTGGGCCACACCAGTTTCTACAGTCCCATTCTTTGCCTGCTTCACTAGCTTATGTAGCCATACTGTGGAGTATGAATTGGTACTTCCTCTCTTAGACTGGCAGATTAGTAGTTAGCAAAATGTAAAATCTAATAGTTATGAAAACTACAACATTTTAACTCTTTAAGATACCTTTTTTGGATTAAAATAATTACTTAAATACAGTGTATTCTGGCCAATCCATGAGAAATTACTGTTGCTTAATGCTGGATGGTGCCCAAGTGTGTATAAGGACTGACGATAAATATTCCTCAACACTTACTTTGGGTGTTTCTGACTGTGACCTTTAAAAAGCAGAAGTAACTATTTACCAAAGGCCATAGAGAGATTGTTCTCTAAAATCACGTATTTCTTATCTAGTGCTTTAAATTGGTTTAATTCATCTACATTTTACCTCGGGTTTCTTTGGATTAAAAGAAAATATTCCAAGATTCTATGTTTACATATACAAAACATATTTTAAAATGAAGGCATTTATCCAGATAATTTAGGGAAAAAGTCATCATGTTAGAAAAGAATTCCTAGGTCAGAATTATGTATTTTAACAGACTATATCAAGCAAATGTCCTTTAACGCTTTTCATTATTTACTTCTTTGTACATTGGAATATTTTTAAGTACCCACTATGCACTTGGCATATCCTTGGAGTTAGTGTCATAATAGTTAACTCTTTTAATAATACTCATTAATTTTTACAATGTACTTAAACCCAACGAAAATGCTTGAAGAGTTAAATAGCAAGGAATAAAATCATTTGTTTCTTATTGGTTTCAGGTTTTACGCTTTTTCTGGATGTCGGATCCAGGCAAAAACAGGAATAATATCTAATCTTACCTGAAAAAATACAACGAACATCCCCTTAAAACAGCTAGATAGAAATAAAAACTAAACACAGTAATAATGCAAGCAACCAAACGTAATGTTATGATTAGTTCATTTGAGAGGTGGAGATGTGGAAAAGCTGGAAAAAGCAAGCACAAATCTACAGGGAAATGTAGCACAGTACTCAATGGAATAGAGAATTAACTACAAATCAGGGAAATGTTCACTGAGGAGAAGCCACCCAAGTGAACATCTGTAGTTTCCAACTTTAACAAGTCTTGGGAAGTAGGTACTGGCAGAATGTTCACTTCTAAAAATGACAAATCAAGTGTATACCACTCTAAAAACAACAAACAAAAAATAATGAAAATAAAGAAAAAAAGTGTGGAACATTCTACACAATTCAACAAAGATGGTGATTTAGGTTTTTGCAGTTCTTTAAAATGTCTTTAATTATCAAAGGGGCGTTTGCATTGGCTCCTTTTCAATTGACCATACCAGACATAGTTGAGGAACATGTGGATGGCTTCTGATTTTACTTCTAATGTAAATGCTGTAGTATCAGCATACACTGAATCCAAATTTAAATTTCAAGTGATTTGTTCCTTGAAAGCAACATTAAACACAAAACTGGAAGGAATATTTAGACACCTAAAATATCTTCACATCTTTGCTTATAATAAATATTCCAATAAGGTATAGTACCTTAACAGCTAATACATTTTTCTATGTTGGATAAAAATTCAACTGAGCCTCAATAAAGAAGGATAAAAGAATACATTTAATATGTTAATTTCTCGATGGAGTTATAAGGTCAGATATAGAGAAAAACATTATTATATGAAAAAGAGAAAAGATCCTCTTGACAGTTGTAGGTCAAATAAAATATTCATGAAAATTATGTGGTTCAATAAAATGTGCATGGTCAAACATGAGGAGGGAGTCCTTATAAGTGAGGAATAGAGAATAAAAAAATTGAGAAGCAAGTCCAAAAGGCAATAATAGCTATTCAACAGAGTATAACAGTGACTTTACGTGCAAACTAGAAAATGGTACACAAAAAATAATGCACAGTCATAGGAGGGTGCAAATAAGTATGAGGGAAAATATTTTTAAAACTGAAGGAAAAGGAACTTATTATTTAAAAAATTATCTCAAAAGGAGAAATCACTACAAAAGTATAATAATATTACTTTAAAATAATTAGAAGGCACTTGTTTTAGATTGCATTATACTATTAATTGTTTTTCATTTTTCTCTTTCTAAATAAACCAGTTAATTCTATAATTTTAGCAAAGGAAAAAATTTAATAAGAATTTATTGTAAAGGTTATTTAAAAATATTTAGCCTGTATCTTTTCAAATAGTTCTTTAAAATTTATAGGGCAGTTTTTGCTGTATAAATATACCTAATATTCACATTTATAAAAAACCTGTTATATATGTGTGTGTATGTACTATATATATTTCACATACACACACACATAGAGAGAGAACAGAGAAAGAGACAGAGACGGAGACTTTGAAATATGAAGAGCAAGCAGATCAGCAGATCAGTTAGGGACCTCAGACCCAAGAAATGACATGCTGATGACTAAGTTGCTTTCCTTGACCAAAGTTTAGCCAGGCTCCTCTGACCCATCTTCTCAATTAGGCCTGCCCTTGCCAGACCTGCATCACTCAGTCTTAGCAAGAATCCTTGCAAGTTGGTTTAGCCAGAACTCCCCCTTACTCCTGATGTTTCCTCTTAGTAATTTCCATGCACTGACCCCTACCCTGTTCCTTGGCTATAAATCTCCACTTGTCAATGCTTTATCCAGAATTGAGCTCAGTTCTATACTGAGGTCTCTTTCTTTCCTATTGCAATAGTTCCTGAATAATTTTTTTTCTTCACCTCTTTAAGTACTGTCCAGCTTAGCTTTTTCTAACAATGGCGAGTGTGCTGTGTTTTCTTTATGCCTCATATAGTCCAGGCTTGGTATTGAAAAAGAGGTACCTGGAAATACCAGGGAGTGCAGACAAAAAATAGTCCCCAAAATGCCTGCTCTCTTTAGTCAAAGGATCAGGAAAGGGGCAACCAAGCAAGGAACAGAAATCTAAGTTTCACATCTTATACAAAAATTAACTCAAAATTGGTGGCAGACTTATAACACTTTTATAAAAGAATGCAGGAGAAAATCTTTGGGATAAGTTACACAAATAGTTCTTAGACATACTACTAAAGGTACAATGCATGAAAGAAAAAAAATCAATACAATAGAATTTATCAAAATTTTAAAAAATTGCTCTGTGAAAGATGCAGTTAAAAGGATCAAAAGACAAGCTATAGAAAGAAAAATCTGTAAACTTCATACTTAACGAAATATTACTATTTAAAATATAAAAATATGGTACAAGGAACTTAAAAACTCAACAGTAAAAGAAGCAAATGATTCAATTAGAAAATGGGCAAAAGACATGAAGAGCCATTTCCATTGAATAGGATATGTTGATAGCAAATACGCACATAAAAAGATGTTCTACATCTTTAGATGTTAGAAAAATGCAAATTAAAGCAATGAGATGTCACTATTCCCATTGAAATGGCTAAAATAAAAGAGTTAAAACAGCAATTGCTGCTGGAGATGCAGAGAAATCAGATCACTCATACATTGCTGGTGGAAATGTAAAATGGTACAGCCTCAGCTGAAAAACAATATGGTAGTTTATTAAAAAAATAAAAATGCAACTATTGTATAACCCAGCAATGGAACTTTTGGGAATTTTTTTCTCAGGGAAATGAAAATTTATATTCACCTCAAAATGTGTAAATGAATGTTTATAGCAACTTAATTTATAGTCAAAAGTTGGAAACTGTTTAAATGTCCTTCAGTGGGTGAATGGTTAAACAAACTATGGTACATCATTCTATGGAATCCTACTTAACAATAAACTGGAAAGATCTATTAATACACACAATCACCTAGATAAATCTCTACAGAAATATACTAAGGGAAAAATGCCGGGCATAAGTCTTACTTTGTCTTATTTACTTTGTGGTTCCATTTATATAACTTTCTTGAAATGACAAAATTATAGAATTGAAGAACAGAGTAGTGGTTGTCATAGGTAACGTTTAGGAGAGGGTGGAGCTGGAGGAAAGTGGCTACAAAAGGGCAACATGAGAGATCCTTATGATGATGGTAGTGTTCTTTACCTTGACTATATCAATATCAATATCCTGGCTGTGATGCTGTAGTATAGTTTCACAATACGTTATCATTGTGAAACCGGGTAAAGGCAACATAAGACCTTTGATGGTTAACTTTATGTGACAACTGAAGTAGGGGATGCACAGATAGACGGTAAAGAGTTATTTCTCTCTCTCTCTCTCTCTCTCTCTCTCTCTCTCTGTGTGTGTGTGTGTGTGTGTGTGTGTGTGTGTGTGTGATTCTTGAAGAGATTGTCATTTGAATCAATAGATCGAGTAGAAGATCCACCCTCACTAATGTATGTAGCCATCATATAACTTATTGAGGGCTTGAATAGAAGAAAAAAAAGGAGAAAGGGTGAATTCTCTTTATCTTTTAAAACTGGACATGAGTCTTCTCCTGCCCTCAGACATCACAGCTCTTGGTTCTTAGGCCTTCAGAGTGGGGCTGCATTATACCACTGGCTCTCTGAGTTCTCCAGCTTGCAGATGGCATAGGGTGGAAGTTCATAGCCTCCATAATCATGTGAGCCAGTTCACATTTAAAAATCTCCTCCTATATATCTCTCTATATATCTCATTGGTTCTGTTTCTCTGGAGATTTCTGACTAATACAGGATCTCTCTTTGCCTTTTCTTACAATTGCATATAGATCTATAATTATCTAAAAATAAAATGTTTAATGAAAAAATATAGTATATATAAATTCTTGGTTTTTAATTTCTTTGAATATGTGAACACAATTAATTCTTAAAACCATAAAAGACAAGAAGAGAATATTTTTTTGAGGAAGCCTGACCATGGGTGGTTGGAACATCCTTGTGTTTTTGCTTCAAGATACAAAAATATTGAGAGAAAAGATCAGATTAAAAAATCTAGATTTAGTTCATAATAGAAAAGTATAACTGATCCTGAATTTTTGAGAAACTATTATATATATACCAGGCATAATGCTATATTCTTGGAGAAACAGCATATATTAAAGAGGCCTCTCACCTCAAAAAGTTCAGAGTGAGTATATAAACTTTATGCGAGCTCTAGATTCTAACATAAGTTAAAATCCTTCCTCGGTGATTCTAATTGAGGCTTTGATCAAATGATTTAACTTTTTTGAACTTCATTTTACACATCTGTAAAAGAAGCCTTATGGTCCTTACCAAGAATTGAATAAGATGTTTCGTGTAAAGGTATTATCACCGGGTCAAGTAAAATATAGATTCTCAATTGATGGTAATTACTGAATTATTTTCAGGGGCTCCAGCATATCAGTCAAAAAATGATCCTCTGTTTCATTGAGCAATTAACCAATGTGACCTCAAATAAATTCCATGGCCATGGGATAGTGTAGCCATTCACATAATTGCTCCAAAACCAACATTGCTAATAGTATATATTTCCATGGGTCCTTAAGAGTCTTGTGCACTATTATTTTCTATTGGAAAAGGTAATAGGACTTCATTAGGTAAAATGTGGAAATGCTAGAAGAGTAAGATATATATATATCTAGATATAGATATAGATATCTATATCTACATATAGATATTATGTCTCCAAGGAAGGAAATCTCTCAGTATGGTGAAGACAATTGTCCTGAATAAACATGATCTGGTGTCACTGATTTAAGTTAAAAGAAAAATTCTTTGTTTTCTGGTTTTGCTTGCTTGTTTGTTTGTTTTGAGAAAGGGTCTCACTTTGTTGCCCAGGATGGAGTGCAGTGGCCTTATCATGACTCACTGCAGTCTTGACATCCCTGAGCTCAAGTGATCTTCCCACCTCAGCCTCTGCCATCTGAGTAGTTGGGATATGGGTGCGTGCCACCATGCCTGGCTAATTTTTGTAGTTTTTGTAGAGACAGGGTTTAACCATGTTGCCCAGGCTAGTCTTGACCTCCTGGGCTGAAGTGATCCACCTGCCTTGGCTCCCAAAGGCTGGGATGACAGGCATGAGCCACCATGTCAGCCAGCCAAACTCTTTGATCCAAACAATGAAATTCAACTTCAATTCCTCCCCTTCTTGCAACTTTCATATCCAGTCATAACTTAAGTCCCGTAAATTATGTCTTTCTATTCTACTTCTTTGTCTCCCCTTTCTTAGCTATACCCTACTTGGCCAAAACACAAGCATATATTATTTTCACCTGTATTTATAAAATAACTTCCTCACTGAACTCTGTGACGACTCATTCTTTTCCATGTTTGCTGCTAGTTATAATCTGAGAACACATCCTTTTCTACTCTTGTCACTAGCCATATCCTGAAAACTCATATCAAGTCATGTAATTTCCTGATTAGAAGCCATCTTTGACCCCAGAATAATGTCTAAACTCCTCAGCATGACACTCAATACCTTCTATAATCTCACCCTAAATTCCTGTTTCCTATCTCAATACAACCTAAAACTCTGCCAAAGAAAATATTAACCCTAACCCTGCTGACTTGCACACCTACCTGATCATGAGCATCTCTCCACTTCTTCCCCACTTAACAAAATCCTGTTTATCTGCAAGATTGAACTCAAATCCTATCTTTTCTCTGAAGCTCTTTTTTGTCTCGAGTTAGAACAATACAACAAAATTCCTCAACTTTTTCTGTACCACTATAATTCAAGTGCATGTTTTTATATCTTTTATTCTTATTTAGATTACATTTAATGTTCCTACGTGTCTAACTTACATGCTGTATTTTAAAAACAAGTATTATAAGATACTTAAAGGCATAATCTATGCCTAGTAAGGCAGTCTTTGAATCCCCAGTGTGTTTCACAGTGTTGAGCACATGCAGAACACACAATTCTAAACATTTAATAAATATTTTTGAGTAAAACCATGAATTACTGCACACATCTGAATCATAGTATAAATATAGCCCAGTGAAATATATCTAACAGGTGCTCAATAAAAGCTATTTGAGTAAAATGGCTTTGAGTGAAATATTATTATAATATCTTAAAGCTCACAAGTCAATTTAAGTGAAATATTACTATAATATTTTTGAAACTCGAATAGCCAAGCCATAGGACATGGATAGAGAGACAAGTAACTAAATAACTGCAGAAGAAATAAGGACAAAACAAGGGCTTAAAGAAGGACGATTTGAAACCTGAAAGGAGAAAAGAGAAGCTACTGCAAAAGACTGCGAAATGAAAAATTGTATTAAATATATCAGAGTAAATAAAAGATAAAGTAAAATATCATTACTCTATGAGGTGAGAAGAAACAGCCAGGTGTTCTATTTTTCTGCTTTTATACAAAAGATAAACTAGAAATGTTGCCAGTAATCTATATAGAAAAAGAAAAATAATAAATAGCAGTAGTGTGAAGTACACAGTGTTAGCTATAACACAGAAATGAAAAAAGTAAAGAAAAAAATTTTATATGCTCTGGCCATTTTCCTAAAAAAAGTTTAGACTCTATTTATAGAAATTTAACAGGTAAATGTATGACTAGGTCATACAGTAAAAACTATATTCAAGAATATTGATGGTGAGGAATTTAGGTGTGATTCTAATAGGTAATAATATCTTTATGTTTTGTACAACAGTTTATCATACCACTAGTTCACTGCAACATAACAAAAGGCCTCTGATTCAAAGGCATATTTTCTTTAAAAATGCAGCTGAGTTATGTTACTTTACTATATTATAATGGCATATTAATACCTGTCAGTTCACTAGAACATTTAATTGCCAATAAAAAACCCATTCTCCCATCATTATGTTTAAAATAAAATCTACTCCCATTCTGAAAATTAAGATGGCAAGATTCTCTGGCTATGTATGATGGTCTTTCCTATTAGAGTATTTTTAACGTGAGGAAAAAGAGATATTTGTATAAGCAAAAATGAGCCTTTATCTATACAACTAACAGCTTTAAAATATTTTAAAATATTTTTGAAATACAGCAATTGTTACTCTTTAGAATATTTCCTCTTTCCAGTCCAAAATTTTTTGAAGGAAACTGCTTATCTCTAATTGGTTTTATGTTTAATCAAAACCTTTCTTGAAACATTTCAATGAATGTGACACACGGAACTTCTATGTAGAAAAATGCAATGTTACTCACTATGACTTCTAATGCAAAAACCCCAAATGTCAAAACAGTGTGGAAGTTACAAGTACAACTGCAAGCTGAGAAAAAGATTTACAGTTCCTTCCAGTCCTCCATTTATTTTACAGTTGCCATATGAGATTTTATTTCTGCATGAAAGCTGCATTGATAAAAAGGTTTAATTGTCTGTCAGTGTGCCTTATGGTAAAGTTGCTTCATTTACTTCAAGTCGGAATCTCATTACCAGTTCAATTCTCCAGACTCTCCTCCATCTTAAGGTGGTGCTTAATTAGTGTAGACGTAGCAATGAAGGCAAATAGGCATGCTTATTCTTCCCCCACTTCTCCTGGCGAATCTAATAGACTATTGATTTTCCATCCTCAAATAGATCAGGCACCATTCAATCATGATATTAACTGTCCATTAACTTGAATTCCCTGGGCTGTCAGAGAATTCATGGGCTGTCAACACTATCAAGGCCATCCAATCAACCAGTCAACAGCCAGGTAGCACCTGCAATTGGAGAGCTTTTGAAAACCGTGCCTAAAATTCTGTTCTTCGTTATTTTTTTAACCAGAAGAGTTTTTATTCCTATCGTCATTTTTCTTATTTAGCATTTGAATACGGCTCTCATTTCCTAACAATTACACTTGGAAAGAGGTGTTTGCGTTTGAAAGGTTGATTGTGTTATCTGCTGACAAGCCATAATTTTACTCAAAACTAATTCTACCCCTTTTCCACATCTGTAATATTTTGAAAATAATGTGACACTATAAACAGTTAGAATTTGTCAAAGCAAATAGATCCTTCTAATTTTAGAAAAAAGATCTTTATTAATTTCGACTTTAGTTTTAAGAGATAATTTTCGTATTAAAAAGCAAAGGAAAAAAAATGAACATCTTATACCCCCCCATGTGTGAATGTGCAAGAGTTAAACCAAGAGAGGGAGAAAAAAAGCTGGCTATGATTTTTTATACTACATATCAACCTAAGAGAAATCACATTCAGCAGTACATTTGTCAGTGAAAAGAATGGCAACCACAAAGGCCTCTTTGGAGGGTGGAAAATCTAAACTTATGCATATAATTGTAGAAATACTTTTTTGTTATTTTTAAGTACATATCTTTCATTAACATATTTATTATTTGATGAAAATGTGGTGATCATGCCCTCTGTCTGAAGTACTACTCCATAACACATCTTTCTTCCTGCTGAAGCCCTATTTAAATGTCATTTGCTCTGTGAATATTCCCTGATCTCCCGATTGGAAATAGGGTAATTTCTTCACTGTTTTCTTTGTCCTTTTGGGGAGCACTTATGACACACAGAGAGTGGCTTACATTAAAAGTACCTTTCTTCCTTTGAGGACAGATAATATGTTTTCATTCATTTTTTAGTCAGTCAGTCATTTTTCTAGTCACTAATCCCTTTGATAACTATTTATTATGAATCTATAGTGTGGGCACTATTGTGCGAGGGCCTGCGGAAAAACAAATAAAAGACAAAGACACGTTTTTGACTTTAAGAGGTATACAGTCCTGTGAAGGAAGTAACATATCATTAGAACACAGTGCTATTGCTATCATTAAGTTTTTAAAAAGCTGTGATTCATTGAAAGTTGTTTACAAAATTAATTGGGAGGCCATTAGGCTGAGATGGCTCCAGCACTTTGGGTTCAGACGTAAGCTGATCAAACCTAACTCAGTGTAAACAGTAAAACGAAACTTCAGCTGAACCAACCAGAAACTGCCAACTCATCTCTGACTAGAGACCTGAAAGCTACTGTTCCAGTTTAAACAAGCAAATAGTTTCTGTGTATTAATTCCTCAAACACCTTATACAATTTTTCGTCTCATGCTCCTTTGGTGGAGTCCAAACTGCTTATAGTTTGATTTGCCTGATTCATGAATCCTCGTCCGAAGTAACTCTTTAACATTTTAATGTGCCTACATTTATCTATTAACAGAACCTAAAATGTACCAGGTGCTAAGCCATGTACCTTACTTGCATGGTTGAATTTAAAAATCAAAAAGTACCAGAAGTTAAACATCACTGTCCCAATTTTATAAGTAAGAAAATCAAGGTCAAAAATTTTCAGCAACTACCTATGTTGATATCACATAGTTGACAGAAGGCAGACATGGGTTTTGAAAATAGGCCTGGCTGACTCCAAAACAGTTATGCTCTTGGCCTCGTACTTGCTGCAGAGGGGAAAACGGAGCCTCTAGAAGTATGATGGCTGTGGAGTGTGTCATCCAAACCAGGATGACACACCCCATTGTGAGTGAAAGGGAGTGCTAAATAAATGAAATGTTGAGAAAATTGACATAAATTGAGACTTTCTCTGGTGAACTAGAAAAAAAATGGTCACTTTACTTAGAAGGGGCACCTTTCTTACCCCTTATGAAGATCTTAGAAAGCAGGAGGCAGAAGGTGACTTCTTAATTGAAATGAAGGGATTTTGAAGAAAAAAAAAAGGAAACTTCCTTTTTAGTGATAAACTGCAGCCTATGTGAAGCCTGGTGGCTTAAGAGAAGATGGCACATTGGAGAAACCACTTTTAGAGTTCCGTGTGGCTGGAAGCCAGCATGTGAAGTGATGGGGTGAGGGGAGAAGTTGGGTTATACATCAAGCAGACAGAGACAGATCCTAAGGGGGCTTGTGGGCCACACTGAAAGGGTTTAACTTTAGGCAAATGCCTTGGGAAAGCAAAGGCATTGAAAGACTTTAAACCAAGAGAGACAAGATGAGCCTTGTACTTTTGGAATATGTTTCTAGCAGTGGGGTAGAGCTCAATAAAATATGTTTAATTAAATTGATAAAAATAAGTGAAAATAATTATACTTTACGGTGAACATTATAGAGTAGCTAAAATTAAAATAAAGTTTTTTTTTTTTTACCATAGGTATTTATTGATACATGCAAAATTTCAAGCCATGTTGAAAGATTCCTTAGTTGTCTATAGCCTCTGGCATCACACAATGGAAACAAAAATAACAGCACAAGATTACATTTTGAGTTTTCGTTTCGAGTCAAACTCTGAAATATTTAAGGAAGTTTTTTTCACCTTATTTTGCTCAATGAGGAGCAAAAACCCCATATTTAATTCATGTAAAACCCAAACAAACTAAATTATACTTTCATACATTTCCACAGAAAAATCAACAAGCCGCCAAGGGTCATGGCAAAGTTCTCAGGCACGTCTTTAAAGATGATGCATCAACAGTGACAGCTGCCACAAGAAATCCCTGACTCAGCAAAACACATCAGAACTGCATCCTGTCCACACGTGGACGTCGAGAAACACTCTATTGCCTTGAGAATGAACTCTACAGGTATTTTCACAGTTTATCTCTCTTTGAGATATAAGAATTAACTAACAAGTTTTCTTTTCACAAGAGGGCCTATTTTTATTACTGCATTCTTTTGAACTTTTTTTTTCTGAAGTTAATTAAGCCTTCCCTTTGAATTACTTTACTATGTCATACTAAAAGGCTAAAATGGTGGCACATAGACTGCCAAGTTAAAATAATCACTGATTTCTATCACTAAATAAGTTTTAATCACTTTCTATAAGTGTTTACTCAGATTTGGAATTATATTCTCACCTTTAATCCTCAGAAGTCCAGGGAAAGCCTTCAATAAGAACTAATATTGTTACGCATTGCTATAAATTTCAACAAAATCTGTGCATTTAAGTCTATTTTTGCAGTGAAACTGGGGCATTGTTAAAAATGCAATATCAACTAAAATTGACCACACATATCTTAAAACCTGGAGATCATAAACAGCCTTAAACACTGTGAATTAGCATATGCATGTTATCTACAGCAGCAAATAATATTGCAATTTTAAAAAAGTCTTAGGTATAAATTATAATTCATTCACGATGCTTACAAATGAATTATCATATTCAGATCTAACTACATATTTATGAGATTCGAGCCAGGTGTTTATCATCTTCAATGTATAAATAATGCAAACGGGTTCTATGGCATAGCTGGGACTAAAACGTCTGTTGCATAACTTCTACTGTTTTCCTTTGCACATTGGCTTTTTGATTTATACATTTGTTGTTAAAGACTGTTTTGATTTTAATAGAAATGTCCAGTTTTAATAATTTATCTTCACTATGACTATGAGAATTTCACAGCAGGGAGCCCAACTTAGTTGATATCTTAATTTTGTGGCATTTTCATTGGTTTAATGAGATCTCATTTAAGTTAACAAAGCTAAAATCTCATTAAATGTATAAACAAGCTCTTATGTAATAAATCTTCTAATGGCTTATGCATTTTTAAGGCATTACTCACTTTTTTGGTGTTTGCTTACAACATGCATTTGCTTTATATTCAGTTATTTAAACTGAAAGTGAGTTTATCTACTAGTAGTTTAATCGATTATACTCTTGTTACTCAAGGTGTGATCGATTTGTGGACCAGTGGCCTTTGTGGGATGTGGTTTGAAATGCAGTGACTCAGGCCTAACACTGAACTGATTAAATCAGAATCTGAATTTTAACAAGACCATCAGGTGATTTCAATGCACAGGGAAGTCTGAGAAGTACCATTCTATACTCTAGTGAAATCAGTCCTCAGTAGGACTGCAGAAAGATGAGACTGCTAGACATCCAATGTCTATTTATTTTCTTAGCATCTACTACACTGGAAAAATCATTTGAGGCAGCAGATTTTCTGAATTTGGTAAAAATGTTTCCCACTGACCCTCCTTTTACCCTCACCAATTTGCTAGGTGGGTATAGAGGTAAATGCACATAGACATGCATATTATAGTAAGAAAAGTGTGATCATGCACAAGCTTCCTCTTAATTTTTTTTTCCTTTTGTTGTAAGAACACATTTTACAAATTTGCACAAACTGAATTACAAAATGTGAAATATAGGTAATGGAGTGTAATAAATGCACAGCCACAATTGAAGGAAAAATGTTCGGGAGGCAAATGAAACTCTCAAAGGAAATAGTCCCAATCCTGGATAATCTCATTAAGAGCTTTACTGCAAGTAGCAACAAATTAGTAACATTATGAAGGTGATTTGTATGTAAATTTCCTTTTTATTTTTCCTGTATATGTGTTTGCTGTGGTCCAACATTTATGGAGAAATGCTTTGATTTTATCAGACGAATGTTAATACCACCTCAGTGATATACTGCAGAGAAGCTACTGCAGGAGGATTAACTGATAAAACAGGTAATCCAGACACATGCTTAGAGCTACACGAGTTAGTTAAATGGCGGGCAGTTATTCTGCTAACTATGCACCACTCACCCACTGACAATGAATCACTACCTTCTTAGGGTGAACTGGTGTTGGAGTGATAATGAGCAGTATCCTTGTTCATAATTAGAGACTGTACCACACCTCTGACCACTTCCCTTAGGATTTGATCTCTGTCAAACTCCAGGAGCTATTTCAGTAACTCTTTATAACCACTTTCTTTGTAAACTGGATCAGATATTTTTCCATTACATATTATGTTTTTCTTCATAGCTGGCTGGATAAACTCACTCCAAAACACTACATAATTGTGCCCTACATTCACATCAATTGAAATAATTTTAGATTTAATGATTGAGATTCAAAAGGTTGAGTGAGTGACTGGCAGAATTATCTGTTTATAACACAGACTGGATAGAAATGACTCATGTACATTATATTAAAACATAAAAATGATTATTTGCAGCTCTAAATTCAAATAATTTTAAAGGTTCCCTTTTGGGCCATGAATATTCCCTTTGACAATCCACAGTGATCAAATAAATTGAACAACTGCCAAGTTTTCAGTTTGCTGTTTGGTGTGTAGACAGTCCAAAGATACTCATATCCATTCACTAATTATTGCCCTGAAGAATAAATATGAATGATTTCTAAAGTGATTTGAGTTCTAAACAGAGCTATACTTAAAATTTTGAATAGTTATAAAAATGAAATCATTACATCTTTGAAATTCTTTGCCATGAACAGAAATATCCCATCTGTTGATTAAGAAAACATTCAGAATATTGGATAATTATAATCATTTATATCTAGCTAGCATCTTTCTACAGTGGCGCTCATAGTCCTATTGTCTTCTTAACCCTCAAATCGTTCCCAAGGTGAATAAATGGAAGCCTTTTAAATATTCAGTTGTGGCAAAAGCCACAAGCCATTAGTTAAAAAAAAAAACTTATAGACACACATGATTACACACAGACATACATACACAAAAACTTATTTATTTATTTTCTTAAATTTCATTCCCAGATGTTAATTCCAGAAATATGTTACCTTGTCTTCTGAGGTCACTTATGAAAATTTTTGTTTCTAAATACCACTGTCATGGTTTCTACACGTTCAATTACATTAGAAAAATTCTAATATTCTTAATTATAAAAAGCAATATTGAGAGTACTCACTAGAATAATATATTTCAATATGATTTCTCAAAAATGATCACATCTAATAAAAACTTAAATGACATAAAAGAAGCCAGGTGGACTTTAGTGTTACAAATCATGTTATAATTGGTTTTCTAAAATTTATAATATATTACCACAAATGTCATCTCATTTAAACATTCACCTTGAATGGTGTAGGTATTTTGGTGGGGACTTTCCCATTTAAAAGTTATCCATTTTCAAACCGACCTTCTATCTACTTTTGTATTCTGATGGTAGAGGTATATTTACAATATCTTTCAGGGAATTAATGCTCTATAAAATGATATTTCCATGATTATATTGTTTAAGTTAAATGCATTTTAGAAAGTTTTACACTATTATAGTATAACTAGGTTATATTTGTACTTAACTAAATCAACCCATGTTCTGCGGAGAACCCTTCATGGGTCACCAAGGGAGATGGAGGAGACAATCCAGTTTCTGTTCCTAGTTCCTCTCAATAACAGTACGTTTATATATTACATATATTATATTTATGTATATTATATGCATATATACATATACACATATATATTACATATGTATTATATATTCTATACACACATATCACATTAATTCCATTTTTGTCTATTATATACATTGTGTCCATTAAAAATGTTATATCAAAAGCTATTCTGCAGTTAAAAATGTTTGAAAACTCACTCTTTGTATATAAGGCTCATGATGGTGTTTATAAAATTATTTTTTAATTACTTTTTATTTATTTATTTATTTTTTTAGATGGAGTCTCGCTCTGTCACCCAGGCTGGAGTGCAGTGGCGCGATCTTGGCTCACTGCAACCTCTGCCTCCTGGGTTCAAGCTATTCTCCTGTCTCAGCCTCCCGAGTAGCCAGGACTACAGGCACATGCCACCACATCCAGCTAATTTTTGTATTTTTAGTAGAGATGGGGTTTCATCATGTTGGTCAGGCTGGTCTCGAACTCCTGACCTCAGGTGATCCACCGGCCTCAGCCACCCAAAGTGCTGGGATTACAGGTGTGAGTCACTGTGCCCAGCCTAAAATTATGAATGTAATATATATAGTAAAATGTGTGTGTGTATATATGTATCTATACACACGCATTTACATATGTATACATACATATATACACACACAGTTTATACATGTGTGTATATATACAATGCATTTATATATGTACATATACATACATACATACACACGTTTTATATATATATATATAGATATATAATGGATGTGTGTGTCACCTCCATAATTCTACACACACACACACACAAGCATACACACACATCAGCTCTTGCACAAGAAAGTGACTCCCCTATCATGTGTACAATCTAATTTAGCATACTTTTTTACAACTGCTAGTGACTTTCTGGGAAGTTAATATATAAGATATGTGAGGGCTGCTCTTAATTTGCTTTTCATTGGCTACCTGTTACTAAAATCAGATTTTTTTTCTTCTTTAGCCAAATTTAGCTCCATACCCATATAATTTATTTTTCATAAAGCAACTTTATGGTTTTTTTTTTTTTTAGTTTTTAAAATTTCTTCCACAGGTACAAGGTCTATTTGTCTACTTTTTGGACACTGCCAAGCAACCTTAAAGATTATTTTGCCAGTCATGATGACTATAAAGAAACATCATGAAACAGGTACTCAGGCAGGAAAAGGCTTATCCAGTCCTTAATCCCTCCCTTTTCTTTTTTTCTTTCATAAATGCCCTGAAAAAGGTGCCCAAAACATTTGATACAATGGCAGTATACAGTGCATTCTCTTTGGCCTTTCCAAGACAGACAGAAATGGCTGGGTGCTACAGCCCAATCTGTGGTCAGCTTGCTTTCTATGCCTCTTTCTATTTATTACGTCTGCTAGTTTTCAAATGGAGTGACCTGCTGTTCAAGTCCCAAGGCTGATGAAATGAGAAACAGTATAGTCTCTGTGTCTGGCTGCCTATGGTTTCCTTTTTCTAGTTGAAATATGCTTGACTTTTTTTTTTTTTTTTTTTTTTTAGCGGAGCCAAGGAACAATGAGCAGGAAAGCAATTTGTTTGTTCTAGAAACACAGAAGAATATTTATCAAGGTTTAATAGGGTATAACATGGGGGTCCTAAAGAATATGTAATAAATACTATTGTTTATACCCTCAGGGCAGACTGCCTGAAAGAAAGAATAGGCTTTGTAGTTTTTGTAATGATAACGTCTGAATGATTACCAAATTAGTGCTAAGTTAGGAGACAAGGGGTTTGAAGATATCTTGTGAAGCAATGTCATGTATCCTGGGTGACAGAGCAAGATGTCATCTCAAAAAAAAAAAAAAGTTTACGAATTTGTGTTGAGCCACATTCAAAGCCATTTTAGGTCACATGCGGCCCACCAGGCCATGGGTTGGACAAGCTCGCTCTATAGCTACAAGTCTCTATATAAGATAATGAGTATTTAAAATATAAATGTTCAAACATATTAAATGAAAAACAAAAGGTAGAAATTATTTTTTCACTTATGTGTCTATACGGTGCTATTTTGGGGGCGTAACTTATAAATTGCTTTTTAGATAATCAAATGATATATCAATAAAATATAAAGTAAATAAACAGTTTAAGAAAATATATAAAACCATCTTGTTACCACTAGTTTTTGGTTAGCCTCACTAATTCTTTAAATCTAGTCTATACTATACAGCACACTACGGTATATAGATTTTTACTTTTTTGGATTATGTTCAGATTTGTAGATTTATATAATAAAGAAAAATTTCCCCAAATTAATTTCAGTGGAAAACAAAATTTCCTCACTTAAATTCCCAAACTGTGATACTAAATTTTATTCATGAGATATATGAGATTATATGGAAGAAAAACCATTAGAGAGGGAAAAAAAGGAAATGTCTGAAACACTTTAGAATGCATATATGTTGGAGGTGAGAGGAGCAAAGAGGCTCAATCTTTGTATTTGTAATAGATAGTGATTATTAACTAAATTATACTGACATTGGCTAAAAGGATTGCCTGAATATTAAATGTACACCAACTAGCAGAAAATAATTATATGTGTGGTGTGAACAATTTAATTATAAGGTCAAACTTGGGAAAGAGGCAATCACACAATGAAACTCACAACTTAAATAAATGTTTCCTGTGGTTTCATTTATATCAAATAGGCTAATGTACAGCATTAACCTATTGCTAGGCATTAGCATTATTGATGAGTTTGTGTGTAACTATTAATCAGTTTGCTTCAGAGAGACAAACTACTGTTTTAATTTGTTCTCTAAAATATACTGAGATGAGCCTTTACTTCCTTCCTCTAACGCATAGCTCATGTACAGCTTTGAAATATGTTGCAGCTGCTTAGCTCGAAGCTGTGTGCTTCTGACATACTCTCATCTTCTAACAGGCAATGTAGAATTTTAGTAAAGAAAGCACTATTCTGTAAACAGGTATCTTTATTACTTGCACTTATTTAGCCATAACAGAATTTTTGTATCTGGTTAAATTCACTTCAGATAGATATCTTAATTCTTCCTTTTCCTTCTCTCCTGCAAAATTGCGTTTGCTGAAAATAAGGTTCCGTGTTGGCACAATACCTTTCCGGCTAATGCAAATAAATGGAAGATTGTATTCCTTTAGATCCCTGATGTGCCAGGCAAAGTTAAAGCTTCATTTTCATAAGAAAACTAAGCTTTTTAAAGTGACCCGAGAGTTTGATTTATTCTTTGCATTCACTGTTGTTAGGTATGGCCCATGGGACTGGCTAGCTCAAGGGAATGACAATGAGCTATGGGACTGCTCCTTTCTAAAATCCTGGTGCAGATCCAGTTCATTTTGATAATGGCTTAGAAAATTTAAGGACTTGATGAATGAAACATTGGGGGAAAGGGAGACAGAGAACAGATTTGAAGTTAGAATCCATGGTCCACATTTGAATTGGCAATTGTCCCTAACTTTTGAATAATCATTAAGTTGAATGTTCATATTCTCTTTAGGGACACCTGGAATGGACTAACTATATATCTTCATGAAGTGGCCAGTATTGTCATGCATTGGAGTGCATATATGGCAGCAGATATGGGCCCTAGAGACCCAATTTCCCTGCTGAAGTAAAATAATAATAATAATAATAACCATCATCATAATAATAAGAGAAACGTTATAATGTTATGACTAATGTCACTCTTTGGTTTATCTCAAAAATAGAAAACAGAATGCCATCACTGGTATTACTTTCATTTTTTTTTTTTAATAATTGCCAAATGGCAAATTGTTGTGACAAGTGTTTTTAACAGGAAGCAAACATAGCTCTTAGAGCATATATGAAGAAATGAAAACTTTTTTGCCAAAATCCTCATTTCATCTTCCACAAAATTTTCCCTGACATTGTTAAAATGACTCCCAATCTTATGCCTATACCTACAGTACCTGTTCCCCATTTTTGGTGAAATTATTCTTTATTTTCTATCATACTTGGATATTTTCCTCTACATGTCTTCTTTCCCCTGGTTTAGCTTATGTGTCTCTCCCCAGCTCATAATTTCCTCCTTCCATTCACCAGTTCAGTACCGTCTTACAAGCTCTGAAGAGTCATCTGTTTCTGGTGCCTTCTCAGTGCAACTCCATTTTATAGCACATATTCATGGGCTAAGAGGAATGCTTTGCACAAACATATTCCTTTTATTTATCTCTTCATACATATTTATATTCTATGCACTTTTATTTGTAATAGTAATTTGGACATATTTATCTTTATATGTTGAAAGATTATAAGCTGGGAGAGGGTCAGAGATTTATTTTTAAAATTCATTTACTCCAAAACTTCCTTAGTACAGTACTCTTAAAATAGATTTGATTGATTGCTCTTCCCTTTGGGACTTGGCCATGTTTGGGGAGGCTTATAACAGTAGTAAAATAATCAAAGCCTACATGGCAGGAAGAGGCAGCGGAGCCACTAATTAGTAATTAATGAATTAGAAATTATCTTTTAAACATAACCATTTATTTAACTTGTAACTAGGTAGGATTTAAGTTTTACAGTATCTTAAATGCAAAAATAAAATACCCTAAACTTTATATATTACTTTTATAAAACCAGTCACTGTAACAAAAATATGTATTTGGTTCCTGAGAAGGAAAATAAATGATTCATCAACCTATGTTTAAAAACAGTATTTTTGGATTAAAAATCATGGTAGCTGCAGCATGACCTCTTCGTTAATTTGTTGTGAATGAACAAACAATAGTTCTGGATCTATTTTGGAAGCAGCATGGTCCCTGACTAAATACTATAGTACATTAGTTAAAGAAAATATTTGTGCCACAGGCAAAGTTTGAAGGCAAGCCTATTATTAATTTGAGTTTTTCTTTTAAGTAACTGAAAGGCATTTGTTTTCAACAGGTGTTAAGTCAGCATAAATCACTTAGAGAAATTTTTAAAAACTCAGAGTAGAATGCATTCTATAATTTTTGAATAAATATAGAAACCGCCTGATGGTTATAAGAGAAAGCTATAAACACAAATAGCTGTTTTAAAAGGTTTCACTGGAGATGACCAATGTTGAAGCCCTTGAATCATTCGTCAGACTGATTAGAGATTAACTCAAATTTCATCTTGATTTTACAACTCCAGGTTAATTTTCTTCAGGCACCTGGTCATCTAAAATCAATCACTGCCCTGGGAAGGTCAGAGCTGTCTGAAAAAGAGAAATCCTGCCTCCTGGCTGCAGCACTGTACTTCTTCAGCTGCAAGAACTGATGGTCTAGCAATGCATCAATGTCACAATGTTATTTACAATTGTTAAAATCCAGTGGGGATGGCAAGTATCTTTGAAGGCAAAAATTACTACTCTTAGTTTAGAAGGAATAAGAATCCCCTGGATGTGCCAGAATGAAGCCTGACGCCAGCATTTCTAAGAATCTCCCTGATGATGTTTATACTGCTGGTCTGAGAACCACACTTCGAGTAGCAAGGGGCTGAATCATCTGTGGCTTTCTGGAAGATTGCCATAACATTCTGAAAAAAAAAAAAATCATTGTTTTCTTAAATTTCACCTTCCGTCACGTACAAATATTGCCATTTCTCTTGGGGTTTTGATCTTTATGTGTCTCTATATTCAACCTGAGTTTTACTGGTTTGGTTAGACAATTCCTTTCAATTTGGTTCTCAAATGACCAACCTTCTCAGTGTATGAACTTGTCCAAGCATTCTTTCTCCCTTGAAATATCTTTGCGGGTGGGACTTTCTGGAGCAATAAACAATTACTGTCTTAGTCTCTTTTTCTTTTTTCTTTTTTTGAGACAGAGTCTCGCTCTGTCCCCCAGGCTAGAGTGCAGTGGTGCGATCTCAGCTCACTGCAAACTCCACCTCCCAGGTTCAAGCGACTCTCCTGCCTCAGCACCCCAAGTATGTGGGATTACAGGCACCTGCCACCACGCCAGGCTATTTTTTTTGTATTTTTAATAGAGACGAGATTTCATCATGTTGGCCAGGCTGGTTTTGAACTCTTGACCTCAAGTGATCTGCCCGCCTCAGCTTTCCAAAGTGCAAGGATTACAGGTGTGAGCCACCTCGCCCGGACCTTAGTCTCTTTTTCTTTCTTTTTTCTATTTAAAATTCTAACACAAAATAATTTACATTAGGTAAACAGAACACTTTGCTGGTTCACATACAGAAAAAGTGATTACATTTTTTAATAAGGCAGTTCAATAAATAAAGGCTTGCTTTTCATTAAGATAAATTTCATTATAGAACTGCCTTTTGGCTGATAAAGAGTTAATGAGTTAAAATAAACTGATAACTCTAGATATAGTGATTGTACCACCACTAAAACCTACGTCTGCCAAATAATATGTTAAAAGAAAAAAAAAAAAAGCCTGTTTATGCAGTCCCCAAGGCAAATATTATAGAGCTTACTCTGCCCTCTGAATGCATTTGTGAATTTGCCATAGAAATTCTGGATGCCATCAGTGAGAGAATTACTTCTTGAACTTAATTGGATTAAGTGGATCTGCAGCACACTCCACATGAATACTGTAAAGCTCTCTCGAATGATTTATTGGCAGTCTCACCCTTCATAATAAGAATAGAAGTCTTGCTGAAGGATTGTTTGAGTTAATATATATTAACTACTTTAAAAATTTTTAAAGTAGAGGTCCCTTTTACTGTAAGGGCATATAAACACAAAAAGTAAGAAATATTTTCAGGTACTCTGAAAATTCATTATGCTTCTAAAATTGTGTGTTCCTTTAAGCTAAGGAAAGTGTGAATGCAAACTTTTCTTGTATCCTCTCTTATTTCAAGGAAGGCTGCTGTTTTTGTGGACTCTAGGTTTTATGTCCTCAAACCTGAAGCAGAGACCACAATTTCATGATTTTCTGCTCAAGTTTTAGTGGAAGGAAGGAAAGCAGTAATAAAGAACAGGCTAGCGGAAGAACCACGTACTGAGAATGGCTAGATAAGTTTCCAGAGAAAATATTTTAAGCAGATAGTACCCAAGACAGGTTATATGTTTATTTATGGGAAAAACTTCCATATCTTCTATTATGCTCTGAAGTGAATGAATGCTGATCACGCTCCCGTCCCTAGAACTGTATGCATTTAAATTAAAAATATAGAAAGTACAATATACACTGAGTTGGGATCTATTGACTGTGTCAGTAATAGCACTGTTTTCATTTTTCCTTTTGTAATAGAAGCCATTGTGTGTGTTCAGGATGGATTCTTAGTGTTTATTAATCTCAGAAGTGAGAGCATTTAGGATTTTAAAAGCTATTGATTTTTAAAAAGAGATCGGAGTTTTTATATTCTATGGTATCCCCAACTTCTATTTCAAACCTGTCATAAAATAGGTACTCTGCAGAGACCAACACTTGGTGTGATGAATTTCAGGCACCTTCTTTACTGTGTCTTGAAATATTTGGATCCTTGTTGATTTTTAAGAAGTAAAAAATAATCTAGTTTTATTTATTTATTTATTTATTTATTTATTTATTTATTTATTTATTTATTTTTATTGAGATGGAGTCTCGCTCTATTGCCCAGGCTGGAGTGCAGTGGCGCGATCTCGGCTCACTGCAAGCTCCGCCTCCCGAGTTCACACCATTCTCCTGCCTCAGCCTCCCGAGTAGCTGGGACTACAGGCACCTGCCACCGCGCCCGGCTAATTTTTGTATTTTTAGTAGAGACGGGGTTTCACTGTTAGCCAGGATGGTCTCAATCTCCCGACCTCGTGATCCGCCTGCCTCAGCCTCCCAAAGTGCTGGGATTACAGGCGTGAGTCACCGTGCCCAGCCAAAATAATTTAGTTTTAATTAATGATTTTTAAAAATCCTATTCTCTCTCTTTTCTTTTGACAGTTTGATAAACAACGCCCTCAATTGCGGCAATAAAGGCAGTAAAATGGGAACTTGTAACATGTCCTTCATTTGAATGTTCTCCAAAGGCCTCCTACGTAATCTCTATTTCCTGTTCTAGTCTCCTTTTTATTGTCACTTGCTTCTGAACCTTATTGCCTTCTCTCGTAAAGTATCTGAACCTTTGCTAGCCTCTGATATTAATTGCTTACCTTTTGCAAATTAATCATTCACTTATGTTACTAATGTCAATACAAAATAAGTTTTGAAGCAAAATGAATGTTTTTTATTATTATTCTATGATATTACTTTATTTTATATCTTGGCATTTGAGGAAAAAACAAAATGTAATATTAGCATATATACGCTATACATACACATATATAATAGCATATATGCCATGCAGCAAAACCTATTAACACTTTGCTTGCATTCATAATGATTTAAAAGTCTCTGCCCTGAGCAGCAAATGATGCCATATTGCAGGAATACAAAGCAAAAGGCAAACAAAAAATACTTCTTAAAATGGAGAACTCATTTGCTTTCTTTCCCTGATACATAATTGGGACTAAGAGAAATTAAACACATGACTGACTGCATTTCTTATTCATAATTAATTATTCAAAAGGGAAATTCATTGAGTGATGGATCCTTACGATCAATTATGAAGTGTCAAATAATTATGTGGGCAAATATAAACATACTAAAATTCATTTTGTAGTGACCACAGGTATAGTTGTGGCATAGAACTTTACATTATATCTAAAGGCCAGGATACACAGTCATGAAAAAATGCAGAGAATGTGTGTATGCAAAGATCTGAAACCCAGGTCTGGGTTTGGATTTAGGGGTGAGAGTACGGGACGTATTTGGTAGTTACTTAATACTTTGGAAAATTATGCAGGTATGTGTTTTTCTTTCGTGGTATAATTGTGGCTTAAAATAATAAAAGCACTTTTCATAAAACCTTTTTCTGAGATACCAGCAGAATACGCATGCATTGGCAGCTTTGTAATTTTACACTTAACTACTCCAGAAAAGTTAATCAGCTTGTTATTACCACGCTAGATATAAAACAAAATGGCTGTAAGGAAATGAGTGCTTCTGACAAACACCCACATACTTGTTTTTTACTTTTATTTTAGGTTCAAAGGTACCTGTGCAGGTTTGTTATATGGATAATCTAAACTCATGTCACGGGGTTTGTTGTATAGATTATTTTGTCACCCAGGTACGACGCCTAGTACCCAATCGTTATTTTTTCTGATTATCTCCCTCCTCCCACCTCCACCCTCAAGTGGGCTCCAGTGTGTATTGTTCCCCTCTATGTGTCCATGTGTTCTCATTGTTTAGCTCCCACTTATATGTGAGAATGCGCAGTGTTTGGTTTTCTGTTCCTGTATTAGTTTGCGAAGGATAATGGCCTCCAGCTCCACGTTTTGTCTATGTAAAGATAATAGTATTCCTTCAGGAAATATTTTACACCACATTTCCAGATTACATTTTGGATGCTAAAAGATTCTGAATCTTGGCTTTGGGGATTTATAACAAGAAAAATAAAATAACTGTGCCAAACACAAACGATTTTGTAGAGATTCTACTGTAAACTTTTCATTTAAAGTAAGAAAAAAATAAATGTTACATATTATTTTATTTTGCATTATTCAAATATTTATTTTAAATATAGTAAGATTTTGAATATTTTTTAAAGTTTTGGGATAGTTTTGGGTGAAATAGGAGGAAAAAATTCCATAAATTTCACCACAAATGTACAAAGGCTATTAAAATTTTTCAGTTTCTTTTTCCAATCATCTTAAGTAACTATATGTTTTATATAGTGGCTTATACTGAGTTATAAAACTCGTATTCTTTTCTGAACTTAACGTTATGTTATATCCTCTTCATGTTTCCACCAAGGCTCATTTTAGAGCATGTAGTGAATATTTTTACATATGTGATTTCTTTCCTAAAGGCTGCATATTAAAACTATTAGTAATTAATGTCTTAAGATTAGGCAAAAAAATTAAAAAGTATTTGTTTAACAATCATATAATATAATCCAAAAACCGGTCATATGCACATACATAAATATATATATATATTTATGCACATACATAAATATATATATATTTATGCACATACATAAATATATATATGTATGCACATACATAAATATATATGTGCACATACATAAATATACACACACACGCACACACACACACACACACACATATATATACTTCATCAAATATTCCTGAAAGGAAAAAGTGATTGTCATTACTGTAGAAAGTTGGTAAAATATTTGGTGCTTGTGGTATGTATGATCAGAAAAGAATAACTTTCATATATACGTTTTTGTACTATTTGGCCTTTTAAAAATTATGCATAAATATTAATGATTTTATCCAAAAATTTGTTAATTTCATTACAAATCCATTGACAATCATCATTGTAACGGAAGTTGGAAGACTGCTCTAGTCAGAGTCTTTTCTTGACCATGATAGAAGCTCAGATAATGCCACTAAAAGTAATGGCAAAAACCGCGATTATGTTTGCACCAGCCTAATATGTGAAAAGTTATAGAATGAATAGCTCATTTAAAAAAGTGGAGCTTATATGTATTTTTAAATCTTTTTGCTGCCAACAGACAACATATTTACTTTTCAATAGTTTAGTGACAGATTAAAAATTAGAAATTTGCCCATTAGATTTTTAATTTAAAGAAGAAAAACATATCCACTTTCTTTCTAAGGGTAGCCTTTCTTACTCTGTAATCTTCTGCTATGAAGGATAAAGTACAAAATATGTTCACTCAAAATGCTTAAGGTCAGACACAATGACCACAATACAAGGTCTAATTTGAAAAGTGCTCCAAAGGGAAGATCTATATATTTTGAAAATTCTTTGGGAGGAGGTTTGGAGTACCAGGAAAGGAGAAAATGTGAATAAGACTAATGGGTAAGAATGAAGTTACTTATGTGGACTGTATTGCCCAAGAAATGACTTTAATTCACACCTGACTTATGAGGATACGATTTTATAAAACCATTTATAAATGAGTAATCATAGAGAGGGAATTCAGTAAATGCAATTGAAAGCCTAATAAATGTTATTTTTCTTAATTTGAATAAGGAGTTTTAAACTTCTCTGTTCTAAGAAGCATATTTTTCCCAAGATTTTATCTGGAAAATTTTCAAACATACAGTAAAGAGAATATAATACAAATTCATATAACAACTACACCTAACATTTTGTTACACTTGCTTTATCACATTATCTATCCATCCCTAAGGAGCAAATTTTAAGAAATAATGTTTACATTTTTATAATTTTAACTTTTGTGAAGTTAAATCTCATTTCACAACCAAAATATATTTTAAATATGAGAATGTTTTTCTTTCAAGAATTTTCGCTAGTTTGGTGATGATTCTTACAATCAAAGATAATTTGCAATTGAGGAAATATAGTCTTAGTTTTGACAAAAAAGAAGAATTATGGTTCAGTCTTCCTATTGAGTTTCGTGTTTAGTTTTTAAAAGAAAAATATTTCACATTGTTTAAGTATTTGGAGTTAACTTTAGCAAGATATCAAGACTGAAGCTCATTATTCCAATATAAAAACATGAATCATGATTGAATTACAAAAGTGTAAACTTTTATGACATATCAAAAAGTGGAACAAAGATTACAGGAAGAATTTGGAGCATTAAATGTCAGGAACAGTATTTTCTCAGAGAAGTTATTAGGTGGTTGATATCACTCTATCATTATTTAGGCCAGGATAATCCCTTCTTACCATTTTTTGACTTCTGAATACTGATAAACACAATTATAATCTCTCCCTTATTTTGGTTATCTGGTTTCTATTATATTCTGAATTTTTAGAGGACAAAGATTAAATGAATATAATTTGCATGTTCAATTTCTGTTGATTTTTCTTCCTCATTTTTCACTTTGCACTGTCTTTTTAGAGAGCAGAAAGTCTTATTTTTTTAAAAATGTAAAATCTGGAGAAAATTTCTATGTGAAGATACGTTAATTTTTGCTGCAACCTATTCACTAATGAATTTTCTTCTTCAATAACTATTGTTAGTTAAATTGATTGACTTTGTTGTAATGTAAGTGCCTGTAGATTATTTTTTAAATATTCTGAACTGTAAAGGAGGAAAACTCTTTTTTTAAAAAATTGTGATTTAGAATTTCTGTATTGTTACTCAATTATCTGAAATTGTTAAGGAATAAGTTATTTAATGCAATTATTTCTTTCCATAGCCCATCCCACACAAAAGTACTAAAGTTAAAAAAATTCTTTAAAAATGTGTGAAAAAATATTCCTGCTTTCCGAAACAGTGAGTTCTAACCATAACAATCATAATAATTTAGCAGAAGCATCACCTTTTTGTATTCACTCTACAGCAAAATACAAAATGATATTTTCCATCTAGAGGCTGTTTATCCCTCTACAGAATGAACAGTGCTTGGTTTTGTTGTGGTCGTGGTTTTGTTTCTTCATAATGTGCAGCAGTCCTGTCTCTGTTTCCACCATGTGGCTATCAGCTCTTTTTTTTCACTCTTGTCAGAGAGACTGTTTCCAATGGCCACCATTTTTTTTTTACCTGTTCCTTGTTTGCTGTGGTTATAAGGGAAAAAAATTTCTATATTAGCCGGGTATTAGCATTGGATGCAAAATAAGAAGAAATTCTCTGAGTGAGAGCTTGAGACTATGTGAAGAATGAGTTACATGAGCATCAGCCTATGAACTTTCCGGCATTTCTTTTTTAAAAGTATTCCAATACTTAAAATCTATATTGTTTACTTTTTTCCAAATAGTTAAAGATGTCATGCAAGTAACCTCAATATATGAGATGTTATTATGTATTTTAAATTAAATTCCAGGAATTCACTATGTGTTTTCGAAGAACACTGAATATTAGGTTGTCTGCAATTTTAAAGTGTTTTCATTATAGTATAAATTTCATCATAATAGTTAATACATATTTACTACCTACTATGTGCGAGACACTATTTTAGTTTCATTATATATATAAATACATCTGTTCCTAACAATATATTTATCTTAATTCATAAATTAAGATTATTTGTATATACCCATTTTATACATGAATGAATGGAGCTACACAGAGTTGAGCTAACTTGCTAAGGGGAATCACCATCTAAGTTCTGTCAGAGTCCAGAATCTACAGGATTATTTCCCTACACTGTATAGCTTTATATTAACATATGTTCATCTACTATACATGTCATTTTCTAACATATATGTTATATGTCTGATATTTATTTCATTTATTAGATCTAATATGTTATTTAAGAACATAATCTATGTTTATTAAATAAAATGATAGAGAATAAAGTAGAAAAAAATAAACAGGGCCAGGCATGGTGGCTCATGCCTGTGATCCCAGCCCTTCGGGAGGCCGAAATGGGCGGATCACCTGAGGTCAGGAGTTCAAGACCAGCCTGGCCAACATGGTGAAACCCTGTCTCTACTAAAAATACACACAAAAAAATTAGCCGGGCGTGGTGGTGCATGCCTGTAATCCCAGCTACTTGGGAGACTGAGGCAGGAGAATTGCTTGAACCTGGGAGGCGGAGGTTGTGGTGAGCCGAGACTGCACCATTGCACTCCACCCTGGGCAACAAGAATGAACCTCTGTTTCAAAAAAAAAGAAAAAAATGAACAGAAATTCTGTCACACACGTAAAAATAAATACTATTAATATGTTTATATATTTTCTTATTAAAAATGTATTGCTTTTTAAAACAAAGCTCCAATCTTAGTAGATATTGTATATATTCTTTTACTATTGTATATACAGTATATACTATTGTATATATTCTATTTACTATTATATCTTAAACTCTATTATGTAGTCTTTTTTACCATTATTTTTAATGGCTGAATAACATGCTGCCAATTGCTTGCATTTAAAAGTGTCTCATTTTAAATGAAAAGTCATAGAAAAATGATTGCTAAAGCTAGTGTTAATAAGCCCAGTAATATATCTACCCTCCCTATTTAAATTATTATTTGTTTTTTTAATTGACTTTTCACTAGCCCAATGATCTAAGTAGGATTTTAAATAAAAGAACATTAGGATGGGCATATCAAAAGTGAGTGCTGGGTAGTCATGTCAAGAAAGTATTGGGAATATATGTATATATCTTATATAAATGTGTGGTTTGCCTCAACAGAGAATCCTCGGATGGAAGGCTCTATTAAAGTTGTTTGATATTTTCTCTTTAAATACAGGAGCAGTTACAAAAGCCCACTTTGAATAATGAAATCAGTTTCTTAGATCTTCATTTTAATGACATCACTAGGAAAGTAATAATTACACTGCAGCCATTGTACATTTTTCAGTATCAATCTTACAGCCTAAATGGCTCACATTGGAATCATCAACTACTCTCTCATATGGATAAACTGGATAGTAGGAATGTCCCCAAATTCGATTAAATAATTCAAGGTGGATGGTAATGTCTGAATGTTTGTGTTTCCCTCAAATTCATATGTTGAAAACCTAGGCCGGGCATGGTGGCTCATGCCTGTAATCCCAGCACTTTGGGAGGCTAAGGTGAGCAGATCACCTGAGATCGGGAGTTCGAGACCAGCCTCATCAACATGGAGAAACCCCATCTCTACTAAAAATACAAAATTAGCTGGACGTGGTGGCACATGTCTGTAATCCCAGCTACTCGGGAGGCTGAGGCAGGAGAATCGCTTGAACCCGGTGAGCCAAGATCATGCCATTGGGCAACAAGAGCGAAACTCTGTCTCAAAAAAAAAAAAAAAAAAACAACCTAATCACTAATTTGATGGTATTAGGAAGTGGGACATGTAAGGGGGGCATTAGATCAGGTTGGGGGAACCCTCATTGATGGGATTAGTGTCCTTGTAACAAAGTCCCCATAGAGCTGTCTTGCCCTCTTCTGCCATGCTAGTACTCCATGAGAAGACACCTTATATGTAACAGGAAGTGGGCCTCAGCAGACACCATATTTTCGGGTGCCTTGATCTTGAACTTCTCAGCTTCTGGAACTGTCAGAAATAAATTTCTGTTGTTTATAAGCCACTCAGTTTATAGTATTTTGTTATAGCAGCCTAAATGGACTAAGAAAGGAAGCTTCTATAATTTAAGTATCCCCATTTCACCAAGTCATAAATAAATATAATATGTGTCTTTCTCTCCCTCCAATGCACACCAACATGGAGCAATTCAGACTTTTTCTTGTCTAAGTTATAAGTCATGGGTAAGTGTATTCCGTGACTTGTAAACTGGATGAAGGATGCAACTTATCCACTGATGAACATGATCTTTAAGTTCAGCAGCCCACCCAACACAATAACTAGATTTCTCACGTTTAATTTTTACCAGAACTATTACAGTAGGTAGCTAGTCAGGTATGAGCAGGGCAGGAGAGCGCTTCCCCTATCACCACACACACACACACACACACACACACACACACACCAGGAATGTCAGGCGACCATCAAATTCAAATGATGGTTAGGCAGTTGTTAACTGTCTCTCTAAAATAATAATTGGTCTCAGCCAGCACCAGGGAAAGGCAGTCTCCCAATAGAGAAAAAAACAAAAGCAAAGCAAAACAAAACAAATAAACAACCAAAAAAAAAAACCTGAAACTGATGATCAGCAGCCTCCTGATAAGATCTCAGGAGCTGGGCAAGTGGGTTTAAGCATGCACACTAAGAGGCAAAATGGTGGAGTCTAACCTAGATCTTCTTCTCGGAACGACTGGTAAGGGAAGAATGCCTCAAGTGAGCATACCTACGACTCCATTAAACACACTGGCCACTGAACTTGCAGACAGCCCACTGCACATGTGCCAGCCCATCCCAAGGGAAGAATCAGGTGAGAAGTAATGCAAGACCCCAAAAGTATGCCAACATACAAAGCCCCAAGTCAAAAGGTCAAATGACGCACTTGATCTCTTAAGTCGCCTGCTAGGCCTTCTTCCAAATGTACTTTACTTCCTTTCATTCCTGCTCTAAAATGTTTTAATAAACTTTCACTCCTGTAAAATTTGTCTCAGTCTCTCCTTCTGCCCTATGCCTCCTTGGTCAAATTCTTTCTTCTGAGGAGGCAAGAACTGGGGTTGTTGCAGACCCGTACGGATTTGCTGCCGGTAACAGAACTAT
Organism: Homo sapiens; assembly: GCF_000001405.40. Lineage (NCBI taxonomy): Eukaryota > Metazoa > Chordata > Mammalia > Primates > Hominidae > Homo > Homo sapiens. The sequence continues at coordinate 174,080,233 of NC_000003.12, read as the reverse complement.
AGGAAAGGGTTAATTTATTCTATGTTATGATTGAGCATTTCCATCGCATTGGGTATATATTTTGGATGTAGGCACTGGTGAAATGTTTGATTGGACAGAAATTATTACAGCAAAGGGCCAAAAGAATCAAATGTAATATGTGGAGAGTATGTACAGTTTTTTTTCCATTGTTTATCTTTTAATATTTTTTATTTAACTCTAAGTTCAGGGGTACGTGTGCAGGTTTGTTACATAGATAAACTTGTGTCATGGGGGTTTGTGGTACAGATTATTCCACCACCCAGATATTAAGCCTAGTACCCATTAGTTATTTTTCCTGATCCTTTCCCTCCTTCCATCCTCCACCCTTCAATAGGCCCCAGTGTGTGTAGGTCCCCTCTATGAGTCCATGTGTTTTCATCATTTAGCTGCCACTTATAAGTGAGAACATGCACTATTTGGTTTTCTGTTCCTGTTTTAGTTTGCTAAAGATGATGGCCTCCAGCTCTATCCATGTTCCTGCAAAGGACATAATCTCATTCTTTTTTATAGCTACATACTGTTCCATGGTGTACATGTCCCACATTTTTTAAAATCCAGACTACCATTGATGGGCATTTAGGCTGATTTCATGTCTTTGCTTTTGTGAATATTGCCGCAATGAACATATGCATGTCTTTATAATACAATGATTTTTATTCCTTTGGATATACACCCAGTAACGGGATTGCTGGGTCAAATGGTGTTTCTGTTTTTACGTCTTTGAGGAATCACCACAATGTCTTTCACAATGGTTGAACCAATTTACACTTCCACCAACAGTGTATAAGGATTCCTTTTTCTCTGAAACCTCTCCAGCATCTGTTGTTTTTGACTTTTAAATTTCTTTAACCATTCTGACTGGTGTGAGATCGTATCTCATTTTGATTTTGACTGGCATTTCTCTAAAGATCAGTAATGCTGAGCTTTTTTTCATATGAGTGTTGGCCGCATGTATATCTCCTTTTGAAAATTTTCTGTTCATGTCCTTTGCCCACTTTTTAATGGGAAAGTTTTTTTTTTCTTGTAAATTTTTTTCAGTGTCTTGTAGATGCTGGATAGTAGACCTTTATCAAATGCATAATTTACAAAAATAATTTCCCATTCTGCAGGTTGTCTGTTTGAGAGTATATACAGTCTTTAGCCAAATGCACTAACGTTGCAATCTGAGACTAAAGGGAAAAATATATCCACATTTACATACACACACACACACACACCGTTGTATTACGGTACTTGTGTCACTAAAAAATAAAGGATATATAATCTTCATTTATAGAAATGCAGCTAGTATTAAGGAATCATTCTTTAGATTTGTTGATTTGGAAAGGAGAGGGTAAATGCAAGATATTCCCAGAGTAGTAAGTTGCAAAATATGACTGAAATAAAGTTTCTCTAAAATTAACAAATCCAATGTTTCTTCTAAGTTGAAACAGCAGTAAACCACTGTGGTTGTCAGTCCTTTTCTTTTTCAGAGACTATGGCGTAAAACAGAGAAAGTAATTTCCAACCTTAAGATCACCCTATGAAGAAAGAACCTGCGTCTCAAAAACTAAATAAATAATCCTAATGCTACATAGGTAGGAAGTAGCATCATAATGATTTAGGATTTACATTTTGGTCTTTGTGACCCCAAAGAGTAAAACCCTTCCATTAGGTCATTACTTCTTTTTTTTAAAATGTCTATATACTTTTGTGTAAGAAATATTCTAATCCTATACACACATAAATAGGAAAACAAAATTAAGACAACATATAATTTCAGAGTTGCAAGACACTTCAGAAACAATCTAGTCTAAATTTCTGCCTAGAACCCTTCCAATGGACAGTTGATCACTATTAATACTTCTAATAAATGTTACTGAGTTCTTCTGTGTTTCCACACTGCACAAGCTGTGTGGATTCAGGGAACTACATTGACATAATGAAATGGGATGTTTTCAAACATCTCTCCAAAAGGATGAATCTGACACACATACTAGTCATCCTTTTCCAGAATTACATGCTATACATTAATTAGCAAAATAATCTATCTTACCTGTTCCTCTCCTTGAAAACCTCACTAGTGTTTTTTTTCTAAAAATATAATAGAGACATCATATAGTATGGTTTTTGAAATATTCTACTTAAGTTTTAGCAATATTGAGATTTTTTTCTTCTGTAGACAAAAGACTATGTGGCATATATAGATACATATTTCACTGTTTGGTTTTGTTCCTCCATTTTGTTCCCCCACCTCCCAGGAAACAGTATTTTAACTCATTAGAGAGTAACTGCACATCTGTGAAATTTTCTGGTTTTCATTTCCTATAAAGATCAAATGTGCCTTCCTTGGCTGAAATTATTAAAAAGACAGAAGATAGGCCAGGTACAGTGGCTCAGGCCTGTAATCCTAGCACTTTGGGAGGCTGAGGCCAGCAGATCATGAGGTCAGGAGTTCGAGACCAGCCTGACCAACATGGTGAAACCCCGTCTCTACTAAAAATACAAAAATTGGCTGGGCGTGGTGGCACATGCCTGTAGTCTCAGCTACTCAGGAGGCTGAGGCAGGAGAAATGCTTGAACCCGGGAGGCGGAGGCTGCAGTGAGTCGAGATCATGCCACTACACTCCAGCCTGGGACAGAGAGAGACTATCTCAAAAAAAATAAATAAATAAATAAAAAGAAAAGAAAGAAAGAAAGAAGCTAAAAGTCTAAATATATATATTTCCTCATGTTGTCCAAATATTTTCTGATCATCATTTGCTACTATTTATACAATTAATTTCTCTATTTTAACAACTTTAAAAGTAAACTGCTTCCTTTAAACAACAGAAGTTTCACTTAAAAATCAAGTTAGTGGAGCTGTTTCACAGATTTCAATGTTCTAGTAGTGCATTAAACTCCTGTAAAATTAGTCAGGGTATCTAGGTTGATGCATTTGGATCTTAAGGGAGCATTACTTTCTAAGTACTATAATGCTTCATTTCCTCCCACAATGTATTCTACATAATCTCATTTTAAAAGTGGGAATAGGTTTTTTTTTTTCCTGGAAAGAAATATATTTTTATCTGTAATTTGTCACTCGATGTGTCCATCAGTGTATTGATTTAGTAGGAAAATATGCATGTAAGATACATAAGGCAAATTTTCTATTGAGAATCAGTTTTAAATGTCCAGTTATTTAAACAAATCAGCATTTATTAATAGCTGTAGAGAATTCTGTATGTTAATTGTTCACAAGCTGAACATACTTGGAGCTGCTTTGGATAGGAGAAATTTGAATTATTTAGGTACCATTGTTAGTGATTTCCAAGGGCCACAAACAATTTTAACCAAGTGGTGATACTCTTTAACCCTTTAAAAGTAACAGCCACATAGATAGAATTCATTAGCCATTTCCTGTATACAATCCTTGACAAGTGTTGATGGTTTTAGAAACACACATATGTACATACACACATGTGAGGATAAACACACACACACACACACACACACACACACACACACACTCTCTCTCTCTCTCTCTCTCTCTCTCTCTCTCTCTCTCTCTCTCTATGGTCCCAGAGGAGAAAGGAACTATTAGCACTCTCTAGCAGCTTCAGGAAAGGTTTCATAGAAAATATGACAATTTAATTGGATTGTGAAAGATGTATAGGAATTTATTAGGCAAAGAGAATACAGAAAAACATTTCCAGTTTAGATGAAACCTTTGGTTGAGAACAGAGGAACGCTGTCTGGGCCTCTTCAGACGCATCCTGAGTCCCCAGAATCCAGAGCAGATTCAGACCAAATGTGAGTGTTCAGGAAATGGCACTGAGGTTTGAATGGAGTGATGCAAAGAAGGGTAAGGCCTTATTTCCCTATGCTCTTCAAACGGCTAAACCAATAAAGGAAACTGAGTCTAATTCTTACAGACTTTGTTAAATAAATAAATATATATAAAACATATGACATTTCATAGCATTTCTTTTCATATATACATATATGTAAAGAAATGTTAAATATATTTCAAAAACTTAGAATTATGTTATTGCCTGTATCACTTCTAAATAAAACAAAATTTATTTGAAAATAAATTATTTTTAAAATGACAAAACATCTTGCTTTAAAACCACTGGTCAAATTTTGGACACAGAATATCACATATATTTGACAAATAATTAATAAAAATCAGAATTTAATTGGTTTTACAATTATGAGCTAATTGAATGATATAGTGTAGGCAGACATATGTAAAATAAAGTGATGTCGCCTAGTTTAATTACTTAGTCAGATGTTGTTACACCCACAGTGATTCTTCATATAGCAATGTAAAGTGTATACTTTTAGTGTCAAATTAGCTATTTCCATGCATGATTTGATACTGATAAAATTAATTAAAGCAATGAAATTTAAATATTAATAGCTTATCTTCAGTTCCACTGAGATTTATATCTAAATACTGGCATGCTCAAGAATCAATAATCCACTTATGCATTATTTTTATGTCCTTTTCATTTTTCTTTTTAGCTCTAATGATGAAACATAAGTATCTGGAATAAAATTTTATTTTTCCTTAAGACATTTTTTAATATAGAAATGCTTACCAGTCTTACTGTTAAAAACTGAAAAGAGTCATATAAATTTGCAGAAATGTCTGTGCCTATCTGGCTCCACTCTCCTCTCAATAAGAATGTGTAATTCCTGGGCAAGTCGTACTGTCAGGTTGGGCATCAGGAGGAAATTCCGATTCCTTTTGTGACATTTTCAATCATGTCTGGCATTTACTTTAAAGGACCGCTTCATCAAAATTATTTCTAATCTAGGAGCTCTGATTATCATTTAAATAGATTTGCTAATTTTTATTGATTAAGGATCCAAATCAACCAATATTATGTGGTTTAAAATCATTATCTTCATGTAATAACTTATCTTGACAGTATGCTTTCTTAAAATAAAGAATTATTGATTGTATCCTAAGTTTCCCCAGTTCTTATGATGTGGAAACATATTTCTTTAGAAATATAATGAGATTGTTTGTATTTATTTTTAGTAGAGTTAAAAATTAAGTTCGACCATTGTAAGAACATATTTTAAATGCCACCAGAATTCAGGATGCAGATTTATGGTAGATTTTGTAATCTCCTGCCAAATAACATCTATAGCTCATCCAAGGGTCTGTTAGCCACTCCAAGAGATGTTTGGCTTGTTCTGATGCCACAGCACTAGAATCAGGAATGTATTGGGTCTAAGTGAGACAATCTTGGGAAGACCAAGAGTGGTGGATTAGAAGTTTATTCCAAATTAAGTGTGTCTGTTATATACTAGCAATCACATTGTGCACGGTAGAACCCTAAGACTAAGAAGCCCACGGCTCAGTGGTAGTTGTGGCCAGCATGTATCTGGGCAAGACTGTGTAACGGACTGCTTAACTTTTGTCTTTTTAAAGCTAGGCTGAAGAGAGTAATTGAACTTTCAGAAGGTCTGATGTGCCCCTTACACGCTAAGAATCATCCACAACTACGTTTCCACTAGTGAGTTGGCACTGGGAAGCTCAGAAACTTATATCAATGTTTGTGGTAAAATAATGTTGCTGAATTCTCTGCCTTCAAATTTGATTGTACTGGCTTCCCTTTCTATCCTTTAGAAAAGTAAACCCTGTGTAATTTGCCAAAGTAACATCCGTGTCTGATCGTAAATATTATGACTTGCATTTTATTCCAGATTTTCAATATGTTTGCAACAAGAAAATAAGTAATCACCCAGAATTTAAACTCACCCTTGTCATCATGTAGTTGGTCATTACTATAAAGAACAGTTTGGAATTAAATAATTCCTTTTGTATATTTATGCTTCTACTAAAGTAAACATCATTTAAATTAGTGTGAAATTATAATCACAAACAACACCCCAACCACAGAAGCTTAACCATAAATATTAGCACATTATCATCTTTGCCAATAGGAAATGGGCAATAATTGTGATTTATAAAGTCTGTTTGATTCTCTTAATTTTCCTAGGTATTTATATAGAGTCAGTCTTAGACAGAAACACGTGAGAGTTATTTACATCCTCAATTCTCCATTTGAAATCAAGCCTTTTATTTTGAGATGCTCCCTCTACACTGGATTCCAAACAAGCTTATGTTACAAACATTCCCAAAAGAATTCTATTCCCAAGCTTTTCAGTGCACTGACACCCTTCCTGCATACTGTAACAGACTACTTTCTGCTAGTGTATCTGACAAACCATTCTCCACATTTATATTAGATGAAAGCTAACAATTTGCTTATTACCTCATTCCAGGAAACATTTACATTTAAGTCAAGATATTCCTAGTACCTTAAATATAGTATTTATCATTTATTTAACTAAAAGGACCACTCTATTATTCCTCTGTGGATCTTATGTTTTGAAAGATTTTGACTGTCATTTTGTATTTGTAAGAAAATAAGTGATGGATATGGGTATTGTGATAATCAGACATATGATTCAGGTAAGTGTGTCTGCTCTATCATCATATTCCAGAAGTTTTGGTGATATCACCGGCAATTAATCTGAGCTTCTGATTAGCACGAATTTAGAACTGTGATACTTTCAACCAAATGGGAAGAAGTAAATTAAGAGTTTCATTAGAATTTCCAAAACATTGAAAATGATCTTTCAGGCTTCACTGCTACATATAGACTTTTAGAAGGAAAAGAACTCAGAGAACCAGTGTCTTCATCCAAAAGAGTGACGCCAAGATTTGGAATTTTCTACCAGTGGAAGAAATGATTTTAGTTAAACCTCATTAGCTCTTATGTTCAAAAGATGTGCTGCTCAATGTTCATACTGAAACTATTTACATATGCTAAAGTGCCCCCCCGCCAAAATTCTGAAATTTTATTGTTCAAAAGTTATTGAAATACATGCAGCATAACCTCTTAGCTAATCTTAATTAAATATAAACTAAAACTTGTAGAAGTTGTACACAAACTTTGCGATGGAATGGAATAATGTTCTAAAAGAATGGCTTCTGTATCCCTAGCATGACTTCATTCTGTTTCTTCACTTGAAAAAAAAACCTATGATTTTCTTGAACTCACTGTATCTAAAATTTTATTTTTATTGATTCATTATTCTCTTAAAAATATGATTAGATAGTTGTTATATATATTTATATCAATATCATACAAACATAGCCTAAGGAGTTATTTAGGTAATGAAGCCATTTGATATTTATATGGAATTTCACTCCAGAAAATTCCACTCAAGAGGGCATGTTTTACTCAGTCATTTAATTTATTAATCAGAAAATATGATACTATTTACATTGGGAGTGGCAATATATCTTACTGTCTTCAAGTTGAGTCATTTATGTTTCAAATCTACTTCATAGGTATGGACATATTAATACTGGTAGTGATTCACTCAGCCATTCTCTTTAACTTCCTCATTGCTACTCTGCTATGAACTCATTTTGAACTCCATGGTCAGTTCCTTCTAGGGGGGCTCCAAAACGAATCTTTGACATCTTACCTTATGCTAAAGTGGCAAACACCAATACCCTTCTCTCTGTCACTCACTGTGTCTGCTTGGTCTGTTCCTGCTCTGGACTGCAAGCTTTGTGGGAAGCAGTTAGACAGCTTTACAGACGTGGCTGCCCTCACATTCCCGTTGCTCAATTTTAATTCAGACCTCACTACTATACCCAAATCCTCTATTTTGCCTTCAGTATCCTTGATGTGCCCCACACTTTCATGGTTTTATTCACATAAAACTCCTGAGTCTATATTTTCCAATCTTATTTTTGTTCTCTTACTGGCACCTGTCAAATAACCATTACAGCACACACTGTTCATCCTCATGCCAAAGTTAGTTCTCTGTTGGCTTTCTCTAGTCCCTATCTTACAATGCCATCTTTTAACTCACCCAAGGTCAAAATCTTATCCTCTGCTTCCTTCCCCAAGGACATAGTCTCTCCTTAGGATGGGGAGTTCTTGTACCATACTTTCTTGTTAAGTGATTTTAGGCAAACCCATGAATTCTCTGGTTCATTTGTAGAATGAAAGGAGCATGCAATTACCACTCAGAGTAACTGCGAGGATAAATACAATAACGTGAAAGTAGACTTAGACTTACTTTTCAAAGATTCTCCCCTTTATTTTCCCTTTTCTGCAACCAGGTAACATAATTACTTTTACTTCTCTGTTATCAACTATGCATCTTTTCCACCTTTTAATTCATTCTGGTCCTTTCCACATGAGGCGCCTTCTAATCTCTGCCCTCTGAAATCTTTTTTAAAGACATTCTCAATGCTAACTTCTTCAGAAGGGTTTCCAGATCTTCCGACTAGATCTTACTTGGACATAAGCTTCTTGAGAGCAAACCATTGTCTCTATATTCTTGGAAATACTTAGTTTCTCACAGAATACGGTTTCGGTCAGAAAACATGTACATAATAAATAACGGAATGAACTGAGAATATTTCTTATTCACTTGTCAGATTCATATTTCCAAACAAATGCACACTTGATTTTTTTTTTTTTTTTTTTGGGACAGGGTCTCGCAAAGGGTCTCGCTGTGTCATCCAGGCTGGAGTGCAGTGGTACAATCTTGGCTCACTGCAATCTTCTCCTCCCAGGCTCAAGTGATCCTCACACCTCAGTCTCCCAAGTGGTTGGGCCTACTGGCCCATACCACCACGCCCAGCTAATTGTTTTTTCATGTGTGTTTTGGTTTTGTTTTGTTTTTGTAGAGACAGGGTTTTGCCATGTTCCTCAGGCTGGTGTTGAACAGCTGGACTCAAGTGATCCACCCACCTCGGTCTCCCAAAGTGCTAGGATTACAGGCATAAGACATCAAACCTGATCCACCTGACATCTTTTTTAGATGGGATAGCCTACTCCTGCCTCTGGTTTCATACAAGAAAACTAAGCATTCACTTCCTTTTTCCTAATTGATTCTATTTTCCTAACTAGCTATGTCCTTCAGTATTCTACCAACATTTCTCTGTCTTCCTGGCTTAAATGCTGCCATCTTAAAAATAAAATTCTGAATAAATGCTAAAGTGTCAAAAAACTAAAAGCTGCCTCACTTCCCTGTTTTTCTTCCCTGTGGTCACCAAAAAATTTCGGAGTTTTCCTACGTAAATTTTCAATGTTTAAAAATTTTGTATCTTACTCTTGCCCATTACTACTTATTTATTTATTTATTTTGAGACAAGGTCTTATTCCCTCGCCCAGGCTGGAGTACAGTGGCGTGATCATGACTCATTGCAGCCTTGACCTCCTGGGCTCAAGTGATCCTTCCACATCAGCCTCTGGAGTAGCTACAACCACATGTGCATCTACCACACCTGGCTAATTTTCAAATTTTTCATAGAGATGGGGGTCTCATCATGTTGCCCAGGCTGATCTTGAAGTCCTGCATTCAAGCAATCCTCCTACCTTGGCCTCCCAAAGTGTTAGAATTATAGGCGTGAGCCACTGCACCCAGTGCCCATTACTATCAATGAGTATACCAACTTCATAGTAATTTATCAGTTTATATATTTAGCCAACCCTGACATTCTCATAAAAATAGTTTTATAATGTTCTAATATTTAATATGTTAACTTTTCATTTAAAAATGTCAGAGATAAGGCCGGGCGCGGTGGCTCACACCTGTAATCCCAACACTTTGGATTGCTGAGGTGGGCAGATCACAAGGTCAGGAGTTCAAGACCAGCCTGGCCAATATGGTGAAACCCCATCACTACTAAAAATACAAAAATTAGTCAGGCGCGGTGGCTGGCACCTGTAATCCCAGCTACTCAAGAGGCTGAGGCAGGAGAATCACTTGAACCCAGGAAGCAGAGGTTGCAGTGAGCTGAGATTGCACTACTGCACTACAGGCTGGGTGACAGAGCGAGACTCCATTTCAAAAAAAAAAAACACAAAAAGTCAGAGATAGTGAGGTATATGTTATGAACTATCTTGCAAATAATAACCAAGTAGAAGGCATAGTTTCAGGCTTTTATTCTCATTTTAATAGAAAAATGTGAGGTAGGAATCTTCTGTCTGGTTTCACTTAAATTTAGCCTTTCATAGCCTTAGTTTTCTCCAGAGCTGCAGAAAAATATCAGACTTGCAATGTTGCTTCTAACTCCTTCCAAAGCCATCATCCTATGTTCTTTTGGCCATTTTATAACATCGTCACCATAAGAACAGCGACAGCTAATATTTATGTACTGGCTAATTACTACATGTCAAACTCTCTCCTCAGTATTGTACATTAGCTATCTCATTTAATCCTTACAATCAAACTATAAAGGTCATTTACTGTTTCTATTTTACAGATGTGGTTACTGAGATTTAGTGATGCTTAAGTCACTCAACCCAGTTCACACAAGTAGTCAGGTTTACAGCTAAATAGAACTCAAAACCTGGTCTTTCTGACTCCGAGCCTATGCTAATACCCACTTTACTGATTTTCCAGAAATAATATCAAAATTGAAGACTGAATTATTTTCCTGGTACTTATCTGACACCCTGAGATGATTTCCTCATCTTCTTTTTACATTCAGGGCAGAAGTTGCCCAAACAGCTGAACAATCAATGAACCCCTTATACTGTACCCTCTGTGGGCAGTTTCACACTTCCCTGCCCAGCTGTCTACAACCAAGTGTGCTGTTTTTCCTTCATCCAGCCTCAAAGTGTTCATTTGCTTTGAAAAATATATGTTTTGATAACATAGGTTTATATAAATAGGAAGTCTCATTAATTACTTTTGAAAATTGTCCCTAGGACATTCCTTTCCTTATCATTCCCACTATGATCATCTTTCCCGTCACTGCAATATCCTTCTAATTGGTCTCCTTCATCTGGCCTCCTCTCTCATGTCTCATGAGGCCTGGGCACAGCTATCAGAGTTATAGTTCCAAAACACTACTTTGGTAATACCACACCCAGATTCACAAACTACAGGAAAAACTTTTTATTATTTAGCCTCATATCCAAGGCAGTTAAATTCCTCTTATGCACTTTACCTCACTTCCCCATGAGGTTCTACTATAGATAAAGTATTACTTAATCTACGATTTATGAAAAGTCATGTCTATTCTGGCTTCTAAACCATGGGGCTCCTCCTGGATCTTCAAGAAACATTAAACCCCATTCTTTATATCTCTCCAAAGACTGTGCAACATTCCTGTCTTCTAATATGACCCCTGCCTTTGAAACTCTGTTATCCTCCTTAAGTCCACCACACAGATTGGCACAGAATTAAATACTACTATGTTTAACAATAACTCTTTTCTCCCACCAACTCATTTCTCTCACGTGGCATGTTACAGGTGTTAAATAAATCTCTAGAATTACCCCACAGCATCGGCACACACATTAATGTAGAATACGCTTGCTATTCAATAAATTGCTTTCTGTTCACATTTTTATATTAAAAATAAAAAATCTATTTGACCTCACCTATTATCTTAGATAAATCTCATTAAAAGTTTAAAAAATGAAGCAGAAGATTATTGAGATTGATTAAAGCGAAATGGTGACTCTAATCATTTTTATATCAAATATAACTTCTTTTTGAGGTCATCAACATTCTCTAAATCCATATTTAAAACAAATTTTGAAAGCCTGCAAATAGTCAGTCTAAGGCAAATATTTCTGTTAAGCAAATAATATTTAGCTAATTCTGAGTATAAGATAGACTTAGGTTCAGGTCAAGTACATGCGCGGTTTAGAAAGTGGGTGTCCTTGCCTTAACTACTGGAAATTGGCATTTTAGGCGCTGTGAAGATAGCTAAGAGAAAGTGTTTCTGAGTAGCAGTAGCCTTTGAAAGCTGCAACTTCAGCCTATGGCTGGCTGCCCCCTCTGCCTAAGCATTCTGGGGCTCTACTATTGATTTAGAAAGGAGATGCATAGAGGTCAGAATATCTAGCATACTGGGCTCACGGTTGCAGGCTGGAAGGGAGTGGGACAGACCTGAAGCTTTCCTATGGATACCTATGTATTCTATACAACATTTTTGCTGTGCTACCTAATGTGTCCTCAAGATATTAGAGCCCCAGAGTACCTAGGCAGAGCGGGCTGCCAGCTGTATGCTGATCTTGGAGCTCTAAAAGGCTACTGCTACTCAGAAACACTTTCTCTTAGCTATCTTCACAGTGCCTAAAATGCCAATTTCCAGTAGTCAAAGCAAGGACACCCACTTAAAATGCTAATGCATATTTATTGCTAGAAGGAATGATACAAGTGGGAAACAAACACTCCAGCCTCACCTACTTCCCAGTTTGCCTCAGGCCAGCCTGTTGAGAGGAGATCCTATATTACTTTAAAGAACTAGGGTATGCTATTCGTAGAACAGATACTAGAAAACTTCTGTGTCCTGATTCTCAAGACAATTCTCTGTACTTGAACATTCCACATTTTACTTTCTTTAATATTTACGTCCTTTTGAATTTTCCCCAGGTGCCCCAAAGTATTTTCTTCAAATAGTTGAATCTGATCATTCCATTTTTAAAGGATATCTAAGTTTAGTCATCAGGGGGCCCTGGTACAGGGTATAACAGGGGACTTAAAGTACTAAATAGAACTGATCTGCACAGATTTGTGAAAACTTTGTCCGATGAAATTCCTCCAGTGGAACATCCTGTGCCCATCAGAGTAGAGGAGACCTGAGGACAAGTATTTTCATAGAAATGTACTCAGATCTGCCTACGTTGACAGCAGTTAAGACTTCATCTGACTCAGTAACGGTAGAAGAAAGAAAACACCGACTTTGGAAGCAGATGTTTAAGCTGCATTTTGTAAACAAATGCCACTGTAAATACCTTCTCTAATTTAACAAGGAAGGAAATCAATTCTGGGTATTGAATTTGCAATTATTGATCAACTATTTCTAAATAGTTGGTAGAAATAAAAGTTATTACAGTTCAGACTGCTTTTATAATCAGCAAAAATATACCCCCTCAAATATATTCTAGTTTTACTAAATTCCCATTTGTATTCTGATTAATTTAATGGAGCTTTGGAGGTAGAGAGGTAGATTAATCAAATTTATTTCAGTCTCTCAGCAACGGAAGAAAAATGATCAGGATTTGCCAAACCTGACAATTTTCAACATAGTATCATATAACTATATTCCTTTGTGACTTTGTTTTTAATTTTTTTCTTTATCTGAAGGAGTTATTTAAGGTAACTTCTCTCAGTGAAACAGTGAAATATTTATGAGGTTTATTAAACAACAAATTCAGAAATACAGAGAAGCAAAAGCATTTGAAATTAAGTATGTCAAGTAAGTTTTCTTGTGTTGATGTTATTTTTTATCACCAAGAGCATCACAGTCTGAGAAAAACACTTTAGTTTCATTGAGAATATTTGAAGAACTTACTATTACATTCCTTTTATATCAAACACCAGAACAGTCATTTGAACAGACTGTAGGTTCCAACCCTTTGTGTATTGGTCATAATTTCCAACATTAACAAGTCATTTAGATTTAAGGTCCTGCCAAATCACACCTTGCCCATAGCAAGGACCCATTTAAGTTTAGCATTTTAAAAAGAGTGTTAACAAGACATAATTTTACCTTTAGATCATGTAATACATATTTGTTGATAACACACTGGTTTACTTCACTACAGTGGAACTATCTATAACCTAAAACCAACCAAAATTATGAGATACACACACACACACACACACACACACAGAGAGAGAGAGAGAGAGAGAGAGAGAGAGAGAGAGAGAGAGAGAGAGACTTGTTCCATAATCTATTTAAAAACTGTGGTTAGATGAAACTGATATTTGGGTCAAAAGTGAAAGGAAAGAGAATCAACTTTTGTAAAACCACACTTAACCTTGGAACAGGTTGACAGTTTACTTAAAAATATTTGAAATAAATACCTTATCTTGATATGATTTCAGTTTTTCCTTTGAGGCAGATAATTTTAGAATCTTAAAAAAAAAACCTGTCCATAATTTTCAAGTTACTTTAGTTATTAGATTATCTCTTCTAAATGAGGGAAACAGAAGAAAATAAGGAAAATAAACTTCCTCTGAAAATTTGTATTAGTGAGATCATAAATAATTAGCCTGCAAATTATTTGTATTGTGGGAAAGTTGGCATCAAGTCTGTTGTAATGACCCTTTTTTAAGATCTCAGAAATGTCATTAAGTTATCTAGCTATTTAAATTTGCTTTAAAAAGCAGTCTTACAAATCCAAGTGCATTAGTAATGCTGTGTAACAAATTAACCCAAAACTTCAATTATATTTATTACATCATAGTTTCTATGGATAACAAATTTTGGTGCTGCTTAGCTGGATCTTCTGGCTCACTCATGTGATTGTTGGCAAGATTCAGTTCCTTGCATGCTGTGGAGCTGAGGGTCTCGTTTCTTGCCGGCTATTGGTCAGAGACTGCCTTTAGTTTTCTGCTTTATAGGCCTCTCCATAGGGAAGGTTACAACATGGTGGCTGTCTTCCTCACAGCAGGTGAGAAGAGCCAGAGAGGGAGAGAGTACAAGGGAAACAGAAATGTCATGTTGTTTTTTTTTTTAATAATGTAATCTTAGAAGTAACATTTCATCACTTTTAACATATTCTATTCACTAGAAGCAAGTAAGTAGGAACTTTGTATACCAGAAGAAGTATCTACACACACAAGAACAAGAATATCAGGAGGCAGGAATCAATGAGACGTATTTTCGAAGCAGGCTATGACACTACACTGAGGAATTCAAATCAATGTCTTAAAATGTTTAAATCACGCTTGAATTATTCTTCCACACCAAGAAAAATTCTCTTTCAGAAGTCAAGGTTTGGTTATGTGTTTTGAGAATATTTACTTAATATATTTCAAAAGATATGATCAAATAATTGACAAAGAGTGAATGATAAATTTATACATATAAATTATACATACATCCTCTTTCTCCCTTAATCTGTCTCTTTCTCTCTGTCTCTCTGTTTCCCTCTCTCACAGAAACACACACATTATCATTTTTGTTAAGCTCTTTGATAATACATTTTAGCACTTATATAAGAACCTCACAACTTAATTTCATTTATTTTCTCATTATTTGTGCAAATGCTGTCATATTTTACATCTACATATGGAAAAACCCATAACATATTATTATTTTAAAACAGATAGTAGTCTTTCAAAAAATAAGAAAATAAAAAGTGTATCTCTTCTACTTATTTCAAAAAATACAATTTTATTTCTTTTTAATTTAAGGATTATATACTGTACTTATTTATAAAATACTTGACACCTCATTGAATTGAATATGCAGTTTTCTTTAAGATATTTTTTAATGTTTTATAAGACAATATAATAGAAGCTAACATTTATATAGTACTTACTATGTGTCTTAATATATAGTACTTAATATATAGTACTTACTATGTGTATTAATATAATGTATATCCATATATATAACCTTACATTCTTATTTCTTTTTTTACTCTGAATATTTGTCTAATAATTAGTGCTTCAGGAACTATTTCTTTTACTTCTAACCTTTTTATTATTAAAAATTTCAAAACTATTGAGAAGTTGAAAGACTAATGTAATGAATATCTGTAACTGCTTTCCCTAAATTTATACATACATATATATATTCACACATATATCCTATTATACATATACATATTCTCATATATCCTTATTAATATATGTATCATACATTAATATTATAATTAATATTAATGTAATTAATAAGCATTGTAATTAAATTCATTTGAAACTAAGGCATAGAGAGGTTAAGTTATATGTCCAAGATTACACAGCTAGTAAGTAGTGGAGTCAAGATTCAAACCCAAACTATTAATCTAGCTCCAGAATTCCTGCTCTTGATCACTATACTATATGTTAATGTAGTTATGATGATAGGCTAATATTCCGAATTATTTTCCTTTTCCTTTTTCTACTCTTTCACCTGTCAAGTTCCTGTTCATTAATAATTAATAATTCACCAAAAAATATTTTACACTAAATTCCATCACTATATTAGGTGTTGGGAAAAAAGTGTTGTCTTCATGAAGCTTTCTATATGCTTTTCCTGGTATCTTCCCTTGTTTTTTTCTTTTTTTTATTGTTGCTATTGTTTTTTGTTGTTGTTGTTGTTTGAGACAGAGTTTCACTCTTGTTGCCCAGGCTGGAGAGCAATGGCACAATCTTGGCTCAGTGCAACCTCTGCCTCCCGGGTTCAAACGGCTCTACTGCCTCAGCCTCCCGAGTAGCTGGGATTACAGGCTCCTGTCACCATGCCTGGCTAATTTTTGTATTTTTAGTAGAGATGGGGTTTTACCATGTTGGCCAGGCTGGTCTTCAACTCCTGACCTCAGGTGATACACCCAGCCCCCTTGTTTTTATTTATTTATTTATTTAATCCTTTAGGATCTGCTTTTCCTTTTACTTCTAACCCTTTTACTATTAAAAATTTCAAAACCATACTAAGGTTAAAAGACTAATGCAATACATGCCTACAAATGTTTGTCCTAAATTTACCAACTGTTAAAATTTTACAACATCCTTTTTCTCTCTTAATCTGTCTCTTTCTGTCTCTGTCTCTCTGTTTCCCTCTCTCTCACACATAAATACACACATTACCATTTTTGCTAAGCTAGTTGATAACAAATTTTAGTACTGTATATAAAATATAAGAACCTCATGACATAATTTTATTTTTTCTCATCCTTTGTGCAAATGTTGTCATATTTTACATCTATATATGGGAAAACTCACAATATTTTGTTATTATTTTAAACAGACATTAGTGTACCTAAAAAAATAAGAAAATAAAAGAAGTTTATCTCTTCTATTTATCTCAAAATTGATAATTTCCAGTGCTCTTCATTCCTCTCTGCAGATCAGAGTTTCTACGGATGTCATTTCCCATAGCATCAAGAACTTCTTTTAGCTTTTCTTGTAAAACAGGTCTGCAGTGATGAACTTTGCCAGTTGTTATTTATCTAAAAATGTATTTATTTAAGCCTTAATTTTGAGAGTTATTTTCCTTGGAAATAAAATTCTGAGTTCAGTTTTCACAGTCTTTCAACATTTTTCAGATGTCATTCCATTGTTGTCCATACTCCATTAATTCTCATGAGAGATCAGCTGTATTCCATATTATTGTTTCTATGTATGCAATGATATTTTACATCCAACATTATCATGTTAGATTGCAATCGTTTTTCTACATCTCTGGTTCTTTGCTAGATAATAGAGTTTTCTTTCAGAGGAAACTTTCCAAAGCCTGGTATGGAACAATTTCTAAGGAACTGTTTGATGGATGAGTAAATGAATGAATAAGATTGCCATGACAAAGGTTCTGGTTGTTATGATCAGTATCTAATACAGTGTTATACTGAGGGAAGAAAATAATAAATGTAATATTTTTCCACATAACTATTATATTTAAATCACTGTTAAATTAATAATGATAGTATTCTGAGTATGTACATTTTAATAGAAAAAATAGTTTCTAAAGAGATAAAAGAAAAATGTATTAATAAATATTGTTTCTTTCATCACAAAGATAGCAATTTCAACAACATTTTCATTTTAGAGAAAAAAATTAGATAGAAACAATAGTTTCATCTTCTGAATAACAAGGCTATATGAGTGAATGATATATATGACATACACTATTCTGATTCTAAAGGGCTGTCATGTAACATTCTGGTTCATATAATTAGTGTTTTTTTTTAGAGAATACGTTCAAGCCATTGAATTTACTGTCTTCTTAGTTGGCATTTAATCAGAATTTTTTAAAAGCAAAAATTTAAAAGATGTTGAGATTATTATATGTGAACAGCAATAAAAGATTAACTCCACTTGATACATTGGCCATTTAGCCAACATGTGGTATTGATGAAGAAAAAAATCAGTTTCTATATAAAACAGGGTGCCACCTATGGAAAAGAGAACTATACGTAGTCCTTCTACCTTAGATTATGTGCCTTAATACCAAAATACTTGATAATACAACATAATAATTAAATAAATTGTCAGTAACCGCCCATTGTCCCTCACTCCCAAGCTTCAAAAGCTTTCTTAAAAGTCACTTTTTCTTTTTTAAAACCTTTTAAACACTCAGTTAAGATCAGTGGATTTGAATTAAGTTGAAATTCCTAATAATAGTCTTAATTTTATAAGCCATATCTTAATGACTTTTATCCTTCTACAGAAAAAGCTTTCTTACAGTTTCTTCCCCCCCAAGCATTCACATGTATGAATTTAGAAAACACATTAAACTAGTCTTGTGGAATAACTAGGCTTCCGATTTATTTCAAAGTAAAATTCAGAGGGTTGACTTAAGTCAACAGATGGTTTGGGGCTTGTTTAAAGAAGAAATTATCTCACTCCATATGTAAGCTTGTGAGACATGCAATCAACTGCTGCACTTTTACACATAATTTCTAGAGTCCCATTTTAAGAAACTGCAACCAGGGAATATTCAATGGAGATCCAGTAACTGGAGCTTCTGCACTTTATAGAGTAGCCAAGCCCTTATTAGCTTACCTTGCTGATCCTTTCTAAATAAATTGACTTGAAGTTGCTGCTATTTTGATGTTATTTTTATGTTAAATCATTTTAATTAATTCTGTTGATAGCTATTTTAAGCAAGTTAATTAGCTATTCTTGTACCTCCAGGACATTAAAGTTAAAAAACAGTCCTTTAGATCCTTTAAAGAATTAAAATAATTACTTATGCAAAGTTCTTCTCAGCCAATTATTTTATATGGGTTGACAATACCTCTCAGAGTGGGAACCAGGAAGCTGACATGCTTTATCCCTCTAGCTCTGCTCTTCTTTTGGCTGGTCTATCTACAGTGCATTTACCAATTCTACTGGCTTTCCTCTGAGTGTAATGACTTTCCTTGTACTCTGTTAAAAATATATCCCCACAAATCAAGAAGAAGCAGATTCAGACTAAGTGGCTGAGAAGATTTACTTTCTATTGCTAACCCAGTTATTACTCTGCTGAAAACCCCATAGCATCAATATAATGAATCCCTCAACTTCTGCAGCAAGCACAATTTTTCTTCCCAACCTCATTGGCTCCCAACTTTCTGCTTGACCTTTTACAATCTGTGTGCAGCAGAACTTCATTACGACCTTTTAATGATGCACAAATGGCACACAACACCAAGGTCACAGAAGATCCCAAGTGAAAACTTTTCAAACACCACCAGAATAGATATTGAGACCTTATTTAATAGGCAAAATAACCGTATGGAGAAATCATACCTTAGAATTCAGTATATCTCCCAAGGTCTGATAAGGCAAAATGCTGACAATATGGTAAGCTACCCTCAACAAACCTTTTTTAAGAGGAAAAGAACCTGATTTCCCAACCTATAAGTGGCTAAGAGATTCTAAATGGCTCCTTAAGTGTCCTATCTCAGTTCTAGAAAGATAATAGCTTTAGGATTCCGATCCAGACAGGTTTCATTATATAACTCACAACACTGATGTTAGCTCAAGAAGCCAACACTCTTACATATTTTCTCTTATCAGCTTGAGCCAGCAAAAAGCACCTCGAAATCTCATTGTAACATAAGTTGAGGATGTGAAAAGCACAAAATTACAGCATGGCTCTTCACATGATTGATTGACTGAAAGTGGGGGAATCTTGAAGGTGTAGGAGTAAGCAAGTTGAATTGTAGGGCAAGATGGGATGTGGCAAGAGAGAGGTAGGGAGAGCTTGATTCTGATCAGCAATCTCCTTCAAGAAAATGAATATTTGCTTAGGGAGAGACAAAGAAAGGGAAAAGTTTTGTTCCACTTGCTTTAAGTCCTACTGTTCAAGGAGGGTAAAGGGGGGCATATGTTCTGGTTCTTCTTTTCACAGTTTTAAATCAGATCCTGAGTTGCTTCCCATTTTCTCTTTTCCTGTCCTTCTTCTTCCTCTTTCCCTATTCTTCACATCAACTTGAAAAGTCCAAGTTATCCATGGCTGAGGCTGTGTGATCTGTTAACATATGAGATGGAGCAGTCTGTTCAGGCTTAGTGGGAAAAGAGAAAACATTCCAATTCACTGCTTTCTCCACCATTTCATCAGCTGAACCCCCAATTTTAAAAAATATATATTCTTTAATATTTTATACCATGGTGAAATATAACCATAAAATAAGTACCATGTAGAAATACAAATTTTTTGTAAAAAGTCTCTGAATTTAGGATCACATTGGTGGTGCCATGATGATTGTCCTCAATGCCCTTAGAAAAGTTAAGTGACGTTTTTGAGTGTCCCTCTTCCCACTCACAAATTCATCTGCAGCTTTATAAAAAGTGAAGATAAGAATCCAGAAGCTGCAGAAATTGGTTCCAAACCCATGAGAGCCTTGGGCTCTTAGATGCAGAGTGTGAAATAAATTAAGAATAACTGTTATGCTGCCAAATGCAGCCAGGTTCAAATCTCTAGCACAGAAACTTGCTAGCCGTATAAATTCAGCATTACTTAACTGCTCTGAACCTAGGTTCCTTCCTGTCAATTTGTAATAGCATTTAACTTGTGGAGTTATTACAAGAATTAGCTATCATAGGGCTTCTTGCACAGAGCTTGCCACATAATGGATTCTCCATAAATGGTAATTGTGGTCATCATAAGACATATTACTTGATTCAAATATTATGAGAAATCATGGATGTCCATTTTTACCAAGAAAAGTCTCCATATCAGTGAAAAATGTCTATAGGCTTAAAGAACAAAAGGCTCTCTGGTTTAGCTTAGCATACTATTTGATAGGGAGTGAAATTGGAAATTGAGGCTGATGGATTTTATATCTCATCCTCTAATTTGATTACTTAACTCCTTTGTTGCCCCACCCAAAACCTTTCATTTATAGCAGTTTCACTTTTAAACCATTTCATCCCATTTGCAATGAAAAACACTGTTGAACGGAATTCTAATATAATATCCTCTCCATTCAAAGTTGCCTTTGAGGCTGTGACAACCCATAGCTTTATTTCGTAGTCTAAGTCAATGCTGAAGACAAAGTAATCTGTTCACTAGATTAACTAGCTAGGCTAGCCCAGGAAGAAGTACTAGATTGCACCATTTACCCCGTCAGGCTCTCTGCCATAGGCTCCGGGGCCCAAGCAGTATGATGGCTGGCAGCTTTGGTAGTGAGCACAGATGGAGAATAATTGAGGTGCCCAGTTAGCACCAAACACTTGAAGAAAGCTCAGAAAAGTATTAAACAGCAACGGGAAACTGTTCATATTCTGTCTACATACAGCTGTTATACACATTTGTGAATGTATTTGTAGATCAGATTATTCATATTTCATCCTCAAGCCTGCAGGGTTGAGTGTAAAAGAACTGGCATTTGCTTTGAGTTCTCAAGATCCCGCCCAAGGAAATGCTGAACCTTTGGCAACAGAAATTATCTATAGACAAGGAAGTACTGAAAAATTTAATGCTTTATGTATTTTTACATACAAATATGCCTCTTAAAAAAATCTCAGATAAATGACATGGATTACTATAAGGAATTTTTTTTTCACTATAACTATACAAGGTACATGTCTACCACTAAACTACCCATACAGGTTCAGGCAGAGGTAGGTCAGGTAAAATAATAAGAGACTTATTAATAGTTTTATTAATTTTCAAAATGTATATGAAAAATTGATTTATGATACAAATTCTTTACATAGTTTGTAATTAATATTCATCTACTTACTTATGAACTTTTCAACAAATGTATACGAGTATCTACCTACTGTGTTTCAGGCAATTTGACAGGCACTAGGAAAGGGTAAGAAAGAAGCAAGATGAAAATCTCTCTGTGTTGTAACATGGCACCCCTCTTGCTCTTTTCTACAATCTGTAAAAGTGAGATTCATCTGCAAGGGGATGGGAAGTGTGTCCAATTCAGATGCTTTTATCTAATTTAACTGAATCAGGTACTCTCCAGTATAAATGCTTTACCTTGTCATAAAATTTCATTACAGAATGTGTCAAAACAATGTACAAGCAAATGGAGTTAAAGAAGTTAGGTTTTCATAATTCTGAAAGTCAACTGTGAAAATAAAAACTGCCTCTCTGGCTAATTCCCGATGCACAAACTGCATATCCATGAATAATGATATGAAAGGCTTTGAAATCACTCACTTGACAAAAGAAGCACAAAAAATACTGGTGAATATACTCTTACCTGCCTTGTTACCACTTGCCATCTGAATTGTTACTGCATTTCAACAGTCACTTCACTGATAATGCAAATAAATCATCTTAGCTACAACTGTCTCTTCCCTCAAAATCATAACCTATGCCAATCTTAAATCTTATATTCTTCCTTCTGTATTTGACTCCACAAGTGTTTCTCTTCAACATCTAAGACTATTTTCCCTCCACTGTAAAAGAGGTAGAGTAACTTAGCAAATTATATAAAATTATCTACTCTCTACAAGCAGAGCTAGTTTTGAAATTATACACATAGAATTCAACAACATGACTAAAGATGATTTCTGCTCCTTATAAGGGCATTCTTTTTGATTGAGGTTTGGGAGAGATGCAGATGGAGAAAGAAAGGAGACCCCACCTACCAAGTCATGGCAAAATCAACTGGAAAATCAATGGGTGACAGATGTGGCAGCCAGATCGCCCTTCCATCCACGGCCACACCAAAACCATGGCAGGATCAATGTACTTTCAGCCAAAGTCGACTCATGGTGGCAACAAAAATACACATGGAAGATTAGAAGACTTATCTTATGTAGGGCTGTTTCTCAAATTCTGTTAGGAAGCAACTCATTTCTATGCCCCATGTCTTGCTGGAAGATTTTGTTTTTATATTAAATTATGCTTTCACCTTTCTGTCTAGTCACCCCCAGACCTAAGGTCATACTGCTACTATGGGATTCCTTCCCTGCAGGCCCTTGTGCCACATTCAGGCTCATACACATCTCCATAAGGTGCTGGTTTATTTTCCCAGTAAGCATTGCAGTAGCATTCACACATCTAGTTATCAAGAAGTTTTCCCCGTCCCCATCAAAAACAGTACCGTGTCACATGGATGCCTCTAAATTTTGTTGTGACAAAAAATACTTAAGTTATGACTTACTTCTCTTCTCCTCTAATTACAATTTAAGGGCAATTTAAAACCAATTAAGTTCTTTTTTTTTCCCCTCAGTCTGCCATTAATAGGCCCTAAATTACAAGACTATAAGAAGCTGTGGAACATCAATCTACAGTCACAATACTTTCAGTAGAGTTGTCATGAAATTACAGAAGGATAACAAAATGACTGGATGTAATTAGGCAGGAAGAAAATAAGACCCAACTGAAAATGTCAATCAGCAAGTGATTAATCATAATGTAGAAAAATGAAAAAAAATATATATATATGGCTTAAAAGTTAGATTATAAAACTGTATTTCCTAGGGGAATGAAAACATCCAAAGATGAATTAGAAAGCTTTTATTAATAATTTGATTGAGTTCATGTTTACCGTAATAAGTGACAAGGCTTCTCAATTTATTAAAACTGCCTGAAAGGAGAATGGCTTCCTTAAGTCTGAAATATAGTGCTTGAACGTATTTGTAAATGGCATACAGACACTTAGTGTTTTATTAAATGGTTCATTATGGGAAAATAAAAAAATAAATGGCCTTTATCTTTGAGGAGTGACTATAAAAATCCCATTATGTATCCTGGTATTAGAGAACTTCCATGATACAAACTTTGGATTCTCGTTTGCACTGAAAGTAAAACCTGCTCCAGTGAGAGATTCAAAGCTTACTCGTTTTTTAAGGAAATTATGTCCCTGAGTTAGGCGAAAAAAGTAACAAATAGGTCTGTTTGTTACAATGACATGAGAATAATCATTTTATATGACATACAATTCAATGAAAAGAAAAAGAAATTACTTATTTCAGTAGAAAAAATATTATTTAAAAAGAAGCTTTTTTAAAAAAAATCAGCCTACATCACACTTTGATAATCTGAAAGAAGAGGAACAATAAAGTAAGAAACAAATGCAGACACGAGGAATTACCAACATACTCATTACATCACGGCAAAATATAAAAAATGTATTTCTGAATAAATAGCTGTAGAATGTTATAGTTAAGAATTTGCTTTCTGGGGATAGACCTGTGCTCAGATTCCCTTGGACAAGTTACTTAACCCCTCTAAGCTTTAGGTTATACATCTTTAAAGGGAAGTAATAATAGTATTGGCTCATGGAGCTATGAGAATTAAATAATAGAGGTAACACATGTAAAGCCCAGAGCACAATACTTAGCATATAATCTGCTCTCTTATTCGATAACACAATTTATTTTCAGATTCTACTAGGACAGAGACAATGGGCTATAACCTACTTGTAAAAGTAGCAAAAAAAAAAAATCAATGTCCACTTTTATTGGATAGGCACACCTGACATTAAGAATGTTGTAAACTTGTAAGATTAAAGAATAATAAGTCAGGTATGAGAATGATTATTGCTGACAATTATTGAGTGCTTGTAATATGCCAAGCATTGTTTTAAGTGTTTTACACATTTACTTCTCACCAAAAGTCTTGAGAATGGTTTCATGTTGCTTGTGTGTCTACTCCACTAGCTGTTTGAAGATGGGGATTATGCTTCAGTAGCAGGGCCAAACATGGTATATGGCATTCAATTGTTGCTTAGGAGCTGTGGACTGAACACAGGAATGAATTTTCCTAGAGTGCCTAAAATCTTTAATGATTTCACACATCCCACAAGTTAAATCTAAATGCCTCCCTCTCCAGATTTTTCTTCAGCCTTATCTGCCAGAGACTCAACATTCTAGTCACATAAGACAAGTCATCATTGCTTGATCAGATCACAATTCGGTGCCCTTTTGGCCTCTTTGCCTTTTCTGCAGCCTAAAATATGTTGTTCCTTCCTATGCCTGCCAACTTTCTCTTCTTTCCAACGTTGGTTCAAAATTTTTTTTCAGCGACAACTTTCCCAGTTCCCTCAACCAGAATCAGTATCTCCCTATTTTGTGGGTCCAGAGTCATTTACATGTCTTTTGCTTCATTTGATGATTAATTTATTCAATAATTAGATATTAAATGTAAATGATGACCACAGGTCATTTTAGGCACTGGACAGAAAAAAAAAAAAAAAAAAAGCAAGCTCCTTTAAGGAGTTGATATTCAGAAAATTGAGCACACATGTTCAGATCCAGGCAATAGGTGCTGTGATATATGTGGAGGATAAGCATAGTAATAGAGTTTTGTATCAGTCTTGGAAGGCTTTCTGGAGGAGGTGACTCTAGTGCTAAGTCTCAACAGACTAGTAGAAGATTAGTCGGGAGCAGAAGAAAGGGTCATTACAGGAAGGAGAAACCAAAAGCAAAATGGCAGGGGGCATCAACTGGCTTGCAAACTGCAAGTAATTTAAGAGTGTGCTAATTGGTGGAGAGTGATCCACTAATTCACTAATTCACTGTCAGACTATGCACAGAAATAAGATCGGACATTGCGAATAAGTGCTTAGAAACTTTTATGGAAAGTGGACACTGTTACAACATTAGAGTATCAGTGAACTCATCATCATGGCCTTGAATATAGTCTGGACCAGTTCTTGTATTGTCATGTGAAATGAGCAGTGTACTAGTCATATGCATGCAGCAGGATCCATGCACACGTCCACAGTGGATTAGAAATGAAATATTCAAACAAACAAAAGCAAATCATTCTTCCACACAATTTGAAAAGCACCAGTTCAGAACCCCTAAAGCTTAGGGAGGAGGGATGGAAAGAAACTAAAATAGAGAATAAAGAGAGGATCAGATAATGAAGGGTTATGTAAGCCAACATAATAATTTCTTCTTATAGAACTCATTGAATTATTCTTTCAAAATTGTAAACTCTTTGTTAATGATTGATTTTATTTTAGATACCACTATTTCTCACAACTGCCTAGGTCTTTACTGTCAAATAATTCTTGAATAAAATTACTTGCATGTGTGTGTAATTTGCTGCATAGCAAGAGTCTCCATGTAGCAATTGGGACTACACCAAGTCCATTTACCATTTTGTTTTAGTTACTCAGAGCTCCAAGCTAGATACTAGGTATACAGCCATAAATTAGACCAAATCCTTGCTCTCTAGTTGCTCATTATGCAGTCAGTGAAAACATTTGAAGCCATACCTATAGTTCACAAAGAAGCTATATTTTGAGCAAATCTACTTTTTTAATAGAAGTCTGGCAAACTGTTGTTATGTCCTTAAAAGTTCCAGTGATTTTTTTTCCAAGACTACTTAAGTTTTAGGAACTTGCTCAGATTTGTATTTGATAATAGAAAAGATATTCAAGAAGCTTGGCATAAATAAATTCCTTATATTGAAAATTTCAGAAATCCTTATATTGAAAATTTCAGAGTTTTCAATATAGGGAATATATTCAATATAAGCAAAGAAAATCAAATTTCTAAAGTAATCATGTGTAATGTAATGCTGTGAATGTTTTTTCCTAATAACTAGACACCCAAGGAAAAGGTAGCAAATGAAATGGATGAATTGAACAGTAAAAGAAGGAAAAGGGCAAGGATTAGGGAATAGGAAAAGAGAGTAGACACAAGATGGCTCGAGTAAGAAAGAAAGCAGGGAAAGGAAGAGTTGAAGCCAAAAAGGGACACAACTGTTCAATGCTAGCACCTAGAGGACAGTGATCATTAAGTTTTACCCATTACTTACTGCTCTTTTCCCAAATACCAGCACATCAAAACAATAATTTTAAAAGTATACAAATGTTTATTTGTAACAGTTTCAAACTAACTGAAGCTTGGGTAAACCCACTGAAAAAACAGAATCAATTAAATATGATGTCAAAACTGTATAGATAGTCCATTTCAAATGGTACATTTGTAGTTAATAAAATTGTGTTTACAAGACCACCAGAAGCATACATTTTAAAAATATAATTATGGCCATTTTTCTGTTGTCCTACAGTTTACAGAATACTTTTTATTGTCATTTTTAATTATCATAACAGTCCTGAGACCTGAGTAGAGCAAAATATTTTACTATTACTTTGTTGAGAAGCACACTAAGGCTCAGGGATATTTAGAGATTGGCCCCGAAACACCTGATAGTAAGTTTTAAAGGCAAGAAACTCACCCAATCTATTTATTTCATTTTGGGGGTACTTTCTTCAACACAACACTATCCCCCTAAAATGATAATATTGCTCTGACAATATGATAACTCTAAGTAAAGTCCTACACATGTGCTTTGGGATAGTACGAGGATAAGAATGGAGTGCAAATAACATCATTCCATAATGGCCTTCATAGGAACAGGTAGCAATTAGCTAGTTGTAAAACATTTACTGCCGCATCTATTTTGTAGGAGCATTTTTGATAGAAAGAACATTGTTGCTACTTGCACAAAGCAGGTGGCTTTGTAAAATAATAATATCCACTGATTAAGCCAAATTGTGAATCCTCTTGGAAATTTACTGATAGTGAATTTTGTTGTCTAATTTCCAGTACCGAAAATCACACAGATCCCTGCCATTAGTGTCAGTGACACAGAACGCAAATACTGTACACTCTCAAATAGAAGCACCTAATCACTTTGTCCTATTAAATAGACTAGTAAGATAAGAGTTTAAATAAATGATATAGTAAAATATTAGCCTCAAGGGTCCTATCACATAAATCTGATTGGTTCCAGCTGATTTTTATTGCCATATTTAAATATACTTGTATATCAGTATTCAGTGCATTGAAGTATAATGTTATGGTAAGAAATATGAAATTTATTCAAGTTAAAAATTGAATAGGTCAGAATGAACTTTGCTTGTTGACTTTATAAAGTGTTTTGATGCTTATTTATTATGAATTATGCATTCTCAAGTACATTCCTTGCTTAATTTGAAAAAAAATCAATAATCTTGTTAACTCTTCAATGAAGTCTCAAGGGAAAATATAATAATTAATATTCTTATAAAAAAAGTAGAACATGCTATCAAAAGGGCCCCAAATCATCTGAATTTGTCTTACATATGCATTACAGACTGCTGCATTGAGTTTTCCCCTACACAACACATGCCCTGCCTTTCCCCCCAGATTGAAATGACAACCTCATTTTACATTTCTCACTTGGCACATTCAGTAAAATGGTTCATGGAGAAAAAAAGCCCAGTGACATCTCAATATGGGTGTGAGGCTGCAAGTAAAACAGGAAATTAACATTTTACTGAAGAATCACTTGGATTTTGTGAGCCTTGAACTAAGTGTTAAAACCGATTATGCCACATGAATAACTAATTTTTTTCACAGAGAGGAGAGGGGGTTCTTTATTGGTACTAGAAAGACAGAGAACCCATGGCTAGAACTATTACTGTCCAGCACTGAATCCGCATCCTTTTTCAATTGTATTGTGTTACATCTTTATTCAGACAAACGGAAAATTAGAGCAAAGGCATATGAGGCCAATCTGCCTGTGAGGGATATACTTTTCTCTTCTGGGTGGATGGGGTAAGGATTTTGATGGCACAGAACATAATTCCACAGTCTTTTTGGACTCCTCACACAAGCTAATGTCACTTGCTCTCAAGAAATATTTTATTAGTTTGATCCCATTAGTTCTTCCCATAGCCCTAAGTACCATAATTACTCTCTAATTTCAGTTTTTGTGACATGCCCTCATTTATGAGCTTTTCAGTCCCATTTATGTCCTCCAATCCCTAAAGAATCCTCTAGGCATCCATGTAGACTTGATTGTCATACATAAGGCTATGAGCAAAGAGCCATGCCAAACTGATTGTAAGAAATCTACCTCATGGCTAGTTAGCACTGCTACAGCAAAGCCAGTTCACACAAAGCAAATGGGAGCTCTCCTTGGTTTAGGTGGCAGCCGACCAGCCACATAGATGAGAATGGAACCGTCTCATCAGTGAAATCCAGGACTTGGCAACCTTTCCGACGTGGTATGCCAAATCCTCACTTGGCCTCTCTCTTAAACTGGGACTATGAAATTGAACCTACTTGAGAGTCTCTTCACAAATCAACATCATAATACGGTGGGTGGCACCCTGGAATTGGAGACAAGGGGAAACTTAGGTGAGTCACTAAGTTACTTTATCTCCCTGAGTCCCAGTTACTTTATCTAAGAAAACACTTTTTAAGAGTTAAATTAGAATTCTTAATGTAATAGCACCTGGAATCCCATTACCTAAAACAAATTAAAGCAGAGTTGGTACAGTAGAACCAGAATTTAGGGAGCTGGAGGCCTCTTGTTTGATCTCTTAGAAGTACTGGTGAGGACATCCCTTTGCTGATTGTATAATTCCAAAGTTAACCAAACCTTATTCCAACAGCTAACCTCTCAGCCCAGCGTTCTCTTCTCTCGTGGCTGGAATCATCGTGCTCAACTGGCCAGACAAACAGACACAAGTGATACTTCTTGCCCTCAGAGAAATACCTCTAGTCCTCATGTCACCATTATAGCTTTGAATCCTAGAATGTTCTTCAACACTCATATGTTCACTTTAATCTTAAAACTATCAGCTGATAGGAGGGAAAGCTTTAAAGCCATTCTAAATGGGAAGGAGACCAAGCAGCTAGTGTGGTAAGGTTTCAATAAAGGTGGAGGGAAGGGACCTAAAAGACCAATTTAATTCATTTCTTATCTTAATCCAAAGCAGAGAGTACTCTCTGCACCAGGCCACGGCATTAGTTGTCAAAACGTGACATAACTTAGTTTATGCTAAGCGATGTACTATTTTCTTTTTTAATTATTATTTTTTCAGTGGCTTGAGAAAACAAGAAAGTGATACACTATTTTCTAACAGTTTACCATAGACTTTTAATCTATGTTAAATGCTAGGTCAATCTGATCCATAATCCTGGACTGAAAACAGAAAAAAAAAATGTTTCAAAGTCCAAATTTCACTGTCATAATTCTTTCTTTTCATGGCTATTGTTATAGGTACCAAGTAAAAACATGATCCTAAAGTGATCTCTGTGTACTCCAGAGAAATTGACACCTTAATGTCAATGCCATAGTAGCCTACAATGGTGCCCATCCTTTTGAATACTAGTCACCTGACTTTAATCACTTGAACTGTACAATTCCAGTGACTTGTCTTTGAAATAAAATATTATTCTATAATGCATTTGTGTATGTGTTGATCACTTTTGATGTGAAATTCAGAATGTACATCTACATACCTAACTGTTCTTATAACTTTTTAATAAATGTTATAAATGGCCTCTAATTTTCATTTTAAACTTTTTTCTTATTACTTTATAATATTGAACACTGAACCTAAAATATTCCCCTTTTCTCTTGAAATTATTTAGTGTAACATAGCCCTCTTTTATCAGTCTTAACTCCCAAACGCATTATCCTCATCTATTTCCCTTCCACTCAGTATCCTTCTATCAATGTCTTTAGCTCTCCACATTAAAACATGATATTGATTACTTAGCTTATTTCCCTCTCTGTATTCTTAAACAGTTCTCTCACGTTAGCTAGGCACATCCATCATTCTGTATTCCTCTTTTACACGTAATGAATAATCGTATTTACATAGTGTCCAGTTCCAAAGAATTAAAGCACTTTAGATTACTTTGGAGAAATATGCATAATCAATTCTGACAGCATCACTGAGATAGGTAGAAGCAAAACACCATAATCCATTTTTACTAAGTAAGAAAGATGGCAGGGAGATAGGGAATTAGCCTTAGGGTCCACTATTATTTGCCAGTAGTTACACACTGACATTCAGTTTCTGCCCAGGTCTGCTAGCCCTCTGGATCTTTTCATTTCTACTGTGACTTCTCCAGTTCAGGCCACCTACACTATTGCCATGGTGTAATGAGAACTCCCATCCCAGCTTATCCCTGCTCAACCCTTTTCTCCTTTGTCCTATCTATAACTGTCACATGCATCTTACTAAGGGACTGCCCTGATCATGCCACTTACTGGCTCAAAAATCTTGAATACCTTTTCATCATCCAACATATTAAGTATAACTTTTCTTACTCTAGAATTATTGAGTCTCAACTTAACTTTTTCGAAAATATCAATAGCTACTGCGTTACACATACTCTATGTGACCAACATAGTTACTAGCTGTTTTCTGAAAATCCCAAACTTTCCTATGTCTAAGCCTTTGTCCAAGCTTTTTCTGACATTCAAAAATACTTTACTCCTCCTCCCTTCTTTAATCTTGTCTCTTTGTCTTGTAGGTGTAATTTTTAATTTTTTTACTTAATTGAACCCACCATGGACTGTTGGCTGAATGTAACCCATCTTTACCAAAGATGCAGAAATTTTTGTTTATCTTTGGGTATTTGTGATACTCTAGCTTATGCTCTGATTATTTTTTATTTACAGCACTTTGTTCCCATAATATAGTTTTGAGAGCCATAAATGTCTTAGAAAAAAATATTCTGTGGTACCTAGCATCTATAGTTACTAATATAATTTTCTTTGTGTGTTTAATTTGAATATATCAATTGTATTTTATCACACCTATTATTGTATCTTATCTTCAAGTATTATCTTTGATGATAATTCATACAATTATCATTTATCATTATATCCTTTTTAAATGCTTGATTTCTGTATTTCTCTGTCACCTTGTTGGCTCCTCTTTCATTTCGTGACTCTTACTTCTGTCATTCTTTATGGATTGGCTTTTGTCTTTTATCTACAGATTTCCCCCAGGATAAATTTTTTTTTCATATCTCTAATCTTTGATATGTAGCACGGACCTACATTTTTTTTCAGCTTCAGTAATTATCTGCGGCCTTGTTTCCAACTGTCTCCTTAAAGTTTTTGCAAAACTGTCAACTTGTCTGTGACCAAACTCAATACCTCTTTCTCCAATCCTTCTTTGCCATCATTGACACCAATGATTTCACCTCTCACGGGCACTTAAACTATAATTTCTTCTCTAAATCATCCAATCAGTCTAATTCCCTCATTGTGCAGATGAGGAAACTAAACTTAGAAACTAAACTAAAGCTTATAAAGGGCAAGTGACTGGTCCAAAATTACACATCACGACTATCTCCAGATCAAATTAACATTAAACCAGCAGCCCATCTGGAAGGATGTCATCAAAATAATCCCATGAAATCTGTTATGTTTATAGCAACGATGTGTTGAGAATGTTGACTCTATCCCACAATGTTCTCTTTTTGAGGTTAGATAGAAAACAATTCTCTCCTTGCTGAGTATGGAGGACAGATAAGTCCCTCCTGTGCAACTGCTCTATTTAGACTTTTAAAATGACAAACCTAATCAGATCTCCCTTTAATTGCTTTCTAGAAGGTTCATATCCAACGATTTTGCCTACATCTATGAAGTGCTTAAGATCGCAGAACATCCATTTTGAACTCTACTGTCCCTTTGTTTTTAAATTACTTTTTCCTAGCAAAATTTTTTCTTCACACATATTTCATCCATTAACTTTGTCTTAAAAATCTTGCAAATTATATCTTTTTTTTTTTTACTATCTCAAATATTTAGAGAGAATAAAACAGGATAAGAATATTTAAGCAAATAAAATAATGATAGGAATACGAATAGATACAAAGTCTCTAGACTTCTAACACATCATGTCTTTTCTGGCTGTTTTTTATATTTACTTAACACGTATTACTATGTGTATCTGTATGTAGGATGTGTGTGTGCCTGCTTATATGCATCTGTGCATGTGTGTTTAAGATTTTTTCATTTATCTTATCTCTCCTATCAGACTGTAAAATCTCCAAGGACAGAAATTGTCTCAAAATATTTTTTCAACTTTCTCAAGCAAATACAATAGTATGTGCATATGGTGGCAACTCAGTAATGGATTTGGATGTTTCTAAATTTGTCACTAAACTTTAATTCCTAACCCAATTCTCAGTCACCATCTCAATTACATATAGAATTGTGTATTGGACCTTGGCTAAAATTGAAATCTCTTAGGTAGAATAGATATGTAATCCTAGGGTTTACTGTACAATACATTTCTGTTAGTGGAATCTTGTCTTTTCACTAACTTGTGGAAAATAGAAAAATGTACACTTTATAAAAATATACTATTAATGCAACCAGTATATAAAATTATGGTGAATTATGATAAATTCATGGTGAATTATGGTAAAATTATAACCTTCAAATAAATACTAATATTTAATATATCAGCAATATTGTTTTGTGCTTAAGTTAAATATAATAAACATAGCAACTTAAGGCAGAGAAAAATGTAACAATCTCTGACCTAATGAACATCTATTTTAAACTCTCTTAAAACTTTAGAAATCTTACCTTTTCATCATTGATAACTTTCCTTAACAATTTCATTTACATTCAATGTAGATTTATTTTTAATACTTCCAAACCTTTTATAAATTTTCTTAACTATACTATACAACTCTCATACCCATTCACTTTTCACTTCTGTAAAATTTGATGGATGAATGACATAGCACTAAATATAATTAAGGAATAAGAAAGCAATTCCTTGTTTAGTAATAGAATCTGCCCCTTCATACTTCACAAATATACATTACTTAGCTATTTCATTTGATCCTCTTCTTAATTTTATAAATAGGCATGGTTTAGGAAGCCCCATTATGAGATAGAACTATAAATCTATTCTTCTATACTTCCAAGGTATAATCCTTAGGAAACAGTCACAAACTTGCATGAGATTGTTATCTTTATTCCTTCTAAGCACAGTAAAGCATGTGTTTGTTGAACCTAGCAATGTGTGTTCAAACACAGATAAAAGTAGTAATTGGAGTTCAACAAATGTCACACTGGGGGAGGGGATTGTGCTTGCAAGATCAAGAGCAAATCCCAGAAGCTCTTCACAGCTCCATTTTCTTTGCACTAATGTAGAGCTACAAGAGGCAAAAGTGAACAAACAAAATAATACAGTAAAAAAAAAAAAAGTTGCCTGCTTCTATTAAATGCAGCCATGACTGATCTTAATAAAGCAGGAAGGAATATCTTATTGTGCCAATTTTCAATTTTCCATTATTATTTAAAGAACAAAACCATTGTATTCAAATCCATTTGAGGAAATACTATTGTCATTTTTTGTATATGAAAGCAATTTCAAGTTACTGCTGAATTACATTTAAGGAAATATAGTATGGAGCTTCAATTTTTTACATGCTCTTGCAAAATAGTTGGTACAATTCTCCTTACAAATATACTTGCAATAAATCTCACATATATTGAGATAGCACCTTTCTCTTTAGGTCATTATTGAAACACTAAGAGTATAATGACCAAATATTTTCTGAACAAATAGACATGTAGCTTTTGCCCTAGTAGGATTTTAAATCACAATGCTTTTCCTCAGATTTCTTGAAACTAAGAAAATCTGATCTCAGATTGGAATTCTTATTATAGAAATTACTTCAGAGGACTGAAATGTCTGTTTTGTTTCAACTGATAAGGAAGAAGAATTTTATAAGCTCAGCTTTCCATACTTACTCTGGGCTACTTTTATATTACATTTGCAAGCAGATTTATTCAAATACTGTCAGTAAAATATAGAGTAAAGAATAAAAACATAAGTCATTAAAGAAAGTGAGCTACCATTTAGAGGAATACTGGTTTGAAATTCCAGTTTCCTCAGGGTAGTACATAGAATCAAATATGCTTATTTTCTATGTAGTAGAAGCAATCTTAGCTAATGTCTCAGTTACTTCCCACAAGGTAAAATGTATGATTGGCACACTGATTTTCATTAAGGGACATAATATAGTCTGGCTCTGTATCTCCACCCAAATCTCATCTTGGATTGTAATCTGAATTATACTCCCCATGTATTGCAGGAGAGGCCTCCTGGGAAGTGATGAGATCATGAGGGTAGTCCTTCCATGCTGTTCTCACGATAGTAAGTGAGTTCTCGCAAGATCTGATGGTTTTATGAGGGGCTTTTCCCCTCTTCGCTCATTCTTCTCCTTCCTGCTGTCATGTGAAGAAGGACATGTTTGCTTTCCCTTCTGCCATGATTGTAAGTTTCCTGAGGCCTATTTCTTCCTTCCATCCCTGTGGAACTGTGAGTCAATTAAAACCTCTTTTCTTTAAAAAGTACCTAGTCTTCGGTATGTCTTTATTAGCAGCATGAAAACGGATTAACACAGTCAATTGTTACTGGGTAGTGGGGCATTGCTGTAAGGATACTTAAAAATGTGGAAGCAACTTTGGAACTGAGTAACAGGCAGAGGTTGGAACAGTTTGGATGGTGTATTAGTCCATTCTCATGCTGCTATAAAGGACTGCCCAAGAATGGGTAATTTATTGACTCACAATTCTGCCTGGCTGGGGAGGCCTCAGGAAACTTATAATCATTGTGGAAGGAGAAGCAAACACGTCCTTCTTCACATGATGGCAGGAAGAAGAAGTGCCAAGCAAAAGGGGGAAACCCCTTATAAGATCATTGGATCTCATGAGAATTCACTATCATGAGAAGAGCAGCACGGGGGTAACTGCCCCCATCACTCAATTACCTCCCACCAGGTCCCTCCCATGACATTTAGGGATTATGGGAACTACGAATCAATATGAGATTTGGAAGGGGACACAGTCAAACCATATCAGAGGCCTCAGAAGAAGACAGGATGATATGGGAAAGTTTGGAACTTCCTAGAGACTTGTTGAATGGCTTTGACCAAAATGCTGATAGTGATACGGAAAATGAAGTCCAGGCTGAGAGGCTGAGGTGGTCTCGGATGGAGGTGAGGAACTTACTGAGAACTGGAATAAAGGTGGTTCTTGCTAAGCTTTAGCAAAGAGACTGGTGGCATTTTGCCCCTGCCCTAGAGATCTGCTGAACTTTGAACTGGAGAGGGATGATTTAGGGTACCTGGTGGAAGAAATTTCTAACTGGTAAAGCATTCAAGAGGAAGCAGAGCATAAAACTTTGGAAGGTTTGCAGCCTGGTCTTGTGATAGAAAAGAAAAACCAATTTTCTGGGGAGAAATTCAAGCTGGCTGGAGAAATTTGCGTAAGTAATGAGGGACCAAATGTTAATCACCAAGACCATGGTTAAAATGTCTCCGGGGCATGTCAGAGACCTTCACAGCAGCCCTTAGCATCACAAGCCCAGAGACCAAGGAGGAAACAATGGTGTTGTGGGCCAGGCCCAGGGCTCCCCAGGTGTGTGTAGTCTCAGGACTTGATGCCCTGCATCCCAGCTGCTTCAGCCATAGCTAAAGGGGACCAAGATACAGCCTAGGCCATGGCTTCAGAGGATGCAAGCCCTAAGCCTCGGCAGCTTCCTCATGGTGTTAAGTTTGCAGGTGTGCAGAAGTGAAGAATTGAGGTTTGGGAACCTCTGCCTAGATTTCACAGGATGTATGAAAATACTTGGATGTCTAGGTAGAAGTGTGCTGCAGGCTGCAGGGGCAGAGACCTCATGGAGAACCTCTGCCAGGGCAGTGCATAAGGGAAATAGGGGTGTCAAAGACTCCACACAGCGTCCCCACTGGGGACACTGCCTACTGCAGCTGTGAGAAGAGGGCCTCCATCCTCCAGACTCCAGAATGGTGGATCCACCAACAGCTTGCACTGTGTGCCTGGAAAAGCCACAGACACTCAACACCAACCTGTGAAAGCAGCTGGGAGGGGTGCTGTACCCTGCAAAGCCACAGGGGCATAGCTGGCCAAGGCCATGGGAGCCCACCTCTTGCATCAGCATGACCTGGATGTGAGACATGGAGTCAAAGGAGATCATTCTGGAACCTTAAGGTTTAATGAATGCTCTATTGGATTTTGGGCTTGCATGGGGCCTGTAGCTCCTTTGTTTTAGCCAATTGCTCCCATTTGGAATGGATGTATTTACCTATGCCTGTACCCCTATTGTATCTAGGAAGTAAGTAACTTGATTTTGATGTTGCAGGCTCATCGGGGGAAAAGACTTGCCTTGTCTCAGATGAGACTTCGGACTTGGACTTTTGAGTTAGTGCTGGAATGAGTTAATACTTTGAGGGACTGTTGGAAGTGCATGATTGTGTTTTAAAATGTGAGGACATACATGAGATCTGGAAGGGGCCAGGGGCTGAATGATATGGTTTGGCTGTGTCCCCACTCAAATCTCATCTTGAATTGTAGTTCCCATAATCTCCACATGTCGTGGGAGGGATCAGGTGGAGGTAACTGAATCATGGGAAAAGCTTCCCTTATACTGTTCTCATGATGGTGAGTGAGTTCTCACAAGATCTGATGGTTTTATAAACATCTGGCATTTCTCCTGCTGGCACTCATTTTTCTCTCCTGCCATCCTGTGACGAGGTGCTTTCCACCATGATTGTAAGTTTCCTGAGGCCTCCCCAGCTATGCAGAACTGTGAGTCAATTAAATCTCTTTTCTTTATAAATTACCCAGTCTTAGGTATTCCTTCATAGCAGCATGAGAAGGAACTAATACAGGGCATCATAGCACACTGGTTGGGAGAGCCATTTTTGGATTCAGACAGGCCTCAGGTCAAGTTTTGGTTTTGTCACTTATGAGTTGTGTGGCTTTGACACATTCTACCACTCTGAGCCCTAGTTTCCTTATCTTTAAGTGGACATCATAAAAATGTTTATTTTTAAAAAAGTTTATTTAATAGAGTTTACAAATGAAATAAAACAGTCTATGCTAAGACAATTATCACAGTGACTAGTAAGTGTTGGTAATTGATAGTATTATTTTTCGTTAGGTAAAAATCGGGAAAGAACACAAATGGCCTTATCAATCAAACATAAGTTCGGACTCATGTCCCTTGATCTACTAACTGAAATCTTGGACAACTTATGTAAAAGTCTCAGAGAAAAGGCAAAGCAATGCAATAGAGAAAGGAAAGTGTTTTCAACAAAGGGTAGTCTAATCATTAGATATCCACATGGTAAAAAATAAATCTCAACATCTACCTCACGCCACACACAAAAATTAATTTAAAGATTGACCCAACTGTAAAATATGAAACGCTAAATATTTTACAGAAAAATGCAGGGGGATACCTGTATGGCTTGGAGCTAGACAAAGCTTTCTTAAACAGATCACACAAAAGAATAATTATAAAAGAAAAAAAATAATACATCAAAATTAAAACTTCTTCTCATCAAAAGACACCATTGAGAAAATGAATAGGCAAGCCACAGAGTAGGGAGAAATATCTGTGAAACATATATCTGATAAAGAACAGGTATCCAGGATATGAGTAATTTTAAACTTTAATAATAAAAAAGTCCAATAATCTAATGTTTTTTTTTTGGAGGCAGACTCTCACTCTGTCACCCAGACTGGAGTGCAGTGGCACAATCTCAGCTCACTGCAACCTCTACCTCCCAGGTTCAAGTGATTCTCCTGCTTCAGCCTCCCAAATAGCTGGAATTACAGGCACCTGCCAACACACCCAGGTAATTTTTGTATTTTTAGCAGAGACAGAGTTTCACCATGTTGGTCAGGCTGGTCTCAAACTCCTGACCTCAAGTGATCCGCCCATCTAGGACTCCCAATAATTCAATTTTTTAAATGGGCAAAATATTTGAACAAACCTTTCGCAAAATAATATATGGCCAATATATTAATACAAATGGCCAATAAACACACGAAAAAGTGCTCAAAATCAGTAATCATTAGAGAAATGAAAAGTAAAACCACAATGAGATACCACTCCAAACCCCACCAGAATAACAAATATTAAAAGACTGACCACACCAAATTTTGGTAAGGATGTGGAGTAATTGCAACTCACATCTAATTTTGTAAAAATGCAAAACGATACTGTCACTTTTGAGAAATATCTCACAGCAATTCCATTCCTAGGTATTCACATAAGGAATTTAAAAATATGTATTCACAAAAATATTTGTACAATAACACTCATAGCAGTTTTATTTATAATAGTCTCAAACTGCTTTCAGCCTAGATATCTATTAATAATAGAATCAATAAGCACACTGTGGTATAATAACACAGTGGAATACTAGTAAACAATGAAAAGAAAAAATACTAACATATTGACAACATAGATAGATCTCAAAATAATTGTGCTGAGTAGAAGAAGCCTTACAGGAAGAAGTGCACACTATTTAATTTCATTTATAAGAACTTCTAAACAGGCAATATTAAACAATTTAAAAAAAATCCACACAGTGATTAAAACTTTGGGGACAGGTGGCAATGGCTGGAATGGAGCATGATGGTGATGACAACGGTCTGTATCTTGATAGCAGCTTGGCTTACACAGGTATGTTTGTATTTTTCAACACTCAGTGAATAAACTTAAGATTTGTGAATTTCATTGCATACACATATATATGTATATTTTATATCAAAAGAAAAAGATTCATAAAAAATATTGAATTATAGTTAATGACGTACATGTTGAGGTATGTGGGGAGAAGTGTACTGTTAACTGCAATTTACTTTGAACTACATATTAAAAAATAAAACAAATTGATGAATAAATTTGTAGCAAAACAAGAATAATAAAATGTTAATGATAGAATCTAGGTGATAGATATATGAACATTTACTGTAAAATTCTTTTGGCTTTATTAATGTTTGAGAATTTTTATTAAAAATTCTCCAAAATTAAAAACCTCTTACTTTCTAAAAGAGGAAAACTGTAATTCCTAACACCCCAGAATTTGCTGAAGTAAAATGAGACAATGAGGTCTCAAATATATGTTTTGCAAATGTTTCTTTTTATTCTCTCTGTGGATTGCCTATTCATTTTCTCAGTAGTGTCCTCTAATGAGCAGAAATGTCTAATTTTTTTGTTTATCAATTTTTTTCTTGTATAATGTATAAAATGAGGTGCCCTACACAAATTTGGTCTTTAATGAGTGTCAGTTATTTTATCCTTTATTTTGCCTACATTCCCCTTCAAGGTCAAAGATAGCTCCTTTCAGAAGTTTCGAGAATTCATTTAGATTGTCTACTTAACTTTCATTCTTCATCCCTTCTGTACATAGTTGCCAAGCAGTCACTTGCTCAGTTTCTTCTGAAGGATGTCCTTGACCTCACCTAGTAACAGACTGCTCTCTCCGTCATTCCCCTTACGTAACACACAGAGTTAATCAGAAGACATGTGGTGAGCATTTAGCCTTCTTTAGCCCCTAGTCCCTTTTCTCTGAAAAGAGGGGAGTAGGCCAAAAAAGAAAAAAAAAGACAACAGAGGAATGGGGCAACCTGTATGTCAAATTAGAGACTACCATCAATAGTGGGGAGCCAAATGCTATGGAAAGTCAAAGATAATTAGGACACAGTAATGTCTTTGAATTGTGAGAATTTTGAATATTGGCCTCACAAAGATCATTTTCAAGGAGGTGGTTGGAGCATCAGAGGGTTGGCCTTATTTCCATTCTGGGCTTATCAGTAGCTCAACTTCAGTAAGCTTTCCAGCTACCACTGCTGCAACACGAAAGTCCTACTTATTTTGCTGTCATTTCTCACATTCTTAGGCAGAAAATTGTTACCTCTCAGCGTTTCTTATCTTCCTAAGCACAGGCAGTCACAGGCCTACAAAGGCACCATAAACACAAACGATTCCAAACACATTGTCCATCTCAACCTCGCTGCCAGAAGCCCTGACTTCTTTGGCCCTGGAAATCACTCTATTGCTATTTTCACTTTTCAGGCGTATATATTTTGTCCTTTGCAATAAGCGAGCTCCAATAACTTCACTAACTTACTGAGCCTTATCTCCCTTACCTGGTGCCTTTGAATGCTTCATCTTCAAAGGAAAAAGAAAAATCATGGAGAGCCAATGAAAACATTTTGGAAATACAAGAATTAACCTAGACATCTTGGATAGTTCTTCCCATAGAGGACTTAGAACACATGGACACAGGGAGGGGAACTTCACACACTGGGGCCTGTCGGAGGATGGGGGGCAAGGGGAGAGAGAGCATTAGGACAAACACCTAAT
The DNA here is from genome assembly GCF_000001405.40 of Homo sapiens. Classification (NCBI taxonomy): domain Eukaryota; kingdom Metazoa; phylum Chordata; class Mammalia; order Primates; family Hominidae; genus Homo; species Homo sapiens. The sequence goes on along the minus strand of NC_000003.12, from coordinate 174,039,389 downwards.
GCATGCCGGGCTTAAAACCTAGATGATGGACTGAGAGGTGCAGCAAACCACCATGACACATGTATACCTATGTAACAAGCCTGCACGTTCTGGACATGCATCCTGGAACTTAAAGTAAAATTTAAAAGATTAAAAAATAAAAATTTTATATTTATATATATATATTATGTTCTGCGTCTGAAGGTAAAATGTATGAGGCAACTGGTATATGGGACTGAATGCCTCCTTTCTAAATAACTGACTCCTAAGGGAGTCTCTCTTGTTTTCTCATGCCCGAGGAGTCTCACGCTATGGGAAACAACTTCAAGTGAAATTAGAGCTCGCTAAGCGAATTGCTTTTATATTCAATGAGCAATTTTTGATGCTCATGTCTATGGTAGATCCTGTGGAAAACACCACATGTTCTTTCCCTGGGAGTTATGTAAATGAAACAATTCAAACTACAAAATAGCTAAGCATCACTGGTTACTGTGGGTATGGAAGGAGAGAGATTAAGAGGGCTAGAGTACATTTTCTTAGTTCTTCAAGCTTCCCTGAAAAGAAGAAGGAAGCCACTTTGAAGAGTGTGAAGGGTTTGTGAAAGGCCACCTGGACAGTCAAGAAGTAAAACATAAGGCAATTAGAACTTCTGAATACCCAGAACATAATATTTCTCTAAATCATAAATTTAACTCATTGTAGAAGCTGACTTTACCTATTTGGAAGGAAGGTGTTTTCTTAAGTTAACCAGGTATGGACTCAGGGGGGTAACCTTAGAGTAAATATTCCATAAGATGTAGCACATGGAGGAACATTCTGAACAATCCTTAAAGAAGAATGATGTGGAAAGGTTAGCATTAAACTTTATTTTTAGTATGCACTTCGATGATGTAAAGACCACCATTAGGGTAAGTTATAGAAGTGACTTGCTGCTGAGAATCCTTTTCTGAAAAGGAGTTTCTGGTAGAGATCATGTCCCACATCACAAGAAGGGCAAATGACATAGACTCCTTGTCAATCTGGTGCATGAACTGAGAGCCAAGTAAGAGATGGAATGACTGACACCTCATCGAATCAGCCTAGTACACTCGATAGAAAAGGCTGTCTGTTGGTTGCAGAGCGACTAGCCTTGGCGTTAAAAAATCTTCAGTTTTGACCAAAATCTAGCGATTCAGTGGGGCAGTAAAGTTCCATGACTTGCTCATAGAAGCTGAGTGAGATTTACAGAATTAAAAGCAAAAACCTGACAAGAATTATACTGCCTGGATTCACAGCGACTGCCACATTCTCTCTCTTTATTAGCTTATTTTAGCTCATATTCTTCAGCAGGCTTCATGCCTCATAACATTCTTTGAATAAGAAACAATTTTCCATATTTGCGAATGTATTTGTATCATAAAATTCATTCAATATATTTTTATCATTACTGGAGGCATTAATATCAGGACCATCTCTGCCCTTTTTGCATCGACACTTTCTCCTGCAACCTGTTAAAACCATAGTCCTCATAACATCCTGCTTCAATAATGTTTCACCACACCGTCAATTGTAATTTTGTATTGTTTAAATTACCACCCAACTAATATGCTCAAAGCCACTGCCTTAACCTTCATCTAAGGCTCTTTAATTTCTCTTTCCATGTGTTTACTTCAGAAAAAGTAAAAGGTGCTAAAACATGCAAAATAGCATTAGTGATGTATTTATTCTTTTAAAATTAAGTATCCTAAATTAACATGTAACAAATTCTGTCCTTAACTATCAGCCTTAGCTAATATCTAAATAGTTTTCTTTCCTATTTCCTCACCTGTGTTTGTCTGTAAGTAATACTTTGTGTGATGGCACTATGTAAATATACTTGCTCCACAGAGCTTACGTTCTTAACCATTTTGCTTTGAGGGATATTATATTGCTAGTGCTTTCATCGACATCGTGTTCTCTAACATCAAAAGATAGTTTTCTCCAGTATAGTCATGCTGGTAGAGAGCAGCCCCTTTGACAGTAAGGTGGTTCACTTGTTCCTGGGGCATATCAAGAAATTATCACGGATGATTATTTAGTTTTTAAACAGAAACAAAGGCAAATGAAAGTATGTCTATACAATGTGAGTTATAGGTTAAAACCCCTTTCCTTAAAAAGTCAAAAAATAACAGATGCTGATGAGGTTGCAGAGGAAAAGGAACACTTATACATTGTTGGTGGGAGTGTAAATTGGTTCAACCATTGTGGAAGACACTGTGGTGATTCCTCAAAGACCTAAAAACAGAAATATCTCTCAAATCAATAATCCCATTACGGGGTACATACCCAAAGGAATACAAATCATTCTATTATGAAGAGACATGCACACGTATGTTCATTGAAGCACTATTTACGACAGCAAAGATATGGAATTAACCTAATGTCCATAAGCGGTAGACTGGATGAAGAAAATATGGTACATATACACCTTAGAATACTATGCAGACATAAAAAAGGATGTCATCATGTCCTTTGCAGGAACATGCATAAAGCTAGAGGCCATTGTCTTCAGCAAACTAACACAGGAACAGAAAACCAAATACTGCATGTTCTCACTTATAAGTGGGCTAAATGATGGGAACACATGGACACAGAGAGGGGAACCCCACACACTGGGGTCTATTGGAGGGCACAGGGTGGGCAGAGGGAGAGGATCTGAAAAAATAACTAATGGGGACTAGGCTTAATACCTGAGTGATGAAATAACCTGTACAATGAACTCCCACGACACAAGTTTACCTGTGTAACAAACCTGCACATGTACCCCTGAACTTAAAATACATGTTAAATTTGAAAAAAAAAAAAAAACAACAAAAAACCTATTTCCATAAATACCAGGAGTCACTAGATAAAATGTGTTTGGGTTGTTCCCTACTATCTCTTCCAAGGAGTTCGTGGCCTCCAAGCTTGTAACTTAATATAAAGTTTCTCATGTGTAATAGAGTTAGAATTACACTATTGATCTTTATTTGCATAGAAACAGTCAACTGAAAAGTAAGAGAATAAGGTTCATATAATAGGAGGTACCCAAGAGCTTTACTTTTCCCTGTAATTCAGTGGTTTCACCTCCATAAGAATCACCTGAAGAACTTGCTAAATCACATAATCAGTACTACATAAGAGTGTGTTAAATAAAACTAATATGGATAAAATAAACTTCAAAAGCCAGGAAGTGTGAGGACTGTAACATTGATCTTGATATTAAACTATTTGCTAGTTTGTTTTATTTTGTTTTAAATCTGATCTAGATTTTACATGTAAAGTCCTTAGTTGAAGAATAATATTTATAACATAGCATTAATATTTTTTCTTGCATAAGTTAATAAATCGCCATGTACATTTACAAATGAAGATACCATCTATCTCTTTATTGTAAAAGTATAATAACTCATGTCATTTCCCACATCAGACCAAGTAATATATTGTCTATTTTGTAAATGCAGAATGTATAAGGTTGGTCGTGCAGAAGGTCATGTAACTTGGAATGAGGGGGGTGGACTTAAACACTAATATACAGGTCAGCACATTATCTAGATCCTATATAATAGGATCTAGACTTGCCAGCACCTGGATTTCTTCAGGCAGTTTCACCAGCAATACTATAAGCTCTTTCTTATTATGAAATGGAATTGCGGATCACTGGCTACAAGAACCTGGACTCCAGCCAGATCGGCAACATGAAGCCATGCTCCCTCTAGCTCTGCTCTGTAGGACGAGGTGTTTGCAAATGATAAATGGTAGCAGGACACCAAGGCAGGAGCTTCATTAAGTGGAGCAAACCTCAACTTGGCAGGCAGATAAAATGTGCTAAGCACATACCAAACACATCAACCCATGTGGTAAAGCTGTGAGACAGTAAGTGGCAGTAGAAACTGCCACCAGGATTACATGTGAGATCGTGTGGCATCAGCAGCCTGTGAGACAAGATAGCCACAGACCACACATGACAACAGGCTGGTGTACAAGGTTCTACTGATAAGCCTTTTCCTGAGTCTCTTGCCTACCTGAGCAGCAACAGTGTCAGCAGTTTTGAATAGGCTTATATGACAATAATCAATGAAATATAAAATTAACCAATGAAATGGTGTATTGAGTTCCTGTTTGCACCTTTCAAATGCTGATTTTTGTTTGCTGTTGCAATGTAATTTAGTTAACAAAAGGAGACTAATTCATAATGACATTATTCACATTTTATTAATTTTTAAATCTTTAAACATAGAGTAAATACCACTCACCAATTGTATTTTCAAGAGGAATAAATTAAATAATGTAAATTTTAAAAATTTGTCATGGTGTTAGACACAGAGCAGGTGCTTTTTATGTAATATCCTTCTTGACCCCTGATAATTATTCCTTGTCCTGAAGTTGGCTTCTTCTGAAATTAACATAGCTACTCCACTTTTCCTTTGATTAGGGTTAGCATGGCATATCTTTCTCCAATCCTCAACTTTTAACCTGAGTCTATATTTAAACACATAAGTCTTGTCTTTTTTTTATCCACCCTCACAGTCAGTCTTTTAATTGGTCTGTGTAAACTATTCACAAAATGATTATTGATATCAAGTTAATATCTACCTAATTTGTAACTTAGATTCCATTTGTTACATTTGCTGTTTGTTTCCCACTTCCTCAAATTTTTTCTGCATTTTCTGGTTTTAAACAAGCATTTTATCTGATTCTTTTTTATCTCCTCTTTTAGTTTATCAACTATATTTCTTTAAAAAATTAGTGTTTAGCTTAGAGTTTACAGTATATATTTTAAACTAATCGATGTCTACCTTCAAATAACACTATACCACTTCACATGTAGTACAGGTGATTTATAACGGAGTATTCCCAATTCCTCCTTCTCATCCCTTGTGACATTGCTGTCATTTTACTTATCCATGTACTATAATCACCTAAAATATTATTACTATTATTTTTTAATAGTTATCTTTTAGGTCAATTAAGTATAAGAAAAATAAAAGGTTCTATTTTCCCTTCATTGTCTTTCCTTCTCTAATGCTCTTTTTTAATGTAGATCCAAGTTTCTGACATATATCAATTTCCTCCTGCCTAAAATTTTTTTTTAACATTTCTTATGTAACATTCTTATGTCTGCTGAAAATGAATTCATTCAGTTTTTGTTTGTTTGAGAAAAGCTTTAATTCTCTTTCATGTTTGAAGAATAATTTTGCTAGGTATATAATTCAGATTTATGAGGTTTTTCTCTCTTTTTCAGCACTAAATGCTTCACTCCACTTTCTTCTTCTTTGCATGGCTTCAGATGGGAAGGTTCATGTAATTCTTATCCTTGTTCCTCTATACATAAAGTGTTTCTCTCTGGCTTCTTTCTAGATTTTGTCTTTATCTTTGGTTTTCTGCAGCTTGAATATGATATGCTTAGTTTATTTATTTAGTTAGTTATTTGTACCTATCCTGTTTGGTGTTTGCTAAATTCCCTCAATCTGTGGTTTGCTGTCTGTCACTAATTTTGTAAAGTTCCTGATCATTATTACTTTCAGGATATCTTCTGCTCCATTCTCTCTTTCTTCCCTTTCTATTATTACAATTATACATGTTTTACACCTTTAAAAATTGTCATATAATTTTTTGGATGTTCTGTTTTGCTTTTTAAATTCTCTTTGCATTTCAGTTTTGGAAGTTTCCGTTGTCCTATCTTCCTGCTCATTGATTCTTTCCTCCACTGTGTCAAGTCTAGTATGAGCCCATCAAAGATATTCTTCAACTTCTCTTAGATTCTTTTTTATTTCTAGTATTTCTTCTTTATTTTTTCTTAGAGATTTCACTTCTCTGCTTATGTTACCTGTTTTTCATGTTGTCTAAGTTTTCCATTAGAGCAACGAACACATGAATCACAGTTATTTTAAATGCCCCATTTGATATTTCCAGCATCTGTGTTACACCTGAAGCTTGTTCTGATGATTGCTTTACCTCTTTTCTTTTCTCTTGGTTTAGGCATACATTGTAAGTTTTCCTTGAAAGCCAAATATGTATCAGGTACTAGAAACTGAATAAATGATCCTTAATATGAGGATTTATGTTAATTTGGCTAGGAGTTAGATGTTTTTAATATTTGTGTTTTTGTTCAATGTTTGCAGTAGTCATAGTGCCAGAGGTCTTTAATTCCTTTGTCCTTGTTTTATCTTCACTCTTAACTTTCGACGTCCCTAATTAATACTCAGAGAAAGTCTGTGTCTTGCATCTTTTCAGCTGTAACCGTTGTTCTATTAGGGCCCCGTGGCGCGGTGGTACAGTGTGGGGGAGAAGAAGTATTTTATAATCTTATGATTTAATCTCAGTTCTTTGGTGGGCTGTCTCGAGGTTGTGACCTTCACTAGTGATTCTCTAGATATATATAGACATAGATATAGATCTATATATATAGATAGATCTATATCTATATATATGACCTAAATATATATACATATATTTGCTTCTGTCCCCCACTGTCTTCTCTGGCTGCAGCATTCCAAATCTATTTCCTTGAATCTCTGACCCCTGTTGGGGTTAGAAAACGGGAAGGCTAGGGAAAGCTAGCCTGGCTCAGAGTAGAAATAATACCCTTCCTCCACTGGGATAAGCCTCTGACAGTCTTCCCCTGGAGAGCTGGCCCTCCTTGTGGAGAAGGCACTGGTGTTTTTACAATGATTATTCTTCCCTTTCCTCTGCTGGGGGCACAAGGACATCAACTTTCTTGGTTCTTCACCATAAGATTTTAGTGGAGGTACTGGAGGTAAAGCCCATGAGAGTGTGGGGCTTTCCTCTAAGACTGCAGCCCCTAGAATTTTCTCACTCTCACAGTAGTCCACACTCAGGCTGTAGCAAGTCTTTAAAACATATTTCCATGTCCCTGCCATTCCTGAGATACTGCATTTCTAACAAGTTCCCCAGTGATGCCAATGCTACTGCCTCAGGGAGCACATTTTGTACAACAAGCTTGTACACCAATGGTTATCAAACTTATCTATGCATTGATACCACCTAAAGAGCTTAGAAAAAACTGATGCCTGGGGCCCATCCCCAGATTTTGTGATTAATTGGTTCAGTGTGTGGTCTAGTATTTTTCAATGTAATACTTTAAGATCCTTTTAAAAGATTTCCTTCACAGATTTCCCTTCACATTAAACTAGAAATTCCCTTTGTTCCTCTCTATTGCTGAATTCTCTGTTACTGAATCCTAGGTCTTCATATTTTTTAGTTTATGTTCTTGTTTTGGTAGAGCACATACTCCAGTGGCTTCTTGTGAATTACATTTTTAGAGGTTTTGTATATCTAATTACTCTTTACTCTTACCTTTCAATTAATTAACACCATGCCTGGTTATAGGAGTCTTCTTTGGAAATCATTTGTTTCTTAGAATTTCTTTTTTTTAACTTTGAATTTTGTTTTTTAACTTTCTTATGATGCTAAGAAAATATATAATAACTATTTTTTTTTGTTATTAAAGCTGTTTCTTTCCTGGCAGTTTTTAGAAGTTTTTATTCCTCTTCTAGTCTTCTAAAATTACACAATGTAGGCCTTGTGTAGACTTATTTTCATCCAGGATACCAGGAACTAAATTGCTTTCTAAAATCTGAAAATTCCTATCCTTAAATTCTGGCAAAGTTTCTTAAGTTAATTATTTGATATTTCCTCCTCTACATTTTCTCAATTCTCTATTTCTACGACTATCATTATTACTGTTCTTTCTGAGATATTTCTTGAACTCTATATTCTAAACCTTCTATTAAAATTTTTTATTGATTGATTTACAAAATTTTTAAGAGGTCTTAATCTGTGAATATTCCTTTTTTATGCCATACAGCTTTTTTGTTTTGGAGCCATTATAATCTTTTACATCCCTGAAGATATCAACAATGGCTTGTTGTCGTTTTCTCCTGAAAAGTCTTCAATTTGCCTCTTTCTTATTTGTTGATGTTTTTTATCACAAACCTTTATCTCAAATATCTGTTGATCATTGGCATTTTTACACTTACAAACAGAAACTAAAGGTGATGAAAAGCTCAGTGGATGAGGCTTGCCAACTCTGGGCTTCTCTTTAGGATGGGCCATTTCAGTGAAGAACCTCCCTCTCTGAATCTGTTGGAGTCAGGAAATGGGAAGGCTAGGGAAAGTTAGCCTGGCTCAGAGTAGAAATAATGTGCTTCCTTCACTGGGATAAGCCTCTGGCAGTCTTTTCCCCTGGAGAGTTGGCCCTGGTTGTGGAGAAGGAACTGGTGTGGAGAAGCCTTCTAGGACTGCTTAGATACTACCAAAGAAGGATTTCTCACCTGTCTTTCTGAAGGGTATAAACTTGGCTGCCAGTATTGGGCACTGAAAGCAAAACGAATGTAAAATGTTTTACTCTTCCATATGTAAGCCTTCCCTTAAATTTCTTCACCTTCTAACCAGTTTTATACTGTAGGCCAGGGGAGAGTGGTGTTCAGGTACTTAAGATGTGTGGCATAAAGAAAGGTTTAACATGAATCTAAAGAGTTTTGACCAATATTTCCTTTTCTCATCCCAATATTATCCTCGCTTCTAGAGATATCTAATTTGGTAATGTCCTGAGCCTTTGGGAAATTCTGCAATGTAAATTGGGTTGTTTCTTGGCTTAGAACTTAGTTTCCTTGGTATTATTTAGTCATTAAGTAGATTTGTCCGTCTGCTTTCTAGTTTCCAAAATTTTGTTGTTATTTTACCTCTACCATCCTGCCACCACCTGTGGATTAAGCATTTTTAAATATCCCATTACTGTTATTTTACATTTCAGGAGAGAGAACAGGTAAACATATAAGTTCAATCTGTCATCTTTAACCAGAGGCTAACTCTCTGAAATTAAGAATCACAATATGATTAAAAGCATACTTCAGAATCAGACACAGCTTACACGGAAATTTAACTTGCTCACAAACTACTCAAATATTTTTGGGCAAGATACTGAGTCTTGATGTCCTCTTCTATGGAGTGTATTAAGAATAGCTGGCTGGGCGAGGTGGCTCACATCTGGAATCCCAGCACTTTGGGAGGCCGAGGCGGGAGGATCACGAGGTCAGGAGTTCGAGACCAGCCTGGCCAACATGGTGAAACCCCATCTCTACTAAAAATACAAAAATTAGCCAGGCATGGTGGCACATGCCTGTAATCCCAGCTACTTGGGAGGCTGAGGCAGGAGGATCGCTTGAACCTCGGAGGTGGAGGTTGCAGTGAGCTGAGATTGTGCCATTGCACTCCAGCCTGGACAACAAGAGCAAAACTCTGTCTCAAAAAAAAAAAAAAAAAAAAGCTAACTTAAAGAGTGGTCATAAGGATTAAATGAAATAACACATGTGTTATCCAGTGCCATAAAATTGTATTGATAATGATTATAGCCAACATTTACTATGTATTTACCATGAGCTATTGTATTAATCTGTTCTCCCACTGCTAATAAAGACATAGCTGAGACTGGGTAATTTATAAAGGAAAGAGGTTTAATTGACTCACAGTTCACATGGCTGGAAAGGCCTAACAATCATGGTGGAAGGCAAATGAGGAGCAAAGTCACATCTTACATGCTGGTAGGCAAGATAGCTTGTGCAGGGGAACTCCCATTTATAAAACCATCAGATCTCATGTGACTCATTCACTACTATGAGAACAGCATGGGGGAAACCACTCCCATGATTCAATTATCTCCACCTGGCCCCACCCTTGACATATGGGGATTATTACAATTCAAGGTGAGATTTGGGTGGGGACTCAGAGCCAAACCATATCATTCCACCCCTGACTGCTCCAAAATCTCATATCCTCACATTTCAAAACCAAGTATGCCTTCCCAACAGTCCCCCAAGGTCCTAACTCATTCCAGCATTAACTCAAAAGTCCAAGTCAAAAGTCCCTTCCACCTGTGAGCCTGTAAAATCAAAAGCAAGTTAGTTACTTCCTAGATGCAATGGGGGTACAGGCATTGGGTAAATACACCCATTCCAAATAGGAGAAATTGGCCAAAACAAAGGGGCTACAGGCCCCATGCAAGTCCAAAATCCAATAGGGTAGTCATTAAGCCTTAAGGTTCCAAAATGATCTCTTTTGACTCCATGTCTTTCATCCAGGTCACACTGATGCAAGAGATGGGCTTCCATGGCCTTGGACAGCTCCACCCTTGTGGTTTTGCAGGGTACAGCCACCTCTCAGCTCCTTTCACAGGCTGATGTTGAGTGTCTGCAGCTTTTCCAGGCATACACTGCAAGCTGTCATTGGATCTATCATTTTGAGGTCTGGAGGATGGTGGCCTTCTTCTTACAGCTCCAGTAGGCAGTGCCCCAGTGAGGACTCTGTATGGGGGCTCTAACCCCACACATTTTCCTTTTGCCTTAGCAGAAGTTCTCCATGAGGACTTCACCCCTGTAGCAGACTTCTGCCTGGATATCCAGGCATTTCCGTACATCCTCTGATGGCCTGAGCTCTATGTTGGCCCCTTTTAGCCATGGCTGGGATGCAGGGCACTAAGTCTTGAGACCGCACAAAGCAGCAAGGCCCTGGGCCTGGCCCACAAAACCATTTATCCCTCCTAAGCCTCCAGGCCTGTGATGAGAGGGGCTGCCATGAATACCTCTGACATGCCCTTGGAGACATTTTCCCCATTGTCTTGGTGATTAACATTTGACTCCTCATGACTTATGCAAATTTTTGCAGCTGGCTTGAATTTCTTCTCAGAAAATGGGTTTTTCTTTTCTATCACAATATCAGGCTGCAAATGTTCCCAACTTTTATACGCTGCTTCCCTTTTAAACATAAGTTCCAATTCCAAACCATATCTCTGTGAACACATAAAACTGAATGCTGTTAACAGCACCCAAGTCACTTCTTGAACACTTTGTTGCTTAGAAATTTCTTCTGCTAGATGTCCTAAATCATCTTTCTCAAGTTCAAAGTTCCACAACTCTCTAGGGCAGGGGCAAAATGCCACCAGTCTGTTTGTTAAAACATAGCAAGAGTCACCTTTGCCCCAGTTCTCAACAAGTTCCTCATGTCCATCTGAGACCATTTCAGCCTGGACTTCATTGTCCATATCACTATCTGCATTTTTTCAAAGTCATTCAACAAGTCTCAACTTTGGGGAAGTTCCAAATTTTCCCACATCTTCCTGTCTTCTTCTGAGCCCTCCAAACTGTTTCAACATCTGCCTGTTACCCAGTTCCAAAGTCACTTCCACATTTTTGGACATTTTTGCAGCAGCACCCCACTCAACCAGTACCAATTTACTGTATTAGTCTGTACTCTTTTTAAGGAAAAGAGGTTTAATTGACTCACTGTTAAACATGGCTGGGGAGACCTCACAATCATAACAGAAGATGAATGAGGAGCAAAGTCACATCTTACATGGTGGCAGGAAAGAGAGCTTGTGCAGTGGAACTCCTAAATATGAAACCATCAGATCTCATCAGACTTATTCACTAACATGAGAACAGTATGGGGGAAACCACCCCTCATGATTCAATTATCTCCACCTGGCCCCACCCTTGACACATGGAGATTATCACAATTCAAGGTGAGACTTAAGTGGGGACACAGCCAAACCGTATCAGATATGCACTGATCTATGAGTTTTATGCAAATTAACTCATATGATCCTTGAGTATTGATGTATAGGACCACATTCCCTCATCTTTAATTTCATAATTTATAAAGCTATAAAAATTAAGCTTTTAAAAATTCATTAGACAGCAAAACTTGAGCCATCCTGAATATATTTGGGGGCAAAACTTGACCTGAACTGATGTGTCTCTGTCTTATATAGTGTGACTATATATCTTGTTGCAGTAATAATAATATATCATTATTACATTAGTGCTTCCCTGTCCCCTTAGTGGTGTTTATTATTCACCAAATTTCTTCCTAAAACCTGAAAAATTTGGAATTCTGAAATACATCTGGCACCAAAGAGATTGTGGACCTGTGTATTTATGTATAGTCTTTCCCCTGAACCTACTTGCTAGTCTTTTGTTTTGGTGGTAAGTAGTGGTTAGAGTTCCAGAGCTCAAAATGGTAAACAGAAATAGCTATATTAGGAAGAAGACAAACTAAACAAATTCGAATGTTGGAGAACAGGGTATAAGAGAGAAGGGTTGGAGTTTCAGAGAGAGTCCAAGATGATGAATTTTGGAGAGAGCAGTTTGCCAGGATGATAGAACTTTGGGTAGACAGCTGGATAAAGAACATTTTTAGGAATTCCTTCTGTGTGTTATAGTATGCAGGAACCTCAGTATAAATTTATATTGCTTTAAAGGCTTGGTGAAGATGGATTTCTATTTTTACTGCTTTTTTTTCATATTTCTTTTTCTTTTTTTTTTTTTAAAAAAATTGAACTAGACCAAACTTAGCCAAGCTTTATTTGGCTTATACGTCTAGCTGTGTTGTCCTTGAACACCCAAGACAATCAATCTTTTACATATAATTGCTGCTTAATAAATGTATTTGAATTGAATTACAATATCCTTATCACATGAATATATTATGTAAATATTTAGTACAAAAGCAGTATGCAATATAAAAAGAGAATAAAATTAGGAACAGAAATTCTTGCAACTTTGCTTCAAGTTCTGCCTTTGCTGCTAACAAGCTGTGTAATAGAAGTGGTTTTGTTTGCTTGTTGGACCTCAAGTGCAGAGAATTAGGCTAACCATTCCTAATAGTGCATGGGACATAGTCATGATAAGTATTCTAAAATCCTGCTCAAGCTTTCTTTTCTCCTTTTGTTCTGAACACCTGTTTTATCCAACTTCTCCCCCACCTCATACTCTATTAAGCTTGATATATGTTCTGAGTTGTGCTTATAAAATATATAGTAATGTTGTGTGTTCATCTGCTTTTATTTATATGAGTAGTGTTTGTGCTGTATTTCTCATTTGAACTATTTTTTTTCACTCATCATTTTTAAGATGATCCATATGACTCTATGTATATGTAGGATATTAGGATTTAAAAAAATCATGTAGGCCAGGTGTGGTGGTTCATGACTGTAAGCCCAAAACTTTGGGAGGCCAAAATGGGCAGATTGCTTGAACCCAGGAATTTGAGATTAGCATGGGCAACAAAGTGAGACCCTGTCTCTACAAAAAATACAAAAATTAGCTGGCATGGTGGCACATGTCTATAGTCCCAGCTGCTTGTGGGGCTGAGGGAGAAGGATCGCTTGAGCCCATGAGGTCAAGGCTGCAGTGAGCAGTGATTGTGCCACTGTGCTCCAGCCTGGATGACAGAGAGACCTTGTCTCAAAAATATAAATAAAAATAAAAAATAAAAATAAATCATCTACATTAATTTTTTAAATTCTCTTATTCATACACAGCTATTTATTAGTATCAAATACATTCAATGCACAATAATGAACATAGTCTTTGGCCTCTGGGAATATAGGACTAAATAACTATATCTGACAAAAAAACTCTAATTTTAATTTCTAGTTAAGAGTTTGAAACTACAGATAAAATGGCTTCCTTTCTCTCTTATAAGTATTTTCTACAAAATACAAATTCTGTCTCTTGGTGAATATAAGAATTTTACACAGCTAAATTCTACCAGGTAGCCAATGTCATAAAGCTGCCATATAAATACATCTCTACAGTGACAATCATTTCCGGAATAGCTAATCCAGTTTACTTTCCTATCAACAGTGCATAGTGTTTCCAGCTTCCTGCATCCTTAGCAGTCCTGATAATTACTCATCTTTCTAATTTTTGTCCATCTGATTGATATAAAATATTGCATTGTTATAGTTTGTCTTTTTTCCTATTTACTAGCAAGTTTAAATATCTTATTATATGCTTGTCATCCATTTGGGCTTAACTTTCTGCATCCTTAATTTCATTCTTTGTCCATTTTCTCTTGGAGTCCCTAAAAATTATTGTTGTTGGTGATTTGAATGCATTCTTTGTATATTCTGTATAATATTTCCTTTATCAAATCTAGATGTTGAATATATCTTCTCTTAAACTGTTGGCTTTGTATGTAATTTCCTTAATTGAATAGAATATTTTAATATCCTTATAGTCATACTCTTAATTTATTTATGTTTTGACAATTTGTGCACAATTGATTTGTGCTTTTGAAGTCATGTTTAAGTCATACTTTTAAAAACAATCCAAGGTTAAAAAGATTACAAGCTAGATACTTAACCATTTTCAGCCTTAGTGACCTCATTTGAAAAATATAGATTTGGCCTAGGTACTTGTTAATTTGTCTTTTAATGCTAAATTTAGAAAAAAATTCTACATAAATTTATGATTAACTAGAAATGAAAAATGCAGTTAACTGAAATAAATATTGTTAAAGCATTTTTAACTCTTGGCCCATAGTAGGCATATACTAAACGACAGTTATTGTTATTACTACTAGAAATAATTAGCCAAAAAGAGCTAACAAAGAACAGCCTGGGCTCATGAAAAATGATGAGTGTGATTTAGAGGTGAACGTTTAATTTTTATGTTGAGCTTGTACAATTAAATGCTGATAAAACTGAATGTGTTTACTTTCTATTTTAAAGATTTAAAGTGAAAGATGCCACAAATCCCAAATGGCATCACTATTAGAGCCAAATATTTAATGACAGATTGACAGAGCAATGGCGATTTTATATTGTCAATGAGCAGATAAAAGAATTCAAGAAGTTGCTGGTGTTTATGAAAGACTGAGTCATGGTGCCCCTTTCAGGCAATCTGACTTTTTAACTGAATATTCAATGCTTTGGATAGAAGACTTCAGAGCCTTCCACAGCACTGAATAATGACTATTTTTTATTTATTTTATGTTATTCTTTTCAGAAATGCCTTGGATGAGTTCTACAGAGGGCCACATACAAATTACAGTCCTGTGTACAAAAAGAACATTTTTCTTAGTGGGATATAGAAAATTTAACTCTGTGCATTGTTACACATAGACCATAAATCTAAAGTGTCCCCAATCCTAGCTTTTTTCTTATTCCTTAAAATATAATTGATTCGACATAGCAGATAACCTATTCCTCTGAGGAGGGATGCACTCCTATTGTTCTCATGGCCGCATTACTCATTTGGCATGCTAACGCTTACTGGGCAAAGTTCTTGGTTGCCTTTTCTTGACAATCATCATCTCCTTAACTAGTCTGCAAACTCCTATTGATAGGAATCATGAAATCCCTTTGTTCTCCCCTAAATAATAGCTAACTGATGGATGATCTATGCTCTGCTGCAGCAGTTTAACTATGGTCCAGCCCGTGTTTTTTTTTTTTTTTTTTTTTTTTTAATAGGACTCTAGGAACACCAGGGAACCATGGACTGGAGACAGTGGACAAAGCCCTGTTACTCTGTTTGGATTCTTGCAATGAAAACTAGCTTTCGCTTCTCTCTACACTGGCATCCACATGTACTTACTTGCACCCTGTGATGTTACAAGTGTGTTTTATTTCCTAAGCTTCTGCATGTCATCAGAGGTATACAAGGAGTAGGGAGATGCACTGAACAAACCTCCCCCCAAGGTGTTATTGGCAGTCAGCTCTTCCCATTTTCCAGATCAGTCTGCCCTGCACATAAAATCCACAGCTGCTGACTGCAGGGCCTGTCACTGTTACCAGTTCTGCCTCTTCATCACACAGTCAGCATGACTTTTTTGCTCAATCAAACTTACCCCAACTTGGATTGTTCCATTGGAGTGGTCTGGTTGCTGCTACTGCGATTTCCCAGCTATTAACATAGACATTACAGCGCTCCAACCACTCAAAGACTGCAGCAACACAGTCATCCTGGATAGCAGCCACTTCAGGGAGTTCTCAGACAGATGGCTGTTTGCAGAGGGCAGAGAATTTAACAGCAGTGCCTCCCCACACTGAGATGATGGATTTCCACCTCAAAGGAAGGAATGGGAATTAATCCCCTTGAGATTTTCCAATACGCTTTCTATGCCTTTCTACCCATATCCCATTCTTCACCCTTGCAAACAGCAAGCAGATGCCAGCGTTTTTGGAGGCCTGAAAAAAGGGAGTTCCTATGACTACCAAAAAGCGTTACATATATCCTAGGAAGAATCCTGCCTCCAGGCAGACCCCCAGCTCCTGCAGATCCTAGGTTTGTGAGCCTAGAATCATATAACTTGGCTGAACTCTTAGTATCTCATGTGTAAAATGGAAATGATACTATTTAACTCACGAGCTAAGTGAGGTGTTGTTACATGTAGAGCAAAGAGAATATTCCTGGCATTCAATAGGTACCCAATCAATGTGAGCTGCAGCAGGGACATGAGAGGTAGCAACGGCATATTGTCTATCTTGTCTCATTTTTCTTTCTGCCTTTTCTTGTCTCATTGAATCCCTCTTCCAATAATTTATGAATGCTATCGCCTCTGCTAATTTTTTATATCAATAAAGCTTCTTTCTAGGTATTTTTTCTGTTTAAGTAAAATTGTATTGAAGTATAACATAATTCAGAGAAAAGCACTCAAATCCTAAATCTACAGCTTGATGAACTTTTACAAAGTTAATAAACCTTTGTAAGCAACACCCAGCTCTAAAAGAGACCATTACTAGCACCTCCAGAAACCCCTTTGTGTCCCCTTTTGGTCCTGCAAGGTTTGGAAGGACAATGGTAAGTCAGTAACTGCAGATTCAAAGGCTCTTGGGAAACTTTCTACCAAGGACAAAAGATACCCCCTGCATCAAACGAAAATTCTTCCAGAAAAAAAAATCTAGAGCCACGATTTCCCCAATGGCTATTTCCCCAAAATAGTCATTCTGACTGGTGTGAGATGGTTTTGATTTGCATTTCTCTCACAATTAGTGATGTTGAACACTTTTTCATATGCCTGTTGGCGTATGTATCTTGTTCTGTCTATCACAGTACTTGTCAATAGGATTGTTTCAACAACTGACTCCAGGACACCTACTTCAGAGATTCCTTTTCTGCCTTTCCGGAGTCACCATTATTGGCTGTGTTTAAAAGATGACTCTCTCTTTCATCTTCCACAAGCTATTCCATAAATGCTGTCTTGGCAATGGGAACCTCATTACCAAGAGCCAAGATAGGGAACTTCATTACCAAGAGGCATTTTGCAATTCTGAGATTTTCTGGAGTGTTTATGTCACGGTAACAAATATGCTAAATTTCAACTCAGTTCCAGAGCAAACTCTGTAAGGCAAACTGAATAAGCAAAAGAAGCAGCTTTATTCAGACTGAAGAGAGACCCAAGGGTTGCCCACCGACTGCTAGGGAGTGCTGGACGTTAAAAGGATATTTATTCTTAGTGGAAGTCAACCAAGCATGCATCAAGAAACCCAGAGAGATAATGGAGCATCAGAAATTTGGTAAAGTAGCACAGATCTCCACTAACTACAGGTCATCGGCAGAACACCAAGGCAACACAGCCTGGAGCAGGGAGAAGAAACCACAACTGAACCCTCTTCTCAGATTTCTGCCCCTTTAACTTGGGTCAAGAATCTCACTTCTGTGTCTCACTGCAGACCTTGCTCTTGAAAGAAAATGTTCAAGGACCCTTCACAGAGAGCTGGAGATTGCCCTTTCCAGAAACGCCTTCATCTGGATGCTTTCAGTTGTAAGTGACAGAAATCCAGCAGAAACTATCTCATGCAAAAAAGGAATGTATTATTTCCTATAAGTAAAATCAAGAGAGGATAACAAAAATGGAAACCTGATGACTTCTGTCTCTCTGTCTCTTTTCTGATTCTCAGCATGTAGCTCTAATTTTCTCAGATGTGCTTATACATAAGGCTAGAACCACGTGACTGGCAGTTCCCAGATGTGCTTCTTCACTTGAATACAGAGAGGAACTGCCTTTCTTTTCTTCGTTTCTATTACACTACTTCCAAGATTATTGTGTTTCATAGAATAATAAAATTAAAATGTAAAAACATATATTTGGGAGGCCAAATTATAATTTTTGTCTTATTGTTTTCCTTGGATGATAAATAAAAAACAAAACTACCTTTCTTCTAGTAACACCATCATTTCATTACACAAAAAGATATTTTTAACTAAGAAAAGAGGAAATTTTATAATCTTAGAAGAAAATAAAGTTCTTTAAATAGAATATAGTTTGCTTTATGAGAACTTTATTACATTGCCCTTACTTTTCTCCTTTCACCAATGAATGTATCATCAATGGCCAGCACCAGTCCTTGTAAATTATTGTTTAAAGATACCAAGAGATGGAAGCCAGCTAATATATTTAGCTGGCTGGAGCACTAATATATTTCTCTTTCCGCACAATCTTGTTTTAAGTTTCTTATCTTTACCACTAGCCACCCTCCTCAACCATTAGTTTGCCAGAAACCAGGGCCAACACAGATTCATTAACAGCAAGAAATCAAGCAGAAAAAGCAAGAGAGGAGCAATAGCTGAGTAAAGAGATATACTCAGTGGCACAGTTATTTATGAGAAAGGAATTAAGCTCCTTATCCTTTTTGAACTATATCAATTTAAATTTTTTCCTGTCTTTGAATTTCTACACAATATAAAAACACAGACCACACTTCTAAATGCTTTTAGCACCAATTAGAGGATACAAAATTACTTTGGATTCCAGACATTTATGTAAGAATATACATACTAACTTGCTAGTATTGTTTTCGAATTGTATTTTACCCGTCTCTCCCATGTATTCAAAAACATAATGAAGTCTTTAAACTGAAGATTTTTCTTCACCACTAAAGAGCATAACACAAACTACTACTCTGAAATATATTCAGTGATTCAACAACAAGCCAAGCTTTCAAATTACCATTTGCATTAGTGAATGACTCCAATATAATATAAAATTAATCCTTTATAAATTTATACAGGCATCCTCAACCTGTTACTAAAATATATTTCCTTAAGAAAGCACATTTATTACATCTTTTTAAGGAGAGTAGTACATCAAGACCTAGACATCAATGTTTTTTAAATTAGGTAACATTTTCAGTGAGAAAAAATATAAAGTAAGAAGTAAAACAATATTAAAATTACCAATATAATTTTCAGTCTTCATGAAAAGCTGATACAAATTTTCCATCAGTCACTTGGGGACAATTTTTGGCAGGAAAAAAAGACTTGTCTTTCCAAGGCAGTGCAGTTATTGCTCAAGTCTCAGCCTAAAATTTTCGTCTTTGACAAAGAATTATGTCATATTCATTTCGCTTCCTCAAACATTTATTACAGAAGGAATCAATTAACAATAAAGTTAATTGCAAACTATAAAATTACTAATTGAGACAAATTACACATGATGGTTCTGTAATTTGGGTAAATGAAAGGTTCAGATGGATGTGTGACCTACAAATTTATGTTACACAAGTTATTTATCTTTTTAAAAAATTTTCAAAAGAAGTGTGCATTAAAATACAAGAGGAGCAGAATCTACTATAATACAATGTATTAGAGCACAAAGTTAATATATGAAGCCTCTAACCTACAGGCTTTTTTACTTTTTTAGGAGCAAGTCATTGAATACTGTTAAATTAATCATACAATCTTGTGACATAGACCTGAGGGCCAGATTTTAGTGAGAGTCAAGGTATATTGTTTAAATGGTTTCTGTCATGCTTGCTATTTATATATTACTATTTCAGTTACAGTCAATCATTTGTTCTAGTGCGTAACTATGCAAACCAAATGCTAAGAGAAAATAAAGCCCTTTATAAAAAGTAACCATTCCCATTCTTCTTAATAGCAAAATAATGCATATTATTTGCAGAAAACCCAAATGAATGAGAAGAAAAAACAATTACTGACAATATACCATGCAGAGATACTGTTAAGATGTTGGTGTCTTTCTCTCTACCTGTCTCTAACTATATTTTCATATTTAACAGTATTTACTTGCAACAAAATATGATATCATGTTTGTCTTAGTCTGTTTTCTGTTGCTATAACAGAACAGCACTGGGTAATTTGTCAAGAAAAGAAATTGATTTCTTACAGTTCTGGAGGCTGGCCAAGCTTGAGGGGCCACATCTGGTGAGGGCCTTCTTACTGTTATAACATGGTGGGAGGTATCAAATGGCAAGAGGGCAAGAGTGAGCCAGGTCAAGTCTCTCTTCCTCTTCTTATAAAGCCACCAGTCCTATCCATGGCAGCCCCATTTTGATGAACATATTTCATATTAATTATTCTTAAAGGCCCCATCTCCAAATACCATCAACATATGAATTTAGGGATTAAGTTTCCAATACATGAAATGTGAGGGACACATTCAAACCATAGCAATACTATACTCATAATTTTGTAAGCCACTTATGTAGTATATCAATACACTAGGAATATATTTGCTTGCCTAAATTCAATAACATACATATTTTTTACTGCTGCTTGTATTTGGTGGCATTGAATACCTGATTTATTAATACTCCATTTTGTGACACTTGGAAGTTTTTATTTTTGATACAATGAACATTGTTGTGATCATCACCTTATTAGCTATATTTGTTTATATTTGGGGCTATTTTTCAGTTTTTCTTCCTTATATTCCAAAATAAATATATTTGCATTTTTATTGGCTTGATTCTATTTTTAAAAAATATAGTATTAGGTTTAACACACACACACATAATTCACATTATAGTAATCTAAATTATGCACAGAAGTATTTGGATACTTTAATCAAGGCAGTATCAACTCCTGAACTTTCTGGCTTGCATATGAGGTTGCAGAGGAAAAGGAAAAGTGGGGAAATCAATGAGCACCACTGGATATTTCAGTGACCTGAAGGCAGCACCCTTGTGTATGATGTCTTCTAAAGGAAAGTTTAATTTTGTTTTAAGAACGTTTCTAGATGTACCTGTAGAATCTTATTGTTCAAAAAGCCATGTAGAACCTGTTGCAGGAAGTCAGGGACCCTGAACGAAGGGACCGGCTGAAGCCATGGCAGAAGAACATAAATTGTGACGATTTCATGGACATTTATTAGTTCCTCAAATTAATACTTTTATAATTTCTTATGCCTGTCTTTACTGCCATCTCTGAACATAAATTGTGAAGATTTCATGGACACTTATCACTTCCCCAATCAATATTCTTGTGATTTCCTATGCCTGTCTTTACTTTAATCTCGTAATCCTGTCATCTTCGTAAGCTGAGGATGTATGTCACCTCAGGACCCTGTGATGATTGCGTTAACTGCACAAATTGTTTAAACAATATGAAATGTGGGCACCTTGAAAAAAGAACAGGATAACAGTGATGTTCAGGGAACAAGGGAGATAACCATTAGGTCTGGCTGCCTGAGAGCCAGACGGAACAGAGCCATATTTCTTTTCTTTCAAAAGCAAATAGGAGAAATATTGCTGAATTCTTTTTCTCAGCAAGGGACATCCCTGAGAAAGAGAATGCGTTCCCAGGGGTAGGCCTCTGAAATGGCTGCTCTGGGGACATCTGTCTTTTATGGTTGCAGATAAGGGATGAAATAAGCCCCGGTCTCCCGTAGCACTCCCAGGCCTATTAGGACAAAGAAATTCCCACCTAATAAATTTTGGTCAGACCAGTTGTCTGCTCTCAAACCCTGTCTCCTGATAAGATGTTATCAATGACAACACGTGCCCGAAACTTCATTAGCAATTTTAATTTCGCCCCAGTACTGTGATCTCACCCTGCCTCCAGTTGCCTTGTAATATTTTATTACCTTGTGAAGCATGTGATCTCTGTGACCCACACCCTATTTGTACACTCCCTCCCCTTTTGAAAATCACTAATAAAAACTTGCTGGTTTTGCGGCTTGACGGGGGCATCACGGAACCTGCCAACATGTGATGTCTCCCCCGGAAACCCAGCTTTAAAATTTCTCTCTTTTGTAGTCTTTCCCTTTATTTCTCAGACTGCCCGACACTTAGGGAAATCGAAAAGAACCTACGTGAATTAATGTTGAATTATCGGGGGCAGGTTCCCCTGAAAGAACCTCAATAAATTAATTCTAAAATGACCACAAACTACCAATTCCTATGATTCCACTAAAATGACAAATTATATGAATGGCTCTGGATTCATTAGAAAACACTGATAGGCTGTCAAAGAAATGATTTACTATACACATCTCAGCAATTAAGGTATACATGTCTGCTTCATACACCTGGCTTTGAATAAAATGTTCAAAAAGCAACCACAGACATCAATTAAAGTCCTACACAATAATGAAGAATAAAGAGTTCTGGACACAACATCAGCCAAAAGAAGAGTGAATAAACAAGCTAAATATTATGTCAACTGTGTGAAACCATGATCTAGGCTTTTCATCTGTTTAACTACATTCATCTTTCAAAATATAAGCACCTATGGTTTGCAAGGCCTCTAGCAATGGGGTTAGCAGCCATTTAAAATTTCAGTACCTGTTGATTAGACTCTGTGTACTATGATCACACACTACTGTCAAGAGCTGCATTGTTTGTTTCTCAGATTGTATTAGCCATTTTCCCTGTCTCTCACACTAAAATAGGCCATGCAATAATATTTTTCTGGCTCTGTTCTCTTTCATCTTTCCCTTCTCTGCTCCTTTCTCAACCCAATCCAATGTTTCTGGCAAAAATAAACCTCCAGTGATAATTCTTCTTGCTGAGCTGGAGGTTTCTAAGTTTCTACTGTTCCTTGTGAGGAAGCCTTCTTGGCTGCTATGTGGCTTCAGGTATTTCCCCCTCTCTTGCTAAGGCCCGCAATTAAGATATTCTTTGTATTACTTTTAATACAAAAATAGAGAATGAAAATATTCTTTACCATTACTTTTAATGGCAAAAACTGCAATTACTTTTGCACCAATTTAATAGTTTCTCATGCCAAAAACAGCAACCCAATTATAAGCATCTACAGAGAGTGCTGTCATTTCTTCTGGCATCACCCCTGTCTCCTGATGCTACTACATTGAGGGTGTTACTCCCTATGCCAAGAAAACCAGCTCCAGCGATGGTTGCTGGTCTCAATCTGCTGATATCTTGTGCACTCAGTGTCCTGTGGTTATTATAATAAAGCAGCTCTTTCCGAGATGTACTTATTCTTTCATTGCAATGCTGTGTGAATCAGCCATGACTCCATAGGGAACTAGTCATAAGACAGTCTGAGTAATGATTGCTGTGCTGTATTTGTACGTGTACTTTTAGAGTCTGGCCCATATACATCCAGTCTCTTTTGCTTTAGAAAAAGTCATAACCCAAAAGTTTCTCTGATGCTCACTCTAACGGTCTTCAGCAAACAGACATTTCTAGGCTTCCAATTATGTTGGAATCTTAGATTAGGCACAGTTTAGACTCAAAATGGAGCATCTGTTACTATACAGTTGTTAGTTATTAATCAGAATACTTGGAAACTCCATTTTTGTGAGTCACATTATTAGAACCCAATACTATCTACTCTAATTTCTGGGATGTTAGAAATGTTGCTATTTTATTTAGAATTCTGCCTTGTCTGCCATCCCTTCAATGTTGCTTTTGTCTTCCAGATATTATTCTCTTCTGTTTTCCAATCTCTTGCCACCCCTTTGATGATCATTTTCAGCCACCTTTTATTTTACTCTTTTCTAAAACTTTCTGTTCTATTTCCTTTACTCTCATTCTGCATGAGCATTTTTCGTGGTTTGTGCCCATGTGTCACTTTATTTGCCATTTATTTGCTGAAAATACTAGTTAAAAAATCAGAGAATCTAATTCTACTTTCATTTTATTTGTTAATTGGTGTAATAACCTTGGGCAGGCCATCTAACCACTCCTGTCTTCTGTTTTCTCCATTGTAAAAAATGGGGGAATTTGGCTAAGTGTAACTAAGTCTCTTTAAAATCTATAGTATGCTGAGTCTATGATTAAATATTCAAATATTTTTATACACAGTGCAATGAACTGAATTGTGTTCCCCCAACATTCATATGTTGAAGTCATTGTATTTGGAGATGGGGCCTTTGGGAGTTAATTAGGTTTAGATAAGCTCCTAAAAATGGGGCCCTCATGAGAGGATTAGTGTCCATATAGAAGAGACACCAGAGAGCTTGATTTCTCTATCTAACTCTCTGTCATGAGGGGGACATAGCTAGAAGGCAGCCATCTGTAAGCCGGAAAGAGAGGCCTCACCAGAACCCGACCATTCTGCCTCTCTGACCTCAGAGTTCAAGTATCCAGAACTGTGAGAAATAAATTTCTGTTGTTTATAACACTTATTCTGTGGTATTTTGTTATGGCAGCCCAAACTGACCAAGGAACATAGCACATAACTTGATAATAGCTTCTGTAAGAATATGGAGTGCTACTTCTTAACTGATAACCATAAAATTAAAATAATGGGCTAATGTATTTTATCATAAATTCTATAAGAACAAATATAGCAAAATGTAATTATAAAGATAAAACCGCCACTTTGAGACAAGGTAAATAAGACTATGCTTTTCTCCACATGAAAATCACCTAGATTTGTGAGTTGGTAGAGACTTCCTCCAGCTGTTCAGTTTGTCCCCTAGCCCTGCCCCTACTGCTCATGGCCACTCAGGTGGACTTGAAAATAAATGACTTTTCTTCTCATACCCCTTCCTTCAAGAGTCCTGATTATCTTTTATGAAGCCTCTACTTGGGGTCAGGAACTGAGCCAAGTGCTTTACATGATCCCTCGCTTGATTCTCATAACAAGCTTGAGAGGAAGGTTACTACGTTCCTTTTACAGATAAGCAAACAGAAGGTCAGAAAGATTGAATAACTTGCTCTGGAACATAATGCTTCTTAACTAGGGTTCAAAACCCTACCTTGTTTGTCTAACTCCAAAATGTCTATATTTTATGACATGCCATTGAGATCAAGGAAAGAGATGAGGCATGTCTCTTTTTCCTGGAAACTAACAATTTAATGAATGAGATACATGCAAAGAGTGCAATATAACCTAATATGGGAAGATGGTAATAAGCATTTAATAGAAGAATGTGGCACATGTAGCCATTGAGGGTGGGTGATTCTTTCTTCCTAAAGTGGTAACATTTAAATAGTGCCTTGCAGCGTAAGTAGAATGTTGAAAGACGGTGAAGAACAGGAACAAGCAATTATCAGATGTGACAAAAGCCTAAGCAAAATATGTTCAAATCTGAAAAGGCACGTTGGCACAATAAAGTAAAAACATTAAAATGGTGTATTAAGAAGTCTGGAGTTTATTGTGTAAGAAAAAAAGGGCTAAATCAGATGTTTGCTTATTAACACAACAATGTAGTTTACATATCCTAAGATATTTGGAGGTGATTTGACTATTTTTTCTTTTTATATGTTTCACGGGGCTTGGGGCTTGGGTTATTTTCAATTTTGAGAACCTCTGTTAACTTGTCTTGTTAACTCTTCAACACTTGCAAAATCTTGGGTAAAGTTTCCATTTACCTAAGACGTGGCAATATCAACCATACCTTTGTACTATTAGTAGTATCTTTAGAAAATACTAGATTCAGCCAGGTGTGGTGGCTCATGCCTATAATCCTAGCACTTTGGGAGGCTGAAGAGAGAGGACCACTTGAGCCCAGGAGTTCAAGATCAGCCTAGGAAACATAGTCAGACTCTGTCTCTAAAAATAATTTTAAAAATTGGCCTGACCTGGTGGCACATGCCTATGGTCCCAGCTCCATGGGAGGCTGAGGTAGGAGTGAGTGAGCCCAGCATGTTGAGGCTGCGGCAGTGAGCCATGATCACCTCATCTCACTCCAGCCTGGATGACAGAGTGAGACCTTGTCTCAAACAAACAAACAAATAAAAAACTGAAAGAAAAGAAAACATTAGACTCAAAATGACAAGAGAAAAGTCGATATTTATCTAATGTTTTCTCTGGTTTAACAAATGTATGTGAGGCATCACATACGCTTGGATTCTGTTGACTAGTCTGGAATTACAAGTTCTATTCAATCACCAATAATTTTAAGCAATAGCTAATCTGAAGTTGACCCATTGTATTATTGAATTTGATCCTTCCAAAGATAAGCTCTCACTTACTGACATAACTGCTTTTGAGTTATTAAAATATTATTATTTTGCAGAAATATTATTTTATGTTTTACTTTGTTCATTTTTCATTTCAGCCAGTTTTGAGGATATTGGTCTTAAATCCAATTTGTGTTATTTTGAGGGGGAATAGCAGTCATTTGCAAATCATGCAACAGTAGAACCTTTCAAAGTCTTTATGACAAAATATTACCAGTATGAGGGCTGCCGGAATAAGGACTTTTTCAAGAACACTCAGAATCCCACATATCTATTATCAACTCAAAGAAAATACCCGTAACCAAAAATTGGACTCACTCAAGATTCACTGCTTTGTGCAAAATCTGGAGGAGCTATCTGGAAGACTTCACCCATTATGTACATTACAGTTTAAAGTTACTCTCATTTCTGAATTTACTATTCTCTCTCATTTTTGCAAAAGCTGCTGTACATGTTTGAAGATGACAATTTTGATGATGTTACTGTCCATGTGTAAATATCAATACAGCACCTGCTTTCCCTCCTCACTGTCTGATTCACTTTTATTGCTGTAAGCTCTACGTTCTGCTTTGGCAACTTAACATCAGATCAAAATCCTCAAAGAAATTGAAGCCCTTGCTTAACTGTTATATCCAAATCTAACATGTCTACTATATCACTTGAAACTGGTATCTATAATCTCAAACCTATTATATATATATGACAAGGAGAATGTGGTCCTTTTTGGAGCTAGATCAGTAAAAGAGAGTAGACCATCTACTGTTATCTTTTCAGGGCTCAGCTATGACCAATATTTGACCCCAATGTCTTTGAAACTATGATGGTGAAGATAAAATGCAAATCTTCAAGTAGCTGGTTTCTAAAGTTAAGGCAAAAGGCTAGGACTGCAGGAATAACTTGTAGAATTCCTCTACTAGAAGATAAACAGTAAAGAGGATGTGGACTGGGTAATAGGTACCCTTCAGATAGTGTTAGTCAAGAATAAATGATAGAGGATGCTTTATTATATTCTACTAATTATTCTCTCAGAAGCTGAAGGTAAGGGCTTGTGCCTTTTGAGTGGGAAATGGTATTTCCTCTGAAATCAGTGAGATTTCACACAATCACTCATACTTAAAAAAAAGATCAATTTAAGGGACAGAAAATATGAATTAGAGAAACGGATCTCTTCAAGAATGGAGTAGGGTATACATTCTTCTCCTGTCTAGAGCAATATCTACGCAATGTATAGGGCCAGGTGAACTTAGCACTTCCTGAGACTGGGGTGTAAGTATGGGAGATGGGTGGTAAGGGACACCTTGGAGGCCTGTGCAGGGCCATTCCAAGTACAACTGCAGTTGCACAAGTTTAGCAGCACAGACTCATTGTCATGGTGGCCTGAGGAGGGAGAGAAAAGGAGAGAACTTGAGCCATTTCTCTGAGCTTACATTAGACTGCTCCTTGGGAGTTCTGAGAGTACTGAAGAAAGCTTTGAGGAGAAGTTGTGGTCTTTCATCTATCAAAATTTGCTATTTGAAAGAATTGTCATTTCATTTTGTTGTTATAGGCTGAAAATATCTGGGAATAATGAGCACCTCCTTTATACCATAGAATGGCACTTTGTTTTCTTGTATGAGAAATAATTATAAATTCCAGGAGAGAAGGTTTTTTCTTAGGTTTTGTTCTCTGATGTAATTTGCGCCTAGACCAGTGTCTGGAACAATATGAATTTCTATAAATATTATTGAATATAAAATGTTTTATTTCACCTTTACAATAACTCTGAAGGTAGGTGGTAGTATCTCCATTTTACAGATGAATAAATAAGATTTGGAGAAATTAAGAGAACTCCTAGGGCCCCACGGTTTCAGAGAGAGAGAGAGAAGCAGAGTTTACACTTGAACCCAGGTTTCTTCAATGCAATTACACACTTACAACCATTTTAGTATAGTTATGGATCCAAGAAACATAACTACTATAACTATAATGATTAAATAGAAGCTTTAAACCTCAAAGCTTGTTTGCATTTATATTCATTGTTCTGAATTGAAACTGTGAATATAGATACTTTTCTTTTTCTCTTAGGGTACCAAGGAAATGAAAATAAATGGGCCACATTCACTAATGTGAAATTAGAACCACCTTCCCTTCAGTCAGTTAAAAAAGTGAAGGCACATTATAAAATTCAGGAAAGCAGAATGGCTGAAAGAAGGGAAAAGCCAACAAACACTAAAGCCAATTTATTACTCCAATAAATGTCAGGGCAGTAATTGTGTGGGACATAGATTAATACTGAAAAAGAATAGATTTGTGCCATTCTTGAAATATAAAGATGAATGCATTTGACCACAGAGTTAATAAAAGTATGTTGTCCACAGTGACTGGTAATTGATATGAAACAGTTACCTTTACTTTATCCTGCAAATGGAAGAAACAAAGCTTCCACTGAGGGGGCTATTCATACGTAAATTGTATTTAATGGTTTCCTGTTAATGTATTCTATTTCTATAATGAAAGTCTAGCCAAATTATAGGAGAGATGCTCTTAACTCCTTTACTGCTATCAAATTGAGCAGTAATTGAATGGGGCAAGAAATCCCTCTTTGACCTTGAAAGTTGAGATTTAGATTTTACCTTCTCATCCCATCATCAAATTTGAGAGACATGATATTAATTTTTCTAGGCTTTTACATTTTATATGGTAACCTGGTGGCACTAAATATAATGCTTCTAAATGCAAAATGCAATGAATCATCAACAAACTCATCAATTTTCATGCAGAGACAAGAAATTTTGATGCAGCCCAACTTTAATTCACCAATTCAAGTTTTTCATTCATCATTTTACCTGTTATAAAATATTTAATGATAAGCAATTCAGATGTTATATAAAATCTGCCATAAGAAGAATTGTGTCTATATGTAGAACATATTAACAATCAAATCAGAAAGAAATGTTGTGTATGGAATATATAATATTAAGCATAGATGCCTTAACAAAATTATTCCTGAAGGATTTTGATAATATTTAATTCAACTGGAAAGAGTTTTATGCCTTTGTATTATTTTGTAGTATATCTTGAAAATCAAACAACAGTATTTCTTGGGGAAAAAAGTGTCAATATTTGGGATTAACATGTTGAAAGGACTGTCCCTTTACATAACTTAAGTGATTTTCAAGTGAAAATAATTTACATGCAATTGGCAAATTACAAGCTACATTAGACAGACCTACCCTCATTTTAAGGGAGCAAATGGCTAATTGCATTTATGCTCATTTGAGCTTCAGAGACTGAGTTGGCCTAAAGCATTATAGAGTTTGTCTTCAGAGGTATTATGTTTTGATTTGAACATTTTTTTTGAATAATTGTTTTAAAGCCATCTTTAAAGCTGTCATTTCACATTCTCTAGAATACCCATTCAAAAGTCAATATTGATTTAGAAGGGAAGTAGCTCTGTGTTGACTTCCAAAATAGTTCAAATTTACTAGTACATTGATTAAAGTTCTTTTTGTGATCCCAATCTTCTCTCTAACCTTACCAGGTTAGGGGGATGCTCTTCACGTAGCATCACCCAGATCCATGCCCTGTCCCCTATGCATGGCAGCATTTCTCTGACTTTGCTCAAGCTATAAATGCTCTCTGCCTATTGAAATCCTACTTACCCTTTTTGCCCAGCTGAGCCATTGTCCTCTCAAGGAAGGCTTCCCATGTTTCCTGTCTGTTGCCTATTGGAATTAATCACTCCTACTTTTCTCTTTTCTCCTGTGGAAACTCAGATTATAAATATATTACTTTGTTTCTACATTTTATTTAATGAAGATACTTAGAAATTCTACCGCCACTCATCAGCCAATTAGATAATAAGGTTCTTGAGGGAATATATCACTATGTTTACTGTGTGGTTAAGAATGTGAGCTTTGAAGTCAAAGAGACCAGGATTCATGTACTCGCTCCACCAATTTCTGGCTGAGTGAACTTGGCACAGGGATGTAGTCTCTCTAAGCCTTTTTTTCTTTTACTATAAAATGGTAACTACCCCTTAGGATTTTGTAAAGATGAAAGGAGATAATGCATCTTGTAATGCATTTATCGTAGTGAATGACATATAATAAACACTCAATTGCTGTTAGATATTTTCATTAATACTTCCTATGACCTGAATGCCTATTCCCCAACCCCAACCCCTCATTTCCTTCCACCAAATTAATATGTTAAAACCCTACTCCCTAATGGAATGGTATTAGGAAGTAAAGTTTTGGGGAGGTAATTAGAATTTTAGATGATGTAATGAGGGAGCTCTTATGAATAGGATTAATGCCCTCATAAGAATCTTAAGAGAGCTTGCTCCTTCTCTCTTAACCATGTGAGGACACAGTGGTGAGACCTCCATCTATGAACCAGGAAGCAGGTCCTCACCAGACACCATGTTTGCCAATGCCTTGATCTTGGACTCCCAATCTCCAGAACTGTGAGAAACAATGTTCATTGCTAAGTCACCCAGGGTATGGTATTCGTTACAGCAGCCTGAGCTGACAAAGACATTAGTAATTTAGTATCTTTCATGTCAAACACAGAATATAGTACAGGGCAGGTGCTCAATACTGTTAAATGAATGATTGAATAAATGAATGAAATCAAATCAATAAAAAAATTAAAGGGTTTAATTTGAGAAGAGATTTTTTTTTAATCTCTTTCCAAGAAACACTATCTATACATGCAAGATTGTGAAAGGACCTTACATTTTGTGAAGACATTTGCTTACTCATTGTGCAGGTGATTATCTGGGGCCCTGTGTTCCTGATCTTCCTGCCATACATTAATGTGCACTTCTCCCAAAATCCACAAAGCACAGTCTGAGCTGTAGAGTGAGGATCAGTATTTTGAACACACTCAGGACATGTTCTCCTCTTTCAGTAAGGGGCTTACTATACAAGCAAACCTGAGTACCTGCCTGCAGAGCCAAGAGTGAGGTACTCTTGCTTTGTGTTTAAGGCAAGGACATAGGTGAGAAAAAAACAGAAGAGAACACAGGGAGGAAATGGTGGGCTGGGAAGCAATGGGAACTCAGGAGTTTTCTTTAGCTGCCTTAATTTTCATGTATTTTCCTCAAAATTAAGTGCCTATTGATACAGAGCTCCTCCGTGGGCGGGGGGTGGGGGGGACGGGTTGGATATTATTCCCATCTCAATGACAGCAGGTTTGCCTACGTAACATGCTTTGGCTAGTGGGATGTGAGCAGTAGTGACATATGCCACATCTGAGCAGGAGTTTTAAGAGATATTGTGAGATCTTTCTATTAATCTTTTTCCTCTACCTGGCATTTGCCTGGCAGAAATGAAGAAGAAATGGAACAGAGGCACAGCTAAACCACAAACTTTGCTGTTGCAAGAATATAGATTTGGAGGTTATTACCACAGCATAAGCCAGCAAAAGCTAATGGATACAGAGCTCTTCTGAGAGTTCATTCTTAGGGCAAATACATCCTTCTGCAAAACACCACAGTAGCTTCTCCCCATCCCCACTCACAACACACACACACACACACACACACACACACACACTTAGACTGGTCTGGGTCAGCAAAACCAATGTACTCACTTTGAAGAACTCAGCAATTCACAATTGCTACACCTCTATCCAGCCTCATCATGTTTGTGCAAGCTCACAAGTCAATGTGTGTGGTAAATGTGTGTGTGTATACAATGTATAATTCTAACTGCATGTTCAGATATGCACTGTGATAAAACATGACTCCTGCTAAGGTTTACAGTATTAGTGGGATTACATATGTAAACCTTGAGAACATAAAAAAGTAGTTATCATTTCACTATATTGGGCTTATTTCATCCAGTGCAGTCTGCTAAATATGCATGTCTCGTTAGATCTGGTTTCTGCTATCAAGAAAATTATCTCCTAGCTGGGGATATAAGTTTGTACATCATTGGCTATAACCCATCCTAAGGATATAAACTAAATATTTCCATAAAGGAGGATGCAACAGAGTACTATGGGAAGTCACAGTCAGGAAAGATTCAGGCAATGTGGTTTTGAGAAGACTGTTTATTGATAGGAGAGTTGCAGCATTTGAGAATGAGAAAAAGGTGTGATTGAAAGCACAGAATGGAAAATAATAACATGTTTTCATTAAAGCATGGGACCATAAAGGACAGAAGAAGTATGTATGAATTTGCTAGGGCTTCCATAAAAACATACCACAGCACAGACTGGATGGCTTAAGCAACAAAAAATGTATTTTCTCTCTGTTCAGGAGGCCAGAAATCCTAGATCAAGGTGTTGACAGGTTTGGTTTCTCTTGAGGCCTCTCTTCTTGGCTTGCAGATGGTCACCGTCTTACTGTGCTCCGCATGGTCTTTCCTCTGCGTGCATGCATCCCTAGTGTCTCTCTGTGTGTCTGAATCTTGTCTTTTTATTTTTTTATTTTTGAGATGAAGTCTTGGTCTGTCACACTGGCTGCAGTGCAATGGTGCAATCTCAGCTCACTGCAATCTCTCCCACTTGGGTTCAAGTAATTCTCCTGCCTCAGCCTCCCAAGTAGCTGGGATTACAGGAACCTGCCACCACCCTCAGCTAATTTTTGTATTTTTAGTAGAGATGAGGTTTCACCATGTAGCCAGGCTGGTTTCGAACTCCTGACCCCAACTGATCCACCTACCTCGGCCTCCCAGAGTGCTGGGGTTACAAGCAGGAGCCCCCATGCCTGGCCTTAATCTCCTCTTCTTATAAGAATGCAGTCAGATTGGATTAGGGCACACCCTAACAGCCTCATTTTAACTTAATTACTTCTTCAAAGGCCCTCTCTCCAAATACATTCTGAAGTACTGGGGGTTAGGGCTTCAACATATGAATTTTTGTCCACAATTGAGGTCTATTACTAGATGAATAGATAGAATAAAATATAGGTTGGTTGGCGACTAAAATAAACTGAAAAATTGTAAGTAGGAGAGGGACAGAGAATTCGAGCTCTGATTTAGAAAGATCATGTTTGTGTGTCAAGTGTACAGGACTGAGGAAGAGATTGGATAGATCTTTTCAAATGCACACAGCAGGTGACCCGGTTAAAAAGAATGTCAGTACGGATAGAAAGACAGGGATACGTGTGGAAGAAAATGTGACACATAATGAATAACTCTTGAATGAGGGACAGAAAAACAGTAAGATGAAAACTTACTTATTCTTGTGATCAATGACTATATACTGATGGCCACAAAAGAGTGAGATTTCTTTGGAAAAGAATACAAATAGAAGTCTGGAAAATAGAAATTGAGTCTAGAGAAGTAGGAAAGTCCTGGAGTGAGCCAAGAAATTGGAGAAGGGAGTTTTTACAGTCAGTAATAGGGTCTTTATAACTATTTATGGGGCAGAGAGATTGAGAAGAGTAAACTCTGAGAAAGACCATTATGTTAGGCAATGAGGGGATGAATGT
The DNA here is from genome assembly GCF_000001405.40 of Homo sapiens. NCBI lineage: Eukaryota > Metazoa > Chordata > Mammalia > Primates > Hominidae > Homo > Homo sapiens. The sequence goes on along the minus strand of NC_000003.12, from coordinate 174,006,066 downwards.
ATAACCTTATCAAATAGTCCTGTTAGGTTTGGAGGGGGTGAAGGCAGAGGCAGGAGAGGGCAGTTTGACCGTATAGTAGTAGAGAGAAGTACAGTACATAAACAAGGTCTTAAATATAGTAGAAAATGTAAGAATAAAGATAACTTTGTTAACTATTTGATCATTTAATTTTTACAAATCTAATGAGGTAGATATAATCCCCATCATACAGACGGGAAAAACAGGACACAGATAGACGACATATTTTATCTACTGTTACATAGCTAGTAAATAAAAGAGACCCCAGGCACCTCACTCAGGAATACATATATTAAGTGCTCTTCTTTTATTTCTCTATATAAATTTAGTTTTGTGGTAAAAAAAAAAAAAGTTCAATTAAGGTGGCAAGAAAAACCTTAGCAACTGCATGCATGAACACAGTATTGTGTCTGCTCGTAAGGGGTTGTGGGATTGTGTAAACTGAGATCAGCACAGATGCAGCAGAGGGCTTATGCTGAGTACTCATCACAAGAAATAGGACAGGAACAAGTTGACAGAGTAAGTATAGTTTATGTATTTGAACTTAACAATAGCAGGGATTTCCTACATGACAGAGTCATATATATTACATTTCATTGGTACATTCATTTAATGAATATTTATTGAACACCTACTACATGCCAGGCACTTACATTAGAATCTAGAGATACAATGGGAAGCAATACACACGAGGTCCCAGAAATTATGGATTTTCCAATTAGTAACACTTAAAGGGATCATCAGCAACTTTATAAGGAATGGAACTAAACATTTGATATTAGAGGTCATAGATTATAATAAAACTACCTTCATAATTAATGGGACATACAATTCAAGGAAAATCATTACACCTCTGATATCCCAGTTTGTTCATCAATGAAACAGAGATCAAATTATAAGACTATTATATCCTTGGATAAAAGGTACATTGAAGAGGCAAAGTCACATTAATAAATGAAGATAGCATATAATACTATTTAATAAGAAGAAATCTTCATTTTATTTTCATTAGGGAAATATTAATTACTGGATTTGACCCAGACGGACTTGTTATCTTAAATATATCAAATAATCTTTAGAGGCTTTTATCATTTCCTGCAGAAGTAATAAAGATATAACTTGTAAAATCAGAAGTTAATTAAATAAAATCTATTTTATAGTAAAATGATGTTATGATTGAGATTTAACACGAACGTAATTTAAGACATTGTTATGACTCTCCCAGTAACTGTACCTGGCCACCCTTCATCCTCTCTCTCTATATAACATTTTACTCTGTTTAAACAATAGATGCTAATCTGATGCTTTTACATTTTGATAATTTCTATTCCATTTTAAAGTTTAAGAAGAAATATTGTTTTTCCAATTGCTTACCAAATTATCATCTTTGCATTCAGAAAATAACCAACTAAAAAGAAGCCAACATAGATCCACAGAGATTCTTCTTCCACATTTATCTAATTTCGTTAAATAGAATTACTATATTAGTAAATGAGAGTCCAAGAATGTTTTTGTTTTAGCAGAGCACAACCTTGGGTTTGACCATTTGGGTCAGTTACTTAAGGATAAAAAAAGATATATAAAATTTGAAGATACTACACAACATGGAATGATAGCTGTTGCAAGAAGTGACCGAATCAAGATTCAAAATTATCTTGACAAATACTAACAAGCTACTATAAATCTACACAACGGATAACTTGACAAACAGGCTTTTACTTTCAAAATATCAATTGTGTAAGCCTAGTTTTGTAGAGAATCCTATTAGCAAGAATTCATGGGAAATTATCTGATAGTTTGTATTAATAATATAATTTTTAAATGATTCTAACTAATGTTAATAAAGATGTAGTAATAACAAAGCTAACAGGAATCTTTGGGCTACACAAATTGAAGTTCAGATTCCAGATCACTGGAAGTGATCACTGCTTGTGGATCTGATGCTCGATTCAATTCAGAGAACCATATTTTAAGTGACACTGAAAAACAAAACCCAATCCACAGACATGGAAAAAGAAATTGCAGAACTGCATGTGGATTATTTTAACTCACTTATAAAGTTTATTCCAGCATTAAGATTCTGTGATTTCATGCAAAATAGATACCACTATAGAGTACGCTTTCATCAAACAAATCTGATTAAATGCGTTACATATCACATATAATCTTTGATTATAGACTACAGTACTTCTGAAATCTGAGTTTTGCATTGAAAATTATTATTATTTCGATACATTCAATTGCAAAAAAATACCAGTCCTTATCATATTAACCCAGGGGAAGGCATCTAATCATTTAGGATTTGCAGATAAAATAGATAAAGGTCCTTTCCTCAAGAGTCTAATTTTCCATCTTTCTTTAAAATAAAAACAAATCCTATTTGTACACCGAAATATACAGAGAGAGATATGTTAGAGTTTTTAAAAATTCTTTCTTATTCTTGTAGAAAAATATATCTATTGAATTAAAATCTTTTAAACTTGTTTTCAGGCTAAGCAGGATTTAGAATATGAAATAAAGAGTTTCCACAGATCATTTGGTTTGAATGTATATCTTGACTCCATAATTTACAAAAGTGCTTCTAAATTTTAATGTGTGTACAATACACCTACGTATTTTAGCGGGCCTCATATTATGTATTTCCGGCAATCTCCCAGGTGATACTAATGCTACTGGTCCATGGACCACTCATTAACTGACAAGGATTTAATAACTTTGCTTCAGTGAAGCTATCAATTAAATTCAAATAATGCCTGCCAAATATATCAGGTAAAGTGAAATAAGTTATTTTCATAAAAAGAAAATAACCTTTGCAATAGTCACTTTCTTGCAAGTCCATAGCCCCTCTGATATTATTCTTCTGAATAATGTCACTATTATTCCTTTTAAACACTATTATTCCTTCTTTTTTTCCAGCTCCTCCACCTCAAAGTGTGAGATTCTCTCTGAACAAAGATAAGCTTGTTTCTAGTTAACTCATTGCCACCCAGCCTCACTCATCCTCAACTTTCTGCTATCTTCCTTTGGTATGATTCTCAACTCTTTTCTGCATGCCTTTGAAGTCATCTATATACTTCTCTAATTTCTCTCTGCTAAAGCATTGACAATTGATGGATAAATGGACTACTCACGACTTTATCCTGACCTAGCTTAAAATCTTCACTTACAAGTATAAAAGAATTTCTACTTGCAATGAATAGCTTGCAGCTGCCTGACCCTAACAAAGTCACAAATAAGAGAAATTGGAGCAGCACCAGTCTGTTTTACTACTACCTCCACTTTTCCCTCCATTTTTTTTTCCCCCAGGGGGTGCTATAGAATGACTTCTTTGCCAGGCAAAAAAATTTCACTAGAAATTCACTGTGGTTTTTAACATTTGTCAGTTTCCAAGAGATACAAACTAAAGGTCAATTTCATACATTGTTCTACCTATTAGCTATTTCATGAGGGGCAGCAGTTCTCAACTTGTGGTACCACTAGAATCATCTGAGAAGTATTAAAGAAAAAAAAGACTGATTCCCGGAAGTGTTAAAAAATATGGATTACAGTAATTACTGATTACAAGTCATTAAGTAAAAATGATTCACTTAACATTTTAAGTGTTAAAAAATACTGATTTTAATCCGAGCATGGTGGCTCACACCTATAATCCCGGCAGTTTGGGAGGCCGAGGAGGGTGGATCACTTGAGTTCAGGAGTTTGAGACCAGCCTGGCCAACATGGTGAAACCCTATCTCTACTAAAAATACAAAAATCAGCCGGGCATGGTGGTGGGCAACTGTAATCCCAACTACTCAGGCGGCTGAGGCAGGAGAATCACTTGAACCGAGGAGGCGGAGGCTGCACTGAGCTGAGATCGTGCCACTGCACTCCAGCCTGGGCAACAGAGCAAGACTCCATCTCAAAATTAAAAAAATACTGATTTCAACCTCCTTCCCCATAAGAGTCTCATGCCTTTGAGTAGGGCCCTAATCTTGTTTTTTTTTTTTTTTTTAAATCTGTCTAGGTGATTCTGTTACCTTAACTTTTCCTACTTTCATCCATGACTCCCATATTTCTATGGCATCTTTTTATCCATGTCATAGCATTTCTTTCTACATCAGAGTTTCCGAAGTGCAGCTCTATGGTCATTTGGGACTGGAAAATTATTTGTTTGGAGGTTATTCTGTACATTATAAGATGTTTTTACATGAACCATCTCCAGAAATTGGCAAATGTCCCCTAACAAGCAAAATTACATTGAGGACCACTGCTGTACATCATCATCATCATCCCATTTCCTTGTCACCACCACCATCATCATATTAACCAATGCTTTCCATATGCCAGATACTCAGCTAACTGTTGTACATGGATTATCTGTTTTATTTAATCCTCAAAATATAGTAATGAGGTACATATTACTCTATTGATGAGGAAACAAGGTCAGAGATGCATGGGTGCAGAATATAAACCAATATATGTCTGCTTTTGACTCAGGGGACTATCCTCTTAACCCCTACAATACATTTTACTTTGTAGACTTTTAGTTACTGATCTTTTCTCAAGACTGCAAGCATTCTGGAAGTTTATCACATAATGACTTAACTTCAATTCCTGACACAGAGTAGGTGCTGAATTAATATTGACCAAATTAAATGGATCTAAAGGTGAGTTTATGTTTCTTATCCAAAACTTACTTCTATTCCCAATTTTCTGATTTTTTTTTTTCAAAGAAAAAAATCTGTTTCTAACTCTAGTACTGAGTTGTCATTTAATCTCCCTCTCGCTGACCCTCTCAGTGTTTAGTCTGTCTTGCAAGCCCAACACTTTTCTGGTCACCTCAGACCTTTGAAATTAAACCAGAAAATTTTAGCTTTGCAATTCAAAAACCCATTTCAATTTTGCTCTCATCTGTTCTTCCCTTTCTCTCCATGAAAAATATTTTAGAATGTTTTTTCAAAAGTCTTTTGCTGATGCATTCTCTGTACAATTAAATCTTTCATTTGCACCCAACATGCAAAGTAGAATTGAATTGTCTGTGGAGGTGGGTGGGGAACAGGCAGTGTGCACTCAGCTGGAGTACCACACCATAGACAATACACATGGAGTCCTTGACTGGGCTCCCGGGATAACCTGGGATTCAGAGAAAGTCAGGAGAAGACCAGTGTCCACCCATCTGCCCACTCAGCAGAATTTAATTCTGGCCCACTGCTAATCTGACACATGTCTGGATATGGACATGTTGTCACAATGAAGAAGTCAAGTCTTACCTTTTCTCTCTTCATTTCATGTATGTATTTAAATCTATCCATTACTTAAGTTCAACTAACCTCATGAATTCATCTTTACCATCCTCCAGCAAAGGATGGTAAAGCCTTCTTGCCCTCATTGTGTGACTTTCACATTTGATGCTTTATACATTTCACATTACACAAGATGCAAAGATAATTTCTTAATTAAAATACTAAAATTTTATTAACTAACCTTGATTTACTCAACTTCCTGGATTAACTATGGCTCTCTGTTACCTTTTTAAAACCTACTGACTGCTTTTCAATACCTACAGAATCCAAAAGAAGGTAGGATTCGCTCTGATTCATCAACTCACCTTGCCTCCATACCTGGAGTTGTCTGCTTGCGAAAACTATTCCTGACATTGTTTATGCCAGTTGAATTTGTTACATATATAAATTAATTATTTCTTATAAAGATGAAAACGAATGTGAATAGAGCATTTGCTATGAAAACTAAGTTAAATGTTACGGAAAAATTCAAGTTGCTGTAAATTGGATGTGAAGGTGCAAAAATTATAAATAGAAATTCCTGATGAGAAATTTTCTTTAAGGTTTTACACTAAAAAAATGGAACCTGGAAATCTGTAGTCAGGGTATTATAGATGAGAAACAAGGAGAGGAACCATCATCAGTGGACCAAGTCACAAACGAAAATACTCAGTCTTGCATCAAAGATTGGTACAATAATATGTACTTGCCTGTTTCAAAATAATAAAATGTTTAAGGTATCCACCACGTAACTCCTTATTATGATTCTTTGCTTTGATGGGCTTTGCAAGATCTAGTTATACCAGAAAAAAAAAAACCTGTTTGTTATTTCTTCAAATTAATGACTCTAGAAATTCAGGCAGTTACTACATTGTTTAACGCAAATTTTTACTCTTCTTTTGAAAATGCTGTTGTACTTTGAAATGTTTTGCCCAGTTTACTTATTAGTAACATGTTTTCACTCTTCAAGGGTGGATTCAGGTCTTTAGAATCTTTCAATTGAAAGGTCAATTGAAGCTACTTTTGTGAATAAAATAATGGTCACACTGGGTAATACCAGCTTTGGGCAAAATGTGGTATAACTAGAAAGGAAACTGATGCCTTTGTCTTACAAATTGTTCCTGCAGGCAAATGAAGAAGTAGCTTCCCAAAATGTTATTAGGACTTTGTTAAAAATGAAGTGGTGGTTGGAGAATAAAGGTCAGTATTTTTTTCCAAACATATTCTATGAAACTTCCATTATTTGTATCATCTAAGTCTCAGCAATTTTCCCATTATTACAAGATGTACGGTTGAAATTATATTTCTGGTTTTTTACAACATATATTTAGAGGTATCAAAGGTAAAATCATTTCCTAGAACTCCTCTAATGTTATTTATGACCAAGTACTTCAAATGAAATTCAGTCCTAGAATTTTTAAAGCCTTGCTGAGTAGAAGTTGGAAAAAAAAAATATCATCTCAAAGCTTTCTTGAAAACTCCTTGAAATCATTTTGGGGCAAATTGTTCTTGTGTTCTGGGAAAACCACCAAGAAGACCTTCTATTATGAGAATATAAGCAGTCATCTTCTTTGAAAATGGATGAGACTTTTATTCAATTGTAGCTCTAAGGAGCTCATCTGTTCTGTCAAGTAACAAAGAGGTTATTTTATGGAGCATCTAGAGTTTCACTGTCCTTCTAGAGATACTAACTCCTGTAGAGAAAAGTTTCTAAGTTGGAGAAAGCATGCTCTATGCCTGAAGATTATTGCTGATCCTTATAGAAGTAAGTGTGTTTCCTTTGTTGGTGTGTGCGACTACGGCTAAGAGTTTAGACACTGAAGATGAGCAGGTGAAGGAATTATTTGAAAAGGATGTTTATTAGACTATAATGGGTAATAACACTTTCAGACCCAAGTGATGGCATTCAGCATGAAGTTGGAGGGTGCATGTAAGTGAATAATGTGCAGAGCTCCGAATCACACCAATATTTCAGGGGTTGATAGCTTTGAGATAACTGGAATCAGCATGACCACTGGTATCCTGAAAGGAGCAGTCATAGAACAGGGAGTGACTCCCTCATGAGAATAAAACAGTGCAAGTAGACTTATGAGAATAAAGTCTCATACATTTTATTGCCTCCTGAGAAGAAAGCAGTGTAAGTAGACTTAATTCTTAACACATGGCAATGTTTTGAAGACTGAAACAACTGAATTCTAGGCAATTAAATTCCTAGTGGGCAAGGAAGAGATGAAAGTATCATAATTTGGGCTTTAATAAAAGTGATGTTTTTTATTTGATACACATAATCAAGTGAATCCTGACATTGAAGGTACATTTTATTGTTTCTTCTTAATTTATTTGAGCCACATGCTGAAGGGAAGTCAGAACATTACGAATTACCTCCTCTACTTAAACACTCAAAGAAAATGGAAGTTTCCTCCTAAAGTTGTAACAGTGTGTTGTAAGCTTGGATAAATTCCATGTGAATGGAAAAGCTTCCCTTGAAGTAGGATGTTCTGATTCCCAAAGTAATATGGCAATGGGGAACCTGGCCAACGAAACAGCAATGGATGAGGTGAACAGAATGACTGCTTTGAAAGCAGGTTGTCTAGGATGGAAAGGCTGCCTGTGACCCTCACTAACAGGTAACACACGAAGAGCTATGTATCCTTGTTGGGCTTTACTTTTCTCCTTCATAAAACAGTAAGAACAAGAGGGCCTGCCAGGAGGTTTTGCAGACTGTGAAGGTTAGCCATAGCCATCTCCTTGGCTAATCTCAAGTATGGCTCAGTCCATACAGAAACTCGTATTGATGTTGCCCAGTGTACTGACAATGGGCAAGATCTTGCTCAAATGCTTGTTGAATGCGAATAATATTAAACAAACTGAAGATCACAATTCTAGCCCTGAATCTGATGTATTGGTTCTAGATACTAGAACCAAAATACTAGAATCTGGTTCTAGTATTTTACTTCAGTAAGGTGTAAAAGCCCTTTTAAATTAAGTGGCTAGAATAAATAAGGATATTTTTTAAGTGGGTGTGTTTTGAGCTCTGCGGTAGTTTTGCTGTGAGAATTATAGTGTAATGGTTAAGAATATAATCTGGAACCTTAGCAATTTACTTAAACTCACTATGCCTTTGTTTACTCAACTGAAAAATGGGGTGATAATACTACCTTCCTCATGGGATGATTATGAATATTGCCGGGAACACAGTCAGAGCTCAGTAAATACCATCAACAAGACTTAGAATCAATTTGATAAAGAGCTTTAATTCAAACAGGACTAGGGACTATGAGCCCTGGAAATCTCATTAAGACTCTTAGAATTCTGTAAACGTATTTTAAAAGTCACCTTAAAAAATGATTCTGGATGTTCCATCCAGCTCAAAAGTGCAATGAGTTTTGAAATATTTGAAAGATGCAGAATCCTAGTCAATTAATATGGATCAATTAATATGGATGTCTGGTGCCTCCTCTGTTTGATAAATTATCTCTAGTCTGGCTGTAGAATGGGTGTGGTGGGAACATTGTTCCTCCATCATCACCATTTTGCACAAAAGTGTACTGAAGTCCCATTCCAAGATAATTATGTTTCAAAAATAATTAATAATTATTATCTCATCCACTTCAAAAAATTATTGAATGTAGTTTGCTCTAAATTTTTATGACCATGACCTATATTGTATAACATGTTTCACAGTATAATAATTGGCCTAAGAATTATTCTGCTATTTTCCATTCTATTTAATATTAAAAAAAAGACATAACCCACTAAATTGATTTACTCACTCACTAATATGTCACAAACCACTATTTAAAAAACATTGTCTTGTATAGATTTGGGATTTATATTACGCCCTGTTAAAGTGGTTTTGCCAAGGAAATTCCTGGTGTCCTCCACATAAAGTCTCATTGATAGTCTAGAAGTCATCTCTTATGGTGTTCCCCAACCACCTCCCCTGCCAGAAAATAAAACATAACACAAAGTTTGTAATTCAGATTACTTTGTTGCATATTCTCTTCTTTATAATTTCCCCTTGATTCAGAGTGATCCCTTGTTTACATAGTCTGAAGTAGTCCAAAGTGTAGTTCTCAGAACAAAGGTAAAAATTATGAATTGATTTGAAATGTTCAAGCGTACTTGGTGAGGCCAGTGTTGTGGAGAGTGTTGGTGTTAGTGTGTAAAACGGTCTCTTCAGGGAAGATCAACTTCAGGAGGGCAGTGGTTACAACTAAGACTTTAACATGGAAAGCCTTATTTCACTGGCCAACCTTGGAGAAGTTCAATTTAATTTTATTTAAGGCAATGGTTTCTCAAATTGTGGTCCAGGACTAGCATTCTCAGCACCAAATCGTAACTTACTGGTAAAGGCACATTCTTGAGGCTCCACTCCAGACTAACTGGTTCAGAAACTCTGGGTGTGAGTCGGCAATCTGTGCTTTAACAAATTCTCCAGGTCAATCTGAGGCACCAGACAGTTTGGGAAGCACTGATTCAGGAAAACAGCATGTCCTTGCACTATATATACAGCAAGGATCTTAAAATAGACGTAATTTTAAACATGTGGACTAACAAGAAACCATTATGTAAATTATAGATGCTGAGTTACCACCACTGAATAGAAGCAGGAATTAGGAGTTTTCTATCTGGCACCATTCATAATTTTGAAGCTTACTTGTAATTTTGAAAAATGGCAACAAAGAAATACATTAATGCTTAGACTGATACTCTACTGTTTTTGAGCTTTCAATAAATATTTGTTGATATTTTAAAACAAACTAAAGTGATTGTTATGGTTAAAAACAAAACACAAGGGTTGGGTGCAGTGGCTTACACCTATAATCCCAGCACTTTCAGAGGAAGAGGCAGAAGGATAGCTTAAAGCCAGGAGTTTGAGAGTAGCCTGGGCAACATACTGAGACACTGTCTCTACAAAAAATTTAAAAATTAGCCGAGTATGGTATGTGCACCGGGAGTCCCAGATGCTTGGGAAACTGAGGCAAGAGGATCACTTGAGCCCAGGAGTTCAAGACTACAGTGAGCCAGGATGGAGCCACTGTACTCCAGCCTGGGCAACAGAGTGAGATCCTGTCTCTAAAAAAAGCTAAAAATAAAAGGAAAGAAAAAAAAAAAAGAATGAAAGAAAAAGAAAAAAAAAACAAAAAAAGTCTAACACTAATTGGGGCATTTTGGAGTGACTGATCAATTCACAATACTTTTTCCCTAATTCCCTCTTCACTCAGGGCAGAAAGTTTTCTGTAGTCATTTGTACAGTGGGATACCATCTTGACATATTTGATTGGACTAGGATCAGCACTTGACCTATTTCAGCTCAGTCTCCTTTTTAAAAATTTGGGATTAGGATTCATAGAGATTCATTTACTCCCCCTTTATGCAGCTGGATTTGTAACATATAACTCAAGAACTGAGGAGTGGCCATGTTTTCTTCCATGTCCCTGTGAAGGAAAGAAAGCCAGTCTACAGAGACGAGAATGAGGCAGGTGGACAGAGAGAAGCAGGGAGCAGAGATGGCAAATAGTTCACTAGGCTTGAGGCCCCTGGCTCTAGTTTCTTCCTTTGGAACAATTGAATTTTGGCTCTTAGGTTTCAAGACACCTGAATAATCTCTGGATAAAACGTTTCTTGGCTTAACCAGCTTTAGTTTATTTCTCTCATATGCAAGCAAACATTGCAAACCTCGGGCTAGCAGGCTGGATAATTTTTAAGAAACTAGCAGCAGGAAAAATGAATTCTTTGGTACAAGAAAATTCACAAAATCAGGTGTGTAAAGAATGGGAGACAAATAGAAACTTACACTGACAACCATTTTTTTTATATATCTACTAGTTTTTGAGGGTTTGGTGCTTAACTCCATTAGCTTTCATCCTTCTCCTTATGTTTCCTCTTTGCAAGGGTAAAGTTTCAAACATTTCTTCTAGAACGCTGTTGGTGTTGGTCTTGCCTTACACTTTGTAGTACTGTAATTATCTGACATTTGTAAAATGCTCATGGTGTTCCAAAAACTGTTCAGAAGTTTAAAAACAAAAATATCAGTAGCCTTCAGCCAAAGCACATGTGCTCAGTTCTAACCTAAAGTCAAAAAATTAGACGCTAGTAGAGAGAAATAAAGGATTAATGCTGTCACCTAATTTTGCCTGGATCTTTGCTAAACAAAATGTTTCACAGTAAGAGAGGCATGAATCACGCATGAGCTTAAAATTTTGCCATCAGATGTAAGACAAAGAACTAAATTTTAATAGGTTTTAAAATAGAGCTAATGCATTACTAATTAGGCTCTCTCTCTCTCTTTTTTTTTTTTTTTTTTTTTTTTTTTGCTTTTCTCAAGGTTAAAATAAAAAATTTTCATACAAAAGAAAATCTCACTGAGAATTATCCACCAGTACTTGCTGGGCACAGTGGCTCGTGCCTGTTATCCCCGCACTTTGAGGGGCTGAGGCAGGCAGATAGCCTGAGCGAGTTTGAGACCAGTCTGGGCAACATGGCAAAACCCCCCAAAATACAAAATTAGCCAGGCATGGTGGTGCACTCTTGTAGTCTCAGCTGCTCAGGAGGCAGAGGCAGTAGGATCACTTGAGCCTGGGAGGTCAAGGCTGCAGTGAGTTGTGATCACGCCACTGCACTCCAACCTGGGTGACAGAGTGAGACCCTGTATTTTACAATTTTTAAGTGAAGTATTAAACTTTATATTTTTCAACTTTAGGTTATTTTTCCATAAAAGTTAAACATTCAAAATCCTTTATGGCAATCTACTTATATTGATTGATCTGGAATATTTACTTACGATAATATGAGACGACAAAGAATTTGCCTTAAATTGGGTTCCTAGTTACTATATATATACACACATACACACACACACACTCATATACATATATGTGTGTGTATATGTATATAAATACACAAACACATACCAAATGCATGTATGTATACATTTTGTTTTTGTGCAGGGTGGAGGAAAATATATATATACACAATACTATATACATATATACCATTTATATATATATACACACACTATATATATGTACTTCATTATTAAATTAATGAATGGAAAAACTGAATTACTGTTAGTTGGCTCCTGAACTATCTATCTATCTATCTATCTATCTATCTATCTATCTATCATCTATCTAGCTATCTTTCTATCTATATTCTGTTTTGAATAAGGCCAAAGTATCCAAAAGAAAACAAACATGTCTGGGACCTGCAACTCCATCTACTGACCAAAAGTTACCATAGCATTCTTAGGGACACAAAGAAACACACACATCATTCTTAACATCTGACCTAACCACTAGTAGCTCTATTTACTTCATGCCATGATAATTTGTATCTGCTCTGGAACAAAGAGAGTGAATCATATCTCCAAATTCAATCTGACATTGTGCTACAAATACAGCTAGCCGAAAATGCACTATTTAGTGCACACATGGCATGTCTTTTACAAACTGCAAATGGCAACATGAACAACTACATTGGTGATTTGCTTTGGCCACACACAAATAAACCCATGAGGCATTGATCTTTAAGATGGTTTACATGCTTCCACAACACATTTAAGACATTTCTATGAAGCTGTTATATCACTGAATACAGAATTCCAACTGTGTATAGACCACGCATAACGAGAGTATTAAACTGTGTCCCGGTGACATAAAAAAATAATGAAAATGCCTGTAAGCTGTCCCTCTTCTATTTATTTACATATTTTAACAAGAAACAGGAGGATAATAAATAATAATGAAGAACCATTTATCCCCCAGGGATTAAATAGCCTCTTGTACTATTACGCCACACAATCATTAATTTTAATTGCTTCAGATTCGTAACCCACATGGATAAAATTAAGATCCATTCCAACAGGAGAAAAAAAGTAGACTAAGATTGTTGTAAACGGAAATCTTTTCCAGGTTACTTTTAAACAAATAAACACAAATATTGCTGTATTATTTGGCATAAGAGTCTGTAATAAATATTTAGGTTCATACAATGAACAGACTTATAGACTATATGTGTGCTCTTAATATCTTCTTGTCTTTTCTGGGTCTATAAAAATGAAAGAATACATTAAAAACTAACATTACATACCCTAGAGTGCCTTAAAACTACTCACTTACAGTTCAGCATGAAAAGTCACCACAACATCTATTTTTGGACAAAATCAACATCATACTTTAAAAAGATAAGCCTATTTTACTTATAAAAATAATTCTTTCATGGGACATTTATGTTTGATTTTTAAGGCAGTTACAACATAAATATGTAGTTTATTCTTGAATCATTTAAGAGAAAAAAAGAGCCATTGGTGACTTTGTTGAATCAGACATTTCTTAGCCATGGGAAAGGGGTGGAGTAAAAAAAAGACTTTCTCAATTTGTTCTTTCTGTATCTCTGCCCTAGAGTCCTGTGTGCAGCTTCAATTATGGCTATTGAGCACACTGTTTTTTCAATTGAGTCCTGACACATTTTAGTGGATCACTACCAGATTTTGAAAAATGAAATAAAGTAAAATGTAATTTAAAGGATCAGAGTTCACATAAAAATATATGTATACTTATGAATAATATACATATATTATGTGTGTGTGCGGGTAACAATAAATCTGTTTCTTACTATGAATTGTGGGCAAAAAGGCAAATATGTTTGAAAGTCATTATTCTAGAGATCTTCACGTAAAACCAATTCTCCTTTGGGAGGCCGAGGCAGGTGGATCACCTGAGGTCAGGAGTTCGAGACCAGATTGACCAACATAGTGAAACCCCATCTCTACTAAAAATACAAAAATTAGCCGGACATGGTGGCTGGCACCTGTAATCCAAGCTACTCAGGAGGCTGAGGCAGGAGAATTGCTAGAACGAGAATCGCTAGAACACAGGAGGCAGAGGTTGCAGTGAGCCAAGATCGCGCCATTGCACTCCAGCCTGGGGGACAGAGCAAGACTCCGTCAAAAAACAAACAAACAAACAACAACAACAACAAAAAAACACAAGTTCTCCAGATAATTCTTCTGTGTCCTGATGTTTGCAGACTATTTTATTAAAGAGCATCTCCATATTCTGAGAAGGAGCATACGGAGCCTTCAATGAGGTATGAAAGAAGAAGTATTCTTTCTCCTACTTTGTACTTCCTTCTAAATCTGTGATATCCAATATAGTAGAACAAGCCAGATATGACTCTTTAAATTTAAATTAATTAAAACTTGATAAAATTGAGAAATCTATTCCCTGGTTACACAAACCACATATCAAGTGCTCAATAGACACGTGTGGCTAGTAACATTCTATTCGACAGGGAAGATATAGAACATTTCTTTCATCACAGAAAATTTAATTTGACAGCCCTGCTCTAGAGGTTTTCAATGAATTATAAAATTTGTCACACAATGTTTTGTCATTGAATATATTCATATTAAGTGAGGAATACTAAATCATATAAAATTTCTAAAAGGTATAAAAGTCATATAGATAATATGTTTTTATTGATTGTAAAGGTATTTTCTATTAAATTATATCAATTATTAAGGTTTTTTAACATTTCAAAAATCAATCTATTGGCAGAATGAAGGGGTAAACAGGTGGCACAAACAGGATTTTTATGGCAGTGAAGGTACCCTATATGATATTAGCAGACTGGATATATGTCATACATTTGTTGAAACTCAAGGAATGTACAACACCAAAAGTGAACCCTAATATAAACTATGGACTTTGTGTGATAATAATGTGTCAATATCGGTTCATCAATTGTAATAAAGGTACAACTCTGTGGGAAATGTTGATAACTGGAGAAGCTCTGCATGTATGGGGGTATATGGGAAATCTCTGTTCCTTCTGCTAAATTTTGATGTGAGTTTAAAACTTCTATAAAAATAAAGTTTATTAAAATGTTTAGAAAAAATGTTTTAATAAGAAAATGAAACACAATCTTAACAAGTAGTTTTATATTCTAATACCCATTACAATTGTTTCTTTTAAAATATAGAATTAATATCTTTCATTAGGATAAAATATTTATGAATATGAATATTCATAACTACGCATGCACATTTCATACCAAAACAGCTGTGGGTTGTTTACTAATTTTCTCTTTAAATTATGATGACATTATCTGAAGAAGGCACATACTGCTAGAACTGCCATTATAATTATGGAATAATCAAGTTGCCAATAAACAATTTTCAGGATACTGGCTGCATCAAATGATATTTAAAATAGATTAAGACCCTCTGAAAAATAAAACTTTAAAAAGATAGATGATTGTTAACTGGAATTGTTACGCAAGTGATATAGTAATATAAAATTTGCATGCTCATTTGCAAAAAATTTCAAATAAGTTGCAAGCTTAAGTATGTTTGCATCAAACAAAATGTATTTCTCTATGAGGTACTATTGGCTTACCCTTTTGTAAGTGTCTTCAATCAAGATTAGGAGAATAAAGAAAATAGTCAACAAACAGAATTTGTAGAGAACTTTTTGATTGAGAAAGGTACTGTAAGCAGTACATGGGGAAAATGGTGAGGTTGCCTAGCACCCTAAGTACTTGCAAACCAATTCTCCTTTGGTTTTACATGAAGATCCTCAACACCAGAGATGCCTGATCAATAGATTTTGGGTAAAGCCTAAGACTATTATAATCACCCAACAGAGTATGGTGTGATAATATCTGTTGATTGTCTATTTAACAGCCATTCCCACTTCTTGCTTACTAAGGCAACAACATCATCCATCCCTACCCAAAACAATGTGTCTAGCTGCTGAGGATGGATCATGATTATTCTGAGCCAATATGCCAACCTTATTCTTCTATCTGTCTGTAAGTGAGCTGGTGATCCAGGTATGCCCACAGAGAAGTAAACTGGGAAGGAAGAGCTTGAGTGCAAAAATGGCTCTGATAAGAGAGTGCTCTGAGATGAGAGAGGCTTTTGGCCCCTTCCCTCCCTTCTTGGTTTGTGTGCTGTTCTCTGAGGACATGAAGCTATGACAGTCATCAACACCGAAGCCAAAATGCTGAGCACGGGGAAAAGGAAGGGTGGGAGGAGAAGGTCTTTGATTACATAATTAAGCTACTTGATGCACCTGCGGTAAGACTGCAACCCATGAGTCTTCTTTGTAAATGTCCTTTTAGTTTAAGCCACTGTGAATAAGATTTTCTATTACTTTTGTTGAACACCATCTATTATAGTGAGTGAGATCAGAGATTTACAAAGTCATATTAACATTACAGGAGACTCCTAGATTGGACTATACTTGATTCACTGCATCATCAGAATTTTTTAAAAATATATTAATCCTAAAGGAGGCTTCTCAGACATGGAAGTATAGAAAAAGAAACATCAGAAAGAAAAATAAACCCTGACTTTCCACATTCAAGTGTTGCCCATGGGAGAGGAAATTTTGGCCAAAGATTTGGAGTATTATTATTCTGTGGTCAAAGTTATCTTTATAGTGGACAAGAGTTTTTCAAGGTCTCTTAGCTAAGGATTACTTCTTTTTAAAAAACTGACTTAGATTGTTCTGAGTACAAGCATGCGATTTCCCATGTAGATTTGCCCAATGGTAAGGAATGTGTAAGTCATGCTGATGCTGTTTTATCAGTTGATGTGACTGTCAGGTTTCTCATTCAGAGATAACAACTGCCTTATCCCTTGAGCTCTGTGGGCTTAGTTAATGAGTGACAACCTTGAGAGATGTGACAGAATGAAATTAGCTGAGCCAAAGTCTGGTGAATTTACCAAATTAAGTGTCAACTCATCAAAATTATTCTCAATCTGCTAGCTGTTCTCTCCTACCTTATCTTTCCTTCAGCATCCTAAGTATGTAAAACAAAAGTGGATTGGTCAACAGAAAAAGAGAGAACAAGGTTGAGAGGGGATTAAATAATATCACAGTGATGGTAAGTAGAGATGGCAGGGAGGTTGATAAGGTGTTTAGGAGAGAGTAGTGGTATTAAAGACAAGAAGAATAAGAAGTGGACATTTAATAAGAAAAAGTAGGATCAATCCATTCAATTGAAGAAAGTACTAGATAAAAAATATTTGGAGATTAAAAAAATAGCTATTTGTGTATGGAATTTTGGGAAGTTAAGCAGGGAGCAAAAAAAGTAGAAGAGAGAAGGTTAATTTCTGCCTGCATAGCTATTCTTTCAGGAGGCATTATTAATAATTCTTGGGACAAACAGTATTCCTTAGAAGTCATGATAGGCAGCCTCGTGCTTAAAAGGTAGGGCCTTGCCACCCTATTCTTCCTGTTAAGGTCTGAGCAACCTGCTATCTTCCTTCATGCATCCTGAAATGGACTAAAAGTAGTGGCTATAGGAAACCCTTAAAAAAATCAGATTATTAACAAAGGATTGTTGATGACATAAACATAGTAGAAGAAAGAATGAAAAACTTTGTACCTTCATCTATTTTGGTAGAATGAGCTTGTATCTAACACACACAAAACCTGTATCTATACAAAGAAAAAGCATTTAAACAATGGTCTGGTTTTTGTTGTAACTCTTCTTATATAAAGACAAGTAAAATGGCTTTAGGCCCCAATTCTAGTCCCCTGACTAGGGCTATTAGATTATAGACGGGTTGTATTTCATGGACTTGTTCTTGTTTACACTGGCCTTTGTGTCCCCAAATATATTATATATTTGAAAATTAAATAAGAAATGTACTCCTGTATATGAAGCTACATTTTAAAAGTGGGCATATTCTGTAATTGAGAATCTTTTTATTTTGGGTGATAGAAAAAAGGCGAGTTTTCCCAAAATGTAGCTATGCATCTTTATATTGTTCAAGTAATATGATCAGAGTACCAAACTACTAGCTTTAATAAAATGAGAATACACTTTAAAATATTGCCATTGATAAGGAAAGGCATTTGGAATATTTGACAGTAAAGCCATGACTACAACTGACCATTTCATTAGTTGTCAATACAAGTGAGAATTCAGAAGTAAGTCTCCCTTACCGAAAAATGCCAAAAAGAATTAAGTCATTTGCTAAGTCCAACTGAACCACAGTATGGCATATTCTCAATACAACTAAAAATAACTACAGGGCAGAACTGGGTTTAGGCATTGCCTTTGCACAGTTTCAGAAGGGTACCGAGTGACTTTTATTGGTGAAAATGAAGTTAATGGTGATAATTGTGGTGTTGTGGATGATGATATTATTATTCTATGGTAAGCTGGATCAAAAGAGATAGAAACTATAAACAGAGAAAAAAGTGGCTCTAATTTTCACAAAGTTTTGGATTCAAGCCTTATTATTTTTCACATTATAATTATTTTCAGATTTTTGTCAACCCTCTTATATTGAGATTAGTGCCAAATAGAAGTTAAACATGGGCAATGAATTCCTTTTCTAGCTGCAAAACATAAATGGTGACCTAATTTTCCCTGTTTGTAACATTCTCACAGTTGATTTCCTCAGATCTTGATTTCTTGAGTCAATAACAGAGCCAAAGTGAATTTGAAATAACATCTGAACTAATTAGTGACAAGAACAATTTGACTCTTCCCTTTGTTACAAGTGCCATTTTAAAGCTCTGACCTCTTAGTGTTAGGCTGAAGAGGTATAAATTGCATTAGACTGGTCTTCAAAGAAGAGTGGTAATGGTAGCAGTAATTTCAGGGAAGATTCACTTCAATTTTCTATATTACCTGTTTCTAACATCCACTTTAAAAATCTAGGCAGTTTTGCCCAAAATGTTGCCTGGTCAAGCTTACAGGGCTGTACAAAGTGGGTTTCAAAGTAATTTCATTGCCTTTTATCTTTCCAAATATTTGTAATTTCTTCCAGTCTCTGCTTATTATGGCTGAAACAAAATACACTAGAACAGTAAAGGAAGATTCACCAAAATGTCATTAAGAAATCTGCTCCAAGACTTGAGATAAACCAGCTACTCTAGGGCACAAGAACTAAATAAAGTGGTCTGAGGAAGATTGTTCACTGTCCTGCTCTGTCGTGTCCCGAGTCTACTCAAACATTTGGTAGTCTGGAAGGAGGAATTTAGCTGGCAATTGAATAGATTTCTATGCAGGACCCAGAGACTTGATTCCAGCATCTAGACGCTGTATTAGTTTGCTAGGGCTGCTGAAACAAAGCACCTGAAGCGGGCAGCCTAAAGAACAGAAATTTATTATCTCACATTTGTGGAGGTTAGAAGTGTGAAATTAAGGTGTTGGTAGGCAAGGTTAGTTCCTTCTTGGTCATCTTCTTCCTGTGTATCTTTATATTATCTTCCCTTGGTGCATGTCTGTCTTGGTGTCCAAATTTCCCCCCATCCTTTTTATTTATTATTTATTTACTATTTTTTTGAGATGGAGTCTTGCTCTGTTGCCTAGGCTGGAGTGCAGTGGCCCGATCTCGGCTCACTGCAACCTCTGCCTCCTGGGTTTGAGCGATTCTCCTTCCCCTCAGCCTCTTGAGTAGCTGGGATTACAGGCACGCACCACCATGCCCAGCTAATTTTTGTATTTCTAGTAGAGACGTGGTTTCACCATGTTGGTCAGCCTTGTCTCAAACTCCTGACCTCGTGATCCGCCCACCTTGGCCTCCCAAAGTGTTGGGATTACAGGCGTGAGCCACCGTGTCTGGCCCAAATTTCCCCTTTTTTATATGGATACCAGTCATATTGGATTATGGATCCACTCTACTCCCGTATGACTTCATGTCGACTTAACTAATTACATCTGCAATGACTCTATTTACAAATAAAGTCACACGGTGAAGTACTGGGCATTAGGATTACAACATGTGAGTCTTGAGGGAACTATAATTCAAATCACAGCAGATCTTAATAGTTTCTTTCTTTTTTTTAAATTGTTTTTGTTTTTGAGATGGAGTCTCTCTCTGTTGCCCAGGCTGGAGTTCAGTGGCACCATCTCAGCTCACTGCAACCTCCACCTTCCAGGTTCAAGCGATTCTCCTGCCTCAGCCTCCATAGTAGCTGGGATTACAGGCATGCACAACCAAGCCCAGCTAATTTTTGTATTTTTAGTAGAGGCGGGGTTTTGCCATGTTGGCCAGGCTGGTCTCGAACTCCTGACCTCAAGTGATCCACCCGCTTGCGCCTCCCAAAGTGCTGGGATTACAGGCGTTAATCAGTGCACCCACACAATAGTTTCTTTTTTAAAAATACTTTATTACAAAATGTATGACTTCAGGGGTACATGAACTTTCTGGTGCAGAATCATTTAAATTACCTGATGTACGGCAATATTGTGCCAGTGATGGTCAAAGAGAAGCTTTTAAAATTCCTTGTATTGTTTACTCAATGCATATTTTCTATAGACAAAACCAAAATGCTTTCTGTTAGTCTCTCTCCTGGCACTAGAATGGGTTCCTGCTACCAAGATAAAAGTTCTCTTGGCCTGAATCCCTTAGAATTTGCATAGCTTTTGAGACCCAGGACTTGCCTGGATGGAGTGAGAAGGTGGTAGGTACAGGCTCTAATAAAAAGGGGTTGATCTCACACAGAATGACTCCAAGCCTAGGGAATGCTGACCAGTGATTTCAGCATTGAAAGCAAAAAGGTTCAAATTGTCATAATTCTCTATTTCACAAATATAGCAGTGAATAAGACAGAGAAATGTTATTGTGCTAGTGGAGTTTCAAATCGTCATAATTCTCTATTTTGCAGATGTGAAGCCAGCCCCATTGGGATTACAGAGCTTCTAGAGCAGAAGAGATAGCAAACATCCTTGAAGTTTGGCACCAGGCAATTTTTGTTTGTTGTTTGTTTTTGAGACAG
This sequence comes from Homo sapiens, assembly GCF_000001405.40. Classification (NCBI taxonomy): domain Eukaryota; kingdom Metazoa; phylum Chordata; class Mammalia; order Primates; family Hominidae; genus Homo; species Homo sapiens. The sequence goes on along the minus strand of NC_000003.12, from coordinate 173,985,032 downwards.
TCTCCCTCTATTGCCCAGGCTGGAGTGCAGTGGCACTATCTCAGTTCACTGCAACCTCCACCTCCTGGGTTAAAGCAATTCTCCTGCCTCAGCCTCCTGAGTAGCTGGGACTACAGGCACACGCCACCACACCTGGCTAGTTTTTGTATTTTTAGTAGACACAGGGTTTCACCATATTGACTAGGCTGGTCTCGAACTCCTGACGTTGTGATCCACCTGCCTCAGCCTCCCAAAGTGCTGGGATTACGGATGTGAGCCACTGCACCCAGCTGGCAACAGGCAATTTTTAACCCTCAGAACCACAAGATAGCATTGAGATAATCTAGTTCAGCACTTCTCATGCTGAATTTTGTGGAATACTACTTCATAGTTTGTACAGGATAAAACAAATGCTGTGATTAGATAAGTTTGATAAATGTTGGGTTAAATAAGTGTGAACAAATTTATTTCCTGGAAGTTTGTTAGTATTTTAGCACTGCAAATATGCATTGTGAATCTCCAATTAAGAAAGAGACATAGTAATTTGAATCTCCAAGACAGAAAGAGACAGAATAATTTGAATTTTTTGACCATATGAGCGTTTGAAATATCTTGCATTATTTCTAGGGAGTCAATGTTTAGGTCTCAATGAATTAGCATTTTGTAGAACCTAGTATGGGAAATATTAATCTAGTCTCATTCTCTTATTTTAGATATGCAGATATGTAGGCCCCTAGAAGTAAAGCATCTCAACAAAACTCTGAAGTCCATAATCTTTGATTATTTGGCCCAAGGAAAATACATAATAAGCCAGCAGAAGCAGGAGCCAAAGCTATGGTCCCCATCCCAGCTCAGCGAACTTTCACATTGTCACAGGGTTTCTTGATATACCTAAGTACTCTTGGAGGTTTCCTTAGATTTGATTTGCCTCGGAGAAGAGCCACTTAACCAGATAATTAAAATCACCTGGGGCATCACATTGTTTTGCTTTTAATTGAGAAACATATGCTAGTCGTCCTGAGACATCCTCTAGCCCTGTGGTGCCAAATTTGAGGGCATGTGACAGCCACCTGAATTTTTGTTTAAAAATTCAGTTAGTTAATCCACAAGTATGTATTGGAGTGCCTTCTGCAAATATATCAGCGAATAAGACAGAGAAAAGCTATTGTGCTAGTGGAGTTTCAATTTTAGTAAAAAGTGACAGACACTAAACATTAAAAAATAAAACATATTAATGTGATAGAAAATGTTATGGTGAGGATGGGGGTTGCTTTAGCTTGGGGAGTTTATGAAGTCTGCTCCGTGAAGGTGACACTTGAACTGAGACCTGAATGAGGGGGAACCATTCATGAGAAAGTTGGAAAATAAGAGATCCAGGCAAAGGAAGAGCTGTGCATGGCTTTCTAATGGAGACATACTGGGCACGAGTCAGAGACTACAAGAGGCTGGAGCATAAGGATCAAGGAGTAGGTAGAGAGACAAGCACTGAGGTTAGGTTCCTGGAATCCAGCCCCAGAGATTGTGATTCAGTAGGTCTGGGATGGACTCAGGAATCTGCCTTTCAAACAAGGATACACATGTCTCTGATTCAGGATGGAAAATGTTTAAGGAAATTCTGCACTAATCCTTTGGGTGTCTGCTGGACTCGACCAGAAGCATTTCCTGAGCACAGTGGGATCAGTACTCCTTTACTTACAGCCCATATATCCAACTCAATAACTGATTAGGGAAAATTAAAGAAAAGGGTATCCTGGAGTTATGCTATCTGCAAATAATTACAAGTTACTTCTAGCTTATGGCATTTGACATTTGGCATTGACTAGTACATGGCAATTGACAGTGCCCAAGTAAGACTAAGTAATGTGCTGCCCTTCAAATATGAAGGTGAACTAAAAGAAAATTAACAATACTTATGAGAAACATGATAACTTACCCAAAATAATGAAGAAAAAACAGAAGAACTCGAAAACTTGTATTTTTAAACTTAATTATTCTATATTAGTATTTTTTCCTTGAGAGAAAAAGAATGAAATGGAATAAAAATGTTTTTTATGAGAAAAAATGTGGAACTCTATCATACTCATTCTATCTATGATCTTTAGATGACTATCCACATTCTACTCATTTGTCTAATGATTGGTACCTTTTCTAAGATAGGGACCTGGGTATGGAGATGCTTCATGTTGGCACACAACAAAACTTTTTTAGCCACAATGTAACACAAGACCCTAAATTTGGGCCTGATATGTTTTACTGTAAACTACAATCAAAAGGCACTTAAATGTTTCTGGTACATGTCTGCACTGTCTTCACTGAAACTCACAGCAGCAGCCACAGAAAGGAAAACTGGATCAACCTAACCAATATGACAAAAAGTTTGACTCAGAAATTGACACAGAGTGTACTTAGCTGTGACCATCAATCCATTCACTGCTTTTCATTCTTAAACTTTTATATTCTCCAGAATGATCAATAATCCTTCACCTTATAGAGTTAACTGCCCTTATTCTAAATTTATTACGTCCGTGATATACTCTGGCTCCTTATCTATAAGGTCTGTATTTCTATGGACCAAGCATTTAATAACACATGGTGAAGTTAGAATGCTAGAGAGGCTAGGAGAGTTCCATTGTTTCCTCCTGTTTTTTAGTCAGCCTTATTCTTTCTCTTTGTCTCAAGAAAAAGCAAATATGTAATAATTAAATATTAAAATATAAATTATCCAATTACTTTTTTATCTATTATTTTAGATAAAGCTTCCTGGTATGTTTCTCAACAGAATTAAGTATTTTCTTTTAATCCTCAGAAACAAAAGTGCTTCTGTCCTGGAGTTAATATTTATACCAAACCAAAGAAAGGCACACGTTAATGGTTAGAATAAAGCTGATGGTTAGAGACCTAAGTTCTAGCCCTAGTCATTTCATCTTATATTCATAAGACCATACAAAATGTCAATTAATGCTGCGACATCTTAGTTTCCTTGCTCATAAATTAAGGATACTATATGTTTTCTATTCCTCAAATGTTTGAGTTTAATATCAAAACAGATTTTTTTCAAATGTGACAGCTAGTGTACTTCAAAAATCATAAATATAATAAAAAATATCAGCTGTTAAAATCATTTCACTTGAAGAAAAAAGAAAGCAGCTTGGAAGTTGATTGCTAGATTATAACACTCATACACATATTACTTAAGTTAGGCAACATATATTAAAGAGAAAATGAAAATTAGTAAAATGAATTTTTAAATGGTAAAGTATAAATATGTGTGTTATTGTTAGAATATGATTATATGTAAGAAAATATACTTGGTATCATGATGAATATGAAGAATTATACTACACAAAGAGGAAACACTATTATATAGGTATAAGATATTTCTCTATATACAAATATAAAAATACAACCCCAGCAAAATTAAACAGCGTATCACAACATGGCCTTACATAGCAATACAAGAAATAGAAGACATATTCAGCCAATGCTATTAAACAACAAATGTAATGTACCAGATAAAATGGGATCCCTGCTTTAATGTAATATAGAAATAGTTGGAGTTACGTGTTACATCAGTGATACCTGTGAGCCATGACCTCAACTCTTCCAGCACTTCCAGCTAAACCAACTTCATACGGAAATTTATTTGGTCAATATTCTTACTAAACATTTTACCATTCTGTGTTTTATGTCTGCTGTGAAACCACCCAAATACTATCAATTTGAAAATTTGGTGAATCTACAGGAGGATGAGAAAAATAAAATAAAATCAGTTATCCTGGGTTGGCTGATAATCTAAATCAACAAATAGCTGAATATTGTTAAGCACAATGTTTAAATACTTTATATGTAGTCCTCACACAACTGTCATGCTGTTGTTATTCTTATTCCCACATGAGGAAGCCCAGAGGATTATGTCACCAGGAGGACAATTAGAGAGGCAGAGTTGGGCTTCAAATCAAGTTTCTTGTGACTCCAGTGCCCACAGCCTCAGCTACTAATTTATTCTGACATATAGCTATTATTAGGATTTGGTATAAATTTATGTAAGAAAATATTTTATGTAGAATTGTATGTAATAAAAATAACTGAACTAAAATAATTGGGAAAGTCTGGACTGAAAAAATATGGATCAAAGGATCAAATTACAAAGTATTAATTTCTCCAAAAGAAAATTCAAATGGATAAGATATAACTAATATTCCTCAAAATATAAATGGGTCAATCATAGTACTCAAATTTTGGAGGATTAGTCACATGAGTTTGAAATAATTCCCACCCCTGCCCAAGTACATTAAAATAGAGGTGCTGTTCTATATATATTAAAGTAAAAATTTTTATACCTGATGCTGGCAAAGATGAGATGAGTTTGAAGCACTGATACCGTGTCATTATACAATGTTTTTTTTGAAAACATATCAACTTTCATGTGTGTCTTTATATTTTGATCAGTAATCCCACTCATAGGTATGTATCCTAAGGAAACAATCCAACAAGAAAGAACTATATTCCCAAAGATGTTCGTTAAACTATTATAATGAGGAAAAAATAGAAATAAACTAAATGTCAAACAAAAGGGGAATGGCCATGTATATTATCATGCATCAACCCAGTGACATTTTCTGCAGTCATTAAAAATGATAGACATAAAAGACTATATAGCAACATGGAATAATTTTACGATTTAATGAAGAGTGAAATAAGCTATAATATTTTATATATACTATGATTAAATAACGGAAAATATGAATGGAAACTGAAAATAACATGAAGTAAACTTAAAAAGAACATACATTAAGATAATGTTACTTTTGTTCAGTGTATACATTTTTTGCTCTTTATTTAATACATAATATTTTTAATGGGGAGTTTATATGTTAATGCTTTAGAATAATTTTTCAAATTTGTTTTTCAGTGACTTAATTTTGTCCAAGAGGCATAAGTGGCTGGTACAACCCAGTGTATTTGTATTGAGTAAGTAGATTTAAACAAGGGAAACACCATGCTACTTCAAAACCTTCAGGTTCTTAATACGTCATGTTTCAATCCAGAAGATGAGAATGGAAGCAAGTGCATGCTACTGTTACCATTTGGGAGCTGAAGATTAACCACAGAGATATAAATACAGTTATTGATAAGGTGCCAGATGGAAAATTTTACCACAATCCATTGAACATGTTGAGTATTCTTATATATAAAACACTTTGGTAGGCTCAAAGACATGCTCTAGGGGCTCACAATCTACTCATCTGGATACATGCACAAGCAGTCAATAACACGATATGGTGATAGGACTAGAATAATGACACAAAAATACTATGGATATACAGGAAAATAATGTATCCATCCAGTAACCTTCAGAAGACTGGTAATCTTGAAAAATTCTGCACTGCATACCAGGCTTAGCATATGCTATTAATGTTATACCAGATCATACTTTACACACTGGTGCTCAATTACACTAACCATAGCTGTTGTCAGTCTCATTGGTGTCTTCACATTGTCACTTCTTTTTACCTCTTACCCATTTTCCCTTCTTATCCTCACACCTTTTCTCTTCAATCTAGAGCCCATTAGCCATTATTTTAATAAGCTCTTACACTTAATAATCAACTTTCACCTTGTGCTCACCTTGTAAAACATGTACTCTAAATTTCATTCTTTCCCACTTATTAATACTTCATTTTATGTATCTTTAATATTTCCCTATTCCTTGGATTATTCCTATCATCCTTTAACATGCCCAGGTGTTTCTCATCAAACAAAGTCACCTCTTGGTATCCCACTTTTTCCTTTAGCTATTGCTCTATCTATTTCTCTTTACAATCTGTTCTTGTGGGAGAGTTATCTACTTTGCTAACCAAGCCCTCCACAGTTCTTGCTTCCCCATTCACTCCTCAATTTACTCTAATCTGACTTAATCCCCCTTCCCACTACTTACCTCCTTTGTCCTTAGTGTATCAGTGAAACAGCTCCAGACAAGATCACCAATGTACTCAGTTGCTCATTAAAATAGATATTTTACTCATTCTTGATTCAATTTTTTTTTTTTGAGACAGAATCTTACTCTGTCATCCAGGCTGGAGTGTGGTAGCATGATCTTGGCTCGCTGCAATCTCTGCCTCCAGGGTTCAAGTGATTCTTGTGCCTCAGCCTCCTGATTAGGTGGGATTACAGATGTCTGCCACAAGTGGCTAATTTTTTTTTTTTTTTTTTTTTTTTAATTAGAGAAGGGGTTTCACCATGTTAGCCAGGCTGGTCTCGAACTTCTGACCTCAAGTGATCCACCCACCTAGGCCTCTCAAAATGCTGGGATTACAGGTATGAGCCACCATGCCCGGCCTCATTTTACTCGATTCTCAGGAATATTTGACAAAGGTTGACCACTGCTTTCTTGAATGCTTTTCTTCCCTTGGCTTTAATGACATCACATTCTTTTGATTTTTCTTCTTCTTGACTGCTACTTTTGGTCCTTATTAATTGACTATTCCATGTGGACCCACTCCTTAAATACTGAAGTCTCTCAATTCCAGATGCTAAGCCCCCTTATCCTTCTTTGTTTTCATAGGTACTTCCATGAACATTCATGACTTCATTTACCAGTTTCTTTAATTTTATCTACGTACTCAACATCTGCACTTGGATCTTCGCATATCTTGCAAACTTAGCATGCCCATAACTAAACTAAAAATTTCCCTCCAAAACTGCTCTTTCTCTTTATTATTCATCTTAGTGGTTACACCAATATATAATTACATAATTACTTATCTCCTATCCAATTTGTCACAAGTAAAGACAGAGCCAATGCCAAAGGAGGCAGAAAGGAAGAGACATTTGGTCCTTAGTGGCACTGTCTGATGATGAAGGCTTAAATGAAGTCAGACTGATGCTAGACATTACTATTCCCTGAATCAATAAAACCATTTATTTGTTCCTTGTGAAACAAGGTAGTCATGACCTATTATCTTTTCCTTATCTCTCATAAACACTGACATCATTGATATTTTCTCTCCCCTTGGCTTCAAGACAATTCTCTCCTCGTTTTCCTGTTGTTACCTTGCCTCTCCCTACTACTCTATTGCCATTCTCATTACCCTCAAGCCACAAAATGTTGACATTCCTCTAAGGTTGCTCCTCAGCTCTCTCTCCTTTTCTCACTTGATGTTTTCTCCCGAAGTGATCTCATCCAAGCTCACAGATTCAATTATCATCTAGTCACAACTGAGTCATACAGTTATATCTCTAGGCCATAATACTCTTTTGAGTTCCAAATTAGTTTAATGAACTGCCTACTTTACATCTCATCTTGGGTATCTTAAAGGCATCTCCAACTTAACATGGTCCAAAATGAATGCACGATTTTCCTTCCCTCACTCTCCCAGAGTTTGTGCTTTGTCCATTTTTTTTTCTAGGTCAATAAATAGCACCACTAGACTTCCAGGATCACAAGCCGGCTTGTTGAAGTCATCCTTGGAACCTCTGTCTTCTAGTATAAAAATTGTTAATTCCTGCTTAAAATCTTCAGTGACTACCTTTTCTTTGGGGCTTAAGAAACTCCTTAACGTATTGTACATGATCCTGCAGATTCCAACTTCTACCCGCCTTGTCAACTCAGATAAAGTTGCCCTTCACTTTTTGTACTCTACCTACAATTACACTTGTCTTTTGTCTGTCCTTCGCCATGATCCCTCACATTACAGTGTTTATGCACGTGCCCTTCCCCCATCCCCACTCCCATTTAAGACATGTTTCCCCCTCCTATTTGCTTAACTGCCATCTGGTCATACTACAGATTTCAACTGAAAGTTATTTTCTCAGAGAAGTCTTTTCTGACCTACTTGGCAATGTCAAATATTCCTATCATAGGTTCACATAGGATGAATATCTTTCTATTGCAGCATTTGTCACAGTTGAAATGGTGTGTGTGTGTGTGCGTGTGTGTGTGTGTGCGTGTGTGTGTGTGTATCTTTTTCCTCCACTTCAGTAGTCTTTATAAAAGAAGTACTTTGACTATTTGCTCACAATTCTATCTGCTGCACTTAGCATTGTGCCTGGCACATGGTAGGCATTCATATTTGTAAAATGAAATAATGAATGAAAAATGAATGACTGAGTCCATTTTTTTCTGTAGTGCTTAAAAGGTTGAGTTTGAACCTAGATACAAGTCAGTGAAGTGAAAATATACACACTGAGTAAATTGGCAAGAGGCTAAAAATATCAAATTATTAAGAGGTTAGAAAGTATCTGTGAGGAAAGATGGATAGAACTGCCAATGTGTGCATGAGGAAATGACAGCTAAGAAACATGAAAGGTCATAGACTCCTTAAGGGCAGATGCCAGGGAAAGAATCATTGGCTTGTAGAATCATGCTCTTCAACATAGCCCAGAAAAACAAAATGAAATGAAGACAATCAGAGAAACAAGCTCATGGTAAGACACATTTATTCATGGTAGTTAATCAGCAAAAATAATAACTAGAACTCATAAACACTTAGGGGAAAAATGCTGACTGAGAACCAGAGAATCTGGGTTTCAGTTCCAGCTCTACTATTACCTCCAGCTTGATTGGTTAAATCACTAAAATATGCTGACCCACATCTTCATCAGTACATTGTCTGTAATAGCTCCAAAATTCTGATCCTGTTACTCCCAATGAGTTTTACACGCAATTAGGCTATTAGCTACCCAAAGCCAGGGACCATAGTACATTCATTGTTGTACTCCCCAGGGTATAGAATGGAATCTTGTACTTAGCTAGTCTGTGTTGTTAAGCCTGTAGAATAGTTTATCCTATAGCCAATACTTAAGAATACCTTGGATCAATAAATGTCTTACAAAAATATATGCAAAATTTTGTGGTGTAGTTTAAATGGACATTTTTCAGGAAAGGAGGAGAGCAATACATTTTGCAACATAGTTGAATAACGTAATAAAAACCCTGAATGTAGAGTTGTAGAATATTTATGTTATCTCCACAACTCCAATTGTACACAGTGCATATCACTCAGTTGGGATTACTCTGATTTATAACCACCTAGCCCACTTTGTATAGTAGATAAATAGTCAGTTAGTAAATATATATTGCAGATCTACCAATGCTATATTAGGTGCTGAAGGTACAGCAGTGGTAATCAGATTTAGAAACATTAGTGAACAAGACATATGACTGCCCTCAAGAAACTTCGTTTCTAGTGGAAAGAAACTAAATAATCTCACACATGAGAAAATCAATCATATAATAACAGGAACATAAAAATGCCACCAAAAATATGATAAAGGGCAATGAGTGGGGCAAGAAAATGATAGTGTGGGAGGGAGTTGATAGGGTGCTCAGTGAAGATCTGGGCATTCTTGGTCTGAGTAAAAAATGCACTAAAAAAGGAATTGGAAAGTATTATCTCAAGATAATTTCTCACCCATGCCATGCAATCTTGGGTAATGTCACATACCCTGTCTGAATCTCAATTTTCTCATCTTTTAAAAGAGATTCTATACTCATCTTTATATACTTCAAAGAACGATTACACTTTGAAGTTTTAGTATTAAGGTATTCACCTTCCTTGAAAATCAATTGCATTTTTGTTCTGTGATCAATATTATCCCTCGGTTTGCACAGCACCAAACTGTCAACTTTTTCTGATATAATAATTCTTGTCTTGTCATTCTCTCCTTCCCAGAGCTCCCTTCCCCAATCAACCACTCTTCATTGATTAGAAAGGGAGGTGGCAGATAGGAGTGAAGGGCAAAGAGGAGAGATTTGGAAGAGATCCCCAGTGTTGAGACTACTCAAAAATATCCAGGTGAACTCACTCCCTATTTTCCCTGAAGCCCCAAATTGGTGATACATAAACTAGATTGTACTTAGCCCAAGGCATCCAAGAAGAGACAATTACTTTACCTAAAGACAACTGTAAGTGTAAACGTGCACATCTTACAAAAGTGGTTACAATCCATTTCCACGATGCTGACACTGCCACAGACCCCAGCCCTAGAAACATGTGAACACAATTAAGCCAATCTTCTCTCTGTCTCTAGACTGGTGTGTCCTTGGGTCACTACTGTATTTTGAACTCATTGAATGTAATAATAAATATTCAGGGTGGCATGTGAGAAAAGGGTTATTGGCTCTTGAATCAAAGTAAGACTTGAAAGCCTAATATTTATGATTTATGACCCATGGCTTTACTTCTAGTTTCATCCATCTAGGAAATAAGACAATAAGACTATAAAATCAAATATATGCTTTCAATTATAAAGACTATATGCTAGGACTGACAAAACAGAAAATAGGGCCTGCTGTAGGAAGTACTGTAAAGCAAAACATTCCTATCTTTGCCAACATATGTAACAAATTCTTCAAACTTAAAAGACTCAGGAAGGAATCTTAAAGCTTTCTTTGAAGCACCCCCCCAAAAGTAATCACTTCTTCCTTTTAATTGTTCAAATATTTTATTCATATGTTTCTAAAAATCTTTTCTACCTCTTCCCACCTCAAATCACAAATTTTTAAAAAACATATTTTAGTTCTCCACTAGACTAAAATAGTAAAGGTCAGGATTTGTGACTGTTTTACCTTTTCTCAATGATGTTCTCTTTGGAGACTTATATATAGTAAGTGATTAATAATTATTTGTTAGAAGAATGAATGAGTCAAAGTTCAAGGACTTACTTATTTAAGTAAAAGTAAATGTGTGTTATAAAAATACCAATGTAGTATGAAGAGTCCTAAAATAAATGTTTCTTAAGCAATGTTGAAAAAACATATGAGAATTTCCTTTTTCAAAAATTCAATTATTACTCCAGAATAACAAAACCTTTTTTTTTTTTTGGAATGAAGTAAATCTTTCATCAAATACCCTTCTAAAACTTTACAGTTTCATCTTTCAGCCCTTCTTAATCCTAAATGCACAATGAGACTTTTATTAACTTTAATTGCTCTTTGATCAGACTTTTGATTATTTATCCTGAGGCTACGTTGTAGATTTCAAGTTGTTCTGCACAGTTGTAATTACCATATGTTTTCATTAATCTAATTCTGTTAGCTGGCTGTTTACTGAGTGGTCTTAGTGTCAATCAATTATCCTGCTAGCCCATGCATCAAAGCAATTAGAATAGGGTTTAGTTCTCAAGGTGTAGTCATTAGGGTATTTTATTACATATTTTCAGCCTATTAGGGTGTAACCAGAAAAACACAAATAGTATACTTTTGAATGTGGTTTTATCACTAATAATAAGCATAAAACTACCATGGCTCGTCTGTGTAGCCAACATTATTACTATCAAATTATTTGGGTCTTGGAAAATATCATTAAATACTTGATAATGAAGCCATATAGATCTAAGTAAATGAAAATATAATCAATTTAATTAGACATTTCTTTCAAATGCACTGGAAACCAAATTCTCTAGATAACACAGAATTTGTCTTTTACCAGGCTACTATATTTGATGTGGCTTCCTAGCATTATTTCTCAAAGAAACATTTAAAGTGTTTCCAAAAAAAAAACCACATAATTTTATTCCTCAAAAATTTGTTATCATATATTTATTCGAAACTCCTTCAGAGCTTGACTAATTCAACATGGATTTCCCTGCACACATTACTTTGCTTCTTGGTTTATTCTTCCTCCTTTCCTCCATTTCATTCATCAAAATAGCCTTATGCTGCTGAAGATGGTGCAGAAAAAGAAAAGACAACAGGACTCCTGGGCGGACAGGCTTGTGGCAAGGGACTAAAACAAAGAGTCTTGGCTACTAAGCGGGCAATTGTCACAAAGTACAGCCCACTAGACTAATCAGAACTACAATTTTCTTATATGTATACTTAGAAATTTATTCCATTTTCCCACAATGATAATACACATTTGTTAATTATTATTTCAATATGCTAGAGATTGTTCTAAAGACTTCCAGTGCATTGGGTCATATAGACTTTACAAGAATACTATGAGTATGTTATTGCTAGTTATCCTCATTTTACAGATGAAGAAACTGAGACAAGGAGAGGTTAAATATTAGTAATTTGCAAAAGACAATAAGCGGCAGTGCTGTGATTTAAACACAGAACGTGTGCTTTAAATCACTAAACTCTTAACAGTGGTTCTTAGACTCTACAGTGTGCAGGAGAATCATCAGGAGGGTTTGTTAAAATACAGATTGTTGGGCTCCACCCCTAGAGTTTCTGATTCAGGAAGTCTGGTTGAGACTTAAGGAGTTGGATGTATAACAATTTTGCAGGAGATGTTGATGCTACTAGCCTGGGGACCACACTTTGAGAACAACTACTCTGTTTCATTCCAAACCTCTCTCAATTTTTAATCTTCCAATCTAATCACTGCCTCACCAGGACTCTTAACTCACAGAATGGAAGCTCATCAATTCCCACAGAAAAGGCTCATCAAGTCAAATTTCTCCTCATTTATTTCTGTTCTTTTAGCTCTTTCCTCCAACTAAATTTTATCATTATCTTTTCTCATTTTTATCTCTTTCTCTTCCACATTTGTGAAAGTGTGCTATTCAAGGTCAATTTTCCTAAATGTGGATTCTATCCACTCACACTTCTTTGGGAACTTACTGAACCAAATGTGCCAGAATGCCAAATAAGTGTGATTTGTACATTATTTATTTCTATGTTCTTCTGCGCCTTTGCATTCATTCTACCACCATTGTAGAGCTCTAAGCAGTCTCATGACTTTTCTGGTCATTTGCAGGTAGTAGAAAAACCTAATCACTTTAAATTACATATAATAAATCATAAAGTAGTAAGCCAGCCCTAAAGAATAATCAAAACTCTAAACTCTTCTCCAAGCTGAAGCTTCTCCCGCTGCAGGCAGGCAGGTTTCCTGCCTTCAGGAAGGGGAATGTGGTAGTCTTAATTTCTTACTCTCTCCTCTCCCATTAGGAAAAGAAATGTGGGATATTCTTACTTTGTTAATGTTCTTTTTAAGAGGCTTTATGCCCCGTAGTCCTGTTATATGCTTAAAACTGGCTCTTTCTTGGGGCCTTCTGTGGGCTCTTCAGAAGCTGCTCCTCAGCTGGGTACTTTCCATTGACCTCCCATGCTGTGAGTTGCACTTGTGTGACTCCTGGTTTCCTGGAGTCCACTCCCCATAGTCTTCTTTATCTCATTACTGGCCTAAGCAGTCCACTTGCTGCTTAGGCCAGTAGCCTAAGGCCAGAGTCAGAATGACTGTATAACAGTTCTCAGTTGTAGTCCCTATCTGGTTCAAAGGTAATCCTTACATATCCTTGGCCCTGACACATTCTAGAAAGTCACTTTTTATATGTACACAAGTATTGGCTTTTTGGTATGAGTTAGGAACCAGTCCTTCATGCCTTGTGACTGCAAGGAACCCACGTAATGGTCCCGAGGAAGCCCAAGAAACCTAAATCAACAATTCAGTCATCTTAGTGGTTTGATGCCTTACTTTAGCATTTCATATATACTGTTTCTCAGTGTTTGGGGGGAAATTTTTAACTAAAATTTCTATTACAAAGTTATTCCCCATTTTCTTGTGTACATATTCTCCTTAATCAGCTCTTTTCCTGCATGCAATGTGATAATATGCTCAGATTAAAACTAAAAAGTCCTTGAGCTCTCCTCTCAGCATCATCATCATCATCATCCTCTGTCTCTCCTTTTCAGACAAATCTCTAGACTCTCCATTTCTTTTTGTCTCAATCACTTCCTATTCCACTGAAACTTGATTTTCCCTTTTCCTCTCTGAACATTGACAGTGACTTCCAGTGGCTCCTTCTTGTGAATATTTTCTAGCATTATCACAACCGACATCTCATTGGCAATCAGTATTATAAACAATTTATTTCCTGGAAATCTTTCTTTGACTTTTGTAACACCATTTTCTCTTATATCCCTTTATGATTCCCTCTTTCTCGTTCAGGGATTTTATTTTATTTTTCCACATAATTTTCAAATAATAGTGAATGCACGCAGTTTTTCACCCTTGACATCTTCTTGTCTATCTCCTCCATGTAGGCAGTTTTGTCATTAACTCACGGTTTCATCTTTCCATACAACATTGCTGACAGCTCACAAACTAGTATGGATTCCATTGGATTTCCACTTTCTGTTTCAAATTTAACACGTCTAAAACACCAAAATCCAAACCCATTCTTCTTCCTATATTTCTAGTGAATTCTCCAGTAGCACCCTACTCCTCCATTACTGCCAGTATTCAGTCTTCAAGTCCACTTTTTAAGAAGTGCAAGTAGCAACCAGAATCAGCAGCACCAGCTACTCTTTACTGCACAGTAACGATGTACCAGGCAAGTATTTTGCAGATAAGGACACTTAGGTTTATAGGTTAAATAACATGCACAAGTCACACAACTCTTAGTTGACAAGGCCTAGATTTAAGCTCAGATTTAGGCAGCTCCTTTTAGCCACTATGCTATACTGTGTTCTTCTAATAGCTCTGGAATCTACCCCTTCTATAAATCCTCAAGCTTTAATTCATGCCTTAACACTCTGGATAAAATCCAACTTTTTTTTTTATTGTAAGCAAAGCCCTTCATCATCTGGCTTCCACATCCCTTCCTACTTAATCTACTCCTACCTACCCATAAAACATCTGGACTGCAGCCACACTGAACTTCCGGCATTTGGATTCAATACTCCTTAAATTGCCATTCCTTCTAGCTAAAATGCCCTTCACCTGATTAACAACTAAATGGCCTTCGGGACTCAGGCCAATGAGGCGATTGTCCTGTTTTCACAACGCACCCTGTACATTTTCTCTCACTGCATTTACCACAAAATATTACTAGTCTTCACTAATGTTTACTTGTTTCACCCTCCACTAAACAAATGCTTTGTTAGTCTTTAGCAACAAGGACTGTGGTTATCACATCGTAAGTGCACAATAGACTAAAGGACTTGTTTAAATGGTTTTGCATTGGGAAAATGCCAATCTTAATTTTACTCTTTTAGATGTTAAAATATATGAAAGAAGTTAAAAAAGAAACTGTAACTATCAGAAATGCAACACTTGATATGCACATACTTAATGCATATCAAGTGCATATAAGTGAACTAGTATAGAGTTCACTTAAAAATATTACAGTTATATAATAAAAATAGGCAATTAAATGTTTTATTTTGTGGTTAGATCTTTTTTTTTTTTAAGCCCAAATATCTTCTCCATGCAGAAATCTGCAATTTCAAATAAATTAGTGGGCAATTACTTGGAATGAGTCAAAACTCTTTTTTGGTAGCAATTTTGATTCTACGCAGAGGCACCCTTCTGTATGAAAGTAGTGACAATAAAAATCAAGTTTCCAGATTTTCATAATAAATGTAAGTTCTGCCATAGACTTATATTAGATTTAAAGAATATGGATTGCTTTCAACAGCATAGAATATTGGCATTCCAGATAGTCATCATAGAATCCAGCCCTGAACTGACTATACCTTAATCCTGAAACAAGCTCACGTAAGTCAAGGATATTTGAGATAGACTTCTCAATGGGCAGGCCAAACCTTGCTCTAGTTTTATATATGTTGTCAATGTATTAATTTAGTATCTAAATTATCTAAATTCTGGATAGTGCCCACTATATTTACTAGCGATATTTAATTTTTAGTGTTTATGAATGGGTAATATATGAATATTAAAATAATTTTTCTTTTTCCTATAAAATACCTAGCTAATTATGTTACTTTAATACCCTTTGTAGAAATTTATATGATAGATTTTATTTAGAATTTAGTACTAGGAAATAATCTGTTTCTCCAAATGAACTGGCATTCACTCCTTTATCAAATAAGTAAAATCATATCATGTGGCATATTGTCCTTATGGCCTTAACTGAAGGAAAATCAAAACACCTTATAATTTATTTCTGGTTCCCTTTGTTTGGGTCACATTTTGATGTTGAACTCATCCTTAAGTCTTTTTTTAGACAATAAGTAAAATATAAAAATAAACAAAATAAAATAATCAACAAGTTAACAGTAACAAATTTTTTTTTTTAAATCTTCTTGCATATTCTTTTCTCATCCAAGTAACAATCTGGTAATGTTAAAGATGGTTTTTAGGCTGGGCGCAGTGGCTCATCTCTGTAATCTCAGCACTTTGGGAGGTTGAGGTGGGCGGATCATTTGAGGTCAGGAGTTTGAGACCAGCCTGGCCAACATGGTAAAACCCCGTCTCTACTAAAAATACAAAAATTAGCTAGGCATGGTGGCACATGCATCTGTAATCTCAGCTGCTCAGGAAGCTGAGGCAGAAGAATTACATGAACCTGGGAGGCAGAGGTTGCAGTGAGCTGAGATTGCGCCATTGCACTCCAGCCTGGGCGACAGAGGAAGGCTCCATCTCAAAAAAAAAAAAAAAAAAAAAAAAAAAAAGATTATTTTCAGTAATTGTGGGGTGTTAGAGAAGGTGGACACATCAAAATTTATTCTGTGATAATTTTCCAGAAAGCTTAGGACTCAATAAGGCATTCATTATATATATTCTTGCTATAAAGTATTTTTTTTCTGATTAACACACTTAATTATAAGCCTCATCCAGTATTTTTGTCAAAAAAGCAAAAATGGTCATTGACTCATTTTTTAGAACTGCTAAATATTCTATAGGACTATAATTGGTTGAGGGATAGATATAGATATAGAAATAAATATAGATACAGATATATCCCATAATCAGTTGTTTTTAAAATTAGGTTTAATTATTTCTGAAAGGCAAAACTCCAGTAATCAAATAGCTTGTATGGAAGATAAAATAACAGTTCAAAATTAAGTCATTCTTTAAAATATTCCTTTTCTACAGGGTGAAAAGATGTTCTTGATAGTAACTAAACAAGATCAGGTGTTATGGACTTGAGAAATACATAAATCATAAGATCTATTCTAAATCTCTACAATTGAAAAACCCCACGATGTTTTCAAGGATTGTAGGACTCTTAAAATGAAATTTTACACTTTATTATAATTTAGAAAAGAAAAACACACAAGTCTGAACCACACAACCTTTCAGAGATAAAGTTCAAAACTACAGCAAACTCTACAGTCGCATTTGAATTGTAAGTTACTGGAACACGCGTCAGCTACCATCAAAGCTCAAAGGCCCTGAAATCCAGTTTGCTTAATGGGATAAAATTAAACTTGAATATGTTCTAATTGACTTCACTGGTTTGGGAAGACTTCATGCTAGGGCTAAGCTTTATGTCAAATTTCTAAAAAAGAAAAATGAAATATATAAAGAAATAGCAATGAGGATAAATCACATAATATGTATTCATTGGATCTCTTCTTATTTGTTTCTTAGCTCCTGTGAAAGTAAAGGCTCATTGAACTGATAAGTTCAGAGACAGAATAAAGCAGAAGGAAACGGGATGAAATGCATTTCAGAAGGATTGAGAATCATAGTAGACCTTGAAAATAAGAAGTAAAAATTATAGAGAACATGCCAAAGAAAACAGAAACTAAATAAACATTTCTGAGAAGCTAAATTATATAGTAATGTGAAAATATAAAGAGAGGTTACAGGATAGTTTGGCGTAACTTAGGAGTGAAAAATCACCTGTGAGGACACTAAGGGATAGATTTTGACAAGAATTCTTTTTTAGTAGAAATATTAGTTGTGTTCAAATCAATGCAATAAAGACCTAGCTACATCTATTTCAAAAGGAAAGCATACCATTACACATCTCTATACAGCTACCTTATTACAGTTCAAGCAAGAGTCCTAGAGTTTGCGTAGCACAGTCACTTGAAGGGAGCCACACAAATTCCGATTGCTGTGCACCAGCATGGTCTGTTTGCTGCTATCACTGTCCACCAGTCGGAAGTTATGCCACACTGCTTAAAGGCCTTAGAGTACTTCTTTTGCCCACTGTGCTTACAATCACTCCATTTCAGCTAGTCTGTCAGCTGCTTCGCCACCCTGCTGATATCCATCTTCCATACATGTCTAGCCCAGTAAATCTGAATTTCAGTGAGCTTGACTTCCATGCCGATGTCCTGGGATCCTGCTGTTGCTGACCTTGTCTTATCGTTAGATGTTAAGTATGACTCACAGGCAAAGTTGGTGAAACTGTTCCACAAACTATATGAATTTTTTCCAGATTTTAGTCTCCAATTCAACTACTAAAGATATTTGAACATTGTCATCATTTATAGACCTTTCTCTTTGAATAAACCTAAAAACTTGGTTCATGTCATAGGGTGTACACTTACCTTGCAAAATACATCCTGGTTCAGCAAACCACTTTCAGTTTGGGGATTTTCCCAAGGTCTATTACCAAGAGTGCAATGAACTACAATGATGCTATTTTAAGAAAAAATTTTGTCTATTTTTATATTATGCTTTATTCAACTTTGGTATTTCTAAATATGTCAGACTATCAAGGTGGATACTGCTGATTAAGCAGGCATCACAACTTATCAAGTCCACTTATCACTAAGTCTGGCAATCCAAGGCGGATGGAGTCAGTGTAAGAAATGTGTATGTGCTTTCAGTGACTAGCCGGGGCATCTGAATATTCTTAAACCGATATCTACAGTTTTCCATATTGTTTTATGCAATTAAAAAATAGGTGGCACAAATAATTCATGTACTTTCTTAGTTTATTGTTCAATTATCTTTATGTCCTTTGTTAGATGACACAGTAACATGTTTCTAATGCTAGCCCCTTCAAGATTGACCTTCTACTTCACAATAGTATTTCAAATCAAAACAAAAGAAAATCTCTCTTGGCATCTTTAGATTAGTCACATGTCAGATTCTTTTTGGACTTAGGAAAACATACCACCACCTGTAAGAGGAGTGTGCTGAAGTAAGCTTTGAAAGGCAGAGCTGTGGACTTTTTACTGGACCAAATGTTTAATATTAAGCATGGGAAGGAGAGATTTTAGGCAACTGGTCATTGGCTCTATTGTTACAGAAAGGGACAATAAACCAAATTATTACGGAAATAATACTTATTTTGAATATCAGTTGGTGCTAACCAAAGTTAAAATCTTTCATTCTTATAAAGAAGGCAAGGTAAATACCAATGAGCTATACAAAATTTAGACGTTCCCAAAATACCAACAAGCCTGGTTAAAAGATAGATATTTGTACTGCTAACACCTGTCCCACAAAATGTACACACAAACAGATGTATATAATATAAAATATGTATATTTATATACTGAAAAATTATGTTTTACAATGTTAGTATTGATAGAATGTATAGGTACTATAGCAAAACATGCCCTTTTTTCTCTTTAGCTGTTTAGCTCTTAGCTCCTTTAGTGTGGCAAATGCACCTTTATTTCAGAGAAAGATAAGTACTTGTGTTCAACAGGTGTCTTAAAAATTTGGATACTGAATAAAAGATCCTGAAAAAGAGAAAATCCAGTCGAGAAAATTCTCTCCCAATTGTGGGACACTTTTACCTTTGAGATGATAATAAATGTTTTAGGAATGGGCCAGCGCGTTGGGTGGCTCACGTCTGTAATCCTATCACTTTGGGAAGCTGAGGCGGGTGGATCAGGGAGGTCAGTAGTTCGAGACCATTCTGGCCAGCATGGTGAAATTCTGTCTCTACTTAAAAAAAAAAAAAAAAGCCGGGCCTGGTGGCACACGCCTGTAATCCCAGCTACTACAGAGGCTGAAGCATGAGAATCTCTTGAACCCGGGAGGTGGAGCCTGCAGTGAGCCAAGATCACACTACTACACTCTAGTCTGGGTGATGGGGTGAGACTCTGTCTCAAATAATAATAATAATATTACTAATAATAAATGTTCTAGGGGAAAAAAAGGAAAACAAAACAAAACCCTGCTTTGTGGTTAAACAAGTTTGGAAAACATGGATTCAACAAGGTAACTGGAGTTCTTAGATTTCTTTGGATCTTCTACTCTGTAGGATTATTTAGATCTTTAACTCTGCATTATAATTTTCAAGTAGGGGTAGGAAAGGATACAGTGAAAGCATGGCAAAATTTGGCCACAGACTTCTTTATTAAAAAAATACCTATAAGCAACTCGGGAACCAAAATTTGGAAAACAATGACTGAAATATAAATCAAAATTTCAGAATACCACTATTCAGAATTGTGCTGCATAGCTACTTATAACTGTGAATATTTTTACTCAAAACAGCTTTGAAGATCTCATATCTGAACAGCTACCACAAAATCCCAGATCTCCTTACTGATCCATGTGATTTCCAATCCCATCCTCATGTACTCGTACCTGAAAATGTTTATTTTCCGTGCTTGTTTTTCAAGAATATTGGTATATAGTTTCAAAAATATGATAGTTACTTAGATTTGAGAACATAAATATATAAATCTATCATGCAAAATCAAACTGCCATACATCTACCATTTTTAATCCATTTTGGAAGAACCATTATTAAAAATTAGAAGTCAAAATTACATTTGATTCATACAGATTTCAGGAGTAGGGCAAGTTTAGAAAGCAAGAAAAATTAGTTTTTCTAGCCTTCACCTCAATAAAAGGTGAATTCAATACTCAGGATGCTGTTAAGAACTGCTTTGATATTCTATCACCAGAAAGTATAAGCTTGAGTCTGTGTTTCCTGGTGTACCAGAAAGAACATTGAATTACAAATCAGAACAAAATCCCGGTCTTGCCTCTGTCCCTATGTAGTTATTATCTGACCCTAGGCAAGTCCTTCACTTTCCTGAATATGCACAAATATAACAGCTGCATGTTGCAGTAGATAACCCTAAGGACCTTTCTATCACGGACAATGTGTAATTTCAGTATGGTAACAAGATGAACTGCACGACTTTGTGTTGTCTTTCACCCCTCCACTCACTGCCCTGCACTATCATCTGTGGCAGCCCTTCCAGGACATCTTGTTGAGATTTATGCAATGGACTTCCTTCAAGCATCACTGTCATATCATCTGTCTGCCCTACGTCTCAATCTTCTCTCTCTCTCCACACATAGGATGTGTTTAAGTTTCCTTAATAAAAGTCTTCTCTTGATTCTAGCTACTGATCTTTTAATCTCTGGCACATCCTGGCTTTTACACTTTCCATTCACTTCCTCACCTACCTACCTACCATTCACTCCTGTGCAGAGATAAATGTGTTGTAGTCTCTCTGATAAAACTGTTTTCTTGATTTCTAGCTACCGACCTCTTAATCTCTGCACACCCATGCTTTTATAGAATTTTCATTCACTTCCTCACCTACCCACCTACCATTTACTCCTGAATGCACTAGAAAACTGAATTCCAAGTCTGCCCACCTCTGTTCACCAGGAATGGGTGTCTGTAGCTGACTAATTGGCAAGCCAATTAGACACCTTTTGAACTTTGTATTGCTTGACAACATAATTCAACATTTTCAGCTATTCTTTACCTCATATAATCTTTATTAGTTTTGATGATAACATCCTGTCCTAATTATACTATTATTTCTCATTTTTATTGCTTTTTGAATATCCAAATTCCACAAATCATATCCTTTGTCCTTTTTTCTTCTCAGTCCACAAAGCTTTTAAAATGTCTTATCCATACCTCAGACTTCAACTTCTATCACATACTGATGATTTCCAAAATTATAACTCAGTCAGACCTCCCTCCTGAATTCCAGATCCGTACATAGAACGGGTAGGCAGATTCTGGAAATTTCCCACTCATGTAAAATGTAACCTGTGAAGTGAAATTTATGATTTTTATTTTCTTATGCGTTTTGCTCCATCTTTCCATGTCATCTGAGGCACATGTCTGCTACTAAGGCAATTTTAAAACCTAAAATAAATGTTATTATAAGATTTTAGAAGCTCTTTAATGAATCCTCTTTTTGGATTGCACCTTCCATCCAATTACTCAACACCCCCTGGCGCCCATTGCTTTGTTATTGAAAACCATCCTATTTTCTCACCTCAGCTGCTTTTACTATGGAATTGATGTGATAATTCCTTCTTATAGTTGTAGCATAAGTCAGATGAGATAATGCATTTTAAAGGCCTGGAACACAGCAAGAGTGTAATAAATGGTAGCATATTATTATTGTTGGAATTATTATTTTTATTACTAGTAAGATTATGAGGTTCCATAAATTGCAACTCGACCATAACTACAACTAACTTTATTTGCTATCGTAATAATAGTTTAGGATTGAACTTGATCTGATTTACTAAATTAGCATTTCTTCAACTGCTACATACCAGTGAAAGAAAAGATTATAGACTAACTCAATATAATAGATCCCAGCTTAATTTAGAATTGCAGACAGATAAGGTATATTGAGCATCAACTTTCAAAATTTTAATTAGAAAGCACCCTTAGGCTATTCTGTATCAGAAGGATAACTTTGTAGTTATTGGGTCAAATCCAAGAACATATTTGTTAGTTAATGGAAATAACATGCCTTTATATTAATAGAGAATTTCCTAGCTTATTACATCGTAAATTCTTTATCCTTTCAGAACTTTAATTTTGGGAACTAAATCTCCAATTCAAAATAACAAATGACTAAGTTAGGAAATATTTGACTCAATGTAACACTTGTTTTAGAATTCACAACTATGTTCAAGTGTTTTCTGGTAAAAGGCAAAAATAAAATGTTCATGTTGAAAGCTTTGAATAAAATGTGACAGTCCATGGTAGAGTATCTACCAAACACACATTTGGGGTAACTAAGCCCAGCTTGAAAAAGATGTTTGACCTAATGCATTATATTATAAAAGAGAGAGTAAAATTCCCTCTTAATGGGGCTTCCAACTTAAGGTGATGTTTGACAAAGACACTTCCTATTTAACCTCTTCCTAATATGACTTTCAAAATGCGTCTGAAGACAATAGAAAATAATAAAACTCACCTAATATGCAGGCTAAGCTTAACTCACAAATTGCCAGACTGTGGAAGGAAATCCTGCCAACTTTTGATGAAGGCAGACTAAAAATATATATATTTCAAATTTCACTTTGTTGTATACTCCTTGTCTTGTGTTTGATTTTCAAAAACCAAATTAATTTTTTTAACTCTCTTCTCAGTAACAAAGGTCCATGAAGTAAAAAGAAGACTTTTCAAAACTTGGCTTATTGTTTTTTTTCATCTCCTTTCCACTTTCTACTTAGAGACCAGCACAAAGTTAAGAAGCAGGAAGCAGAAAAGATAGCTTGAGGAAGAAGACACCCATGGGGGACAAATTAGTCCAGAGTTATTTTTGTGGGGAGAGCTGAGTAGGCAGGAGAGACCTCCCTGTTAAAGTTTAAGGTAGAAGTGGTTGATAAAAGCTTCTCTAACTCAGGGTAGCTTATGTGAGGTAATGTTATTAATTGATTATAATAAGAAAAAAAGAGGAAGAATCATTAGAAGCTTGAATCCTCATATCTGACATTCAAGGTCTAACCTTCCTCATTTGCATAAGGGCACCCATCCACATTTTTGAGGTACCCTGAGTCTTCTGTCTTCTCATATGGTTTTTCTTTAAGATTACACAGAGTTATACCCACTTTATACTTAACACCTATGCCTCATGTCCTTCACTAATTTCATCTTAAGTAGTTTACAAAAATGAACTAGTTACATATCCATATATTCCAATGAATATATGACTTCTTTATAATCTTTTCAAAAAATAATCCATATGCATAAACAATATTTTCACAGCACTCTTAAATCATCCCTGGGATGAAAGAAGAATCAAATTATAATACATTGTAATTAGTAAAATTGGAAGTAAATTCAACATGTCCCCAAAACCAAGCTCTGCTAGATGTCCTCAGCGTATGTTCTGGGTATTGATTTTTTAAGGTCCTCCTACAATTGTTTCTACCGTTTTATTTACCTACCTTCATACAGAGCCAATAGGTCTAAGAGGAGAAAAAAGCAAGAAGGAATGGGGCAGGAGGTCAAGAGATGGGCTGGAAAAAACATATACTGTATATTTTATATTCTATACTTCATGTTTCCGAGGAAAGTAAAGTATACATAGGAAATAGCAAAATAACACAAAAAATTGGAAGGTAGATTATCACATTGGTCTAGAAAACCAAATCTAAATGCTATTCATAAAACCACACCTAAAGAATGACTAACAAGAAAATTAAATGCAAAAAGACAGATAAAGATATGTTACTCAAATTCAATGTGAAAACAGGGATCTCAATAGTATAAATTTAAGTAGTATTTCAGATATTAAAGTTGCATCATTGATAATCTGTAAAGTATATATTAAAGGTAGATCAGACATAAACACTTGCAAAATGAATAATCTTATATTTAACTATATAAAGATAAACCCTTTAGAACTTCCAGTGTAGATGGACAGAAATATTAGAGGACTGAAAAAAAAAATAAGTTGTCTTCCTATCTATTTTAACTTAAATATTTAACAGACAAGGATTTCAAGAATCTGAAAAATAAGATTAATAGATATAGGAAACATATTTTTCTTTGTATAGTTTATATTTAAATGATTATCCTATATCTGTTTTAAAATTTTATGCAAAATTTTTTAAAATTATAGTGTTAGGCACCAAATAACCCGAATAAATCTTCAATGGTAGATACGTCTTAAGCCACATATTCTGAATCCAATAATTTAACAATTGAAATTAGTAATATAATTGTAACCCTCTACAAATCTCTAAAATTTAAAAGAAAAAGAACTCCCCAAAGTTACATTGGAGCAAAGGAGAAACAAAAATTCCACTTAGATATTAGTAGAAAAATAACAGTGGGAATAATATATATCAAACATTTTTAGCACGATCAAAGGTTTAATCAGAAACTAAAATTTTTATCTGCAAATATTTTTCTTGTTAAGCAAAAAAACCCTACAAATAAGTGAACTAACCAATCAATTCAAGAAAAGAAAAACACAAAACAAGAAAAGCAAAAAGAGAGCCCGTATTGTAGGAAGTAATGAATACACTGTAAAGAAGAAAAGTCAGTGGAGATTATTTGACAAAGACAATTAAATAGATAAACTTCTGTCTTATGTAATGCCAAGGAAAAAGTAATACACAAAACTGAAGAGCACTATATTAAGAATGAGAAAGAAGATCCAAAATCTGAGAAAATGTTTTCGAATGTCATATACAAATCTGTGTAATCTGATATACAAATCTCAGTATAATGATTTTCTAAAAATATATGGTTGATTAAACAAAAAAGAAGGAAGCCTAGGAATATCAACAATTATATAACAACGGAAAAGTGGGTGAAAATATTTAGGCCATAGTGGTTTAAAAGCAATTTCCTTAAAGTTTTCCAAAAACCAATATTTACCTGACATATAAATTATGTAGGAGCATAGAAAATATGGAAGATTCTGAAAATTATTTTATAAATCTAGCAAAACTGTGATACCAAAACATTTAAAAAATAAATTAAAAATTTCAGACTAATAGCACTTTTGCATATGATGTAAATAACTTAAATTAAATGACATAGTAACAAATTGAATCTATTGCAAAGTTGACCAAGCAGAGCTTTTATCAAGAATGCAAAAGATTCATGCTTTGAATATTTTATTCAATGTTTATGTAATTCCTCATATTATTAGATAATGGGAAAAAACTATATGGTTCTCTTGATAAGTAACAAAATTTGAAAGTTAGGGTACAAGAAGCCAAAGGTTTATTTCTTTCTCATGTATCAACATAAGCATTGTTAGTCCAGGATTCCTATGGTGACTCCAGGCATGGGAGACATAGACTCCTTTTCTCTTGTTACTCTGCCATCCCTAGGTGTTTCCTGCTTCTGGTTTGATAAATATGTCTCACTACTGATAGCAGCAGCAGCCCTTCTGGAGCAGCCACTGCAAAAACACTGGCTGCAGTGGGAAGGAGCAGTTGGGGCTGTGGGCTCCACAGAGCAGGTAGGAGCCCAGCCCTTCCAAGTGCAGCTGCAACCACTGAAGCTGTGACTGTGGACCCGGGCATCCCTGTGCTCTTGGAGGCTGGAAGTAGGCAGGTGTCCTGCCCTCCTGGGCACAGCTGCAGCCACCCAAGCCACAGCTGCAGACCCAGGCATCTCTGCACTCTCGAGGGCCTGGGAAGGTGCCCCCTTCCCTTGCAGGGTCCAAAGTGCCTGCTTCCACTGCCTGGCCTCTCCCTGCTCCTGACACTTGCTTTGATCTCAGAGCAAAGTCGAGGCTGAGCTAGGGCACTGTCACAACCCGGCCAGGTGCGTGCATGCTCAGGGCAGTACTGACGTGACAACCCCCTGCTGCCTAGGCCCCCTCCAGACTTTGGGCACCAATGAGCATGGGAGAGAGGCCAAGGGGGTGCTGAGGGCAGCTCAACACTGGCCTGCAGGCATCTCTCAGCATGAACAGCCTGGGTGCCATGAACAATGGCAGGAGGCAAACAGGCACCAGGGCAGAAAGGGGAGAGTCCCTAGTGAAGCCCTACCTTCAAGCTGGGGAAGGCCTGAATCTTGGGGGCCAGGCTGCCAGTCTCACAGACCAGAGTGGGAACTTACAGTGCTTTTTCCAACCCATGGCTGCCCTTGGAGCAATCAGCTCACCCTTCCTCCCCTCTGAAGCCCATAAAAACCCCAGACTGTCAGATTCAAGGAGAAAATGGGATGACCTCACTGTGGAGAGGAGCTACCCACTCCAGGGTCTCCTCCCTGCTGAGAGCTGAGTAAATGAGTGGACAATCAGCCACGGAGAGGAGCTACCCACTCCAGGGTCTCCAGTTGTTGAAAGCTGAACACTCATCAGGATACCCTGCCAGTGGAGATGAGCTACCCACTGCGGGTCTCCCTCCTGAGCTATTCTGTCACGCAGTAAAGCTCCTCTTTACCTTGCTCAACCTCCACTTGTCCATGTACTTCGTTTTTCCGGGATGTCAGACAGGAACTTGGAATCTGCCAAATGGTGGGGCTAAAAGAGCTGTAAGTAACAGGGCTGAAACATGCCCCTTGCTCGCTATGTTGCGGGTGACAAGAAGGAAAGGAGAGAAAAGCTACAGCCCTTTGGGGATCCCAGACCTAGGAGCTCCCCAAGCCAGGGCTGTGACACCTTGTTTGGGGCTCTGCAGTTCTTGGTGTCTCCAAGCTTCTGGTGCCAACTGTGGAAGCTGCTTGCAGTATATCTGGTCCAGCTGCAGCCTCACAGGGAGCCAGCATCTGGTGTGCCTGGCTGTGTGCAGTGGCTGGACCCAACACTCACTCACTCACACACCCCTTGCTGTTCCACACTTAACTCATCTTGGCAGGTGTGGGATCCAGGCCAGTAGCACAAGCTGAGCACAGCCTGCCAGGCTGAGTGGGCAGAAGGAGCCCAGCAGGCCCAAGCAAAACCGAGGCAAAGGCGTCACTGGCTACGGAGGTTTCTGGCTGGTGAAGCAACACCCCAAGAATCTCATGACACTACCAAATCTACATTCAGGACCATAGGAGGGAGCAGAAACTATTAGTAAGGTGTATTCCTTCTCTTAAGAGTCCAACCCGTAAGGAGCACATAGCATTTTCTGCCATGACCCAGTAGGTCTAAATAATGCTGATATCTCTCGAAATGATTGTTTAGCTGCCTAAAAATTATTGTTTAGGAGTCTAAATAATATAGCTGTTATTCTGGGCTAAAAATCTCAGGTTCTTCAAGAAGGGGAGAATGGATATTGGGGGAAAACTAGCTTTAAATAATGTTTCTTTTACATGTCAGTATTTAGTTGTAACCCATGAGAGAAAAATAGGCAGAGCAAAATAATAATTTTCAAAAGTGCCTAATAGACTCCAGCTATCTAAAATATAATGAGCTATGCTATTTATATCTGCATTATGATCTGCAGAATTTGAGCAGCTGTTTGGGGAAGAAAATGTTCATAATATTGCCCTTTTGCCCTAATATAGATAGTAATTAATTAGTGTTGATTAATATTTGTCTGGATAAACAACTTATCCAGGCAAATAAACACATTTGATTTTCTCAGAAAGACATATACTTTTACCACTAAGATATTTAAAATTTATCTTAAATAGTATCTAATTCTCATTAAATCACTTTACCCTCCAAATTTTTTTGCTATATTATAATATGCATCATAATTCTGTAGATATATCTCTATTTTTGTTATTGATAGCTTTTCATACATGCCTAAAATCACCATTTTATAATGTTCACAATGTTATTAACTCATTTTTAAAAAAAATCCAACTCAGTTGGAAACTGTGAGTTCTCTGAAGAAAAGAAAATCCTCCATATGTTCTCATCAGTGGGAAAAATAAATTTTCCCATCTCTATAGAAGTCTGTGAGCTGTTTACTATGTAGGATTTTACTAATCTTTCTTAGGAATCATGAGTGGGAAGATTATATTTAATGCTATTTATCAACAAAAAGTTTCAATCATGACCAGTATCATTATGCTTTGTTCTATTTAGAACGTTTACACTGACAACTCTTTAAAGAAAACTATCATATCCATACATAAAAGCCACAACTTTAAGTGTATTTAGGACTTCAGAAATACTCAACCATACAGTGGCAGGAAGCAAACAGGCACCAGGGCAGAAAGGGGAAGAGTCCCCAGTGAAGTCCTGCCTACATGATGGTTACCACATCATGTCAGAGTTAATGTTTCATAAAATATAATTAAATTTAGGACACATAAAATTTTATTTTTCATGATAGCAATAACTACAAATAATATTTTTTCCCAGAATAACATATAACTAGCTTATAAAGGAAGAAGAGATAAGGGAAGAAGGAGGAAGAGGAAGGGAAAGAGGAGGAAGGAGATTACAACAATAAAGAAAAACCTTTTGGTCAATTTCAAACATTCTTATTTCCTCTGTTCACAAGCTAGACTTCTCTTGCTTCCTTTGGTTATATAATATTGTAATAGGAAAAGGCTGTATTCTTGTCTTGATTCACTGCTAATTTGCTGTGTAACCTTAAATAAGTCCCTTTGCATCTCTCTGCTTGATTTATTTATTTTAAAAAGACAGGCTTGGACAAACCACATGATGCAATGAAACATTTAAACTCTGCCTTATCAAATTTGGGTACTTGAATATTAACATAATTGAAGATCTATATAAGCTCTACGAAAGCTTATTGTATAAAGTTTTGTATTTTAAAAAATGTATTCTCTAGTAGGAATATAACATTAATTATATTTTTTGCTAATAATTGGCATCAGATTATAATTTATTTTTTCACGTTAAACTATATGTATTCTTGTGTATTCGGAATGACCTCTAATTGTACCAAAAATACTTATATTTGCAATAGTGATCTATTTAAAATGACCCATTTGACTAAACAATAAATTAAATAATAATAGAAATTTCCAAGGTCCTTTCTCTCATCATTAGATTACATCTTGGCAGTTAAAGAAGAAACAATTTTTAGATAATTTCTAATACATTCATATGTTAGTAATATTAGTCTTCTTCAACTATTTTTATCTGAAGTTTAAGTCAAGCAATTATTCTCCAGTTTCTTGTTTATATTCTTGTTTAGATTCCAACCTATCAGTCAAAACTGATTATGCCCAGACATAATGTCACACCTATCTATAGTATTATTTGATTGGCAAGGAAGCTGGCTATACATGAAACTGACATCATATCTCTGTATAACAAAGCATTGTTCTGGAGGTGTATTTACCATGGACTCTTTATGTAAAATTAGAAACTGTTGTTTTCATAGCACTTTCCTAGCACTCTAATAATCTGTATTTTGTAAGGGGAAAAATATGGCACCTCATTTTAACAACATTACATGCATCTTAAAGCACATTTGGGAACCTTTGCTAAATGCCACACACAATTCTTTATTTTTTTCTCCCTGAGAGAGAACAGTATTAATGCTCTATGAGCGGCATCAGCAAAAGATGGTTCACATACCAAATTTTGCCCATTGACTTATTTTTGCACGGCCTATGAGCCAAGGATGAATGATTTTTATATTATAAGTGGCTGAAACATTTCAAAAAAAGAATTTTATTTCTGACTTATGATAATTCTATGAATATCAAATTTCTGTGTTCATGAATAAAGGTTTTTATGGAAACACAGCCACACTCATTTGTTAATGTTTTGTCTGTGGCAGCTTTTGTGCTACAATGGCAGAGTCAAATAGTTGTAGCCAAAATCATATGATCCACAAAGCCAAAAACTTTTACTACCTGGCCCTAGACTGAAAAAAAAAATTGCCAATTCCCTCTCTACGACCTGTTGATACCTAATGGAGATTTCATGCATTTTGCAAGTACTCAGTATTATTTCCATATTCAATGACTAATTCTCATATTTATGAGCTAATGCACTATTCCTGTATGTGTGCATATATATGTATGTTTATGTTGCTATTTAAGATACTCTACATAAAATGATGAAAATAAACTAAAAAGGAGAGTTTGGAAAGAGCAACCTTGGTTTCAGTTTGTCCTCTGTGTCTAAACCTTAGTTTAGTGACCGTGTGAGCAATAGTCAGTTCTACCTAATCAGTGATTACTTCTCTTATTGCCTCAGAAGTACATTGGTTCTACTGAAAGAATATGCAAGAAGAAGGTGGGATATGGGAAGAAGCAACTCAAGAAGTGACATTTGAAATGGTTGGCAGACATTGTGAAATGCTGATTCCACTTCAACCTAACAGTTTATTCAGGAAGCTAGAAATGAAATTTATCTTGCAAAGCAAATTTTCTATAAATTTCAAATGCAGGTTTCCCAATGACAGCAGTTACACTTCTACGCACTTCAATGATAATGATAATAATAATAATAACCTTTTACACTTCCCTCAAGATTTAAAATTTAGAAAGATTTTCTTAGTGGTGACTACTGATGTAGATGATTACATCTGTGCTTCATTTAGCACAGAGTTTTGCTATAGAATGCATAGATATACATAAGCCATTTACTATTCCTGGGTCAGGCTTGATTGCTATTTCTGAAGAATAGTTCATTGAGGGTTAGTGGTACAGATAAATTCAGCAATAAACATACGCATTTTTTTTTCATTTTTTCTTGTCGATAAGTTACAGTAGACTGATGATAATATTTTACATTTTTACTGATTTTACAAATTATTTCCATATTTACCATTTGTAGTGGTAAAATGTCTCTCAGATACCTCATTTATTGTCAAAGTGTTACAAGTTCATCACTATATCATTTTCCTTTATCATTTAACTTTAGAACATCTTTGGTGGCCATACCTGGGATGAGCACATAATTTTTCTCATAATTGGAATACTTTTGATAGTAAAATGGGGGACCATTAGCAATTACATCAGGAAAGCAGATATAAATAGAAATGAGTCAGGTACAGTGGCTCAAACCTGTAACCCCAGCACCTGGGAGGCCAAGGTGGGAGGATAGCTTGAGTCCAGGAGTTCAAGACCAGCCTGGACAACATATTGAGTCCTTTTATCTATAAAAAATTAGCCAGACGTGGTGCATGCCTGTAGTCCCAGCTACTTGGGAGGCTGAGGTGGGAGGATCACTTAAGCCCAGGAGGTTGAGGCTGCAGTGAGCCATGATAGTGCCACTGCACTCTAGCCTGGGTGACAAAGTGAGACTCTGGTCTCAATAAATAAATAAGTAAATAAATAAGTAAGTAAGTATATAAATAAATAAATAAAATGGCCTCAGGCAGTCCAGGACTGTCTACCATTAATCAGGATAAATGGTCACCTTAGTTTAGTGCCCAGTTGGATAACAAGCAGCTCTAAAATTGAACAGAGCTTAACTCAGAAACATAACAATACCTTTTTTTCTTTTTCATGAAGCTTTTTCTGCAAGAAAATCAATAAGTATTATTTTTTGTTTAAACAAAGTTCATCTTTTTGAAAAACAACTTATGTAATGATAACAAGATTTGGTAAGAATTAGATAAGAGAACCTAATATAATAACCTGATTTATAAATGTGAATTCTTTTCTCTGACAGTCACTTACATGTTTAAATACAATTACTTGCCTTTTATTAGTAATTTTTAAATAGATAATTCTAAGCTACTCTGACTGCTGATAAACAGCAGAGTAATCATGGAAAGATATAGAGGTTAAAAGTAAATTTTAGGGCTGAGCACGGTGGCTCACGCCTGTAATACCAGCACTTTGGGAGGCCAAGGTGGGTGGATCACTTGAGGTCAGGAGTTCAAGACCAGCCTGGACAGCATGGTGAAACCCCGTCTCTACTAAAGATACAAAAATTAGCCTGGTGTGGGTGTTGTGTGCCTGTAATCCCAGCTACTTGGAAGGCTGAGGCAGGAGAATCGCTTGAACTTGGGAGGTGGAGGTTGCAGTGAGCTGAGATTGTGCCACTGCACTCCACCCTGGGTGACAAGAGTGAAAACTCTGTCTCAAAAAAAAAAAAAAAAGGTAAATTTTAACCACTTAAAAAAACTAGTAGTAAGATAAAAAAATAAAATGAAGGAAAATAATAAACATTTTCAGTTTATCCTGATGTAATAAACATATGGGATCTCTGTAATTAAGTTCATGCTGTTGTACATATAGACTGATTTCTGAAAGGGAAATCATGAAACAGCTATCTATTCCAGTCCCTTGCTTCGTAGATGAAATAACCAAAGTACAGACGACTCTATTAATCAGACTTCTTTAAGTTGCAAGGGTTATAGATACAATTCAAGCAAGCTTAAGCAAAAATAAGGCCATTTGTTAGCTTCTATAACTGAAAAATCCAGGATAGCACTAGAGTAAAATCTGACAAGATTCAGGAATAAAAAAAATGTCACGAAGACTATTCCTTGTCTCACCTCTTGTGTACATTCTTAGGCAACAGCTCTCTTCTGGAGGGCAACAAGACTGCTAGCAGCTCCAGGCACACATTCTTCATCTCAGTGACTCCGGAGAGACTGAAGTCTGGGATTCCAGACTTGTTGGCTCTTATCGGGAAATATGCCCATCTTTAAACCTATCTTTATGGGATTGACTGGACTGATTGAACAGACCTGTGCCACATGCTCATCTACAGACCTGCAGGAAGTTTGCTATGTCGGAAGTATATAGACTGATGAATGGAACAAAGTGTTTTTCCTACCTGCATCCCACCCCTCACATAAAAATGGTGTCCTTATGAAAAGAAAGGGAAATAATGCTGGCTACAATATCAGGTGCAATATTAAATGTTCTCAACAGTATGCCTTTGTTCATAGACATGTACTTTTATTGCACTATGCATAAGTTATGTTGTGAAAAATCTAACCAAAATGGTTTAACACTAAGCCATAATAAAATTATGTGAATATGCAAGGCACACATTAAAATTTGCAAGAATGGTATGGGATATACATACATGAAATGTTGATTTTACTATTTGGAGGACACTAAGACGTATTATATAGGATACAGAGATAAGAATGATACCTGGTCTCGGCCTGGCGCAGTGGCTCATGGCTGTAATCCCAGCACTTTGGGAGGTCGAGGTGTGCAGAACACGAGGTCAGGAGTTCGAGACCAGCCTGACCAACATGGTGAAACTCCATCTCTACTAAAAATACAAAAATTAGCTGGGCATGGTGATCCATGCCTGTAATCCCAGCTACTCAGGAGGCTGAGGCAGGAGAATCACTTGAACCTGGAAGGAAGAGGTTGCAGTGAGCCAAGATCGCACCACTGCACTCCAGCCTGGGCGACAGAGCAAGACTCCGTCTCAAAACAAAGAAAAAAAAAAAAAAGAATGATACCTGCTCTTAGAAAGGTTACATCTAATAGGAAAAAGAAGATATAAGGTAGACCAATTTGTGGCTTCAGAGTTATTAATATACTAATCAAAATTGCTAAAAAGGTTGAACACAGGTCTTAACCGGAGTCTGATTTTATCAGATGACATATGCATGGATTAGACAAATTTGAACAAACTGAAAGACTACCAAATAATTTTCCAAAGAAAATTTTCTTCATTTTCATTTTTTCCAGTTAGGTGGAAAAAGAGTTGTGCTAAAACTCTATTTGTATAATTAATAACAGGCCAGACATGGTGGCTCTGGCCTGTAATCCCAGCACTCTGGGAGGCCGAGGCAGATGGATCATCTAAGGTCAGGAGTTCGAGACCAGCCTGGCCAACATGGTGAAACCCCATCTCTGCTAAAAATACTAAAATTAGCCAGGCATGGTGGCGCACTCCTGTAGTCCCACCTATTCGAGAGGCTGAGTCAGGAGAAACGCTTGAACCCGGGAGACGGAGGTTGTAGTGAGCCAAGATCACGCCACTGCACTCTAGCCTGGGCAACAGAGCAAGAGTCCATCTCAAATAAATAAACAAATAAATAAATAAAATTAATAACATATTTATTTTGTATTATTTAGGACCTTTTTTTTTTTTTTGAGACGAAGTCTTACTCTGTCGCCAAGGCTGGAGTGTAATGGCGCAATCTTGGCTCACCGCGACATCTGCTCCTGGGTTGGAGCAATTCTGCTTCAGCCTCCCGAGTAGCTGGGATTATAGGTGTGCACCACCACACCCGGCTAATTTTTGTATTTTTAGTAGAGACAGGGTTTCGCCACATTGGCCAGGCTGTTCTTGAACTCCTGACCTCAGGTGATCCACCCACCTAGGCCTCCCAAAGTGCTCGGATTACAGGCATGAGCCACCACACCCAGTTGTTTAGGACCTTTTTAGAACAAGTTTGAACATCAGTATATTTTCTTAAACTCTCCTTTGCACATAAACATACGTATTTGTTAGTTCAGCGCTTGCCATTGAAAGTAATGGCAAAACTGCCATGACTTTTGCACCAACCTAGTAATAACAATAAAGTTCCAGCATACACATAAGCATCTGATACCATATTTTTTGTAAATGTGAAAATAAATTTTATAGTTCCTAGTAAATATATTTTTATGTCAGCAAATACTTACATAATATTTATACATGAGCTAAAACAAACTTGGCTGAATGAAAGTTTTACATTCACAGAAACAAAATTTCAAAGTATTTACCAACAGTTCCATTTGTTCAATAGTTTAAAGTTTTAGTATAAATTACTCTTATTAACTACTTTGAAGCATTTATAGATAATAAAGAAAAACAATAATTTTACCAAATTTTTTATTTTTCTTAACTACAAAAGGATACTAAATCTCATTATAAAGTGATCGTGTGGTCCCAATGTTTGTTTAAGTCACAGTAACCACAGAACTATATCTATCTTTCAGAACTATATCTATTGCTAACAGTTAATAAGTACTCAGTTGAAGCATTTTCCAGGTATATAAATGGAAATCTCTCCAGAAGCAGATGATTAAATATCCATCAAAATCAGAAGACAAAATTTATTAGAAGCCATAAAGGTAATTGATCCAGCAATGCCAGACATAATGATTTCCTCCTCTGACATCTTAAACTCCAGCAACACTGGTAAACTCACGGTAATAAATTTGTATAAATTCTGGTTCTATTTAATTTTCATTTTAGAATTACGACAGTGTCATGTTTCACTTTCTGACATAATATTATACAGATACTTTTTAGTATTTTCAAACTGAATGTTTATAGGATGCCTTCATTTTTTAAGGCTTGGTTTTACTAACTGAAGATTATTTAACAATTCATCACATTCAGTCTGAAAGTAGTAAAGACAAGGTCTCAAAAGCACAATCCAGATGCCTCTTTTACCCCAGAGTCTATAAATTGACAATTATGCATTGGCTATTAGGGGAATTTTTCTGAAAATATAAATAAGCAGAGGAAGGACTTGCAAAATGCCCCAAATCACGTAAGAAGATACATCTTTCTAATTATGTCTTATTTACAGTTTTGCTCTTTTCCACTCTGTAGATTAAGAAGTTTTATCTTTCTTAAATGTATCACTGCTGCTAGGAGAGAAAAATGACTAAAGGCTGCATCATACATAAAGCCCCTTTTTGCAGCCAATTATTGAAATATTAAGGAATATATTCAGAAAAATATATTTACACCTTGAGATTTGCAAGTATAATAAAAGGCATCTAAAACATGCTATTTTTATATAAAGAGAACTGTGTGTTCAGAAAGAATGTGCTGAGAGCTATTTTTCTAAATTCTCATTTACTCTGATTATCTTGTTTAGCTGTTTCTATTTATGAGTTAATATATTTTTACATAGGTTGACCATAGTTAAAAAAAAATTTAGTGAAGAGAGGTGTCTGCAAATAGGGCAAACTTTTTTGAGGATATAAAATATTATTTTTTTAAATTTACTAAATTTTATCTTCTGCATGTTAAAATAATTATTTAAAATATATTATTAATTTCCCCAATTCTCTTCACTTTATCTAAAGTCTGTCTGGGTTGCCACTAAATTTGAGTTTATCATAATCAAGTATAATGTCCAATCATGGAATCATTCGAAAATAAAACTTTAGGAATAATCAGGAAGGAAAGCATTAATGTTTAACAGTCATAAGCACAGGTACTGGAGTTTCAGAACAGTTTGAGACAAATATCACGTAAATATTCATGCAACTGTGTGTACCCATCTTGTGTCTATCTTCCTGTTACTATGGCATAGATGTTCTTCTCCCTGTCTATGGAATGTGTCCTCTTCCTTTGTCCTAGACTCTGTTGCCTCTCACCTTTTCAGGGGCAATCTTTCTCCTAAAACTTCTATCCCTGTCCATTTACTCACCCTTCTACAGAGGACAAATTATTTCTCAAACTCTGGTCTTTCCTCTGAGTTTCAGACCAAACAACCTATGTGTCTTTTGGCCGTCTCAACTTTTTTTGTCCTGCAGATACTTCAAAGTCAGGTCTTGCAAATCAACAAAACACATGTTGGATAATCTGGCATTGTCTCTGCCGTAATGATAAAATCAACAGCTAACAGCTTAGTTACATGCCTTGTGTTCTTGACCCTGTGCTATGTGCTTGACATTTCTTATTTCATTTAATTCTCACATTAGGCTCTGAGGTAAATAATCTCATTATATAAATAAAGAAATTAAAATTTGGAGAATTTAACTAACATACCCAGTGCCAACCAACTCTAAAAAGGAAACCTGTGGTTTGAAGATAGGTTTTCTAACAATAAAATATGTGTTCATAGCTACACCTCTGTGCTGTCTCCCACATTGTATCACAGAACCCTGTATGTTGATGCTAACTTTAGAAAACAGACACTCATCTTCACTTGAAGCCAAATATCAGGCCATTAAGAAGCAAATGAACATGGTTAGCTATTTTACCATTCAGTTGCTTGACCTCTTACAGCAACAGGTACTACCATTGAGTGAGATGAAGAAATCATTTATTTTTTAATTATCAAATAAAGTCCCTCTATTACTCCAATTGACTAGATATTTGCTTAACTCTATACTTAATTTGTATATTCCAAGTATGGCTATTAGTATGAAAAGGGATATTGGCATTTGATAGTTCAATAATAATTATACTACTTAAAAACCTATTCTTAAACATCCATTCTTATAATTTTATCTTTAATTTTATTAAGCTAAAAATAAATTCTAAGTGAATGTTCATGATATTTCATGCCTGTATTGTATATTTTAAAGGAATTTAATGTTGATGATTTGAAGATGTTTTGATAAAATTATTTTTCATCCATAAAATTAATCCATGTGCATGTTTGGCAGCACGTTATGAGAAAAGCGTAATTATTTAAAAAATAACGGTTAATATGTATTGAGAGTTCACTACCTGACAAGCATTATGCTAAGAGCTTTATATATAGCTTCATAATACAGTAAAAGAGTTAAAATATACAAAGTGCTAAGGACAGTGCCTGGCATACAGTAAGTACTATGGAGATGTTCAGGCCATTATTATTGTTCTTATCACTATTGTATGTTAAGACTTGATTAATCCTAACAACTGAGCCAGTCGTGGTGGCTAACACCTGTAATCCCAGCACTTTGGGAGGCTGAAGCGGGCAGATCACCGGAGGTAAGGAGTTTGAGACCAGCCTGATCAACATGGAGAAACCCTGTCTCTACTAAAAATGCAAAATTAGCCAGGCGTGGTGGCAAGAATCGTTTGAACCCGGGAGGCAGAGGTTGCGGTGAGCCGAGATCACGCCATTGCACCCCAGCCTGGGCAACAAGAGTGAAACTCTGTCTCAAAAAAAAAAAAAAAAAAATCCTAACAACTGCTAGATAGTTAATCATAACAATCTGTGATTTTGTTTCCACTGCTCACTACATTACACAGACAAGTGAAGGCAATTCCCAGTCCACATGAATTGGGTGAAGCATTGTGGAGGACCAGGTTTTCTGATGCCCTAGAGCCCTCACTTAAACATGATACTATGATGCTACTGAAGTTGCGTTTTCTTGTCTCAATGAAATGACCATTAAACATATGACAAGCATTTATTCTCGCCAGTGTAAATTAAAGAAACAAGATTCCATATTTCAATGGACATATTGGCAATGGTTAAAGATAATGAGAGTCCCACTGAGTAGAGGACAGTGAATAGGAAGAGACTTTCATTCTCTGCTAGCGGAAGTACAAGATGAGTTAATCTTTCGGTAGGGCAGTTTGCAATCGATATAAAAGATCCAACATGTACATAGTGTTTGATCCAATAATATCATGGCTAGGTATCTATACTAAAAACATGAGGTGAACCGCACAGAGATAATTTATGAACAGCAAAAACTGAAAAATAACCTAAACATCCATTAATAGAGGGTTAAGTAAATTACTGTATTGCCTCATGCTAGAGTGATATTAAAAATAGTGCTGTAAACAATACTATTGACAAAGGAAATGTTCATAAACTATTGCTAAATAAAAATACATGCTACAAAAATAATATGTAAAATGCAACCTTCCTATGAAGAAAACAAATATTTGTACACACACACATACACACACACACAACCAAACACAAATCATTATCTAAATGCCCAAAGAAATGCATTAAAATATTAAATTGGTTATCTCTGCATGATTGATTAAGAAGTGATTTTGGTTTATTGGGTAAATTTTTGTGAATTACATCCTTCACACTGAACGTGTATTACTTCTTTTATTAGAAAAAAATAATTTGCATTTCTAAACTCTAATTTAACAAAAGGAAAAGTATTAGGTGGGCCTTTTCCTGTTGTGTTAAAGTGAGTCTGTGAGGAAAAAGCTGATGACATCTCTAAGGAAAAGGGCAGATGGCACAGACACATAAACATATGCTCAGCATCAGTTTATGGCACCAGGCAAAAATCATATTGTATTTGACTCAAAGTTGTAGGGCTAAGCCCTACCCTGACAGCCTGGAGATACCTGCCTTAAGAAGCACAGTCTATTTTCACAGGGAGATTGCAACTCATCCTTGTCCTTTCTTTACAAATGCAACATATAGAGTGGAAGATTGACAGCTTGTTAAAAGCTAATTAGGAAGAGTAGGAAAGAAGCAAACCCTTGTGCAACCAGGTAGGTACATTTTCTTCCTTCAATTATACTGAAGACTAAACCTCTCATAAATGCGAGTGGGGAAAAAAGTACATTTTACATACTGAACATATAATGTTAATATTTGTTAAGAGTAGACATTCTGGATTCAGAAAAATAATACATGTATAAAATAAACAACTTTTCACTGGCATTGAAAATATGTACATATTTCTTACAGGGGAAAATGGCATTCCAGCTCATTAAATTATGTCAAAAATCATAGCTAAAACTCAACACAGACTGTCACCAAGCATCACACAAATAATATGGCATGGGTTGGCAGCTGAATACTACAGACTGCAAATAATGACAAGAAAAGCCTTTATTCCCAAACCACTTAGAGCACATTCCAGCCAGCTCTGCACACTCCAGAGGCACTAGCATTATGCACAGGGAAATTAGGTTTACACCCACATCAAAAAATGTATTTGTTAGGATAGAGGTGTAGGAGGAAACACTGATAGCTGCACAGATGTAACCAACATCACCAGAGAGCAGAGTTTTTGGTTCCTGTTCCCACCACCCCCTCTAAAGGGAGACCAGGCATGACGGAAAACACCCACCTTTTTCAGATTTTCCAAAGACTTCTGAAATCAAGCAGATGAGGCATAGATTAAAGTCCTTCTATCAAACCATGTTATTGACTTTCAAATCAGGTCAAATGAAGCCCAGATTGGAAGAAAGCAATCCAATCAAATTTCCATTTAAGTCCAGGTAAAGGGGGCTTAAAGGTCCAAATTATTCAGTAAGTGACCTCCATCTCATTTTCTCTTCACCATCAAAGTTTGTCAAATATAAAGTTACCCAAAGAATCCTAGCCAGACAGAACAAATACAATTTTTGGTTAAAACTCTTCTCTTTATTACACATCCATTTATACAAATCATGATTACTGAATACCAACTCTGTACACCCCATGTGAATTTGGCATGACCATTTCCTTCAAGGAGCTAACAGTCTACAAATTACATAGTTAATATACCCAGCATTAAATTATCAGACCAGAAAGGAGCAAAGATGTACTCAAAAAGCTAGGCATGATGGGAAAAAGTAAAAGCCTTAGAGAGGAGTTTCACACTTTCCAGTTGAACCTGAGTTGATGATAGGAGAAGTTATTAAGAGACTTGATTGGAATCATCCTTTTTTCTAGCTTGAATCATATTTCCATTCCTTCTTAGCCTTGCCAGTCAGACTATACCCTTGGTGGCAAACATCCTAGGTTTAGGAGAGGGATAACTGACTGGTAACATTTCATCCAGTCAACTTTTCCAGGGCCAGAGAAGGTTGCCCCTCCCAGTTTCTCTATTTATTTCTAACATAGAGCATCAAGTAAATGCTGCAGAGATGGTTTCTATTGACTTCATGTTGCCCATGTAAACAAAGCTTCAGAGAGAAATTTAATTTCTCTCCTTTTTTAATATGGCATTTTTTTCTCCACATGTATGTTTGTGATTCATTCTTAAATAGGCTCAATTGGGAATTACCATAAACTAAAATACGAGTACACCTTATATTATAAAATGAGGAAGGTGATACAATGCCTCCTTTCGGGAAGCTTTCTAATCCTCCTTGCATAGGGACAAAACACACACACACACACACACACACACACACACACACACCCATAATATTAACTGGACATTTAAAATGACATTTATAACAAAAAGATTATAAAACGTTTCAGTTCCTTGTTTTTGTATTTTTCTTTGTCTAATATTGGCTGGCACATTTGTACATGTCTGTCAAATAGTCACTCATTATCTGCATTTCTTGTCACTTCTTTAGAAAATATAAGCAAACATATTTGTTACTAATGATGTTGGGAAATGATTGCTTTTTCTCTGTTTTACTACTTTGTAAATAATTCTTTAGCAGCTGCAAAACATTAAATGTTAAGTAGAAATACAACGTTGCTTTCTGAAGTGGTTCTAGAATAACAAAATGTCACAGCTTCACACTTGGGAAGCTTTGTTAGGCTTCCTAAATGCTGTTCTCACATTTCAGCAATAATGCTAAGAGATGTGCAAAATAAAATGGCAGGGAAGAAAATTTGCCTGTAAAACACAAAAACACAGACCTACCCCTCCTCCCACGAACCAAGAAGCCGAATTCCTCCAAAAGCTTCAATCATTGATTCATTATCAAGTCTTAGAGCACTCTAACAAAGTAGATGACACAATATGTTACCCAATTCAAGGGGACCAGACTCGCCATTACCTAACAAAGAGGAAACAGCTCAGAGGTAATTCACTGTGCATGTACTTTCATTGAAGCTGAGTTATAGACTTAGGTGCTTTCCTGAACTCACTTGTTTTCTAGGTGAGAGTTGTAGGGGCTGCCCTGAAGCCTTAAGAGCTGTTTGGTTCTGAAATCCAAAGAAAGAATACTTGCCCCCACAAGGACAATGTTGGGGTTGCAATAATTAGAGAAATATATAAGGTCCTATTTAAAAAGTAATTAATATTAAAGTGCTCACAAAGGAAAAATATATTTTTATACCCTTCATTATTTTTTTTTGTTTTTGAGACAGGGTCTTCTGTCCCCCAGGCTGGAGTGCAGTGGTGCCATTACAGTTCACTACAGCCTCTACCTCCCAGGGCTCAGATGACCCTCCAACTTCAGCCTCCTGAGTAGCTGGGATCACAAGCATGTGCCACCATGCCCAACTAATTTTTTATATTTTTTGTAAAGATGGGGTTTTGCCATGTTTCTCAGGAGGGTCTCAGACTCCTGGTCTCAAGCAATACACCTATCTCAGCCTCGCAAAGTGCTGGGATTACAGGTGTGAACCACTGCATCTGATCTGTCCTTCATTACTTTTAGGACTACCAATATGTTACACTGTCAGTCCAAAAAGAGAATAAAGAGTAAATAAATTGTATGTTTAATTAAATTAATATGTGAAAATGCAGTTTTACCATTAACATACAGGTCTGTATCTTTCACTTCCCTGGTTGTCATGAATATTATTATTTCAGTGGAAGATTTAGTCAGTCATGGAAGGTAATATTTGAAGCTGTCATTAACTATGAAAAAAGGGATAACAAATACAACTTTTCTCATAGGCATCAGAAAGTTTCACATACCTTTTCACTGTATTTTGTTCTTTTTTGGTTGCATTTTGGTCTTAGGGAATAAAAACTGTTTTTTCCTCCAAAGCAAAAAGAAAACGTTGAAACTAAACCTTGAACTATGAAGTTGATGCCACATTTTCAACTCTTTTTGGCGCTATTCTGAGCTCAGGATACATGCTGGTAAAATCTGAACCATGTCACAATGACCTGAACTAGGCTGAGGTACCTCGTTTTCATCCTATAATGGCTACTAGGTCAGTCGTCACTGAATGATACACTGCAAGTTTACACTTATGATCCTGCTTCAAGCCAACACTATTAGAATGGGGTGCTCTTCTGGTTACTTTTATAAATTAATTAAGTAGATGTGACCTATACCTGACCTACCATAGATAGTGCTTGGTTCTAAAACAGTACAGCAATTATTATAAGATGCCCAGAATATAGGCAGTGCTTCACTATGTATGTATATATGCACATGTGTATATATATATACACATATTATATATACACATACACACACACACACATACACACACACACACACACACACACACACACACCCCCAACCACCAATATTCCTGACCATGA
Source organism: Homo sapiens (assembly GCF_000001405.40). Classification (NCBI taxonomy): domain Eukaryota; kingdom Metazoa; phylum Chordata; class Mammalia; order Primates; family Hominidae; genus Homo; species Homo sapiens. The sequence continues at coordinate 173,942,081 of NC_000003.12, read as the reverse complement.
TGTTTCCCTGGAAAAATATTCCAAACACAAGAACTTAGCAGTAAATAAGAAGGGAGCATCAATAGTGGACATCTCTCGGTGTCAGCATTGTAACTAGGAGTAAACAGCCAGTGCCCCATAGCATCTGTGGATGTCACTTCTTCATAAGCAGGATGTTTTTAAGATGGATAATGGACATGTATTTATGGTTTGGTGTTAATTAGAAGCTCATGATGGCATGTGATGAATAGGGAAATGGCCAAAATGGGAAAGGCTAAAATCTAAATAATTCATCAAATGCATAGTTAGTTCCTGAATAATTGCAGAAGGACAGTTAGTTGTAACTTCAGTTTGTTTTCCTATAACACAGTTTTTCTACAAATATATAGTATTTATATATATATACACACTATATATATACATATTTTTAATTGATCTATTATCTATCTATCTCAGTCTCCATCCACCTATCTAAAAAAGCCCTCAAAAGTCTTTGCTTTTGTTTATTTGAACATCCAGCATAATAATGCGTTTTGATGAGGTTAAGGTAATGCATGGAAGTGAAAGTCAAATCCAGTCAACCTTTTGAGTCAATTGCCTTGTTTTAGGCTTCCAACCACTGGAAGGCCTGGGAGTCCAATAGGATGATCTGAACAGTCACTCTAAAACATTTAGTGATGCCTGATTCTAATTAAGCATATCAGCTCTGATGCCTGACTTCAGTAAGACAAAGGGTGCCATCAGTTTGATAAGACTCTGCTAAGCAAGGTTTAAAATTAATTCATAATTTCCTTTGTGTTTGTCACGTGTTGTGAAAATGAACTGCCATTCAATTTTTATAAGCCATGCACAAGCAGAAGATTTAATTTCAGGTGGTGTTCTGGAAGGCCTGAATGGTTTGAAGAGCAAATTATGATTCTGTACTATGATCTTCGGATAATTGGAGCAGCAAGCAAAACTATCTGGCATGTAGATATTGACATTCACTCTCAAAGAGTTTACACATTTACACAATTAGAGAACTCTCACCTGTTTTCTCTTCATAACTAATCCACGAAAGCTACACAGAAGTCCCTTTATAAAACTGTACCAAGCGTAACATTTAAAACTTTTCTTTCTTTAATTATGGAAAATGGGGTAAGAATCATGAAGTTTCAGAAGTGGGGAAAGTAAATGGTGACCACTAAATAATGCACAGTTAGTATTTATAAAATATAGTAAAAGTATTTACTAGTATGAAATTTATAACAATAAGCAGTTGGCTAGTTCTAAGAATACGTCATAGGCAAATGCACGTAGATATTCAGTCATCTTTAACTACTTATGAGAAATATAAAACTATCAAATATCACTGGGGGAGAAATTGTAAGGCAAATTTATGAAATCAGGATATAACAGGATAGGATTATTAGAAGATCTCAAAGGATTTTTGATATTCTGTCCCCCTATGTGCAAATGTTCTCAGATGGGTCAGACTCCTTCATTCTTGTTTTGGCACTTGGAGGGAAAGATTTATTTCTAAATTGAATTTGTTCAGGACAGTTTTTCCGAATGACACATATCAAATCTGTAGTTTTATATAAATATTAAAGGCTTTGAAAGAAAATGAGGAAAGATAAACTGGTGTTGATTGAGTTAAAGAGTTCCATTATTTCCTCAAATGAGAACTAGGTATATATTGTAGACCAGGAACCTACAAGATATAACTATTTGAGGCCGGGCATGGTAGCTCATGCCTGTAATCCCAGTGCTTTGGGAGGCCGAGGCAGGCAGATCACCTGAGGTCAGGGGTTCGAGACCAGCCTGACCAACATGGAGAAACCCTGCCTCTCCTAAAAATACAAAAATTAGCTGGGCGTGGTGGTGCATGCCTGTAATCCCAGCTATTCAGGAGGCTGAGGCAGGAGAATCGCTTGAACCCAGGAGGCGGAGGTTGCAGTGAGCAGAGATCGTGCCACTGCACTCCAGCCTCGGCAACAAGAGCGAGACTCCATCTCAAAAAAAAAAAAAAAAAAAAAAAAAGCTATAACTATTTGAGTGTAAAATTTAAAAAGAATAGTTTTAATTTCATTCAAGGTTTTAGTTTGTTTCTAGTCCAGTGCCTGAAACATAAGTTTTAGTATTTTTAGTGGATTATACACAATGTGATTTTTGTTTAAGACCGAGTGATCATTTTTGAATTAAAAGTGCATTAAATCAATTTTTAGAATCCTAAACTAATGTCATTCAACTTCTTTTGGATAACAAAAATGGACTCTTGATTAGATATTTTAGGCATCAGCGAGGCAAAACAAAAACAAAAACAAAACCCAGTAATATTCCAAAGGAGATAAAAGGCTTGTTTCATTATTATTTGGGCAGAAAAGCAAAACAAGCATTGAATTCTCTATTAAAAGAAATTTTGAAATGATTTTTTTCATTTTTAATATTATTATAGTGAGACAAGAAAAGTGGATATGAAAACCAAATGTTAAAAACATTTTCCTGCCAGCTGGAAACCCTTATGTCTGTTTTGACAATCCTATCACACATATACAGACTGTCACAAAGGGAAAATCTTTCAGTTTCCTCTCAGGAAGATCATTATGTGCCTTTTTTATTGATTGTTTCCTGTGGTATGTATAATCCTCCTTGTGGTTTTGTGCTGTCCAGGGAACCTGTTGTGTGTAAACAACCACAGGTGATTAGCGATCAATGAATGATTTTAACCCACGAGATAAATGCAATAGGACATGGAACTTCATGTAAAGAGCTGTTTAGTTTTCATTCCCTACAGATTTAACTTGATTCTTTTCAGTTGAAGGGATAAGAACATGGAAAATCAATGTTGATGGTTGAGTCCAGCACAGTTGAGCTCTACTCAGGAGAACTCCGTTAGATAAACATTTCTAGCTGAAATTTTAGGGCTATACATATATACACACATATTACATATTTCTGGAAGCATGCGAAAACTACGTACATTAATTGATTTTTGGAGTAAGTGTTACAGGCTAGCTAAAGAAAGAGATGTGTGCTTTATATCATGTAACCTTTTGCTATGGCTTGCATTTTTTCTCATGTGTTCAGTCATACTTTAAAATATTTTTTTCAATTTTTTAAAATAGGTTCCTCTGGTCATTGTGTTGACAAGCTCGGTTTGGAAAGCATTGATTTACTTATTTCACCCCAAATTATATCTCTGACTCAGTTAGCTGGTAGAATGTTGTGTGGGCTATAGATCACCATCCCTAAATCCTGCTCTTGCCACTAAGGACATCTGTCATAAATCACTGATGCTGGGAGCCACTGAGTTGATGCCTTTTCTCGGTACTTCATACTGTAGGAGCTGATCAGATAAGAAGCAGAGTAGAAAAGAGGGGGGCTAAGGGCCTCCTCTAATCTGGAGGGTGTTTGTTCTAGTCCTCTTGTCAAGCTATAGTATTAGAGAAGCCAAATTAATGATTAATTACTCATTTGATCCTATCTATTACAAGCTTGAGCAGTATGCTTAGAAGTTTTTCCTTTGCACCTCCTTGACATTTTGTATGTGATAGCAGTATATGTCAACACGGGCTAAGTCACACTGCAGTAGCAAAGAACTCCAAAATCTCAGTGGTTTAATACAACAAATATACATTTATTGGTCATTATGCATGTTCACTGCAGATCACTGAAAGGCCTCTGCTCATTCTAGTAACTCAGCCACCAAGACTATGTTTCCATGGCAAATAAATGCTTCAGTACTCAGCATCAACAGTAAAGGGAAAAATAAACATGCTGAGTCATGCTCTGGCTCTTACATTTTCTGCTATGGAGGGGCACTTGCTCACGTTTTATCCTCTAAAACAATTCGAATGGCCATACCTAACTTTGAGGCACTGGAAAGTATCATTCTACTCCGAGCCTGAAAAGAGGAGAACTGCAATTCTTGTGAATAGCATTAGTGACTACTCAACCACACTCAAAATATGATGCAATTTCTGTTTTCCATGCTAGAAAGTGAGCTCCTTGAAGAAAAGGACCCTCTTTTAATCATCTTTGTATTCCCAGTGTTTGACAATTAATAGGTGCTCCATAAGTATTTGATAACATAATGGCCTATTTATGTTTATTGTTATAAGTGTTATATGTACTTAATATAAACCCAGATGGATTGTTTTTAACATCAGAACAACTACATTATTGGGTCACATTTACAAATATTACATTTTAAATTTTGAAATGTTAATGGAGCATCTAGGGTTAACTTTGAAAATGTAAACACTAATGTATATCTTCATACATAATTGACCAGAGAAATTGCCTTGCATTTTTTGATGAAAGACATTTGCTTCTACTATCTTATTTTGCGTTAATCACATTTTTACAAAACCCCAACATTTTGCAGAGATATAATGCAAAGATGTTACAGATGACATAAATAAAATCACTTGTCAAGTGATTAGTAGCTATTAGTAATTTATCTCTAACCATCACTTACTAAGGGATATGGCATAGATAAGCTGCAGATTATATGTTTTCTCCTGCATACAAGTCCTGTCTAATGTTTTCCATTGCAATTAATTTTAAAAATTCACAAAGTTCAGATTTTTAATTCTCAGTAGTAATAAATAACTTGCAATATAAAGATTTGATCAAGTTACACCTATTCTTTGAAGTATCATCATTTCCTGGACTCAATGATAAATCTAATCTCCCAATTTGAGCCACTAGTGAAGTTCATAAAGTATATTAATTTGTTCTCTGAGCTATAATCTTTGTTCTATTTGTATATATCTCAACACCTCTCATTGATGGGTGAATTATTTCATAAGCTCAGTAATCTGAAATCCAGTTTATAATGAAGAAAAAAAAGTACCTATGCAGCTAATATCATCACAGAGTTCATTAGCTGAAGTTTATGTACGCATAATTAATAGCTCATATTCTTACTCAGAGCCAGTGAATCCTAATTTTGGTCACATTTCTAAACATCTTTTTGGTCTGGTTGCTCACTGAATGCTCTGGGACCTATAGTGTGGGATCAGAGGAAGCTGAGGGGGATGGAAGAAGGAAAGTTATTAGTTCCATAATTTGACATTTTAGTTAATTTAGAAAACTTTCATTGTGTTTCTGTGTATACATATATCCCTGTGTTCAAATGAGTTTTATATGCTTTTTACATGCTACTTTAGTTAAGGAAGAAGCCTGTTTTATTTTCTTGTATTTCTAAATAGTGAAAATAAAAATGTTAACCCAATACAGATACAATAAAACCACTGTCAATTCAAAATTCTCTAATTTTTAAATATACTTACTGCCTAACACATAATGATGAATGCTGAAGCAAAAGCACCAATTTTCAGGTGAAAAACTGATGCAAGGAAGTCTGCCGTTTCCGGCTATAATGTTGTAACAGTGTGTTACAACTAAATAAGACATATACCTTGAGGACCTAAAAAATGATAGAATCAATACAGTAATTAATGAATGCTTATGCAAGTTAGTTCATTCTAAAGGTCCTATCTTCAATCTTGTGGCACCCTTTCAGTTGAGAATTTTAATGTAAAAACTTGTGAAAATACTGCAGTAAACTGCAGTAATAACGTCCAAGGGTTGCCATCTGCCATTGTAATCCTAGCCATCCAAGCAAATTCACAATGGTGTCACACTGCTTAGATGTAAATTACCCTTATAATGCTAGAATACATGAGAGAAATACTTCTTGTAGTGTTTATTGACCTGAAATTTCTAAACCCGTGGTGTAAGGATCTGGAATAATGCAAATTAAACACACTGTAATAAACATAAAATGCATGGTACTTATGAAGAAGTGTAGGAGGTAGGCATCTACATGGCCATGCTTAAGATGAAAAATGGTGCCCTTAAGGAGAAAGCAGATGTAGAGACTGAATTTATAAACTACAAAACTAGAATAAATGTTTGAAACATATAAACACAATACAGAAACCAACCACTTATTTTATGTCAATTTTGTGAGAACCATTACATAAGATCTATGAAAAAAAAAAAGACTTAATGTGCAAATCCAAAGGTCTTTATAAAAGAATGACAACTTTGCACAACAGAATCCATGCCTATGAAAATTTTGGGAACTAATTCAATATTCTCCATGAGGTATTATCCTTGAAAATGTGCTTAAGAACTTTTAACTTGCTCAGAACAGCTTTTGCTGTAGGCTTCACACTGTCCATGGGGAGCAGTAGGTCTTTGGTGTCTCAAAATCTGTATTAGCTATCAACTTCCCTCATGATATAATTCAATATTTTCTCTTAGTTTACAAATTCTAGTAATTTTTAATCCTTGGTTGCTAAACATTGTTTCTTTCACTAACAATTGGTTTAAAAGATTCAAAAATACATACACACAAAATAAAACCAAAACACACTAGTCTATCCAAAATCTAATTTCTGGTTTTAGTGGATTTTTATTGGTCTGAATCAATTTAACAGTAAGGCAGAGAGAGACAGAGAGAGAGAGAGAGAGAGAGAGAGAGAGTGTGTGTGTGTGTGTGTGTGTGTGTGTGTAGACTGTATATTCTCATGACAAATGGAACCTGTCACTTTGAACTTCAAGATTCTAGAAGTTGGCTAACTTTGTGGAAGAGTGTCATTACTGGATTTTTTGTTTCTCCTGGGCTCCAATAAAACCAGTATCTACTGACATGCAGGGCAGTAAAAAAAAGTCCATATTTTCATGCTGGACTACATAAAAGGAAAGTTTTAGATTAGACTTTATTAATTCTCATTACAAGATTTTAACCAAGAATTGTACCTTTCATTCACTAAGCTGCCGCTAAACTTCATCTCTGATATTTTTAGCTGTATAACCTTAGGCAGGTCCCTTAACCTTTATAACCCCCAGATAGTTTAACTGTAAATTAACTGACGTGGGCAAAATTGTGATAGGCTTTGCTTGCTAAAAAACCAGGTTGGATTTGATGCAAAATGATGAGGGCCTGAACTAAGGCAGTGGGAATAATAAGGAAGAGAAAGATTCCAGAACTCCCAGAAGATGGGAACATAGCACAGAATTTAAGAGCAATGATTGGTCTGAAAAAGCAGCTTTGCTTGTAAATAATGGAGTGGTCTGGGACAGACATTGTAACCATTAAGACTTACTTTCCTCATCTGTATAATGGAAATAATAATACCTACCTCACAAGGTTGCAATAAATTTTTGAAACAAAATACTAGGATAGAGACTCTTTTATTAAGAAATTTGCCACAGGCATACATAATATATTATGTCTTTAAAGAGATATTATCGGGTTTTTAAATCAGCTGCATCAGATATTTAAATAGTGACATGTGAGTGACAAAGGTATGGCCTCAACTTGCCTTGTGATTTAATTCTTACCTAAAGGCTAATTTTGTGATAAAGATGGATTCATCAAGAGGTTTTCTGAGAAAATACTTTGAGAATACTCATAAAAGAAAATAACAAACTGCTTCTTATTTACAGAATACGGTTTTTCAGGGTGTAAAAGATCAGGGGAAGATAAAGTGTGAAATGTGACCTCTGTCTTGAGAAAAGGCCAGAAAGCTAAGAAGCCCAATGATAAGTGTATATTTACTCAAAGTAATTCTTATCCTCCATATAAAAAGTCACCATTTGAGTTTTATCCTAATATTAATGTAACCTGTGGTTTGCATGCAGTCAATAAAAATATTTGCTGATAATTCAAATGCAAATGTTTACTATTGACGTCATTATTCACTTTTTCTTGCAACCGCTTCATAAAACAAAATGAAATAAACAAGTTAGATATCAATTATTTTATTATTATAACATAATAATGGTTTATTATTAAATAATATTAGTATAATATTAAAACTACTACTAATATTAATACTATATAGTATTATATACTATAATAGTACATTATTATTATTATTGTAACTTAGATATTCGTGTTTTTTTACCTGCCACAGAATGCAAAACACCCCAACTTTTTTAATGATTCTGGAAAATTGTTAGATGTTATTTAAAGTTCATTTACATGTAGTTATTTTATTGCACATATGGTTTTTCTCTAATGATATTATACAGTTTTGCAAAGCAATACAGTGTCTTTTGCACCTCTCCTAATACTAATAGCACTGTGTATCATTTAGGTGTTGAAACATTTCTCCTTCAATGAGAGGAATATTTCTTTATTATTATTTAATAGAACATCCTTATTCACTTATAATATATATTAATACAAAGGACTGTGATCTGACAGATATCTTAAGAAAAAAATTACCCAAACCAAACTGAACCTTTGAGGTTGAGAGATACATGTGAGATTAACATTTATGAAGTACATTGAGAATTTGCTTGATGTTATTCAGAACAAAGAAATAACCTAGTCACTGCCTAATGGGATTTGTGTCTAAATTAGGGGAAAGTAAATAAAATATCAGAAGAAAGCTCAGTTGATTTATCTGATAGTCATTATCATTTCATCATATGTTTCTGAAAGAGGAAATAGAAAAGACCAGAAGGAAGAACTATGTCAAATCTGACTCCTCTCAAAATCCTTGGGGTCTTCCCAAGTACCAGGGATCTGAATAACTTGCCATTTGCGGCAAGCTAAATAAACTGTGTCTCAGATACCTGCTATCTTTAATTGTCAACCAAGATAGATACCCCTCTGGCCATTTTTCTTACACTTTTATTACACTCTCTCTAGAATCCCCATCTGTAGTCATCAAACTCCCTTAATCCACAGATCCTTTGAAGTTCTGGCCTTGACTGAAATGGTTCTTATTGTAAAGTCTCCCACTAGTGGAGGCTCATATTTATCTTTTGAAGATCTAGTGGTGGGAATCAGCCCTTCTCTCCACAATGAGGCTTTGTAATCATTACTTTTCTACCTCCTCTCTCCTGCCATTCTCTGAGCTTCTAGTGTTTCACCGGAGGTGCCCTTCTGAATAGTTTGTTTGCCTTCTTATCTCTTTCATATTGACACCTATTTTTCCCATTCAATTACTTAATGACTCTCAAAATAACATTTTTCACACTTCACTGAGGCCTCTCCTACTTTCTCTTAAGGTTTTCTGAGCTTTTCTGTTGCCTGTCTCAGAGTTTGCTTGTTTAGGACTTCTTGTGATTCTTTGAGTATCTTCCAATAAATCCCATCCTTACCCACCACCCCATTACCTTTATACATAAATTAATATTTCTTAATTTCAGATGGCTTATGCCAAAAGAACTGTGGCAGATATTCTTACACTTACACATGAGCTAAGCTATAATACAGCACCTCCTGGGGCAGCCAGTGTCTGGGATGAGTCACATCTAACTGACTCTTCATATATGCAAATCAGCTATTCCCTGGCACTCAGCAAGTCACCCAGCCAAACAGCCTTCAAGAGGGCTGAACACTTTAATTCTCTTTAGCCTCTAAGAAATTTGATGAAACCATCACTCTCATCAAGATTAGCAAAGAAAGAACATTTTAGTCATTCCACAAAGAATCTGGTTACACACCCTAACTTCTCAGTCACTGTAGGTGCTGTTACTATCTGAACAATTCTCCTGAGCAATAGTATTAAAGCTAATTTCTTTCTTTCTATTCTCCAGATTTAATTTGCAGACAAATCCTACCACACTTTTTTTTTTTTTTTAAATAATGTGCACCTCCTTTCTCTCTCATAGACAGATGTCCTAGTTAAGTACTGGTTTGTTTTCTGCTTACACACAACTCATTGCTCTTCAGCATCCTTGAATTAATCATATCAGAACATTTCCCTATATAACTCAAGCTTAGTGATAACACGATATGAAAGAGGAGTTATAGATTAATTTATTTCTTATGAAGCAACTTAAGGAAAAAACTGAAAACTAAACTATTGCCACAATGACACAAGACAATTTGAAACAGTACCATTTTTAACTTGATCACAGTGGAAACAGGACAACTGATTACAAATAACTGAAAAAAATAACCAAATAGCTCATTTAAGATTGATCCTGTGTACCCACATGCTCACCTAGACACAAATGCATTGAAAGAAGAAAACAGAACAAATAAAATAACTCTTATCTTTCAGTAATGGAAACCCAATCCTTCCATTTGCTCTGGAAAACAAAACAAAACAAAACAAAACAAAACAGAAAAAAAATTAAAACAAAACAAAACAGAAAAACACCTTAAAGTCATCTTAATTCTGCTTTTTTCTGACGCATCTCTCATCCAAACTGTGAAAAGATTATTTTGGCTGTACCTTCCAAGATAATTTATACTCTCAGTGCTTCTTACTACTCTTAATGCTACTACCCCTTCCCAATTCACCATTTTCTCTCACTTGGATTATTACAATAGTCTCTTAACTGGTCACCTAACTCCACACAGAAGCCAGAATGATGCAGTTAAATATAGGTCAAATCTTTTCACATTTCCTCTCAAAACTCTCTAGTGATTTCCTTCCTTCTACCCAGGCAAGGTAAAATTCTTCAATGATCTAACAGAATTTGGCTTCCTACTCTCTGACTCTATTTCTACTCACTCTTTCTCTCATTCACTTTTCAATCCCTCAGTTATTGCTGTTCCTTCAATATCCAGGACACACTTCTGCCACAGGGCCTTTGCAATTACGATTTCTTCTGCCTGGAATGCTCTTTCCTAGATAGCCACAAGACTTAACTTTCTAGCTTACTTCAAAACCTGTCTTTAAATGATCTTTCCTCATTGAAGCCTTCCATGACCAATCTATTTGAAAATAGGGACCCAAGCCCCCTCCACCCTGTAACCCTCCATGTTCCTTATGCTACTATGCCACCTCTATGCTTTGTTTTTTCTTCAAAGCACTTCTCACCCACTAACATTTTAATTTTTATATATTTATGATGTTAGCTTCTTATTGACTTCCCCTGAATAGGACATAGGCTCCATGAAGGTGGAGCCTCTCATTTTGTTTTGTTTATTGGTTCCTCCAGAGCCCCTAGAGTGATGCTTGGAAAATCATAGGTTTTCATTCAAAATTTATTGACTGAGTTTCTAATAGAAGCAATGAATGTAAAAATGTCAATATAACTAAGCAATCATAGAGATTGAGATTAGGCTCCATAAATGTACTGAAATGAATACTAGCAAATTACAATAATGGATAGTTTCATGGTGCTTTATAGTTTACAAAATACTTCTAAATATACACACACTCTCTTTTCTTAAAAAGACTGTGAGTGAGGAGGTAGTACTATTTTCTCTTTATAGGTAAGAAACAACATCAGAGAGCTTAGTGACTTACTGGAGGCCACACAGATTTTAAACAGGCCACCCTGACTTCTTGAACAATTCTATCTCCTGGAGACTGTATTTCATTACCTACTCCAAGAGAACTCTCTAGACCTTCAAATCTCCTCCCTAATTCACATAATTATAGGGTGTTTAAAAGACACTGTGTTCTCTTTTATTATGAAGACTGGACTTCCGAAGCACCAGGATGAATATGACAATTGAATTAACACTTCATTTTCTTAATTCGTATTTTGGGGTACAAAAGACATCCTCTAAACTCTATCCTTCTTTCTTAGATTATCTCAGTCTATCCTGGTTTCTTAGCTAGGGTGAAATAGCTTTTCACCTACTTGTATTACATTACCTTAAGTACTTAAATTTCATTTTCAATGAAACCCTGTTTAATGAATATTTATGAGTATGTCCCTGCAGTGTTCATTCAATGTGTAGACTTCCCTTCACAGCGGGCTGCAGTTTTACATTTTGCTTTTTATTGCTAAAATGTTAGCCATACAAATTGATGTTGCTTAGGAAATATGAAAATAACAGTTCCTCCTCTAACTTGAACATTTTTTGCCAGAGTTACCTGGTGCAGCACTGATGGTGCTAAAAAATAATAAATAACAATAATTAGAATAATCATCCCCAACCTGGAATAATATGCGATTTACATTTTTGATAAATGATATTAAAGTATAAATCTCCCAGTAGGTACGGAATTTCCAAGCTAAAACATTCATCATTTATAAAAGCATCAAGTGGAGATGCTGAGATAAATATTCTCTTCTCACCGTGACTAGCACCTACTAGTTTTTTGTTTTGTTTTTGTTTTTTTGCCATCAGGTGTCATCAGAAAAAAGTTGTAGGAAGGAATTTATTTGAAGAAGCTTGGCCAGGCGTGGTGGCTTATGCCTATAATCCCAGAACTTGGGAGGCTGAGGCAGGCGGATCCACCTGAGGTTGGGAGTTCGAGACCAGCCTGACCAACATGGAGAAACCCTATCTCTACTAAAAACACAAAATTAGCTGGGCGTGGTGGCACATGCCCATAATCCCAGCTACTCGGGAGGCTGAGGCAGAAGAATCATTTGAACCCGAGAGGCAGAAGTTGCGGTGAGCCAAGATCGTGCCATTGCACTCCAGCCTGGGCAACAAGAGCAAAACTCTGTCTCAAAAAGAAAAAAAAAAAGAAAAAAAGAAAAAAAGAAAAAAAAAAGCTTATTGGGTAGACATACACTTTAATAAGGAGATTTGTTTCTCTCAGAAAATATTTGGGAAATTTTAAGTTGGTTTCTTTCCTCCTTTTTTTTTTTTTTTGGAAATGACAGTGATCATTTATAAAATATTCCATTGTAACTACAGAATCTAAAGTCACATAACACCTATCCACTCAGCAAAAGGTAACTCCAATTAAAACTCTCTGTGTGTGGTCTGACTTCAGATATTGTGTGGGCAAATCTGACAACCTGCAATATCCTTTGAATTTCTTTAAGGTGAACATACAACTTAGCTGGTTATTTTCAAGAAAGAAAAAAGATGCAAGAATGCAAAATAAATGACACCAACCATATCGTGCTCAGATTGTAAGCCCCTGATGACAAGAAGATAGCTGATCATCCTGCAATGGTTACAAGTTTTTCTTCCATCTGAAGCCATCCTGAGCAATTGAATTAGGCAAGGAGCGCTTTGCTCCTTTCAAATCAGGGAAAAGTAAGAACTTCATGTAAGTTTTGTATATTGAACACATATTAAATGGAATATATCTAATTTTTCCAGTTGATATAAGACCTTTGGATTGGATACATAGAACCTATTTCACTAAAAAATTTAGAGGTTCTTAAATACAGCATTCTACAAGAATAGGATTTATAATAATCGACCTTTCCTTTTTAAATTTTCATCCTCTCAAAAATTAACTATGTCAGGCCAGGCATGGTGGCTCATGCCTGTAATCCAGCACTTTGGAAGGCCTAGGCAGGTGAATCACTTGAGGTCAGCAGTTCAACACCAGCCTAGTCAACATGGTGAAACCCCATCTCTACTAAAAATACAAAAAATTAGCCAGACATGGTGGCACATGCCTGTAATCCATTACTGGGGAGGCTGAGGCAGGAGAATCTCTTGAACCCAGGAGGCAGAGGTTGCAGGGAGCCGAGATCGTGCCATTGTACTCCAGCCTGGGCAACAGAGAGACTCTATCTCAAAAAAAAAAAAAAAAAAATTAACTATGTCTAATCTATTGTGAGCATACCTCTAAATATCATTTAATTGAAGGGAGACAGAGAGACCTCATACCAAATACAAAGTTGAACATTAAGGCAAAGGCCTTTTATTTAAATCTGTGAGATTTAATTCAATTCAATGAATATTAAGTGCCTTTCATGTGTCATGCACTATGTGACATAGTTCCTATCTCCAAGTATTACAGATCTTAGTTATCCCAATAAATCTTTGAGGCAAGTATTTTTAAGATTATTTTGTTTAAGAGATAAGATACTTAAGACTCGAAAAGTTCAAGTGCTTTGTCATGATCACAGAAGATAATGTACCACACAGTTGAGGCTCCTGTCACTCACGAGGCAAAAAGGAAAGTTACCAAAGAGGCTATGTGGTGATCCCCAAGAACAGAGGATCAGAAGACTCTGTCACTTAAAAGTGTGTGACCCTGGACAAATTAATTTTCCGAGTCTGGGTTTCCATATATAAATAACACTAGCCAATTTATAAGATTAACAATAGGTAACTCACAACTTAGGTTGTAAAATCAGAAGTTTAATATTAAAGTTGTTAAGAATAATCACAATAACTCTTTTTGGTCATGGTAATAAAAACAAATAATGGAGATCTAGCTACACTTGTATTTCAGAAAATGTGTGTGCAACCCTGAATGTTAGGGAATTTCAACTACTCAGAGGGGTGTTCTACAATTCCTACATAAAAAGCACTGTGCCGGACACAACCAGGTCTTCAGAGAAGTAAGGACTCTTGGAGCCCCTCTCCCTATCACTGAAGAAGCATGCTACAGGGATCACAGGGCCCTCTGCAGCTGCTCTCGGGTTCAGAAGGAAGAAAGCCTGTTTCTGTGACACACCAGCATACCTGTTTGTGAATGTACATGTATGTATGTATGTGTGTTTCTGTATCTGTGTGTACGTGTGTGTGTGTGTGTTTTCTGGAGCGGCAGTTGAGAGTGGGAGAACAATGTCCCCCTTGTCTCCTCCAATCCTAAAATGAGGCCACTCTTGAAAAATGTGCAAATGCTAACTTTCCAGGGAGGTCTTTCTAACTTTACTCCCCATCTTCCTCTTACACTTTGGAAACAGCCAGAAGTAGCCTGAGCAGTGAATGGGAAGAAGTGTATAGTAGCCAGGAAGAGCAGGAGGAGAGACTAATTGTGTCCCCATCCCTCCCTTAAGTTTCTGAGCCTATGTCATGACTGAGTTAGAAGGGGAGGATTCACACTAGATGAGAGACTTTGGCTTAGATATTAGGCTAAACTCTACACTTTTAAATACTAAAAAATGAGGCAATTTGGCTGGGCATGGCGGCTCATGCCTGTAATCCAGCATTTTGGGAGGCCAAGGTGGATGGATCACGAGGTCAGGAGTTTGAGACCAGCCTGACCAACATGGTGAAACCCCATCTCTACTAAAAATACAAAAATTAGCCAGGCGTGGAGACATGCACCTGTAATCCCAGCTACTCAGGAGGCTGAGGCAGGAGAATCCCTTGAACCCGGGAGGTGTAGGTTGCAGTGAGCCGAGATCATGCCACTGCACTCCAGCCTGGGTGACAAGAGTGAAACTCCATTTCAAAAGAAAGAAAAAGAAAGGAAAAAAAGGCAATTCATAACTCAGAAGGTGTTCAGAAAAGGAATGAGAAGTTTGCTGATCATGGGGAGAAAAAAATCATTTGCCACATCTGGATAAAAGAGAAAGTGGTAAGAAAGACTCAATTGGCTTTCCAGTTACACTCTACCAAGATCATTACAGGCAATAAAGCAGTTAATAGTCCTATAACTTTGAAGGTGGTACTGAATTGCCTAAAGGTATGGTTAACAATGGGTGGGTTAAGGTTTATGTTAACATCAGGACTGAAAATACTTCCCTGCACTTTCCCCACCCACTCGCAAACAGAGTTTCTAAAAGTTTCTAACTTGGATGGATGCATTTCCTGCCTTCATGGAGCATGATGCCACGTAAACATGGAACATTACAAGGTGCGATATAAGATAGCTACAGGTAATGAAAATCTCGTGAGGTAAAAGAAACGAGATTCACTGTGCTCTTGCCTAGATAAAGAACATTGTAAAGTGGAGAGAATTTGAATAAATAGTAGAGAATGATAAATACATGGATGTATACACCGGTAGGTTTGTTGGAAGCAGATTATTCTCAGAATTTAGTGGGAAGTAAGATTGGGATTAGACCATGGGACTCAGCAAACCACTTAGGTGAACTTGATTCTCTATGGCAAGCTGCGAGTTATACTTGACTTTTGTGGTTAGGGAAAATGATGAAATAAAAAAGTATTATTTAGAGAAACTAGAGTTGGAGACTTAGACGTTTTTGAGATTTCATAGTATACTTAAATCATAATTAGTAAAATTATCTTTTCCAGAATAGAGATAGTTCTTTTAATAGTCCTTAAGAGTTATTTTAAATTGTTAAGAGTGGTAGTCTTTTTTGATACAGTTATCTTTGTCCTTAGATAACATGAAAACAGAAAAAAAAATACTATTTAAAGTTAATAAAAAAGTATTTTAAAAAAAATCTTTAGACCTGAAAATCTAAATGTATTTCATTTTTTAGTCACTGAATTTTTTTAAAAATAGAATTAGATTATAGTAAGATCTTAGAATTTTTAGTATACCAAGATTCTAATGAAAATGACAGCACTAAAAATAAGAATGAATGACAGCTAAAGAAGTTTTGAATGGCATGTATGCTTTTTGAAAATCTTTGCTTTCTAATTGGAGTGAGAGAAATCAGAACAATGACATAGATTTTATTTTTAAAATAATCAACTTTTTAAAGGTACTGTAATGTTCTATTTCTTAATCTGGGTGCTGATTCATTATTATTCTTTAAGCTATGAATATATATATTTATAATTTTTATCTCTGGTCTACTTTTAAATAATTAATCTTCTTAGAATACACTTACATATATGTTTGTCAACAGATCCACTTTTTGGGAAAAGATATCCAATCTTATCTTCCCCTACTCTGCAGACAGGCTCCCTGGCCTTTGCTCTGGGAGCAGGCTCTTCCTTTCTGTCCTGGTTCCACACCCAGCAATTGGATTGTATTCTTCCAGCTCCCAGGTTAGCAGAAAGTGGCACAATGGTTCTGTGAGGGAGGCAGGTAAAGAAAACATCTGGGCAATAGTAATTGTTACTACTCTATACTGGGTCCAGGTAGATGACATTCTAATTATTCTGAATTGGTGAAATAAAAACAGCAGCTGCAGTGGTATATTCTTCTCTTATTTCTCCCATGGATTGAGCTCATTTGTCAGAAGGTTCCTACTCTCTGAATTCTTTAAATGAACTATTTTTTTTCCTCAAACTGTTATTAGTCCAAAACTTGAATCAAAATACCAACATCCCCAAAAGATCCTCAGTGGCTTATTTTCATTATCCAGGTACAGCTTTCTAAAATGTCACTTTTTAATTAAGTACTTAAAAATGGATAACATTACTAACATCTACAAATGTGAATTTCTAGTACACTAAGTGGTGTTTTAATTAATATTCCTGCATTTTATCTTCTCATCTTCTTCCCCCACCAAAAGAAAAAAATAGGTTTGATCCATTTTGTGTTTCAATGTTTCTGTGTTATTATTTCTTTTATTAACTTTTAGAAAGAATATCAAGATGCCAAAGAAAATATCCATAGGCAAAACCAAAAAACTCAAAATTGGTTTTTAAAGGTAATACTGTAAATATTTCTAAGGAATTCTAGATTAAAATTTAAGTAAAATGTTAGTAAATATACCAAGTAAATATTTCATTTTCAAAATAATCATGCCATCTTAGAACCAGATGATCTTTGAAAGGGTTCAAGTTAGTGGTTTATATATATTTTTACCCATATACCTTCTAAAAGAATATTTTAAGAACTATGTCACTTAAATGGCTTCTCATAAGTTTAACATTTAAAAATATATAATTCCCAACATACAGTAAATATTGGCATGTTATAAAAATTGTTTTGACTCTTTTATTTGTATCTAATTGAATTTTTATTTTTATTTTTATTTTTTTTTTTGAGACAGGGTTATACTCTGTTGCCTAGGCTGAATTGCAGTGGGGTGACTATGGCTCACTGCAGCCTTGACATCCTGGGCTCAAGGGATTCTCATACTTTGGCCTCTGAAAGTGCTGGACTACAGGCATACCTAATTGACTCTGAAGGCCACATCAATTTAAGACCTACTATCATACATTACAAAATAGAATGCATCAAAAAGCCCTGCACAGTTAAAAGATTTTGCATTGTTTCTTTCTGTCTTTGGACTTTTATTTCACCTTCTCCATAATACTGTATTTTAATGAAATACATTTTTCACGTTTGAGAGACCTTTATCAGGTCTTAAAATTTTGTGCAATGAAAATATGTATATAAATAGAAATTTAAATTTAAAAAAATTCCTGTGATGGCAAAATTGTTAATATATCTCTTTCAGGTTTTTGTAAAATTATTATTGATATGCACTTGATCCAAATAAATAAATACATTTGATGATTACTAAACAAATGTTTTTAAATGTATTGGGAATTCAGTCCTTAATGAGATGGATGATCTCTGTTTCTCCAATCAGTTTTTGTAGTCATGGCTGAATTTTTTGTATTGCTATAAGGTAATATTAAACATAGATTTTATGCTTAGTTTTATTTTTATAGATGTCAGTTTTGAGAAAATTCACATAAAGTAAATGAGAATGGAAGAAGTTTTATTCTAAAAAATGCCATTCAATTATTTGAACTTTTTCCAAGTTATATGCCAAAAATCATGTAGATATCTATGATAAAAATTACTGTTAATGATCTCTCAGCTGACAACTCAATTATCATCACCTTCAATTTTGTTGAAAAGAAAGAAATGAAAATTAACTGACTTGTAAAAGGAGTTTTTACTCAGCCATTCTTTTTCTAAATACAATCACCAATATTTTAAATATTTTCTTTACTTAATGATCTAAGGATTTTTTGTTTCAATTTATTTATCAGATTTATACTGAAAATTTAATGAGATGTGAGAGGGAGATTATGTCATACATCATTCAGGTAACTCTAAGAATATTTTCTCAAAATTTCTTTGTCTTGGAAGATGTTTAACCCACACCAGCAATTTTTAAATCACAGGATCAGTAAACTATAGGAAGAGAGAGATGTACACCATTCTTTATGAAGTGCCCTTCTAAAGAGGGAAGAAGAAAAGGAATACAGTGTAATAGCTCTCTGTGGCAGGCAATTCATTCTGGCCAATTCATTTTAGGGTGGGGTATGTATGACCATTCAAGATGCAGATCTCAATTCCTTTAGAAATGCTGATTCTGAAACTTTTGGAAAGTCCTTTTGAAGTTCCAGAAGTTTACGAAGAAAACAATTACCACAAAACAGACCCTCTACTCAGGCTCCTATCTCTGCTGCCTTTCCCACAGACCCTAGCAACCATGGTAGTAAACTGACTTTTTTCCACCTCTTAGCTTCCTATTTCCTCTTCACTTTTAAGACTCATAGACTTAAAAATATGAAATATAGTCAAATAAAGTTCGAAACTATTAGATTAGGTATCTTACCTTTTGGCTTTGTAGGTAAGATTGCTGAAAAAATGTTGATGAAATGTGATATGAAGTTACAATAATGACGATGATGATAATAATTATATAGTATGTATGTGCCAGTCATTATTACAAAAGCTTTTCATGCATTAACTTATTCAAATCTCAGAACAGGCTTATGAAGTGGACTCAATTTCTCTTCCCATTTTCAGGTGAAGAAACTGAAGAATAAAGAGTTTAATGGAATTGCTCGTGGAATTTAACCCCAAGCAGTCTACCTGCTATGTCAGTTCACCTAACAAACACTACTCCATTAAAATATTATTCTATCAGTTGGGGAAATTGCTTTCCAGAGACGACACATGGCATTAGAATAGAAGCCAAAGTAGTTAACTGTTTCTAATAAAGAGCTTAAGCTTCTTTTTATCAATAATCCTTACCAAAAATCTTCCATCTCCTCCATTCTGAGAAGATAAATCTGCAGTTCTTGAAGTGTGTAAAATTAATATAAATAACCAGCTTGAAAAAATGTACCCAAAACTCATTTGGGATGAAATTTTAAATAATTTTATGAAAGTATAATAGTTTTATGAAACATAATATTTAATGTTTTTATTTCCTAGGAAAAACAGAATGTGAACAAATATGTTCAGATGCATGATGAGAAACAGCTTTTTAAAAATTTGAGCTATATTTCTTAGCAAAGTTAACATTATATATAATTCTCTTCACATTTTTGTAGTATACATGCAGCTACCGGTATACTGTCTAAACTATATTTGTGTCTTTTTCTTCCACAGTGCTTGGCAAATAACTTATATTAGCCTTATTCTTTCTATTTAAAGTTCAAGAAACATTTATTAATAAAAATTGATCAAACACATAAAAACATAAATATTTAGTTCTTTATACAAATTTTAAAATTCCAAGTCATAAAAAAATATAGATTTCTATATTATTCGTTAATATGTGCAGTTGTATTAGCCTGGATCAATGAGGCTGTTTCCTTAAAACATTATTTAGAAACTGATTAAAGTAGCAAATAACTAAGAAACACCACCACCACCAAAAGACATTAGGTAAAGCTTAGGAATTATGTAGCACCACCCTGGGTTGCTAAGGCCCTGAATTGGGCTCTGCTGTAGCTGTTGGTATAATGTATTCAGAGTGGCACAAAGAAAAACCTTCTGCTTAGAAAATGAGTGGCAAGTTAGAATAAGCATGCCCTAAGGGTCTGTTTCAGTCAGCCAGTGATTCAAATAGCCCCAACTACTACAATTAGCAATGATCAACACCACTTAATTCTTCATGATGTCAATTTCTGATAACCGTATTTTCAAAGGTTTTATACGTAGAAGAAGGAACATCCTGATGAGAATACATACTCGTTGCTAGGAGGGTTCAGCTCATTTCAAGTTTTAACACTCATTAGCTGTACGACTTGGGAGAAGTCAAAGAACTCATACACATGTTAACTGTTTCCTTCAATGAGGGTAAAATAATCTTGTTGGAAAAATATCTTGATAATCTCTTAACTGAAATAAAAAGTTAAATTAATAAATTTAATTAAATTTGAGTTGCTGAGAAATAATATTTTCCTAGGGTAAAATAAATGAGATTTGATCACAATTAAAACAGTATAAATGAAGCCTTTAGAGAAAGGAAAGAAAACCATTTTTTTACGTGTAAATGCATTCCTTGTATGAACTGAACTTGAACACAGAAAAAATAAATTACTACAAATGAAACAATAGATTACTAAAATCAATTGAATTATTTTCCACTATATATAATATATAGTAGAAATATATAATATATATTAAATGTATAATAATGCTATATATTATATATACTACATATATATACCATATATTATACATGCATAGTATATATATTATATATACTACATATATATTGTATATATAATATGTAATATATATTACATATATATATTAAGGACCAAATTCGAGTGAAATCTATTGCTATGAACTTCCTGTAAATTCCAAATTGCTTTGGAGGATTTTTGAGGTTTAACTCATTTAAATCCCCAAAACATAAAGGCATCTTAAAAAGTAAGTTGGATAAGTAAGTCAACAAAAGATCTTGAAATTGAAACACATATGCTGAATTCCAATTCGTTGTTTATATTGTGTTCCTTGAATTTATGATTCAAAATTTGAAACTATAAGCTTCTCATTTTAAACATATGTATACATTTATCAGCCAGCTACAAGGTTCTAGAACAGTGATTTTCAAACATTCTCTCTCCCTTTCTCTCTCTCTCTCTGTTTCTATCTCTCTCTACCTAAACAAGCTAAGAACTGAAAAGTTCTGATTGACAGGTTGAAAGACCTGGAGCACTTAAGTCTTCTATTATTCACCAATCTTTTCTCCTTCAGCAGGTGGCTCCAATGTTTAAAACCTAGAGGTTGAACCAGGGGTTGTGAACCTTAAATAGAGTGTTATGAGCTACTGACTCTTAAACTTTGAGCTTCAGAGGAAGTTAACAGCAAGTCTGATGACTCATATGCATTCTCACATGCTTGAAGGTGGCTGAAGATGAAAATAGCCGAACTAGCAGGTTGGTAGGTGTTATGGTAGCATCTGTCCCTTCAACCAAGAACAATCTGCACCTGTGACATTTGAGTAAACTTTGTGCCAGACTGTGTCTTCTATTTTTCTTATATGATGTGATACAAGATATGGCCCAAATCTGAAGAAAACAAATTATATTATCATAGTTTTCATTATTTTATGAGCACAGTCAATGGCAATATAACGTTTACATTTGTGCTTTCTTTCTAACACACCTGCTTTAGGAGTCAATGAATCATTCAATCCAAAGGGCCACTTATTTGGTACTTCATATGCAGTAATCTAGTCTAGTAGTAGGCTAGAACACTTGATAACCATAAGAGATAATCCAAGCCTTTTTTATTTCTATCTCAAATAAGTGGCCTCAGAGTATCTGTATCTAGTCTGCCCTTTCAGCCTGAAGATCAACATTAGAATTTTCAGTTTCTCAAGATACTAGGTTTGCTCCTTTTTTCTCAATGTCTCTCTCAACCCTGCTCTGGGCAGTTTGCAATCTAAAGTCCTATGACTAAAATATTTTTTTAAAAAATAGCATCCCAGCATTCTCCTTTGATTAAATTAAGTACAAAGCTCTTCAGTATCCATGTTAATATTTTAAATATTGATTGCATATATGTTAAGATTTATAAAACTTTTAGAAAAATGTCTATTATTTATTAAGAAAGAAAAATGAGTCTTCTCTATAGCAAAACTGTGCATATTTAATAGCTATATATCTACTAGAACATTTTTTGTTTGCATGTTTTTCATTTTTAGTTCAACAGAAGATAAAAACATGAGTAAAATGTACAATTAGCCATTTAATATAATATAGAAATCCTTAAATATTTTATCCATATTTTAGGAATTCTTTTAAACTGTTCTAGCTAAGATACAATGAGTTATAGACAGAGCATGACCTAGTTAAGAGTGTGGATTTTGGAATTGGCCAGGCTTATTTCAAATTCTTAACTCTACCATTAGCTGGATGATTTTGGACAAATTTTTCTAGGAGTCCTGTTTCCTCTTCTGTGAAATGTGGCTAATGGAACCTTCCTAATAAAGTGAGTGTGGCTTAGACAATTTAATGAAATTGTGTAAATTATCTCACATGGATTCTGTCATATGGTAAAAACCCAAGAAAATTTTTTTCTGCTCTGTCCTCTTTGAAATATGCTTGTAAAGTAAAATATGAACAACAGTAAACTTGAATCTTTTCCTTAATATGTCCTTTATGTCCTCAAGGGGATAAACAGCTTTTTCCTTCATATTCTCTGTAGCAGATACAAAATGGCCTCCCAAAGATGTCTGAGTCTTAATCTCCAGAATCTTGAATATGTTACGTTACAAATACATTTGTCAGATTTTGCAGATATGATTAAGTTAAGGATCTTGAGATATAGAGATTATCCTGGATTATCCAAGTGGACTCAATATAATCACAGGAGTCCTTGTAAGAAAAGGAGAGAGGTAGGAGAGTGAGAATCAGGATAAAAGATGTGGTGACTGAAGCAAAATCAGAGACAGAAATTGAAATCTGAACATGCTGGACTGCTAGTTTATTCAAAACCAGCAGAGGAACTAGCCAAGGAATGCAGGTAGCCCCTAGAAGATAGAAAAGGCAAGAAAATAGATTCTCTACTAGAGCCACCAAATGTAATGCAATCCTGTAGACACACTGATTTTAGGACTATAAAATAATAAATTTATGTTGTTTTATAACACTAAATATGTGGTAATTTGTTACAACAGCAATGGGAAACTGATACACTCAATAAAGGCAATAAATGGACTAGAAGACGTTACCATTCTATGCAATATATATATATACACACACACACACACACACACACACACACACACACACACACATATGTATTTCTTTTTTTTTTTTTTTTTTTTGAGATGGAGTCTCACTGTCACCCAGGCTGGAGTGCAATGGTGTGGTTTCAGCTCACTGCAACCTCCACCTCCCAGGTTCAAGTGATTCTCCTGCCTCAGCCTCCCGAGTAGCTGGGACTACAGGCACACGCTGCCGCATGGCGCTAATCTTTGTATTTTTAGTAGATAGAGTTTCACTATGTTGGTCAGGTTGGTCTCAAACTCCTGACCTCGTGATCTGCCTGCCTCGGCCCCCCAAAGTGCTGGGATTACAGGTGTGAGCCACCGCGCCCGGCCCATTCTATGCATTTTAAAATTCCGGTGTTTGATACCTTTTGTAGATGTGTAGCAAGCTACAGAGAACTGTAATGATACTTAATAATAGTGAGGTCATTTCATGTTGCAACACTTAATGAAGCATTAAGTAAGCACAGTTAAGATTTCACATAAATACGTTTAAAGAACTACAAAGTTCAAGCTTTGGAAGATATTAATAAGTAACGAATGCATTACTTCTATTAATAAATAATAAGAACAAGTACTATAATTGACTGAATACTTAATATGTGCCAATATGATAACCATCTTACATACATTATCTTATTTAATTCATAAAACAGCCTTAGAGGTACGTGTTCTTACTGCAGTTTTACAGAAAAGGGACTGAATTTAAAAGTTTAACTTACAAATGGACAAACTGAAAGGAAGTGAAATGGTTTGAACCATAGCCTGTTGATTTAAAATCAAGCCATTCATCAACAATAAATCCAGATAAAGGCCAACACACACACACACACACACACACACACAATGTTGCTTTGTAAGAATTTCAGAGCGCCCTTCCTAAGTTCAGCTGATAATATTTCATCGTGTCATGGATATGAGAATTCTCAATCAGGTGGAGGCAGTTAGACATCGTGTCTGCTGATGGCTAATTTCTCCAGAATTTCTGCCTTACCTTTGGCTTAGACATCTTCCTGACTAGGGAGTAATTGATATAACTATCACTAGGGGACTAAGGACTAGCTATTCTAGGTCAGGGCTTAGAAAAATATAGAGGCAAAGAAGGATATGTTTACTTTTCTCTTGTTTTAGTAAAATCTACTTTTGTATTCAATCTAAGTTCTGGTTTTGCTATTTTCTTAAGAAAAGTATCAGTATCTGTATTAAAAATTTAGGCAAAATTAAACTCATATGTAATGAATATTGATTATGTTCCTGGTGTTATGCCAATCACTATCAAATATTTTATACATATTAATGTTCCCATTTTTACAAAAGAAGTAACTAAGACTTACAAGGTTTGTCTAAAATTATAGTCAATTTAGTTTCTTATGTGTCTGATTCCAATACCCGTGATAAAGTATCAATCCAGAGAAAGTATAAAGTAATCCAAGAGATTATTGTCTCTTTGTAATCTTCCTTTATTATAAAATCCATGAAATCCCTTCTCATACAGTGAAGCAAAATCAGATTCTGCAAATTAGATCTTTAATCTAAATTTGTCACTAATTTCCATTATATAGTTTATCAACTTGACTTTGGAATGCACTGATTCAGATTTTCTTGCTAGAAGTAGTTTTTAAGCAATGTGTGCCTTCTTCCCTTTCTATGTTATTCTCACTTGATTGAATAGTAGGCTGGAAACTAGCTTATTCAGCAATTGTAGTCTGAAGTTGGAAAACAAAACAAAACACCCACATTTACACAAAACAAGTCTGCTTTTCTACTTTCTGCTTCCTTCAACAGTTTGGTCCAATCACAGGAAACCATCCAGAAAATTTCAATTTGTTCTTACTTTTTAAAAATTTTACTAATTAAGGCATTTTAGATTTGCTCTCAGTATTCAGCAAGACTCAAGGAATCCTTAACTTCAGATTAGGGTATCTTTATGGATAAACTAGAACACGCATCCTATATTCCAGTCTGATCAAATTTAAGCACTTTTATAAAAAGGTGGCCTCATCTGAAATTTTCATGTTGTTTGTATAAGCCTCACTGGAATATGTATCTCTTTAGGTATTATAATAAATAAAAATAGCATTAGAAGAGTCATTCTACTGAAATTGCTATCTGGAAGGGCACCATATCTAATGGCTTTCATGTAGTCCTAATTATTATTATGACAACATTTACAAAGAACTTTTACCTGTATCTAAATTATTTGATATAAAATATTATAATTAGGCTATATTGCAATAATGTGCCTCTCCTATCTATTTCCTTAAGCTAGAGCTTATATTCTTGTTTCCAGTCCTTCCACTTAGGGTGATCAATAAATGAATGAGTGAATGAATGAGCAAAATATTTGTAGTATGCCATAGATAATGTTTTACCAATTGTGTTTTGGGCTCTGTACTCCATTAGAGGTCACTCATTAAACTCAGCAATAGTAGGGTAGCTGAAAGGCAACTGAACTTAAACTCCTCATTATTTGATGATCATCGTAAGATATCATAATCATACTAACTTTTACTATGTGCTACATGCTAACACTGTGCTAGTTTATATAACATGCTTATCTAATCTCATTCTCACAAGAAACCTAAGATATAGGGGATCAGTACCTATATTTCACAAATGTAAAAACTGAGGCTCAGAGGAGTAAAACATGCTCATGTTAACCCACTGCAGTAAAGGCAAGGCCTGTTTGGAGCGCCACATTAAAGTTCACGATCTAAACCCTGCTACTTTTCTCACACAATCCTGATTCAGCCTAAAATGCTACTATAATCTAAAAAAATAAAAATTAGAAAATAATAAGAAAGACTAGTATAGGCTTTGCATATGAGCATAAATATGAAAAAAAAGCTACATGGTCCTTGAAAATAAAAGAAGACAAAAATATAAGTACCATGGTTTTCTGGAAAGAAAAAGGCTATTCAATGTCTGAATAAGGGACTAGCCCATGACAAGAACGATTATAGAATGTGAGCCTCTAAAACTGTGGGTTCCCACGACTATTTCTAGCAAACTTACTTTAACTCACAACAGTATCCGTATAGATTACAGATAAAATCGGCGTTCTTCACGATATTATTTTGAATAGATTGTATCAGCAATAGTGAGAATGATTCTAGAAGTTACCTGGTTAGTTATAAGGCAAAGAATCCTTGATAAGGGATATGTTTTCCTTCTTGAATGCTCTTGGAAAATGCTGAAAAGCTTAATTGGATATTATTCAAGAGCAATACATTTTCTTCCTGCAGATATAGACTTCAGTCTACTGATCTGTCAAGAGTAAACAATGTTTTTAATGTAAATTTGTTTTGCCCTGACATCCTTGTAGACAGCTCCATTTGAAAATGAATTAATTAATTGTTTCTCATATGCAAAGGGGCTGGTTACTCATGAGATGTAGGTCATAAAATCTGAGTTTTTTCCAATAGGAAATCGATTTTCATCGATTTGTTCATGTGTTCTTACAAAATACCCCTTGAGACCAGAAGAATGCATTTAAAAACTGGCAGGCTGAGGTTAGAAGTACAATCCATAATCATGAAATAGAGTCAGCGTAGCTGGC
This sequence comes from Homo sapiens, assembly GCF_000001405.40. Taxonomy (NCBI): domain Eukaryota; kingdom Metazoa; phylum Chordata; class Mammalia; order Primates; family Hominidae; genus Homo; species Homo sapiens. Next base: position 173,915,128 of record NC_000003.12, on the reverse strand, counting down.
CCCAAGATATCCACGCCTGTGATCTTGGTCCTGTTAATATGTTGCTCCAACCAGCTAATCTTAAGAGCCCAAGTCTAACTGAAGGTGTAAATGATTAAAAAGAAAACATTGTCATAATTAATGCTATTTGTAATTGCAGCAATTGTTTTAAAAACCGCAAGGATTATTCGCCGTTGAAAATAAAATCTTGTGCTCCATTCAAGTACAGGCACATCTTCTAAGGAACACCACCACACAAAGTATGACACTCTTTTAACTTAAAACAAAGTAAAACAAAAATCTTGTAACAGTTATTGATTTAGCAATCAGTGATGTTTAGAGCTGACCTAGTGTTAGTGTGAAGAGCCTATATCAGGAAACTCAAATCGTTACTCCGCTCAACCTGGTGATTTTGTCTTTATTGATTCATGTTGGTTTTAGTCTCTTCCTGTTTCAGTGTCCCTGTGCCTTGGGGCTTTCACTTTTACATAGTAACCCCATCCCCTGCCACCACACACATACTCTACGAATTCTCTACCTTGTACTTGGTCCCAGAGCTTGACGATGTAAGTCTTCATCAAATATATACATATGTGTGTGTGTGTGTGTGTGTATGTATAGATGTATGTGTATATATACACACATACATATATTCATTAAGGCTCATTATATATGTGTGTGTGTGTGTTTCTCCTCTATTTTCTCCTTTTCCTTTTGGCCATTCAAGTAGCCTCCATGCTTCACATGCTTCATTTTCTCCAGGGAAGTATAAGGCTGACCACAAACCAGGCAGAGCCTGTAAGTCTTGCTGGCTTTTGTGAAACAAAAGCCTAAACCCTTTGAAGAAGAGGCAAAGTGAATGTGAGAGGTTGTAGTGGGGCAGAGGCTTCCTTCAGATTCAATAATGATTTCTTTAAGGATGTGGGGGAGGGGATACTTCTGTCACTAAAACAACAATGGGAACTCAGCCACATGCTAGAGAATGGTGAGACCTCAAAGAGAGATGGCTGTTGGAGTACCTAGGGAGGCAGAACCACAGCCCAAATATATCAACTGTGTATTGTAAGGAAGCACAGAGCAACCAAATTTCAATTTCATGAGATCACTTTGACTTGCTAATGAAGATGCCAGTTGCGAGCACACTAGACTGGAGTTTAGATGTCATTTCCTTGTTTTGAGTATGCTATACAAGTTTCCTGCGGTGCAGTGTGATTTTGACTTGGGTAGGGAACCCTAATAATGACTAACAGAATTTCCATGAAGACCAACAAGATGGATTTTCAGTCTATATTTTCTATCTTTTTTAGTGTATGTTTTTCTGCTTTAAAACAGCAATACTCTTTAACAGAGACTGGTAAATTAAGAACACCTTATAGTTAGGAGCAGAGCAGTTGAGGTAAGAAGAGTGTAATAAAGAATCAAGCACTTTTCTTTGGCTGTTCCTGAGTTCTTCTGCTCGACATACTTTTTGCATGAAGTGAAATGTGGCCTGTCCTTGCCAGAGTAGATAATAGTACCTGGACACTAGCCAGTTTAGCTGGGATGTTGAGAGAGGAAAGCATGTCAGCATTCACTGAGAGACTTACCCAGCTGCCCCTGTCAATGCCTTGTTATCTGCCTTCTTCACTCGTTCCTGGGCTGTCAGCACTGAACATGGCCCTCAGTGAACTGCTCAACTGCCACTTAAAAAGACTCAGCTAGAAAATCCTTTGGCTCTTAGTTCCTGTGGCCATTAGTTCCAGGTTATAATGAACTTCTAATCCTATGGAAAAGACTTATAGCTGCTATTCCCACATGCCAGGGTATCAAACATCTAAATCTCAAATTTGAACACAAATGCATTCCAAAGGCGAACCACACCTTTTAATCAATCTTGCAAACTGCTCTCAACCTCCCACTTTTCTTCCACTTACTCTTTCTTTGGTGTGTAATTTAGAATCCTTCCACACATGGATTCTTTCTTATAAATGTTTTTCTGTTTTTTCCTTGAGGCAGTACTGGTCAGGGAATACCAAGAACATGCACAAAAGTGTTTGCAGAGCCATATTTAGTTAACTTTGCCTCTGCCTCCCATGGACTTGGGGTGAATGGGTATTCTTAAGTGGAAGAGAAAGAGGGATTTTAAATGCATTCTAGTCGCTGTTGTTGGTGGTGTGAGCCATTGAAGGCATTCCTCTCACCACTCCAACCTCTATACTGTTTTCTTTCCTTATATTTTTAATGGAAAGGACAGTGAAGTACCTTAAAGGAGGGATCAATATTAACACAGTAATCACTTGTAATCATACTTTCTATAGTATTTTCGTCTAGCCAGTTACAATCTTCAGACATGTGTATTTTATACAGTGATAGAATATTATAAAGTCCATAATTTTACTTGTGCTTTTTGTAATAGTATTATTTTTATTATATCATAAAATTTCTCCCATAGTCACGTTTTTTCATCAAAATTTTAAATGATTATTAGATCATGCTTAATTCTGTTGATACACCTCATTTATACAGTTTACTAACTCATTTTTCTAATTCTAGGAATGCGGATTGTTTTTCCAATGTTTTTAGAGATGATACTGCATTGAGAAACGCCACATACTGAGAGCTCTGGTAGATACATGGGGCATATACCAGACACTTAGCACATATGATTTATAAGGCCCCTGAACACTGTTCAGGGTGGATACTCTGAAGTCTGTTTTACAAATGAGAAAACTCGAAGCTCATAGAGGAAAAATACTTCCCCAAGGGCAGTCAGTGAGCGAGTGGCAGAACCAGGATTTGAAATTCATATCTGACTCCAAATCTCATTCTTTCTCCTCTATGTCATAGAACTATTTCTTTAGTGAGGTTTCCCCAAGATAAAATCCCGGGAGTGGAATTGTTGAATCAAAGAGTGTGACTATCTCCATGGCCCTTGTTACTTGCTCATCAATGAAAATAACAGTGAAAAGGAGACAAGAAGAATAAAGTGAATACTTATTGTCTACCTTTCTTAAAGATCTCATGCTCTCTTCGGATCAGAGGGGAACACTGTCAGGCTCTATGTTTTGCATTTGAAAAAATTATATGCAGGAGAATTTAGTTACTGGCTTATATTTCATACAACCAGATTTCTTGTGATCTTATGAAATATACTAGAAAAAGTTCTGTAAAAAATTTAGCACATTGTAAATACAACATTATTATTATCCTGAAAGATTTAAATTCTTGTTGTTTGCAACTCTATCGGCATAGATAGAATTCTTAGTAAACAGAGGGACACATATTTAATCTGTGAATAAATAAGGGGTCTTTGTGTAACAAAAATTAGAGGGATCCTTTTAGCCAGCATAAAAATAAACTTCGAGGAAACAAAGGGATGCTTTCATGGTTTGAGATACACTATTATTATTATGCCTTTTCAACAAGTATCAATGCTCTCTCTTCCTTTTCACTGCAAACAGTGGAACCTTTGCTGAACTGACAGTCAGTTAGAGCCAGTCAACAGAAACTGCTTTGGGTCACATGGCACCAAGAACTATTGTTGCCATCGCAACTGCACTATGATAAATTAGCCTGTCTCCACTAAGCATTTGGTTTGCCTACATGCCCCAGAAGGTGTCGTTTTGATATTCTCCTTGACAGTTTTGAGCTAATCTCTGATTCAACCTTTCATCAGGCTTGCTAACATTTACATATATTGAAGGAGAGAAAAAGGAAATTAATATTTTTGACTCATTAGACATGTGTGTCAGTGTTTCTGGATGATTACAATATTTAAGGAGTATTTTTGCATTCTCATAAAGTTTGATCATTGTTTTAGAAACCGTTCTATACAAGGTTAACGTAGATTTATTTCACCTCTTAGATACTTACATATTACTGTCACTTAATAATTGAGATAAACTACTAAATTTAGCAAAGCTAGAGAAAAGAATATTAGCTATAAAAAGCACTGGCGCTTGTAACAGCTTAAACAATTATTTTTCAAAAATTAGTACATTTTTATTGTTTGGGGGATTGCTTTCTTAATAAATTCTCTTTGGATATTATAACAGTTTGTTTTCTTTCTGCAAGTACAGTGAGTTTAGGAGATTTTTCACAAATTTAGTCTCTTATACCTACATTTAGTAATATTCATAAATATTTGTGTGTGAAATGCAATAAAACATTGTGATTTCAGGCAAGGTACACGAAAATGTAATGAATAATTAATAATTAGCAGCTATTTAAAGTGTCTTCAGTTCCCAAAGCATTTCAAATAATTTGTTTTCCTTTTTACTTTCCGATACCCTCTGATATAGTTATCATACCCATTTTATGGATGACGAAGAACACTTGGAGAAGATAAGAAAATGGCCACAGTTACAATGAGATCAAAACAGCTCAATCTTAAAATCAAGTCTCTCACTCCAAATGGAGATTTTTATGCTACATTATTACCAAAATAATTTTGTTTCTCTTTTCCTCAAGGAAGCACACATTTGCTGTGAGCATTATATATTACTTATTAAAATTTAGTGATTTTAGAATCGTAAGAACTTTAGTAGAATATAGTTGAAAAATCTGCATACCTTGTATAGATCTAAATCAAAGGATACTAGAAAATACAAGCTATATAAAGGGATTACTTAATTATTCCTATTTTATCCTGTGTGAAATTAGAAAAGAAGAAAGAGAGAATCACTGTAAAGCAAAATAAAATGGTAGCAAAACTTCAAATTTCAGGCTTAGAATGATCATATGTATTACTGGAATGGGCAATGAACACTGATATCCAGTCTGTTGTAGGAAAAGTTTCATTTTTTTCCTGTCCTTGTCCTTCAAGGTTAAGCTTACTTCCCAAGCTATTCAACAGATACTACAGAGATAAACAACACAAGCAGCAGCATCAAAAGGCTTGTTATAATTGCAGAATCTGAAGCCCCATCCCAGTTCTGATGAAGCAGAATCTGCATTTTTAGCAGGATCCCAGGTGATTTGTGTGCACATTAGTATTGAGAAGCACTGCATCCTCTGAAACTTCTACCAACGATCAGGAAGGAGAAGAAAGAAACTGAGCATGAACAACCCAGTAGTGTCAAGTGCCTGGAATAAAGTCTGAGGAGAGTTTAGGGTTTAATATTAGAGACTCTTGGGTTAGCAAATCTCTCCCCCATTGACCTAACATGCCTTCACTATAAGAAATGTTGTGGAGGCTGGGTGTGATGGCTCACGCCTGTAATGCCAGCACTTTGGGAGGCCAAGTAGGGTGGAACACCTAAGGTCAGGAGTTTGAGACCAGCCTGACCAACGTGGAGAAACCCCGTCTCTACTGAAAATACAAAATTAGCTGGGCGTGGTGGCACATGCCCGTATTCCCAGCTACTCAGGAGGCTGAGGCAGGAGAATTACTTGAACCTGGGAGGTGGAGGTTGCGGTAGCCGAGATCATGCCATTGCACTCCAGCCTGGGCAACAAGAGCAAGACTCCATCTCAAAAAATACATAAGTAAATGAATAAATAAATAAATAAATAAATGCTGTGGGGAGGGTGGTTGCAATGAAGCTTCCCTTGAGAAGTCCATACTTAAATGTAACCACTGAAAGGTGAGAAAATAATATAATCTACCAGCAACCATTAGCTTCTCCAGGCAAGCTGATTGCTCAATAGTGGAAATTGAACAAGTGAGTCTTCATTTCAAATTGTAAGGTCTAGGACACCAGGGACTGTGACTGTGCCTGGCATAGGATACACACAAATCCCTATTTGAATTAAACTTTTTTCAGGGAAAGCCCCAAAGGATGAGATGCTTCTGTTTGGGAAAGTCCTATGATAAAGAATGATCTGCAGTGTAGGTCCCCGGGGAAAATTTATCATAAAAAAGATGGCTAAGCCCAGGGTTAAATTGAAGTTCAGGTTGCTTTTCTCTTCTAGGTGCCAAATGCCATTGTCTGGGCTTTTTTTTTATCTTAACTGAACCTCCCCCGAAACCAAATCTTACTTTCCTTGCATCGTTCTGCAAGGACTTCCTGACTTAGTGACTAGCTAATAGAATACAATTCATACTAGTTATTTCCTTAAAATGAATAATGTTAATCTTGGGAGACAATGTTCTAATACAAATGTTTGCCAGTAATGGAAAAATGATCCATTTTTCCACCTCACTGGTAGAGAGGGATACTTTGTGATAGGGAAAGACTAATGATTCTTAAGACACTGGGTTTAAGCTACTTGAGTCTGGCCAGTTGATGTTATTACATTTCAATCTTTAGATAAATTAATAAAGCTAAAAACATCTTTAGCCTGCCAATAGTCCCCATTAAAAATGTTTTTATAGACATCAAAATTATGTTAACAGAATTCAAAATGAAAGAAAAATAACGCAATGCCATCATCTCAACAAGCCAAATTATTTTTATTTTTCTCTATTTCCTTCTAGTTGTTTATAAGCAGTGTCTATTTTTTAATGTAATTTCCACAATTACATCAGTATTAATTGCCCCTGAGTTTGCCAGCCCCACTAGAGTTATAGATGTTGCTACACGTAGGCTGTACCATGCCTGATTTCATAGTCAGCTCTGCACTAGACAGACTTTAAAACTAGGTGCTGTTATATTAGTGAGTGTGGGGTGATGGGGATAGAAATTACTATATTGCACATTCAAGATTTTGGCTGTTTAAAATTTTAAATATAATAAACAACTCTGAGCTTCTCTCATGCAGCTTTTTCCCAATTTCCAGTTTTATAAAGATATCTTACCACAAGTGAGATTGTGAGGTTTGAAAATGCAAACATTTTTGTGTGGCTATTTAAAGATATTATAAAAATTACTTTCAAAAAGCATCCTTTGTTTTACTCCATCACTAAGAATTTGAGGCAGAGGTGGAAGGTTGGTATTGGTAAGTTGCAAAAACTCCCCAGGTGGTTCTAATGCACCATTCTGGGCTAAGAACCACTAGATACGTGTGATGTTTTTACTGCAATCAAACTAGCCTAGGTATTACCATTTAAATACATATTTTTTCCAGTTTATTTGGTATAAATGGTCCCTTATTTGTGCCTTATTTTTAGAGTTTTAACTAACATGCAGTAATCAATATTTTTATAAAAGTTGTCCTGTTTTCTCTTTGAGCTCTACAGTAGATTGAAAGGTAAAAGAGATAAAGCAATCTGCTGGGCGTGGTGGCTCACGCCTGTAATGCCAGCACTTTGGGAGGCCGAGGCATGTGGATCACCTGAGGTCAGGAGTTCGAGACCAGCCTGGCCAACATGGTGAAACCCCGTCTCTACTAAGAATACAAAAATTAGCCGGGGGTGGTGGCTCACACCTGTAATCCCAGCACTTTGGGAGTCTGAGGCGGGTGGATCACCTGAGGTCAGGAGTTCGAGACCAGCCTGGCCAACATGGTGAAACCCCGTCTCTACTAAGAATACAAAAATTAGCCGGGGGTGGTGAAGCATGCCTGTAATCCCAGCTACTCAGGAGGCTGAGGCAGGAGAATCGCTTGAACCTGGGAGGCAGAGGTTTCAGTGAGCTGAGATCATGTCATTGCACTACAGACTGGGCGACAGAGCAACACTCCAACTCAAAAAAAAAAAAAAAAAAAAGAGAGAGAGAGATAAAGCCATCTAAGATACGCCTTCTCCTGGATCCTCATTTCTTTATAGTCCCTAACAACTCTCTACATGTGATAAGAAGAGAGAAGAGGACTCAGCTCTACTACAGAAATGTAGGGAAATAGGGAAGTAGAGTGCTTGTTCTTAACTCTGAAAAAATTCTCTGTAGAATCCTGGACTCTTGGAAATACAACAAATGAAGTATTCTCCACTAACTGGACATAGCTATAGGTAGGTATTTTAAGTGATGCCTCACGGTAAGAGGAAATCAACTTGACATAACATTTTGATATGAATAACAAGGAGTTGCTGAGGAAAATATCCTTACACTTAAATATTCTTTCCAAAAGAAATGTGAGAAGTGCTGGTGGTGGCGTTTCTTTATAACGAAGCAGAGCTTTAGGCTTCCTGAGTTTTGACTCTTTCCTGCCTTCTAAGCTTGACCAGCAACAATAAGATGTGGATATTTCATGTCACCAATTATACTTCTTTAAGTTTTAAAATGACTACCAGGCCTGGGAGATTGGGAAGATCTTCAACTGTTTCTTGCAGGAAAATGCCCAAACCCATAGAAGAAGATACTTTACCATTTATTTTGTAAGTATTTGAGGCTTACAAAGACCTTTTCAAGCATTTATTAATTAAAGAGAGCCTCAGTAACGTGGACTTCCCTTTCTTTTTTTTTTTTTTTTTTTGTTTTTGTTTGTTTGTTTAAAGATGAGGTCTCACTATGTTAGCCATGCTGGAGTGCAGTAGCTAATCATAGGCACGATCATAGCACACTGCAGCCTGGAACTCAGGCTCAAGTGATCCTCCTGTGTCAGCCTCTTGAGTAGCTGGAATTACGGGTGCACCTACTATGCCTGGCTAACATTTTTAATATTTAATTTAAAAAAGGACACAGAAGGGAAAGAAATATAGTGTTATAGAAAAAGTAGATTTGAAATAGCCCAAAGAATCACCCACTGTTTTGCCTCCATCGTGGGAAAGGCGAAAAATATAGTAATAATTTTATCACAAATTTGTTTACAAAAATGTGATGGGTTGATTAGATAGACGGCAGCACAGTGCTACTCTGGAATTTTTCAGGGCAGGGGTGATATCTCTTTTATATCCTTAGAGACTATCCCAAAGTAGGTACACAATAAAGGCCATAAGGCATTGAGTTTTATCAACTATTAATATAAATTATCAATTAGTTTATCAGAATCTTACTAAGATCCAAAGTAGAAGAGATCAGATTTCAGTAGAGTAAGATATACATACAGCAAGTCAGTGGGACAGGGAGGAGAAAGGATGGAAAAAATGCTAATAAAAAAGAGCAATACGATCCAGTGCAAAGGGCACACAGGCTTAGGCCCCAGATAAAGTTGGATTCAAATTCTGACTGTGGCACTAACTTAGCTGCATGATGTTAAACACAATACTTAAACTCTCTACAGTTTCCTAATCTATAAAACAATCTACAGTAACTACAGTGAATAAATAGTGGTTCTCTTTCCCCTTGAAATTAAAGAGAATTTATTGGTTAAGTTGCCTTTGTTTCCTCAACTAGAAAACAATAGTATTAAAATCCATCGCCCTTGTGTCTGTTCTTGGTCCAAGAGTTCTTTAATTCTACATTCTGTTTATGCAGTAGACCTCAATCTCCTAGTATACTACAGGAATACATCCCCCGTGATTAAATTTCAGGGACTACCTACAAGCTGATGAAATAGATTTTTATTTCTGTTAGATAAGAGTTGTCAGAACCCCACAAATCCTACCATTCAGTGACAGACATTTTGCTTCAAGGAAAGGCTATGTCCTGAGACTTCTTTTGCAGTTATAGAGGCAAACCTGCTAGGGAAAGTGCTGCTGGATCCATGTCTTCTGTTATTTTTACCAAACATTTCTGTGCTTGCTTGAAATGCCCCAAGTGATGTATTTCTTATCACATCCATTGTCCCTGGCAGGTCTCTGAATATAACTCACAGCCAGATCCAACAGGCCAGTGTATGCTCAAGGGAGGGCCACATGAGAGGTCTCTCTTCTCTCTTAAAGATTTAGGATGGTGCTAGACCAGGAAAAGGAAATGTCAGGAATGCATGCCATTATTCCCTTCCCTTGTCTGTGGAATACATGATGGACCAGAGCTCTTTCTCAGTGAACCAGCATGAAGCCTTGAAATCTTTCTTAACGTATTGCTTTAAGTGGACAGTACAAATTGGGGTTGGAAGCTAATATGGACCCTTTGGCTCTCCTCACTCTAGAGTCTTTTTAACAATTCAGCTGAAGTTGCAAATTTAAAGTGTGTAAAACAAGAATAAACAAATAACAAGAGTTTGCAGTGCCATTCATCTGTAAAAACTAACAGAAGTTGGAATCTGTGGGACTAGACCTCTGGCAGGTCCAAGGCCCTACCCTGCTATGGCGATAGTCCACATGGGAAAGAGAACTCAGGCAAACAGACAGGGAAATAGTGAAATTGTTACCAGTTCTTTGCATCAGGCGGGTAGCCAGAATTTTGTCAGGAGGAGCCACGGAGGTTTAAAACCCATGAAACTAGAAAAAGGAGCTTTTCCAAAATTTTGATAAGATTCTCACCTCAAGAAGAGGACAGAAGCAGCAATATAAGGCTCTTTATGGGCCTGGATAGCCAGGGCAGGTTGGCCCTCTCCCTTGGAACACTGCAATATCATCAGTCTTGTATAATCAGCGTGTGCTATTGTAAGCTTTTCCTTTACCTGCCTGAAAATAACTTGTTCTTGTTCTGTATCTGTTGGCATTTTCTGTCAAATCTTATCACCACCGCTTTGTTGACCAGCAAGCAGAATCATAAATGCAAACATATCTTTGTATGGTCAGAGCTGGTCTAAGGCATTCCCTCTTAGAAACAGAAGTGACCCAGAAAAGAATATGAGTGTCTCTTCCCCTGAAATTCTGAAGACATTAGGATGGATATTTCTCTCAAGATATTATTCCATATCCTCCTCCAGCTGCCATACCGAAATGGGAACATTCAATAGGCCTATTTATCACATATTTGTGGTTATGCACTTGAAACTAAATGAAAAAAAAAAAACCCTTTATCTTCACATATAAGCAAAAGTATACTCCATTTAGGAGAAAAAAAAGGAAGAAAAATTAAGCAAAATAGAAAGAGGTGAAAGTTAAGAAGAGAGAAGCCAGGACAAAGAGATTCTAACCCCTTGATCCTAGAGATATCTTCCTATGTTGTTTGTCTTTCCAGAGCTAGCACAATGCCTTAAATGTAACTAGCCCAAGAGTAATTTTTTGCTAAACTGAAATTGGAAAGGAGAAAGGAGAGATAAAAGGAGAGATTAAAAAATGAGAAAGGGAGATATTTACATCATACCTCTTTTATTTTAAAAAGCCCATGCAATAATGAAACAAAAGGAACCCAAAAGAATTTATATGCAAACCAAAAGCCATTGATAGTTTGACTTTTCAAATAATAAAATAAATTGACAGCCCACAGTCGTGTAAGTTGAATCTATTACAAAGTTCTTAAAAGTTTAAATTGTACTGTAATATAAAAGTCCTTCAAAAATTTCTTAGAAAAGTAAACCTCTACTTCAACAGTAAACTTTGTAGCTGCTTGGAAATGGAAAAAAAAAAGAAGAGCCTTCTGAGTCTGTGCTGGGGAAAAAAGACTACAAGTATTTTAAAGCCAACTTCTAGAGGGCACATCAGGATTTGAAAGGATGTAATAAAAGATCTCCTTACAGCTCCCTGAAATATATGACAGTATTTCAAGGAATTTGGCTGAGACTGACACCAACTCTCATTTGAGACTTTAAAATAGAAGACTAACTGTCCCAGCTTTCAGCAATCGCTTCATTGTTTCAGGAGGCCCTCCATAGCTCCTTGCCCGCAGGTATACCTTCCTACCCTCTCTTCTATATTCTGTACCTTGAGCACAGCTACCTTGATATGTAGGCCTGGCCTCACCAATAGATTATTCTCACTGTTTAATCACTTCTTCCCAATCTGCAGCTTCCATCTGTCACCTCTAGTAACAAATAGGAAAATGCAGTAGTATAGAGCATTACTTGTTAAATAATTGAGAGAAACATGTTTATGTTTTACATAAATATATTTCAGATAATCAAAGTACAAAGATTAAATTATCTTTACCATGCAAAAACTCTTCAACATAACACATATATGACTAAAGGTAAAAGGCTTGTCATCTGTCCACACCATTCTTGACCCTGAGTACTCCACTTCCATCAATCCCTTCATTCAGTCAGTAGCTGAGTCTGGTCTGTTCTCTCTCCTGATCATCCTCTCCTCCCCATGCTAATCCCTTTTCCTTAGATCCAATCACCAGTCTTCCTCCTGGATTACTGCCGATCTGATCTAATGAGGCCATTACCCTCCAAAAAGCCCATCAATGCTATCCCTTTTTCCCCAGTATGAATTCCTAACAGAACACTCAATGCCTTTTCTGACCTGTCTGCTGTTTACTTCACAAGTCCCTTCCTCATGCTAAACTTTTCCAGAACTTTACAGTGCTATTCATCTGCATAGAATGCTGTGACACACCAAAGCTAAGTTGGGTGGTAAGCCCTCAAATTCCTATAGCATTTTGATTATAGCAGTAAACACATGGTACTTTTATTGTGTTTATCTGTTTCACCCCATGAGACCTCTTTAATACAAGTACTAAGCCTCGCTTTGATGCTGTTTCTAGCATCAAAACAGTGCCTGGCACACAGTAGTTCACAAAATGCATTTTTGCTAAATGAATGCTCCTGGTATGATCTCTAGACTTAATGCTGTGGGCTCACAGAATAGTTATAGTCTCATCTAATTATAATCATGTTCTCTCTTGGCCCAGAAATAAACCAAAATTCACTATTCCATGCCTACTCTATGATTCTCTCTAAGTAATAAAAAAGAATAAGGCTATAAAGTCTGTTGAAATAACCACAATCAAATATTAGCATATAGTTGCCAGAGGCTTGCCAACTTAAAAACTGGTTTGAGTAGCCACAGGTTACTCAAAGGTCATGTGTAATGATAAATGTAACCTTAAATTATTCCATATTGTGGAGAGAAACTCTACGTAAGAATAACTATCATGAAATGTTGCTATATGAAATCAGGTTGACCTGTAACTCTGGGATATCACATTTTTAAAATCCTTACATAAACTCTCTTAAAAATCATATTTTCTGTTTCAAACATAAGCTATTTCTATGTCAATTCTGAAATCCTCACCAGTTGAGGAAGTAAGACATGGGCCAGTCATGTGTGTATTCCTATGGAAAGGTCAAGACAACAGACAGAAGCTGTGACCTCTAAGTGAACTCACCTCCTTTTAATGGATCCTATCCAGGAGGAGTGGAAAAACTATGAGGTCTGGAAAAAGTAAAGAAAAAGTATTCAAGCTAAAAGAAGTTAGGAGTATGGGATGTGGCAGAGTGCGGGAAACTAAATTTTCTTCAAGGTTTCTTGAAAAAGTGTGAGTACTGATTTGGATAATCAAATAACATTCCGTCAAGGGCTATCTGTGTAGGGAACCAAATTTTGGATGCCAAGCAAAGTACTAATAATAAAATCCACATCAGAAGATCCAATAGTCAGTTTTAATACTAACTTGCCATTAAAATGGCTTAAATATAAAAGCTGTATTTTAGACAAGCAAAATGTGTCTGAAGTCTCAATATATACAGTGTAATGTTGTGAGACAAATGGCTCTGACTCTGACACAGCAACTGCAGTACGTCCTTTCAATTCAGCTCAGATTTCTTGAAGGGCAGTGCAGTGATTCTCAGAGCAAATCAATAAAATTCAACAGCATTTTAAGGCCTGTTCTCGAAAAAGAAATTAAGTGTTCTGTGTAAATTCAGATCATTTCCCAATAAAGTTTCCAAAATGAAATTATCAAATCAGGATGTCTTGAGTACCACAAAGAGAGATATTACTATTTTATACTTCAGTTTTGCAAAATATAATCCTTTATCATTTTGTATGCAATCTTAGAAATAAGGATCATACATACCGAAGTCTTACATACAGAATATGCATACCCTGAATAAGCAAAATAAGAAATACTCTTTAGTGGCAGCTAACAAATGGAATAAACTCCAAAATGAGATTGTAAACAGATTTAAGTGTAATTTTATATTATCCAAATCTAATATGCCATAGAGAAATGCCAAGCCACTGTTTTTAAACACACACACACACACCCCCCCAAAAAAAATACTAGTTTTTCAAATATTCTATTTATATTTCTATTGTTTTATTTACTGGTTTCAGAAACTTGTCTATGTATTAATTGTACTCCTCATCTCCTTCCTGCAGTTACAGGATTACACGCACATGCACATATTAAGGAGTGCATATATATGTGAACTCCTAATGCATTATTAATCTCAATTCCATGACAAACACTAGTAAAGGGATTTTTTTGGAAGGTGAGAAAAAATAAATCTATATTCTAGCTTTTTATAGGCCAAATAACATTAAGTAAAGATTATTTAAATTAGATGATCAAAAAAGTCTTAAGAGTATTCTTAGGTGCTTTTCTTGAACTCTATGATGTTTTCTTAAACAGCAGTTCCAAAAGACACGAGTTTCCAGTCAGAGGACCTGGCCTTAAACATGGCTATATTAGTTATCACTTTTGTGACCTTGAAAACGTCATTTCATAATTGCTAGTTTTCTTTCCCGCCATGTCAGTATAACACATGCTCCCCTACCAGAGGTTCTATCAGGGTAAAATGTTGAACAAATGATAATTAAGCCTTAATTGTTTTACTGTCATTCTAGGATTACTCTACTGGTGAAAATAAATTTTGCCCCATCCCAGTGTTAATAGGTTTCTCTCTGGATCTTTGTACTTTGCATGACCGTCTTCCCCTGAAACTCTGAAGAACTCAAAGCCATTTGATTTTTGAATAGATAATCTTAAGTAAATCTTGCCTATTAAAAATTGGAAGTTAAATTCCCTTTTTCTCTGCTCCCATTCTTATGAAAAACTAAAAAGAACAGAGATGGAGATAGAGTTATTCAAAACCATATTTAGTAATACTGTATAAGAAAAGTAATTAAAGGGATTCATGGAAAAAAATCCATGAGTTTTCAAAATCAATTTCTGTCTACGTTTGGCCAGTCTTCATCTGGAAATAATTACTTTCTTTTCCTCTGGTTAGTTACCTGAATTTGCATATCAGCAGGGCAATGATATTAGGGTATATTCACATCTCTACTGTAACAGATGCACCCAAAGCTATGGTCAGGCCCTGAGAAGGTCCAGTTAATTCCAATCATTGGAAGTTGTTAGTATTTAAAAAATGAAGTAGTAACAAAACAGAGTTTATAAAACTTGGCACATTTTAAAGCATACATTTGACAAATTAATGTTTTTAGCACTCAAAAATAGAACACAATATAATTATAAGTTCTTTTTATTTTCTCTGTTTTGAGCATTATCTTTGCTACCCTCTTTTTAATAGCTCCAAAGTTTTGCCCTTTTGTCCTCTCTGTTCTGGTGAGGAGAAGCAGAAGATTCACCAGCTGCTCAACAGCCTCTGGCTGGAGATGATTGAAAGGAAAAAGGAAAATCTGAACACATTATCTCTTATGAACTCAGTTGATTGCATATGCATCATTTATTTCTTTGTTTACATGTTTCATAATTAACATGTAGCTATTTAATATCCTTAAGAAAATTGTTGATCTCGAATTTGATTCAAGTTAAAGAAAAGGAATTAAAACATCCAAATTAAAAATAAGTGTCATTCAGTCCATGGGCAAGCAAACTTACACTGTAAAGCAGCAGATAGCAAATATTTCAGGCTTCATAGGCCATATAATGTTTGATAACTACTCAACACAGCTTTTGTGGCCTGAAGGCAGCATAGATGACACGTAAAAGAATGGGTGAAACTGTGTTCCAATAAAACTTTATTAATGGAAAATTTGGATTTCCTGTAACTTTCACATGACAAAAATACTATTCTTTTGATTTTTCTCAACCATTTAAAAATGTATAAAAATCATTCTTAACTCAGGGGCTGTATAAATCAGCTAGGAGGCCAGGTTTGGCCTATTGGTCATAGTTTGCCAAGCCCTTGTTTAATCTAGCTAGACTCATTTAACGAGAATTGGTTTAAAAAATTGCCAAGGTTTATCTATGTTCTCAATGATAAAGTTTCATTAAAAAATGTTCTACGCTTATTCCAAATTTTTCTTAAAAACATTTAGTATAGTCGACTAATGCAAGTCAGTCTGAAAAATTTTTTACTAATTTGAAAAACTTTCAATGTGTTAATTGCTCTGACTCTATATCAAGTTCAACAAATTTATGCTATCTAAGATCCCATTTTAGGTTTTTAAAATGTATTTACCCCAAAACCTCTAAAGCTTTCTGCCTTTGCTAAAATAATAGAACCCACAGTTTGATGGAGGTGGGAATGGTACACTGGAGGAAAAGTTGAAGGAATAAAACTGGCTTCTTGCTTGTATTATTTTTCTAAAAGATCCAGAGATGTACATGTTTATCATTTTGTCTCTGAACTTAATTACTTTAACACTTAACATTTTCAAATAATTTTATTATTCTTGGAAAGAACTCTAACTCCTTACCCCAGATCAAACTTCATTTTTATTATTGCTATTGTTTTGGTGTTCTCTTAAAGCTGTATCTGAATGGTCCGCAAAACAATTTCATTTTTTCCTTTAAAGTTTGTCTAAAGTCATTGGGACAGCTTTAATCCAATGTAGTTTATGAGGTCTCTTTGAAAGTGTGTTGATCCTGTGGCTGATACTCCATTTATTACAGGGAATATTTGTAGCTGGTACCTTGTCAAAGTAGCATACAATCCTACTACTAAAAATGGATTCACAGTTAATAGTGACAGTTTTACTACAGAAATGAATAAGTCCCTAGTTAACTGTAAAACATACACACCCAACAACAGCAACAACAATCAGTCCATTTGGCTCCCCAGAGCTAGAAGCTACTACATTGTTATAGAAGTTGTGTGTATGTTAACATGCCATACCAGTAGTATGCTGGTTAATGCTTAATACCAGGTCTCTGGGATGAAAAGCCCTGATTTGGAGCATTTACTCATTTCTATGGTGTGAATACCTTGACATGGTCTATTTCTAGCAACCACAGTGACATCTCTGAATGCACAATGGGAAGAGATGCACACGATTTGCCTTTTAAAGCCAAAATGAGCTGGCTTCAGCACCTCACTGCCTGGTACTAAGAAATTGCAGTATTTTTTTCCTGATATCTAAAAGAGAAACTGAACATCAAAACTCTTTCCTATGTTTACTTTCTGTAAAATTGTATATTTCCACAATAAAATGAAATTATCTCAATGATTGAAAGATTGCAAAAACATTGAATTTAAAGCACATCTTCAGGACAACTTACAATTCAAGGTCTTAACACTAGCAAAATTTAGAATTGTTACAAGTAATAGGGAGATGCCTAAGTAAAGAAATTACCATTTATAAATGTCAGTGAAAGCTAATTTTCAAGACAGAAACTTTTATTAGGATTTTTTTTTGCTATTGAATCATGATAATTCAAGTATAATCTAGAAAAGCATTTCTTTTACATGTGGCTTTTGAATTCTTTAATTTTTCCAGTGTTAACTTTTACAGTACACCATGGCTTTTACAAATGCAAATCTGATTGTTTGCAATGATTCATGTAGTCTAAAGGGGGCAAGAACACCATGCTATTCTATTAGTATTGATTTGTAACATGAGTGGTAGATGTTCATGACAAGGAGAGAAGAAATCTATGGCTTACTTGTAGAACTGAGTCCCTAAAGCTTATCTGGTTCAGTGAACAGGACTTTCCTCTTATAAGATATCTATTGTTTATCTTGCCTTCACTAGTTAGAACAAGAATGCCTTATTTGTTTTACATCCAAATGAGGGTATCAGTATAACATTTTACCTAACCTAGACATAATGAGATCAAAATGTAAATTGTCATTGGATTTTACTCCAAAAGTAAAATTGCTTATATTGGGATAAGCTAGGCCTACTGCTGACTGAGACTACACTTAGTAGCTCAACAACTCATCTAACCTTAGCTATTCATATTTGGATCTCAATTTCTGGTTCTACAAAACTGCAGAGGACATCAGTGCAGGCTGTTTGTTGAATGATATATTTATAGGAACTAAACAAGGCAATAGCAATATGTCAATGTCCTCTTCAAGGGAAGATACCAAATTTTACTATCTTAATTTAATGGGATGGATATTTGGGAAGATAGTAGATATTTTATGATTTTATTGCAGAGGCATCAAGATGCTAGTCAGGTGATGATCTCTAGCGGGATTGCCTGGAAAGAAAATCAGTGAAAGTGAATCTTGGGGAATCTTAATTGCCCAGCAAAAGAGTGAAAAATGTGGTGAAGATTTTAATCATATGTAAACAATCATGGGATCAGTGGAATAGAGAGTTTGAAGAAGAAAGTAGCTAAATTTGAAAGGGAAGAAAGATACTTACTTCTGGATGAAAGAACACTGGTTCTGACAAAGAACACCTTTTGGGACCCCGGAAACAGGTTGAATAAGAAACAAGAGTAGTTTATAGTGAGGTGTTGAGGGATGTGTTTAGTAGTAAGTGTGGTAATCAGGGCAGTTTGTGATCACTAATTGACAGTCAAGTTCAAGGAAAAGGAACAATGAGTGTGGCAAGGAAGAGACAATTTATTTGAATGAAATGATAATTGAGAGTCCAGGTCTCTAGCTGAGGGAAAGGTGATTGGGTGAGAAGAGCGGATGGGAGTGGTGCTAGATAAGGAGGTGGCATTGAGACAGCTGGAGATTTCAGGGCTGGCTGGCACTTTAAAATGAAGCATGTCAGCATCTATGGTATGAATGAGAACTGTGACCAGAGACTGGGATGGAGAAGAGAATGAAAAAGTAAAGGTACTGTCAGAGAATATATGCTAATAAAGCATACACCAACTTTGCTCCAGATGCTCATATTTTGTAGGATCAAACTAACAAATGTCAAATAAGTTCATAAACACTATGAAAGTAAAATGCCTTCCCAGGGCATGAAGAACTCACCCAAGCAATTCTAAAACTGCTACAGGAGAAATGTAAGTCTATTCCTAGCCTTTTCACAGACACTGCACAACAGGGTGCTCAGAGAACTCAATTTGAAAGGAGAGACTCTACTTCCCAGAACCAGAGAGACTTTTATTCTACACTATCAGGATTCTCCTAGCTCACAGAAGGATCAGCTGGACGGTAATTATTTGGTCCTATGTATGATGGGCAGAATGATTCCCCCATGAGGACTTCACAAAGCAGATCTTTTGGGAAACTGGAAACAGATTAAGAAGCACTTATCATAGGATGTTGCAATTATAAGCATCATTATCATCATCACATAGCTAGTGTATTCCTACTAGAGGCCAAAATCAAGCACACTACCTAGCAGAAATCTGAGTGGAACCAATGGAGCATGGTGACTTACCAAGAGGTAAAAGGAAGGCAACCATGCTAATTGCCAGGCATAATTCATCTCCAGAGACTCAAGTTGATAGGAAAAGTATAGTCATTGAGGCCAGGTGTGGGGAGGCCAGGTGCGGTGCCTCATGCCTGTAATCTCAGCACTTTGGGAGGCCAAGGTGGGCAGATCACCTGAGGTCAGGAGTTCGAGACCAGCCTGACCAACACGGCAAAACCCATCTCTACTAAAAATACAAAAATTAGCCATGTGTGGGGGCACATGCCTACAATCACAGCTACTTGGGAGGCTGAGACAGGAGAATCGCTTGAACCCAGGAGGGAGAGGTTGTAGTGAGCCGAGATCATGCCACTACACTCCAGCCTGGGCAACAGAGTGAGACTCTTGTCTCAAAAAAGAAAAAAAAAAGGGTCCTTGGAAGCTGCCAAGTTTTCCTTCTCTGTGAGATCTTCTTTGGGGAAAATTATTCTGTCTATCATTCAAAGGACCAAATGATTACTGGTCTCTGGTCTTTCTGGAAGCTAGGAGGCTCCTGGTAACATAGAATAAAAGTCTCTGACACTGGGAAGTCGAGTGTCTCCATTCAGGTTGAGTTCTCTGAGTACCCTGTTATATGGTGTCTGAAAGGAAATATTTTAAAAATCTTTACCATATTTTGGCTTCTCTTTGCCTCACAGTAAGATTCCCCAAGTTTTAGTTTCATTGCTTTCCTTTCCGGGCAATCCTGGTAGAGATCATCACCTGCTAGCATCTTGATGCCTTTGTAATAAAATCATGAAGTATCTCCCAAGAACCTGTGACTATATTACCTTGCATAGAAAAAGGGACTTTACAGATGTGGTACTCAGATGGATCAAGTCTAATCATATCAGTCCTTAAAAGGACTGTGTTCAGAGAGATGCAAGAGGAAAGAGGAGGCTGGAAGGATACAAAGTGAATGTGGGAGGCCTCTAGAAGCTGGGGACTCTCCTCAGTAGTACAACTACAAGAAACTGAATTATTAGATCAACAACTCCCCCCCTCCCGGCACCAAAAAAGCAAGGAAACAGATTCTCCCTAGACCTTGCAGTAAGAAATCCAGTCTTTGTAATACGCTGATTTTAGCCCAGTGATACCTGTGTCAGACTTTTTACCTATTTAACTATAAGAAAATAAATTTATTGGCCGAGTGAGGGGGCTCATGCCTGTAATCCCAGCACTTTGGGAGGCCGAGGCGGGTGGATCACTTGAGGTCAGGAGTTCGACACCAGCCTGGCCAACATGGTGAAACCCTGTCTCTACTAAAATTACAAAATTAGCCAGGCGTGGTGGCCCACACCTATAATCCTAGCTAATTGGGAAGCTTAGACAGGAGAATCACTTGAACCCTGGAGGCATAGGTTGCAGTGAACCAATAATGTGCCATTGCCATTGCACTCCAACCTGGGCAAAAAGAGCAAATCTCTATCTCAAAAAAAAAAAAAAAGAAAAAGAAAAAAAAGAAAAGAAATTTATTA
Organism: Homo sapiens; assembly: GCF_000001405.40. Classification (NCBI taxonomy): domain Eukaryota; kingdom Metazoa; phylum Chordata; class Mammalia; order Primates; family Hominidae; genus Homo; species Homo sapiens. The sequence goes on along the minus strand of NC_000003.12, from coordinate 173,894,602 downwards.
TTTTAAACATTTAAAAATGTTTAAGTTTGAGGTAATTGGTATGGAAACAATGGAACACTCATATACTATATGACCCTGAAGTATCTATGAGACTGTATCTTTAATAAATATCAAAGAAAAGCAAGATTCAATTTATGTAAATCATACAGGAGAATGAATGACTTAGAAACTCCTTTCTCCAACCCAGGAGGTTGAAAACTTGCAAGCTTCCAATGAGTATTCTTTTCCTATCAACTTGAGTCTCTGGAGATGAGTTATGCCTGGCAATTAGCTTGGTTGCCTTCCTTTTACCTCTTGGTAAGTCACGGTGCTTCATTGGTTCGACCTAGGTTTTTGCTAGGTAGTGTGTTTGATGTTGGCCTCTAGTAGGACTACACTAACTATATGATGTTGATGATGATAATAATAATTGTAACACCCTGTGATAAGTGCTATTATAATAATAATTGTAACACCCTGTGATAAGTGCTATAATGGAAGTCAATACCAAGCCCAAGTTGTATAAAAGAGAAAGCAACAAGCTCACCCCAAGGGATGGCAGGAAAGAGGAAGTGAAGGTGCTTCATGGGATTTGAAATAGTGAGTAAGGGAAAGTGTGAAAGTTGGACAAACTGGCAGGACATTTCAGTTAGAATTAATGTCACAAAAAAGGCATGAAGAGGTGAATGGGAATAAAGGATGTGAGTAGCACGAGGCCAAAGATGTTGTAACATAAGTATTCAGGGTGCAGACATGCAAGACTTGCGATGACATAAAAAGGAGGTTGGGATTTACAAATGATAGGCAAGCTATCACAGAATTTTAAGCAGAGGAAAACAAAATTGTATTTATGCTTCTGGGGCAACACGAAGGACAAAGGGAGGTGAGTTAAGTAAGAGGTTAAAAAAAATAAAAACAGGTTAGGAGCCCATGCAATAATAATTATGCAAAAAATTATTTAGGGCCTAAGACAAAGTGATAGACACAAGGTGAAGATCTGAAAGTATTTAGTTAGAATGTACAGGATTTGATGACCTTTAGGGTGAAGGATGGTTGAGGAAAAAGTCAAGCATCATCATTAATCATCATGGTCATCAGTGTAGCTAATTTTTCCTGTGTCTTAATACGTGTGTGCTATTTTATTAAACTCTTTACTTGGATTATATCATATGGCCCGTACAATAGTGCTATGAGAAAGGTATGATTGATACAACCATTTTATTGATGAAAAAACTGAGACTTCAAAAGGTAAAGTAACTTTCTCGAAGTCACATTGTTAGTATCAGAGCTGAAATCTAAACCTCGGTGACTGAACTCAGAATACACATACTTCAAAAGCTATGCTCTTAACCACCACAATTCTTTGTCTTCCCATGGCTGACATCCAGGTTTCTGGCTTGGGTGACTAGATGGATGAGTGTCTTTAGTTAGGAAGGTCATAAAAAGAGGGATAACTAGCTAGAAGTTGGAAACATGTTCAATTTGAGATATGCTGGGTTTGAGGTGCCTATGAGAGGGCCCCTGATTTTCTGCGCCTGATTTCTCACAAAAGTGTGGATAGGAGATACCTGTTTTCTGTCTGATTCTCATGCTGGCTCAAATATTAATGTAATTAGCAGGTATACAAGAGGCAAGGGCTCAGAAGATGCATAGTTATAATACAGATTAATTTTAGATATTAGAAAAGGGGAAAAAAGGCTTCCCCAAGTCTCCAAGATAGTACAATATTGTTACCTACTACAATGGCTGTCAGGGACAACATAGCTTCCAAGTCAGGTTAAAACCTAACTGTGGGGTTATGACGGTGCCTCTCTGGCATGCCTCACTTCCTCTTCTCGTCTACCTGCTTCAGTCAGCTTCCTCTGTGTCCTCACATTTTCCTGCCCAGTGGCTCCTGAATCATAACTCGGATGTAGAGCTGGATGGAAACCCCACGAGTGTCTGGCAATTGGATATCATGGCAGTGTTCCAGTAGGTAGTGCTAAAAATGTTAGTTTAATATAATCTCTTATTCCTCATTTCTTAACTGTCATTTTTTTTTTTTTTTTAGTTTGCCTTCTTTTCCTGGTTCTGAATATGATGCTGACACATATTAGCCTGCAAGAAGTGATCTACTTTCTGAGACTCAGTTTTCTCATCTGTAAACTGGGGCTACTGATCCTTACCTTACAGGGCTATTGTGAAAGTTAAAAGGAAATGATGTATATAAAACATACATAGGAAAATCTTAATAATGTTTTGTTCCTCCCAACCTACATTTACGAAGGTCACAACATATCTGAAAAAGCAGTTGCATAAAATAAAAACAGAGAACAGAGATGGCAGGATCTATTGGAGGATATGACACACAGAGACTTATAAAGTAATAAGTTTTCACAGGCCCAAGCAGAACAAAGGATTTAACATACAAATACATAAAAATAAGGGAAATGCAAAAAAAAAAAAAACCTTAAATATACGTGACAAAGTTTCTGTTTTAATGACATAATAGGTACTTAACAGGAGTAAATGCTTGTAAAGATAGATGACTTCTCTCACGCATCAGGATTCCATGATACACAAAACCATTTCAATGATGTGCTTAAGTAGAACAGTAATTCAGGTGATTGTTATTTTTCCTGTGACTCCTGCTTCTAGAAACATAATTGCTGTGACCTTGGCTGTGGAATATACTTTCTGCCATTTAGTGCACTTTCTTGCATATTCATTCATCAAGTATTTATTACTCACCGCAAGGTGTGAGGCAGTGTGTTAGAAGCAATTTTGTCTTTTCTGCATGATGGGCATTGTTGTGACTTGATTAGGACAGAGCTGGAGAGTTTCTTGTATCATTAGGTTTCTTTTGAACACCGGGTATGAGAAAGACCCAACCTTTCTAAATCTGATTATGTTGGATTTGAGAAGTGTCCCAAGGATCCCTCAGCAGTGGCCGCTCATATCCACTGCCTTGGTAAGTTTTAGAGTTGTGCTAGGGAGGTTGGCAAATGGGCCTGGACATTGGCCAGGAGTAAATCATCCTCACAGTTTAAGGTTTGTGGATGGCTCAGCTAGGAAAACATGGGTTTGGAAACTTTAGAAGAAGGAATAAAGGCCAAACTAGGCAAAAAGGGAAGGGAGGTAGACTGGGCAAAGGGCATAACACATATGGAAAAGAGGAACTATTTTAGGATGGCACCTTGCCAAATGCAGTACTGTGAAGAGGCTTTTGCTGCCTAAATATCTAAAATGATTTTCTGACTATGCAGATAGCTTGAAAGTCTTACAAAATATCACATTAGGTTAAAGAGAATCTAAGGGGATATGATTATCAGCCCATAATCCTTCCACTTGGGAACTGAGAGATCAGGCTATATATTTGCTATTTTGATTATTTAGGCCGTTGCACATGATCAATAATTCAAATAATGAACAGTGCACAATATTAGCATTGTGTCCAGAGTGCTTTGCTGTCATTACCTGTCAACCTGTATGACATCTCTATGTTGTAGTAAACATGTGGTTTGTATTATCCTATTTTACCACAGAATTAAATGTGGATAGAGAAGTGCCTTGCTTGAATAAGGGCAAGCTCCTTCACCATAAAGAATAAACACAGGAGAGGTTATGTCTGCTGATCTCCACTTGTCTTCAGTCCATACATTATTCCCTTCAAGATAAACACTCAATGATGAAGGATTCAATATTTAATTTCCTTCTAGCTTTTTTCCAAGATCACTTAATTGAACTCTCATTACAGGTGCAACCAATTCTTTTTCAATTTGTAGCTGAGAATTGCCATGCCACATAGATTCCAACCATATTTTAATGAAGGCTTTTATTAGAGCACTGGCTCCTATTGCCATGTGTGAAGGAGCTCTCGGATTTTTCCATTAGAGACCACGCTATGGATGGGTTTATAACTAGGAGGTAAACCTTTTCGTCAGGTTGAAGTAGGGCAAAAAAGGTTTTAGCCTTAAGAGTACTTTGTTATTTCATAATAATAAATCAATTTTCCTGCAAGATCAGAGTGCAATAACAATTTTCTTTCAATGCTATCTCCTTGTATTTCTCCAGGTTTATATAAATGACCACCTTTCACACATTTATATCTTCAGAAAACATTCATTTGAGGTCAGGGAAAAGGGTTCAAGAGTCAGGCAGTTGAACATTTTGTGCTCGATGCTAATGCAATATCTATAAAGGCCAGATAGATTTTGCACCAAAGAGAATCTCTGTACCAAAGGCACACACTGCGGTCTCCGGCCCAACCTTCTCATAAATGCATTCTGTTGGTCACCCAGGGACTAAACAAGTGTGTGTGGGTGGTTCTGAACAAACCTCTGACCATTAGCTGCAAAACAACTGAAGGGACAGGTCCTAGAAATGAGAGTCAGAATTATTATCTGAACGACTGAAAGAGTTCTCTGTGTTAATGGTAATACCTTCACTTTTATAAGGGAATTTCCTCCTGCAACCCAAGTTAATGCATGTAGAATTTTAAAGGGAATGGCTTTTGGTTTCAGATTTCTATTCATTGCTCTTAACAGCTAAATGGGATAACAGAAAATGATTACTGGGTCATCAGAAAATGCTGCAGAGCCTAAATGAACTTACATAATTTTACCTAATTAAACACACACACACACACACACACACCCTCATACATACACAAAAGAGAAGGCCCTTTATTTTTGGCAAAATCTCTACCAGTTCCCACAATTTATTGCATTCTTTCTTATGTCTGTAAGCTTGAAGAATTTAAACGTTTTCTTTGAGTCATTCAAGATTGAAGTTCACAGTGGTGTTTCTTAAAGTATAAATGTATGCACCGTATCTCTTTTGAAGGATGCATATTTTTTGGATGCATCTGAATTAAACAGCTTTCTCAACCGGTACAACTAGTCCTTATTACTGCTGTTGGCAGGCAAACAACTATCATGGTCGTTGCCAGACCTTATGTTTGCTGTGTTCTTTTATTCCTTTTCATGTATCACTGTCTTTCAGTCTCAACCTCCATAGGTACTTTCTTTAACATAAATTGGACAGGATTTTAAAACATCATTTAACAACAACAAAACCCCTTTTTACTTCTTGACAACGGGATTCTTTTAAAAGGAAACAGACTACTTTAAAAACGACATGTCACAACTAAATGGTCATGCCATTGAGCTATGTAGTAAAAGGTATTAACTCCTTGGAATTCCTACACTGACCTCTTTTTTGCTCTCTTTGTCACTGTTTGTAGTAAAACAGTGGAAGGTAGCTGGCTAGAGGCTACAGTTACGCAGAAAGAAAGGTCAGAAAGGCAAGATGGCTGCAAAGGTGGGCAATTCACATACCCTCCTCCCAATAACCGTCTTGTCATACTGTCTACAGGCAAACTCCTTTTGCTTATATGCAGCTCTGAAAATTATGCTTATTAATGCCATGATCTCAAAAAGGCAAATTATTATTATCATTCATTCTCATGGCCCACTTTCATGCTGAACAATTATGACTTCGGATGAGAAATAACAGTTTCATGTCAAAATGCTCATACATTTATGGAAATACATAGCTGTCACTCTGCATAAAATTAGAAGCCTTCAATTTTCGTTTCAAATTATTCTTCATGGAGACAGTGAATACAAACAAAAAACTTGTATAGCTGGTTTGAAATGTAGTATTCTACTCTAATAACAGAAAATCTCCAGCCAAAGTGATCAACACCTAAATTATAATAAATCTGTCTTTGTGCATGTCTTGTAAATGGTGAGCTGTCAATAGTCCATATTCAAGTGACAATAAAGGTAACAAAATGAAAACCTCTGAGCTTTCATTTTAACTGGGTTATTGCAGAGTTTAAATACTCCTAAACATCTTAATGTCTTCTTCAACACTCAAAAAAAATGTAAATACATAATGTTAGGAAAAAAATACGTCACGATAAACTTTCCCTGGTTTATATAGAAGTTTTGGGACATCAAATATTCGTATTAATAAAATGTCATAAGTTTATTATATATTCAAAAAATTAGCATGTATTAATATGAACATAACACAAAAAATATGCTCACTGCTATTTAGTTTATGATGTTTTAAAAGCACTTCAGAATAGCTGGCCTCTGTATCTGCAAGTTCCATACCCATAGGTTCTGCATCCACAATTCAACCAATGGCCAATCAAATTTACTGGGAACAAAGAAGAATAAAAAATAACAATAAAACAATAAAAATATTTTTAAAATTACAGTATAACAACTCTTGATATAGCATTTATATTATACTAGGTATTATAAGTAATCTAGGGATGATTTAAAGTATAGGGGAGGATATGCTTAGGTTATATGCAAATACTATACCATTTTGTATAACGGATTTGAGCATCTGAGGATTTTGGTATCTCTGGGGTCCTGGAACCCATTCCCCACAGATACTGAGGGATGACTGTATCTCACTGTGCTTTAAGCTATCTATTATTAAATCAATTATATTTGGACTAGTAGCTCCAGATATGCCTATAATTGAGAGACTTGGGAATAGAATAAAGGGAACATTGTGATTCACAAAGATTTTATTATGTGCATTATATGGGTGATTCATATACACCATGTTTCACTGTCACTACAGGCATTTCCTATTGGTGCTAAATATCTGCTTATTTTAAGGAATGGGATATAATTAGAAGATCAGTTAGAAGTAATTTAGAAAGTTTCAATTAAAGTTTATAATTTTATTTCTTGAAAAGGATCCATATTAAGTGATGACAGTAGTGGTAGAAGTGGGTTTTTTTTAGTGTTATTTTTGTTGTAGTCAAATTTTCTGAGTGAAAATTTTACTAATACAGATTGATAGTTTTAAAAACCAGTTATTAAAATAATGATAATGCTTGAAAAGATCCCTTTTAGAGCTGGTTATTTTTAGAAAGCAAAAACTGTTTTACTAGTATATTTTAAAAATGATTGTATTTTAAAACTAACCATGGAAAATTAGAATTTAAACTATCCTACATAGCAACATAATATATTGGTTAAAGCACTGGAAATGAATCAAGAGACTTGGGTTTTCTGTTAGAACTCTGCCTCTAATTAGCTGTGTCCCTTTAGGAAATCACTTAAAGTTTTCAAAATTTTAGTGAGGTGAAGAGTGAGAATTAGATAACATTTTCCAAGACCTCTTCCAATTCTAAAATTTAAATTTTTTTGATGTTTTAGAAAAAAATTCACCAAGCATTTGTTTTCATGATCACTAAAACTAATAGGTTCATATTTCTTTTGGACTGAGTCATTACGATCAAGTTGTTAGCTACAAAAGTGAAAGAAGTCAAAAAAGAAAAGACATATGCAATCTAAACTCTGAACTCTTTAGGATTCCAGAATCATTGTGATCCAAGAAATATAGGTAGAATCTCCCCAAATGAAAGCATTTTTACTGTGATCAAATCCTGAAAATAAGAAAGGTAGATATTTTCACTCTTCAGTGGTGTCTACAAGCTTTTCAAATGAATATTGTTTAAGAATCACAGAGGTCAGGTAAGAAATGCACTTTGTTTCCAATGAGAGGAATAAGCTATACCTTACAATAACTAATGGCAATGATGAATACTGACTATTTAAAATTTCACCTACATGCTGAAAGGTGAATATCTCAAGGTTGATTCGTATGACAAAGAAGTGTAGAGATATTTTGTCTCTGATAAATTATGAAATCTAATCAGAAAAAAAGAGCCATATTTTTTAAATCAATTTTTTCTTGAACTCGCCTATATTTAGTCTATTTTATAGTGCAAGGGAAATCAAGATATGGAGTGATTACAAAGACAAGTGGTGGGTTGACGGTTATTTTTATTGGTTTCAGCAGTCTCTGGTCATGCACTTATTATACCTCCTATGGAGTCAGGAGGCCACTCTTCCCTCTAGGAATTGCCTGAGTTGAAACACCAAGGTGAAATTTTATGACTGACATATTTCTTCATTTATTTCGATTTTTACACTCATCCCTATTTTATATTTTACTGGTAAAATGCATTGTTAGAATTAATTTTCCTTTTAAACTATTTTGCCTTATATATAGTATAAGTTCTCAGTTTATAATTTAAGAGCTGTAGGAATCCTGAGAACCAAACAGATGCTTGCATTTGCCCCCTGTTGAATATTCTTTGTCTTAATAAAAGAAAAATAATAACTAGTAAAATGGATGAAACTACTGCTGAAAAAATGTAAAATGTACTTTAGAGTATTTCTAGCTAAAGAAGCACATTTGCTTCTTCTTCTTTTTATACCTTAAACGTTTTTTCACATTTGAAAGGCAGTGTTCATGTAACAGTAAATTTGAGGACTAGAAAAATGAGAAAAAAATACTCACAGTCTCTTCTTCATAATGCAAATCACCTTATAATTTTGAAGTACTTACTTTCATTGTTTTTTCATGAGTGTTCTTCTTTTGCCTTGCTATAATTATACTGTTTTCCCTGTTTTAAATGATGAATTTTCATTGAACAGTACACATGTTGCCACGATCTTACATGGTCCTAATGACTAATATTGGTAGTGGTTGCATAAGAGTCTGTGTGTACACACATAATTTACCTAAGTATTTATCTACTGATGGGCCCCTAGGTGTTTGGGATATGACGGTTTTAAATAATGTTGAAACAAACATCCCTATAACTTTCTTCATGTTTTAGATTTATTCTTACTAATAGGTTCTGTAAAGAAAATGTGAAATACAAGAGGAGTTACATAGTTGTGTTTTTCATAATGATCACTTCATGTCTTTGTCCATTTATCTTCTGGGTTTTAACATATTCCAGTATTTATGAATCCATTAAGTAATGAATATTTATACAGTTTTTCATATTTGCTGAAAATGATGTCTCAATTTTTTATATCTTTCTTCCCTGAAGTTTATTTCTTCTTTGTGTTTTCTCTGCTTCCTAAATTTTGACATCCAGCAGTATAAAAATATTCAAGTGTTTAACTATTTAGTGAATTGATTATGGTGACATAAATATTATTTCCTTTGGACACTTATCCCTTAGCCATTTATTGAATATGCTTTTTATTATAGATACATAATTCCTATTTACTATATATTTAATATAGCAATATATCAAATTTTTATCTGTAAGTGGATCTATTTCTGGCCTAACTATATGGCACTTACTCTGTTAAGTAGTTTAGTTTTACAATATGTATTAAAGTGTTTCCCTTGCCTTTACACTTTAATATAGTAGTGAAAATAAATAACTTAAAAGAGATTCTTTTCACTTTTCAACCACCTACTGTATACTAGCACAGCTACTTTGAGTTTCAATTATATAAGGTGCTTCAAATGAACTAGGCAGATATCATATGTTTGAAAAAAATAACAGCACACTGTATATGAATATGTTCTAAACTGTGCAGATTTGATTATAAAAATGCGTTAAATAATAAAATTAAGGGTAAAAAAGTATACAACAAAATTTCTAAATGAAATATCAATATTTGCTAGATTAAAGACCCTCAGATCTATGGAGATAGTGAAATTTCAACTGAATCTTACCATTTTGGTTTCTGTGGTTTGAATGTGTCCTCTAAAATTCATTATGTTGAAAAATAATCACCAACTTTATACTATTCAAAGGTGGGGACTTTAGCAGGTGATTAAGTCATAAGAGTGGGCTTGTATGTATGAGATCAGCAACCTATAAAAGGGCTTGAGAGGGTAAGTCCCTTCTTTACCTCTCTGTGGCCATGTGAGGACGCAGCATTTGGCCTCTTCAGAGGCTATCTCAACAAGGGGCTATCTTGGAAACAGGGAGCAGCCTTCAACAGACATGAACCTGTCGGCACCTTAACCTTGGACTTTCCAGCCTTCAGAAACGTGAGAAATAAATTTCAATTGTTTATCAATTATCCAGTCTGCGTTTTTTTTATAGCAGTATAAATGGACTAAGAAATTGGTAGATTACAGATGTGTTCATCTGATTTTAATTCATGAGATAAAAATAAGAAAATAAATAAAGTCTAGAGTCCTATGTACATGCACATGTAGGAAACTTTTAGTTTCCTCCATATACTATCAGTATGTGTGGATGTAAAAATTTCAACTAATCTCAAAGTATGTAGGTTCTTTTTAAGTAATCTAAATCAGTATCTCCCATCACTAATTGTCAACACTGTATTACCAGACACTACAGAAAGTGTTATATTTATGCTACTTACTTAAAGATCATTACGAACATATATAGCACACATCATAAATCAAAGACCACCTAAATTCTTACTGTGCCTCATTACAAATAGCACATAAGGATAACACTGTAAGACTAGGACGGGATGTTTGCGCATGCCTAGAAATAGAAATTAGGTGCTAGGAAACCAAATCAGAAATTGCAGTTGATCCCTTATCTCTAACATTTCTGGCTTACTTTTTATTTTTTTAAACATCAGTTTATGGTTTTATCTCCCCCAGAGAATTCTTGTCAATTACTGAGCAGAGAACTCCTTTCAAAGACAATGTAAGTTAGTAAGACATTGCAAACAAAAATTTTGGGTCAGCACGATAAAGGCCAAACAACATCCTAAGATGATTTAGTTGCTAATGATTCTTTCGATTAAAAAAAAAAAGTCAGTAAGAAATCTTTAGTTTACCCTACCCTAAATGCAAAGGTAAATACGTATTCAAAGGGGAGGATAATTTATTATGGTTGAACAGTACTATTCAAGGAAAGAGTAAAAATGCTAGAACGACAATTTCTCATGTGAAATATCAGTGTGATTGTGTCTCTATTCCTATTACTAAGCTGAGAGAATTAATTTTTACCTTTAAAGGTCATGGAATTCTAAAAAAAAAAAAAAAAAAAAAGAAAGTTTCCCTTTAATCAAAACTAATAAAACAATTATTTTGAAAGTATCATGGCCCATGATACTGCCATGTCAACATGGGCAATTACAAATCAATATATATAGTACAGGGATTTAAATCAGAAACTGGTAATGACATAATGTATATATGTTTCAAACACATTGTGCACCATAAATATACAGGCATACTTTATTGCACACTATTGCACTTTGTAGATATTGCAGTTTTATTTTTTTATATAAACTGAAGATTTGTGGCAACATTGCATCAATCAAGTATATCAGCACCGGTTTTTCAACAACATATGCTCACTTCATGTGTGCTCACCTCTCTGTGTCACATATTGGTAATCAGTGCAATACTTCAAGCTTTTTCATTATTATTATTTGTTATGATGATCTGTGATTTTACTATTGTAATTGTTTTGAGGTGCCACAAACCACACCCATATAAGAATGCAAACTATACCAATAAATGTTATGTATGTTCTGACTGTTCCACCGACTGGCCATTCCCTTATCTCTCGCCTCCTTTTGAGACTTTCCTATTCCCTTAGACACAGCAATATTAAAATCAGGCCAATTAATAACTCCTCAATGGCTGCTAAGCGTTCAAGTGGAATGAAGAGTCACACATGTCTCACTTTAATCAAAACCTAGAAATGATTAAACATAGTGAGAAAGACATGTTAAAAGTCAAGATAGGGTGAAAGCTAGATCTCTTGCACTAAACAGCCCAGTTGTGAATACAAAGAAAATGTTCTTGAAGGAAATTGGAAGTGCTACTATAGTAAGCACACAAATATCAGTAAGTGAAACAGCAATATTAAAATCAGGCCAATTAATAACTCCTCAATGGCTGCTAAGCGTTCAAGTGGAATGAAGAGTCACACATGTCTCACTTTAATCAAAACCTAGAAATGATTAAACATAGTGAGAAAGACATGTTAAAAGTCAAGATAGGGTGAAAGTTAGATCTCTTGCACTAAACAGCCCAGTTGTGAATACAAATAAAATGTTCTTGAAGGAAATTGAAAGTGCTACTATAGTAAGCACACAAATTATCAGTAAGTGAAACAGCTTTATTGATGATATGGAGAAGGTTTCAACAATATTCCCTTAAGCCAAAGCCTAATCTACAGTAAGCCCTTAACTCTCTTCAATTCTATGAAGGCTGAGAGAGAAGACGAAGCTGCAAAAGAAAAGTTGGAAGCTGGCAAAGACTGATTCATGAGGTTGAAAGAAAGAAGTCACCTCCATAACATAAAAGTGCAATGTGAAGCAGGAAATGCTGGTGCAGATGCTGTAGCAAGTTATCCAGAAGATCTAGCTAACATTGTGAATGAGGGTGGCTATGCTAAACAACAGATTTTCAGTGTATATGAAAGAGTCCTATATTAGAAGAAGATGCCATCTAGGATTTCATATCTAAATAGAAGTCAATGACCAGTTTCAAAGCTTCAAAGAACAGGCTGACTCTCAGTAAGATCTAATGCAGCTGGTGATTTAAGATGAAGCCAATTCCCACTCCAAAAATTCTAGGGCCCTTAAGAATCATGAAAAATCTACTCTGCCTGTGCTCAAAAAATGGAACAGCAAAGCCTGGATGATAGAATATCTGTTTATAGCATGGCTTATTGAATATTTAAAAGCCATTGTTGAGACCTACTTCTCAGAAAAAAAGATATTTCAAAATATTACTGCTTATTGTCAAAGCATCTGTCACCTAGGAACTCTGATGGAGATGCCCAAGGAGATTATTGTTTTTATGCCTGCTAACACAATACTCATTCTGCAGCCCATGGATCAGGAGTAATTTTTGCTTTCAAGTCTTATTATTTAAGAAATACATTTAAAAAGGTTATAGATGTCATAGAGAGTGATTCTTCTGACGAATCTGGGCAAAGTAAATTAAAAACCTTCTAGAAAGGATTTACCATTCTATATGCCATTAAAACATCTGTGATTCATGGGAGGAGGTCAAAACATCAATATTAACAGAAGTGCAGAAAAAGTTGATTCCAATCCTCATGGATAACTCTGAGAGGTCAAGACTCCAGTGGAAGAAGCAACTGCAGATGTGATGGAAATAGAACAAGAACTAGAATTAGAAGTGGAGCCTGGCACTTTGGGAGGCCGAGGTGGGTGGATCACGAGGTCAGGAGATCGAGACCATCCTGGCTACAATAGTGAAACCCCGTCTCTACTAAAAACACACAAAAAATTAGCCAGGCGTGGTGGCGGGTGCCTGTAGTCCCAGCTACTCGGGAGGCTGAGGCAGGAGAATGGCGTGAACCCGGGAGGTAGAGCTTGCAGTGAGCCGAGATTGCGCCACTGCACTCCAGCCTGGGCAACAGAGCGAGACTCTGTCTCAAAAAAAAAAAAAAAAAAAAAAAGGAGTGGAGCAGAAGTGGAGCCTGGCTGGGCGCAGTGGCTCAGGCCTGTAATCCCAGCAATTTGGGAGGCCGAGGCAGGTGGATCACAAGGTCAGGAGATTGAGAACATCTTGGCCAACATGGTGAACCCTCGTCTCTAGCAAAAATACAAAAATTAGCCAGGGGTGGTGTTGTGCGCCTATTGTCCCAGCTACTCTGGGGGCTGAGGCAGGAGAATCGCCTGAACCCAGGAGGCGGCAGTTGCAGTGAGCTGAGATCGCACCACTGCACTCCAGCCTGGGTGACAAGAGCAAAAGCTCTGTCTCAAAAAAAAAAAAAAAAAAAAAAAAAGGAGGGAGCCTGAAGATGTGACTAAATTGCTGCAATCTCATGATAAAACTTCAAGTGATGAGAAGTTGCTTATTATGAATGAGCAAAGAAAGTGGTTTTTTTTGAGATGCAATCCACTCCCGGTATAGATGCTGTGCATATAGTTGAAATGACAATAAAAGATTTAGAATTTTGCATAAACTTAGCTGTGGTACATTTTGAAAGCATTGACTTCAATTTGGAAAGAAGTTCTACGGTGAGTAAAATGCTATCAAACATCACTGAATGCTACAGAAAAGTCTGTTATGAGAAGAAGAGTTAATTGAAGTGGCAAACTTCCTTGTTGTCTTACTTTAAGAAATTGCAACAGCAACCCAAGCTTTGGCAGCTGCCACTCTGATCAGTCAGCAGCCATAAACACTGAGGCAAGAGCCTTAGTTTAGGCAAGAACAAAAAAGTTTACAAGTCTCTCAAGGTTCATATGATTGTTAATGATTTTTAGCAATAAAATATTTTTAAATTAATATATATATATTTTTAAACATACTTATATTGTACACCTAATGGACAACAGTATAGGGTAAACGTAGCTTTTAAAAGCACTAGAAAATAAAAAAAAAATTTGTGTGAATCACTTGATTGCAATACTTGCTTTATTGCAGTAGTCTGGAACTGAAACACAATATATCTGAGCTATGCCTGTATATTATTTTTATTTATTAATTAAAATAAATTAGTAAAAAGAAAACGGCAATGGTACAGCTAAGAAAATTGTTAGAAAACATCTACCTTCATCATTTTTTGGCCTTTTGGTTAAGATCAAGTCTAGAAAAGGTCTACATTTGATTTTATTTCTTTTTACATTCTATCTTGTACAACCACACAATCTACATGTGAGCAATATATTTCTTCAGTTATGTATCATTCAGTTAAAGTTACCTAAAAACTTCTGTAGCTCACTTTAAATTAGGTATTTACCTAAATTTATATTTTTAAGGTTGATCTACTTTTGCAAAGAAGAAAATCTTTTTGGATTTTCACACACAATATATTTTTAAGATGAGAAAGAAAAACTATGCTTGCTTATAGGATATAGCTACAAAGAAATAAAATTTAAACAAAGTTTAAAGAACTTATATGTCCAAATAATTTTCCGTCTGCAAAATAATACTCTGATGCTCAAAGTATTTTAAAATACACTTGAGAAATGCTTTTAAGAATTCATTTACATGAAATTTTGTTTCTCATCATGGCTAAGTGGCTCCTATTGGAACAACTGTCTCAAAGATGACAACTAGAAATTCTAGAAAACATGCAAAACTATCTGAAGACATTGAACAAAAACTACAAATGGGCAGATTCCAGAGGATTCAAGACTCCACACATTTGGAAGAACATAACTGAATCCAGAGTCTCCACAGTGTATCATTCATGATGCCCAGAATATAATCCAAATTAGATAAAAAAAAAAACACACAGAAAAAAGTCATCAATATTCAATAGAAGAGGCAACTAATGAAAATTGATTCTAAAGTGACCCACATGTTGAACTTTCGTAGACAAGGATTTTAAACAGCTATTATAACTATGCTCAAGGATGTGAGGAAAACCATGCTCAGCATTAATACAATGATATGTCAGCTGCGATATAGAAACTATTTTAAAAATGAATCTTTTAGAACTGAAAAATACAATATCTGAATTAAAATTTCAGTGGATGAGATTAATAGCAGATTGAAGATGGCATTAGACCCAGTGAACTTGAAGACAGATCAATAGAAATTGTTCAGTCTGAAGAACAGAGAGAAAAAGTATTGAGGAATCAGTTTACCTGAACTCAATAAAACATTTTTTTCTTTCTTTCTTTTTTTTTTTGTCTGAGACAAAGTGTCACTTTGTCACCCAGGCTGGAGTGTAGTGGTGTGTTCTCGGCTCACTGCAACCTCCACCTCCCAGGTTCAAGCAATTCTCCTATCTCAGCTGCCTGTACTCAGGGACTACAGACATGTGCCACCATGCCCAGCTAACTTTTGTATTTTTAGTAGAGACAGGGCTTCAACGTGTTGGCCAGGCTGGTCTCGAACTCCTGACCTCAGGTGATCCACATGCTATGGCCTCCCAAAGTGCTGGGATTACAGGCGTTAAGTCACCATGCCCAGCCTCAATAAGACATTTCTGACGGAACTGTCAATTTCCCCACTTTCTTAGGCAACAATATGCTGAGTGAGTCAAAAGGTGTAAATATCCACATAACTCTTGATTCAGCAATTCCATTTCCAGGAATTTATCCTACGAAATATGAGATCCTTAGTGCAAGGGATAATTGTTTTC
The DNA here is from genome assembly GCF_000001405.40 of Homo sapiens. Taxonomy (NCBI): domain Eukaryota; kingdom Metazoa; phylum Chordata; class Mammalia; order Primates; family Hominidae; genus Homo; species Homo sapiens. The sequence continues at coordinate 173,878,779 of NC_000003.12, read as the reverse complement.
TTCTCTGCTATATCCCTATTACCTACACAGAGCCTGAAGCACAGTAGGTTAAATATATATATACACACTTATATATGTATGTGTATATATATACACACACTTATATATGTATGTGTATATATATATATACACATATATAAGTATATATATTTATATTCATTTATATGAACAAATAAAAGACAGATAAATGCATGAATGTGTGAATGGAAAATGACACAAGAATTTGTACACAATGATCTTCATAGCAGTATTTTTTCTGAGATAATCGAGCCAATTTTTCAAAAAGATACTTGATTATACGAAGTCTTATATATTCAAGGAATTAAATTTTTTCATATTAAAAATAATGCAGAACATTTTTATAGATACAGAAAGGTATTTATGATATAGTGTTTAATGAAAAAGCCTGCTGCAAAACAATATTATATGTTATGCATTTTGGCTTGGCGCAGTGGCTCACGCCTGTAATCCCTGCACTCTGAGAGGCCCAAGCAGGGGGATTACAAGGTCAGAAGTTCGAGACCAGCCTGACCAACCTGGTGAAACCCTGTTTCTACTAAAAATACAAAAATTAGCCAGGCGTGGTGGCATGCACCTGTAGTCCTAGCTACTTGGGAGGCTGAGGCAGGAGAATCGCTTGAACCCGGGAGGCAGAGGTTGCAGTGAGCTGAGATTGCACCATTGCACTCCAGCCTGGGTGACAGAGCGAGACTCTGTCTCAAAAAGATTAAAAAAAAAATAATTCTCAAGGTGTTTAAAGTAGCATTATTATGGTAACTGTATTCCCTAGAGGTAAGTCAGTTAATTTGAAGACCATATAACAGTAGTTAAGAGTACATATTCCAGAAGTAAAATTCCAGGTTGAAGTCCCAGCTCTACTGTAAACTCTCTGTTTGCCTCAGTTTTCTCATCTATAAAATGGTGATGTTAATGGCAGCTACTATTGCAGAAATTATATAAGTCAATATATGTAAAGCATTTGTAACAATGCCTGGTACATACTGCTACACAAATGTTAGCTGTTATCTTAAAATTGGATATGTACATTTTATTATAAGAGCTTTTATTTTAAAAAAATTTAAGGTTGAGATAATTTTAGACTTAATAGAAGAGTGGCAAAAATAGTACAGAAAGTTCCCACATGCCCTTCACCCAGGTTCCCTTTATGATAGCACCTTACATAACCATAGCCTATTTATCACAACTAAGAAGTTAGCGCTGATACAATACTACTGGTATTAACTAGAGTACAGAACTTACTCAAGTTTCTGCAGGGTTTTTTTCACTTTTTTTTTTTCTCTGTTTTAGGATTTAATCTGGGACCCTGCATTTCATTTAGTTGTGATGTCTCCTTTGTCTCTTCCAGTCTCTGACAGTTTCTCAGTCTGTCCTTGTCCTTTATGTCTCTGAAGGTTTTGAATAATAATGGCCAGAAATTTCATGGACCGTCCCACAATTTGGTCTATCTAATGTTTTCTCATTATTAGAATGAGTTTAGTTATTGTTGGCAAGGATATCAGAGAGGTCCTGTGCCCTTTTCTGTGTATCATATGAGAAGGTACATGATATCCACAGATATTATGTACTAGTAATTAAATTTGATCACTTTATGTACTAGTAATTAAATTTGATCACACAGTACTAGTAATTAAAATCGATCACTTGGTTAATGTAGTGTCTGCCAAGATTCAACATTGTACGGTTATTTGTTCCTTTGTTATTATTTGGGAGCGAGATACTTGGGGACTAGGCAAATATCCTATTCTTATTTAAAGTTTTACTCACCAATTTGAATATCCACTTGGCTAAAGCAATTATTACTTTGGTGTCCAAATGCTGATTTTCTATTTCCCTCATTCTTTCTGTATTAATTCTTTGCAATTCCTTGGTAATGAAGAGTTCTCACTTCCATGACATTTATGCATTTATTCACCTATATATTTTTGTCAGTATGTATTCATAGATATTTATTTTAGTTTTTGAGTTTAATCCAAAATTTTCTATTTGCTTATTTTATGTTTTTGTTTATGCTATTTATAATGTTGTTTAAGTTGTTCCAACTTTGGCCACTGGGAGCTCTTTCCCATTAGTGTCTAAGCCTTTTTGAAATGCCCCATTTTTCTCTTTTAGCACATTTTTATTTTCTGGCAACAAAAGATGCCCCAGGCTCATCTTATGTTTTCCTGCCCCAGCTCTGGAATCATAGAATAGCTTTTAAAACCACACTATTTTTAGCAGTGCTCCATATTTTTCACACAGCAATGTAAACCAACAATTTCCCTTTAAAAATCTGTAATTATTGTTGAATTTAGTCTCCTCATTAATTATTCTGAATTGCAAGAAGTGTTTCAATTTGATGAATGCAAACAAACAAACCCTGAACATTATTTTAATTAATTAGAATTAATTAAATCTTGCTAAATTTTTAAAGTAAAATGAAGCATACCCAAATCTTTTAAACTGTGATATATAAATATTCGGTGGTTAAGTTACTAAGGCAAAACGCATTTTGTAAAAGCTAATTGACCTGTTCCGACTCAACCACCACAAATGCACTGTCAAAATTACCACTTCCACAGCCATCATAACCTACTGTTCAAAAATTATACATCTTGTTTCCTTTAAGAACCCCTACCAACTTGACATTTTTAAATATGTTACTGCCTTCCAGGAGAATCAGTTTGATTTTTCAACTCTTTATCACTACTGCTATACTTAGAATCTTATCACATTCATCAATCATTATCTTCAGTTTTAAAATTTTCTCAGGGATTTTTTTTTGAGAGGCTTTTAAGGCACATGTTAAGCTTTTAAAACTCTTATCTACCCCAGCCTGACCAGCACTAAACTCTTTGTAAGCATCTCCTAACTTCTTTCTGAGTAGTTATATTTCATTTACAAAGTCATATCTGAGGTTGCTTCCTAATCTTGTGAAAATAAAAACTGTCATTAGATTAGATAAAATGTTGAACTGAAGTGCTGAATTCTTGCTAGAACTTCAGAGAGGAAGAAGCTTCCTTATATCTAGGGTCTCTATCCTGTTAATATTATAAGCCTAATTGAAAGCACAACTGTTTAAAAAAGCAGGGCATTATGAGGATTCTGTTTTTATTAATAAAGGTTTAAAATCATAATATTTTCTCATTTAAAAATAATGGTACTTTTTTGTTCAAAATTATTTGGAATAAATAATAAGTCTTGCTACATTAACTTGAAGTTTCTAGTATAATGTTCACTATGTTTATTTTAAATGTATTATTGCCTTACATTAGCATTGTACTTCATCACTTACATTTAATGGCTTTTGCATGTGTCACTACATTTTATGCTTTAAACAAATATTTTTAGAAAGCAGAACAGGTATTTTTATTATATCCCTTTTACAAATGAATAGACTAAAAGTGAAAGATATTCAGTGTCCAGTGGTAGAGTCAGGACTTGAGTACAGATCTTACAAATTAAGGCTCCAGACACAGATTCTACCTGGCAAGTAAAGTTCAGATGGCAGAGGGTCACTGTCATATGTAGAAATAATAACTGCCATGGCTTCAGTTTTTATACTGACTCACCAAAGACACATTCAATGTCCGCAGTGGTCAAACACCTTCTACGCTGTTCCTATCCATGGTATGTCATGAATGGCAAAGTCTGACAGGAAGTGAAGAGGCTTGTGAAAAATTCCTTGCTCAGGTACAGGAGTAACAAAGGGGATGTGATTTATACCCCCAATAGTATATTACTTTGAAAACCAAAAGCCTAAAGACTTTCTGAGGTTACTAAACATAAGTAGTTGCAAAGCCTGTAGCCCACATCTTCACCTAAGCACTTCAAAAATCCACTAGTCATAAACGGCAATAGTCCTAGGGCTCAGGCTAGGTTTTCTCTACCCCTAATGTCAGATTACTTCCTTCTTTTCACTTCCTTGCAAATACATACCACTAGTCACAAAGAGAAATGATTAAGAGATAGAATAGATCTGTGCAAATTTATCACCCAAAATGTACATTTTACTTAGTGGTCTCTAATCCTAAGCTTTTTATACAGTGGAGATCATGCTGTTATTATTTCTCTAAGACAAGGATTCTTAACTTTAGTCTGTGGAACTTGGATGAGGGGGAAAATTACATGTTTATCATCACTAACCTCTAATTGAAAATTTTCATTGTCTTCCATTTTGAATGTTGGAAATAAACCACAGGAGGATAAATCGTACTTGTGACTTTGTCCTTAATAGAAACCACAGATATTTTCACATTATAATTATAGCCCCAAATATTATTAAAATTATATTCCCTTGCTAGATGTTATTATTCACTGGCTAATAAGGATGCCCATATAATTTTAAGCCTTACATGTAAAAAATATTTTGAAAACTGTATTTACATAAGGTTGGTTCCTTTTCTAAGTTTATGTATTTTATTTTACACATTTAAACATCACTTTGAGAAGGGATCCATAGGATTCATCAGACCGCCTAACAGGTCTGTGGAACAAAAAGCAGTTAGAATCCAGCTAAAGGGGAATAGCTGACAGCCCAGTCATCCTCCAGGATGAGACTGGAAAGTCTCTTGACTGCCCAATATGAAAAGAGAGTCACTGTATTAGTCTGATAGTGCTGCCATAACAAAATGCCACAAACTGGGTGGCTTAAACAAGTGAAATTTATTTTCTCACAGTTCTGGAGGCTGGGAAGTCCAAGATCAGGTGTTGGCAGGTTAGATTTCTTCTGAGGCCTCTTTCTTTGGCTTACAGATGGCCATCGTCCCACTGTGTCCTCACATGGCTGCCCCTTGGTCTGTGTGTTGTCTATATTTTACTCTCATTTTCTTATAATGGCACCAGTCATATGGGATTAGAGCCTACACATATGACCTCATTTTACCTTAATTATATCTTTAGAGGTCCTGTCTCTAAATAGAGTCACATTCTGGGGTACTGGATGTTAGGTACGCAACATATGACTTTTTTGGGAAACAGTTCAGCCCATAACCATCACTGTCCAAGATCTCTGGTCCAAGAGACAGGCTGTGCAGCTGAAGGAATACCATATCCGAAATGAGATGATGACAATTAAGAGAAGAAGCTTTTACAGATGATCAGGCCATTCTAACTTGATTGAAAGACTACTACAAAAATGTATGCAAAATGCATAAACCATCTTCTACTACTAAAAAATAATAATAAATCCACATTGAAATACAATAAAATTTTTAAATAATTTCTTGTTTTATGTTAATAACCCCCAAAATCTACAATTACACATGCTTCTGTCTTTTAAATGCTTTCTATTTATAACTTCAAATAGTTATGTTAGTTTTTCTTATACTGACAGAGAATATTTTTCAAAAATCATCTTCTTAGCTTAAAAATACAATATTTAAAAATTCATCAGGCCAGGTGTGGTGGCTCACGTCTATAATCCCAGCACTTTGGGAGGCTGAGATGGACGGATCACTTCAGGTCAGGAAGTTGAGACCAGCCTGGGTAACATGGTGAAACCCGACCTCTACTAAAAATACAAAAATTAGCCCAATGTGGTGGCATGCACCTGTAATCCCAGCTACTTGGGAGGCTGAGGCATGAGAATCACTTCAATCTGGGAGGCAGAGGTTGCAGTGAGCTGACATAGCGCCACTGCACTCCAGCCTGGGCAGCAGAGTGAGATTCGGTCTCAAAAAAAAAAAAAAAATCCATCATACATGCATCCCTGCATTTAGCAAGTAGTTACTGAGTTCCTTCACGTGCCAGCCCCAATTGACCTTGGGCATTGGGGACATTCCACAGTAATTACTGTGTATGTGACATTGTATCATCAAACTCTAAGATCGTTTCACATCCTTTTTCATCTGCTTGTCCTATATCCCCTCTGTGTCTCCTTATGTAATAAAGAACAAAAAACAAAGCTGTCAAAATGGGGGTGGGGAGAGGTTCCAGATATTATTCAAATGAAAGCCCTTTGTGTTGAAAAATAAACTATGGATACTTAGTAGATTAAAAGCTTTATAATCCACTTCAAAACTACATTTAGAAAAGCTAGATAGAAATTGAACACTAAAATCCTTGAAGCAAGTCGGCAGGACCTCAGTGGGAAAGAAAATCTGTCATTCTTATAGCCCTGAAGAAACTTTAACTTACTTTAAACACTAAAAAATCCTGTGATGTGGGGCCTCTGTTTAGCCTGAGGGAACTAAGATGCTTCAGGGGCATTTGCATGCACAAAGACACACAAACTCACACCAAAGTCTTTTCTATAGTAAAAGCAGAAGAATAAATTTTCTGTTTAACACAAAACTTTGTTTTGTCAAGATCATTGGAAAAATCCAGTGGTCATGTTTTTGCATTTTTCTAGTGCCTGAAGAAAAACAGGGAACATGGCCAAGAAGCTATTTGCCATTCCATATTTCTTTGACCCATTTTAGTTCAGACTACACTGCAGTCTAAATCACATTTGTTCAATCACTAGCATAGGCCCACACTGGGGACGCATTAGAAAACCTTTTATTGTCCACGTGCTCAATTTAGACTAAATAGCTAGTCAGTCAGTCAGTCAAATCAAATCGTCCTCCTGCCTGTTTGGCTTAGACATGTGCCTGCCATTTACCACGGAATTTCGTTGGCTACCCTGTCCTCTCTCAGTCCACGAGAGGGAGGCAACTTCCTACACTCTTGCCCATGAGGCGCGTGCTTTCCAGTGCATCCCTCGTGACCTACCCACCTTCACTGCAGCTAGCCCTGACTCCCCCCCTCACGGTGGGCCATCCAACCAGTCTTCATTATTTAAATTACAAACCAAGATGTTATTCTTGTGAATTCCAGCTAACTCTTAGGAACGGTTGAAATTGAAAGGTCCTATGATAACAAATATTTCATGTTTTCTTGAATGTCACCCAAATCTTAAAAATTTTTGTATCCTAAACAGTGTCCTAAACACTCCAGGCTCAAGATAGTGACTGGACATATCACACCTTAACTCCGGTATCCAGGCCTGTTCCCATGGCCTCTGTCTAGACCATTCTACTGGAGGAAAAAGAACCGAAACAGGAATATGCAGGCTCCAGCCAGCTGGGAGTCACTCTTGATGTATCATCAAGACTGTGTTCCAGGCATGGCCTTGTTGTACAGTTTCTGGGTTTCAGAGATTATACATAAATTTAGCCACCAGTAGAGCTATGCTATCTTTCAGAGGATTAAAACCAGTGAAATATCTTCAACTTGATTTTTAATTGAGCTTGAAATATTTCCATTCAAGTAACATTTACTGAGATGCTCTTAGGTGCCAGGAATTTTGCCAAGCCCTAGGAAAAGAAAGATCAAGATCTGTCTACGTCTAGTGGCTCCTCAATGTAAAATCTTCACTGAGTAAACATTTAATTTCATACTTCCTGTTATCACTGAGGGCTAATACAAAAATATAAAGATTGTATTTGTCTTTTTTGAAAAAAATCATACATTTGCAACTCTATTCCAGCTTAATACATCTTTTTTTCCACATCTACTGGTTCATTATAAAGTATATAAGAAAGAATACAGATCAACAGCCAGATAAAGAGGCACATAGGGTGAAATCTGTGGTAAGGGGTGTGGTGCTTCTAGCCTCTTCGGGACACGTCATCTTCCCTGCATCACCACATGTTCAGCAGCCCAGAAACTCTCTGAACCCTGTAGTTTAGGAATTTTTAATAGAAGCTTCATCGTGTAGACATGACCTATTATTAACTCAAGCTTCCCTACCCTTCCTGGAGAATCGGATAGTGGGGCTGAAAGTTTCAAGCTCTTAATTATGGCTTGGTCTTTCTGGTCACCAGCCTCCATCCAGGAGTCTACCAAGAGCTGCCTCATTAGAACAAAGGACCCTCATATCACCTAGGAAATTCTAAGGTATTAGGAGTTCTGTGTCAAGAAATGGGTTCAAAGACCAAATATTGGAGTTTAAGATGCTAAGTGCACCAGGACTTCACAATAGTTTTAGTAGCTCTGTGCCAGGAACTGGAGGCAGAGACCAAACAGGTATTTTTCATTCGATCACAGTGTACTTTCTCTGCATGTATTAAGCACCACAATGAATGTTCTAATTTTTGCATCAACCATGAAATCAATCACCAAATATAAATTAAGAAACTCAGAAGGAGAATGATAGTCTATTATGTTTACCTCTCTTTTTAACCATTCTATTGATACATTCTTAAATTCAGAGCCAGATAAATTTCTCATCCTGGATGCTCCTTTTACTGAACAGTCAAAACCAAAACCAAAACAGCCCCCTTTTTGTTGAAACTGTCGGAAAACTGAGATAAATTTGGCGATAAATTTGTTATCTAAAACCAGCTTCCAGGCCCTGTTTGCTTTTCTAGTTCTTTTTAATTTCCCAGGCTGCCTCAAACTGAGCAAGTATTTATTCTTTCAACACTTAGTCATTAAGCACCATCTAGGGAAGATGTACTTTATTAGGTTTTTGTGAAGATATAGCTCTGAATTTCATGGAATTCATAGTTATTGGATTTGAAAGCAAGAGGAAATATATGTAAATGAATTTATTTTAAAACAGAGATTTTAAACAATATAAATACATGCAACTTAATAACAGATTAGAAGAGATAATGGTAACATGTATATTCATTACATGTATAATAATTACATTATTTGACACAAAAGTAAGGATGTCTATTAAAACCTAGGAAGGCTTTCTCTAAATATACTTTCTGATAATCTAGCATACTTCACACACTGAAATGCATTTGTACTGGTCAGCATTTCCTGTCTTCCAGCCTCTAGATCTATTGCTGAACATCAGAGCTAGCAATGAAGTCAGCCGTGTCTAGAATAAAAGACTTTCTTTCAAATGTGTGCTCAATTTATCTGAATCAGATGCCTCTGCCTGCTGGAATACTTGATACAGTCTGAAACTGTAATTTGTCCTCTGTTGAACATCTGATGCAAACAGCAAAAAAAAATTTCAGTCAAAGAGACAATGAATTAAAGCCTCGTTTGTAGGATACGTATTTTAATTCCAGTAAAAGCCACTAAAAAAATATTGGGGAGTAGAAGTTGAAGGAAATACTTTCTTTTGTGCTATGTGTCTCCCAATACCTGTGATAATTTCTTTTTCTACACCAAGAAGACTGGGTTTACATTGATGTGCTGAGGTTAGCTTACTGAACACCAGCAAACGTGGCTTACTACAGACAGATATTTTCACCCATTTCTTACTTAAAATACAGAAAAACTGTCCTCTTAATGGTAGATTTGGGGTATAGATTTAAAGAGATCTTCAGTTTTTCTTAAAATGAAAGACTACTAGTTTCTGATGCCCAGGGAGTAAAACCAAACAACCTTTGCCATTGGCCATTAGTTTGCATGCATATACAATCCAAAATACTATCCTCTCACAAAGCTAAAGATTATTGATCATTTTCATTAAGTTGATGGATCTCTTTACTAATATTTTACATGTAGAACTTGTTTTAAAGGCATATATTAATTTCTATGTTAAGAAAAATAGATCATTTTTGTCAAACAGGAACAATTCCTAATTGAAAGGTATTATTTTTATTTCTAGCAGTGCATGATTCTGCCATTTAAACTACAAAGTTAGGATTTAATGCTATTTGCCATTTATCTGTACTTACAAATTATGATGTGGCTGAATAATATCTTCTGCAGTTGGAATTAACTTTTTCTGATCTATTACTATGCTCCTTAAAAGTATGGAATATCATTTAGTAAAATATACTCAAAATATGAAAAATAGCACTGAAGTAGAGAAGAGACAGTACCTTATACTTTTTGAAAACTTACTGACAACTTTTGCCTTAGAGTCCAATTCAGGGTGTTTTCAAGGTTTTCCTTTTATTTCTCTCTTTGTTCTCTCTTTCTGTCTGTCTCTCTCTCTGTTGCTCTCTCCCTACTTTTTAAGTACCTCATGTAAATATTGTGGGTTTAAGCTCAACTAGAGACATGAAACATTAGCCTTAGACCACCTGAGATGCTTGTTAAAATTACAGATGTTGCATCCTATGACCTACTGAATCAGATTCTTTGGAGATAGGGCCCCAGTAAAGTCTACATTTTTATCAAAGATTAATATGCCCAGTGAAGCTTGGGAGCCACTGGTGTAGACTTTCTTTACCTAGAACTTCTAAGCAGTCAGGCCCTGCCAGATTTCCAGTTGAATCCCTCCTTTCACTATAAGTGGAACTATTTTACTCTCTCCCCAAGGTGGAGAAACCTGGACCAGGAGGAACACAAGTTGTCTAAGTGCATTTTTATTCACCAATGAATGAATAGTAGTCAGTGTAACTTTATTCTGAGACTTACCGCATACTAATTTTTCAAAACAATTATCTACCACACAAACCCTGTTATATCCATATTTGCCAGACTATCTGGGTGGCTAAACCACAATATTTTTCAGTCTCTGAATTATATCGATATAGTCATAATTGTTGATTGAACACATATAGATAAAACAATTAAAATAGTACTGCCTTCAATAGCTTCCCTAACATCTTGGTCATCCAATTCCCATAACTGCTCATATTCACTTTCTCTCATGCCCATACTCACCTATTCACCTTGCTTCTCCCTCCACTAAGTAATCAGCCCACTAGGATTCTGTAAATGCTGGAAAGTTCAGAACTCCCCAACAGTTACCCTTTTCCTTCATGTGAATGAAAGCCATAGATATAAATTGGGTGGCACTGACTAATGTAACTGGGAAATATTTAAAAGTTACAGGTTTGTAATATATTTAAGATATGTAGAGGATCTGGGCTATTTTCTTAGTGGAGATTAAGATTTTCAAGTAAATTATTTTAAAGGCAATAAGCCACATGAGAACATTCTCCTATGGGGCTGTAGCTGTTATATCTAGAGCAAGTCCAATATTCAATTCAAACAACAACAAAAAGCAATGGCCTACCTCACTCTGAAAATATTTATACATTCATTTATTTTTAGTAGGTAGATTTTAAACTTCCCAACCTATCACATGCTCCTCTTACTTTGCCTCTTCAGGTGATTTTTGTAGGGGACAAATGTGCCTGTATTATTACAATTGAAAGAGTAATTGGAATGTACCCTTCATCACCACTATCATATAATAATGATAAATCATCTTTTTATTCATTATCAGATATTGGCTGATAATTAATATTAATTAAATAATATTTTAATTTACTAACATGCCATGAGGTTAGAGAACATACCAACATTATATGTTTCTTTAAAAACTGGTATAGTTATTTGACTTATGGAAAACAGATTCTTTATATTTGAAAAAGAATTATTCATAAAGTAACTACTCTAAAGCTCAATTTATTTATCAAAGATAATAAAAGTCAGAACCGTATTATAAGTAACACAAATTGCCAGTTATAGTAACTCTGTATTTTAACCTTATGCAAATCATTCTAAATTAGCCAATACAGAAAAATGCACATTTCTCTTTATTTAATATAACGAGTATAAAATCAAGCTATAGGCAAAGATTGCCTCTACTTTCTGTATCAATACAGGGAACACATTTCTTGCTCGGTTGAAACTAAATTTTGGAGAGAAAATTAACTGCTGCACTGTAATCTGATATCATCTCTGCATATTTTGGTTAGGAGGGGGTTACATTTTAAATTTTATTTGATAGTTTTTATCTAAATTAGTTTTAAGAATGCTTAGTTGATGAGGAAAATTATCCTTAATGTGCTGCTAGATCTTCCTAGGAGTACAGACAGACAGACTGTGCTGTTGGAAAATAGTACTATGCCGTTTATGGCTGTTTTAAGCCATACACATTCAAAGATACAGATTCAGACTTACAATTCTGAATGGTATAATTCTTACATTTGTAACTCTTTTCCATCTTTGCCCCTTCTTCCCCATAAATACATTAGAAACATCTTTATCTTTGTGGAACAATTTCAACCCTATCGCTTCTAATGACAAAAGGATGACCATTCCCAAAAGGGTGCTGTATAACTAACCCCACAACTACATAAATGTCCACTGCCAACCTAATGAATATATAAATCAGAAAACATGGCTTTATTGAAAAATTGGTCCCTTCAGTGGCTATGTATTAACACAGGCACAACATCTTCCATGAGATTTCTTTTTATATAAAACCAACAAATCAATTGAATGCCGCTGAGGTTTCAAATTTGATATCGATGTAAACTTAGTTGAGAATATAAAATCAACTGTATATAAGTCAATTTGAAAAATTCAATTCTAAAATAGTTTTGCTCATAATAGATTATAGCAAACATACGCCCAATTTCTCAACAAAATATCACTAGTCTCTCTCATTCATTTATTCGTTTATTTTTTAACTCATGCATTTACAGAGAGACATACATTAGTTTCTAACAGGTAAATAATAAATAACGCAGGAAAAGAATCCCTGCCTTTTTTTGTTTGTTTGTTTGTTTCTTTTGAGATGGAGTTTCACTCTTGTTGCCCAGGCTGGAATGCAATGACGCAATCTCAACTCACTGCAACCTCCGCCTCCCGGGTTCAAGCGAGAATCACTACCTATCTAATTACTGTCATTACTGTTTTCAAATGCCTGCTCCTAACATCAGAAATGTTCAAGGTACTGAGCTACCTTAATTACCTGCTTGCAATTCACAAATACATTCTTTCAACCACATCCTCCCAAACTACAGAAGTATCCTGATGAAAGAACAGGTGTCAGGCTCAAGGGAAAGAAGCAGATGTGGTCACAGGTGTCTGTTTCCTTTAGGGGGCTGATTCAACTATGCAGATCTAACCCTGCCGAGGTAGAGTTTAGTTAAAGAGGAAGCCTGCCTAGTGCCTTCCACTTCTCAGTCTCCAGGCCCATGTGGTTAATAGCAGAATAAAGTGTTTACAATTTTCTAATGAAAATTTTGAAGGAAGGGGCTTATGTTTATAAGATTCCAGCATCTCAGTTCTTCATCATATTTCCTCCCCAAAGAGCGATCTCTCTTCCAGTGTCAGGTTTATGCACATCAAAGCCTTCTTTCGGATCATTCATTTTGAAGCATAAATAATGTCAAATAACTACATTTAAGGTCACCTTTCCAAGAAGCAGTTTACTTTTAAATATCAAAGCTCTATGATTAAGTTTCAGGGCAATGTCTCTGGAATCAAGCTACCTGGATTTAAACCTCAGTTTCTCTGCTTCCCAGCTGGGTAATCTTGATCAAGTTTCTTTGTTGTTTTTTTAAAAATCTATCAGTGCTGCAAGTTTTTATCCGTAAGATTGTGAATATAATCATTTTGAAATCATAGGGATTTATTGAGGAATAAATTACTTAGTACACATAAAACACTTAGAATGGTTTCTAACACATACTATGTCCAATCAATGTTGGTTATTATTATGTACATGTAAGAACTAAGCAAACTACTAGAAATGATGGAGCATTTTGGGGATGAGGATGTATCTTTCCTAAAGATACTAAAATGACAGTACATATGTAATCAAATAATATACCATGATTTTAAGGTCTTAGGAGATTAAAGGGTTGAAGTTTGGTTCAAAATTGAGATTAAAAAAAAAGAAACTCAGTGAAATAAACATAAAACACCTAAAGAAAGGATTAATACAAACTGTGGTTACATTTACTTCACACTAAACCTCTAAAATAAAGCTAAAGATGCCACCTAACAGTGAGTAGCATTCACTTTGACAAATATCATGCTGAATTCACAATCTTACCCTGGCATTAGTACCAGACCACCACACCATTAAGTTGACAGTCCAATCAGAAATATTTAAACAAAGTTTCACTACTTAAACACCATCTAAATATACTTTTTGTTATATTCCCAGCAGAAATTGATGGCAAGGAATCATATATCCCATCAAAACCGTATTTTTCCCCCTAAAAGGCAGTTTAGATGTTCTCATTCTAGGTTTTCCATCTCTCTCCTCCACCATTCCAATTCCCAGAGTACCTCTACAAATATCCCTGCTTACCAGTAGAACTATTTGCTTTAACAATCTTTCTGTGGGTAAGGAGATGCATATGCCAATGTGAAAACTATGGAGGGGACTCCTGCCTTCAGAGCTGACTAGAAACATTGAATTACAGCCTGCGTGTAAGTTTCAGTTGCATACATAAACAGAACGTAAATTTAATCAAACTTTTCATGGCATGGTTCCAAAATTAATGGTAAAATCATAACAGATTTATGGTAAATAGCAAAATTAAGAATGTTTTTGAGAAGGCAAATGTGCAAATATCAGTCACTTAAAATATGTTTTATTACTGTGTTAAAGATGCCAGGTAGTCTGAAAATTCAAAAGCTAAATGATCCCACTTATGATTTCCCCCTTCAACGTGTAATAATTTTGGTAAAAATTGTCTTATGATAAATAAAGACTTTGCTTTACGGGAAAGAAATTTGTCATCCATGATGTAAATAGATTAAAGACAATGGAAGATCACATTCTAATTAAAAAAGTGACAGTAAATGATAATCTATAAGCAAATTGCCAATATGTACATCTATTAAGTGTCACACCCTTGAACTAGGACAAATTTATAATATGTTACTTATATCTCATTTCTAAAATGGAGACAAAAGGTTATTTTTCCTGTCATATTATGCTTGTGAAACTAAGGGGCATATTATCATATTTCATGAATACTTCACTAAATTCTTGCATTTAAACAAGCCATTCAACAGTCCATTATTGGGTTGACAGTTGTATTTATAACAAAGCAAAAATGTTTAAATGTTTCCTTTTTTATCATAGCTTTCTCATTTGAGACAGATCATTATTCTTCCAATTTTCCTCTCATCACCATCATCCAAATATGGAAGGCAGCTCTGTTACGTTGTACTTGGGATCTGAAGGAGGCGTTAACTATGTCTGCTGCAATAGATTGATCACTTTTTCTACATTAATACAATATGAAAGCTCAATGATGGCCAATCAAGCTCTCTTCTGCCTGAAGACTTCCAGACCTCACTCTATAGGGTTCTGTATTATGGTCACCATCATTCTGTGGAATGCTAGTCCTGCCAGTAACGCAGCTGATTTGCATACAGCCACATCAGAGCAAGGGAGAAACTTAAGCATCTTGAATATTCTTTTGCTTTCAGCTTTAGTCCAAACCCTGAAGGGAAATAGAAACTCATTGGAAGCCATAACCATCAAGTTAGTCCATGTGCACATCCTCCTTTTTCCTCATTCTGATCATGACTGAGGCTTATTGTCTATTAAAGATATTCAGAATGACTTCATTGACACAACTTTTAGTGCATTTACAATGAAATTGAGGAAGTAAATGCCATTATATACGCACACTAAAAAAATTGTTGTAATAAGACTTATAGAAAAGAAACATCATTCTACATATTAGCATTCAGAAACCTAAAGTAAGCAAAGATTTCTGCTGCTGCTTTACTGATATGAAAGATGATAATGAAGAAGCTTTAGGAAACGTATATCCATTTTAGAGAACTCTGATTTAAGTATATGAACCACAAAGACAGCAGGTATATGTCATGGAGAAAAATATAAAAGTCATAAATGAGAATGTTCTGGTTAAACCAGAACAATCACATTAATTTTTTATAGCTTTTTAACTTAAAAAAGGAACATATATACAAATAGGTAATTTTTAACATAAAATAGAAGAAAGTTTTTTTTTTTTTATCAGCCATCGCTCACATTGCTATCTCTGAACAGTTTTCAAATGTTATTATTCAATGCTATTAATTCTTACTGGTTCACATAGACTATTTAACAAAACAAAGCTTTAACATATTTTAGCACAACTACTATATACCACCTATTATATTAAGGTGATTTCTGACATTCATTAACTCACTACAGAACTATTTGCAGAGATTTTATAATGGGTATAGGGGTTAACCTGGCCTGGAGGCAGAGATTAGAGAAGTGAGCAAGGCACAGAGAATTCCTGTACCCACGTAGCTTCTTACCTGAATATTGGGAGTTCAGAGTAAATTAAATTAAGTAAGATATCTTGCCAACCAAATCATCTAGGATATCAATGGTTTTTACTAATAAAATTTTATTATATTATCAATGCATTGAAGTAGTGAAAAATTTATATAAACAATACAAAGAAATACAAAATAAAATGCTGTCTAAATAGTCACAGTTATTCGCTTGGTGTTTCCCTTTCTGGATATTTTTAGGCATTGATTAATACAAACATATATGCGTACCCTCTATTTTTACATATTTGGAATCTATAATATACATAATTATATGTATTATGTTTTCATTTTCTTTTTTTTTTTTTTTTTTTTTTTTTGAGACGGAGTCTCGCTCTGTCGCCCAGGCTGGAGTGCAGTGGCGGGATCTCGGCTCACTGCAAGCTCCGTCTCCCGGGTTCACGCCATTCTCCTGCCTCAGCCTCCCAAGTAGCTGGGACTACAGGCGCCCGCCACTACGCCCGGCTAATTTTTTGTATTTTTAGTAAAGACGGGGTTTCACCGTTTTAGCCGGGATGGTCTCGATCTCCCGACCTCGTGATCCGCCCGCCTCGGCCTCCCAAAGTGCTGGGATTACAGGCCATTTTCTTTATTAATATATTGTAGTCCTCTTTCCATATCAGCACATGTAGATGTAGTTAGTTATTGATTTGAACAGTAATCCTCTGTCTGTATATAGATTCATTTTAAAATTATTGGAAGTTATGTGTATGATTTAATATTTTTAACTACCTAGAGTGGTATAAAATGAAAAATTGGCCGGGTGTGGTGGCTCACGCCTGTAATTCCAGCACTTTGGGAGGCTGAGGCAGGCGGATCACCTGAGGTCAGGAGTTCAAGACCAGCCTGGCCAACATGGTAAAACCTCGTCTCTACTAAAAATACACACACACACAAAAATTAGTTGGGTGTGGTGGTGTGCATCTGTAATCCCAGCTACTCGGGAGGCTGAGGCATGAGAATCACTTGAACCCAGGAGGTGGAGGCTGCAGTGAGCCGAGATCACACCACTGCACTCCAGCCTGGGCAACACACCAAGACTCTGTCTCAATAAATAAATAAATAAATAAAATGAAAAATTTAGAAACACACACAAACACACACACATACTATCCCCACATCTTCACACTTCAAAAGTTTCTATTTTAAATTGTTCTATTGGTAATCATTTTTATTTTTATTATTATTTGTAAATATTACAGTTGTAATTATATGTATATATACATACACACATATATGTGTGTGTATATATATGTGTGTGTGTATATACACACACACACACACACACACACACACACACACACACACACGTGCCAGCTACTGGAATTGGCAATTCTTAACAATATCTATTAACTTATCAGTATGAAAAGTAAGTAATTTGGGAGACTAAACACTGTTTCATCCTTCTTTCCATCTCCCAGCTCTAGATTCTGTTATTTCTTTTGCTTTATTATCATTTTTTTTTAATTTCTAGTGGTTGCCATAAGGATTTTAAGGCTTATACTTTCATCCATTTTTCTTGATTTTATTAAAATTACACATTAAATTTACAGTATGAAAGATAAGAGAAAACTAAATATTTTTTTCAAACTCTCATCTATTTTCTACCATTTAATTTGTTAGCTTTATAATTATTATTGTTTTTATGTCATCAAGTTTTAAAGTGTGTATTTAAATTTTGAAATATGATAAAGTCTTCTCTGAATTTATAACAGGCTAATTTTTGACAAAGTGAAAACAGATAACCAAAATTTAGAGTATTAATCATGCACTGTGATAGAGAAGGAAAAAGAAAACCTATAATATAAAAACTTTTCTCACTAAAAGATTTCTTGTTTGTCCATATTTATGTTGACTAGTATAGGCAATTGGCATGAGTTCCTTGATGGTCTCATACATCTGTCCCCCACAGGCCTATTCCTTGAATGCTGTCTCTGACTGAGGTGTGCATACTTTCCCAGGTCACATGAGCAGGTAACCCCCCCTTCATATTTTGACATAGAGAAAGCAGGTAGGCAGTTAGAGGCAGACACTGTGGAAGGTTCTTCTTTAAGAATAAGGTTATGATGAATTAACATTATTCACATTTCATTCTCTAGAGAGCAGTTCTCAGTTCTCTTTATTACAGACTAGAGGGTTGGATCCAAACTTCCCTACCTGCTGGATTCCCTAATGACTCAACCTGATCACACTGTTAACAAGGGCAATTTCTTCGCTCTTTTAAACGTATTTTAACTAATTTACTGATGACACTCATTTTTCTTCCTACTGTAACATTTACACCTGCATCTTGATTTATTAATCTTAGAAAGTATTTTTGACTTTCTAGAACAAAAGAGGTAATTAGTTAATAACTATAATGGAACACCAAAGAAAATTTGAGAAAAGATAAAATAATTGATAGTCTACAGTCTACAATTAGAAAAAAAATCAGTAAAATTAGAAATGTAAAAAATTGCCAACAATGTTCAGAAATTTGGAAACCCCAAAACACACTTTTAAATAATATATGGGTCAAATAAGACACAATAATTGAAATTTCTAAATGCCTAGAACTGAACAACAATCAAATACTACCTATAAAAATATTTGGGACACATGTAAAACAGTATTTTTGGAAAGGTATATAATGTTAATTACTTAATGAAAAAAAGAAACTAGAAATAGTGAGTTAAGGGTTCTTAAAATAAATTTCAAATATGACAAAGTAAACCCAAAACAATACAAAGGAAGAATAAGAAAGATAAAAATGTAAATAATGATAATGACAAGGAAAACAAAGAAACAAAATAGTGAGGATTAATAATATTAAAAGTTGACTTTTAAAAAGATTTATATAATAGATAAACATCTGGCAGGATTTGATCAAGAAAATAAGAGAGCACACATTTTTTAAAGTTAGAAATAAAATGAAAGCGTACTAGAGCAACAGACAGAATGGAGATTTTAAAATTTACTTTATACCCAAACTTTTAAAATTTAGACAAAATGGATGATGTTTAGTCGTGTACCCTTGAACAAGAAAACATCTTGAAAAAAACAACAATCTTGAATAATAATTTCAAATTTATAAAACAAATTGTTTAGACCACCTCTAAAAATTATTTGGTTCCACTACTACCCCAATATATAGATGAGAAAACTGAGGCCTAGAAAGAAAAATTCAATTTTTCAGTGAGGAGAAAACACTGTTTTAATTAACTGATTGTATTTACTATAACAATGGTTTCAAAGAACCTTATCAAAATGACTCTTTTGCTGTTATTTCTTTAGTTCATATCACACAACAGTATAATTTTCTAAAGAGTGAAATAGGGCCCTTACAAATATTTTCCTAGATTCTTACAGGCATCGGGGTTCTCTCTGAATACATTGGGTGTAGCCTGCTAATGGTATGGACAAACAGAATAACTAATATATCAAAACAACTTTGCTAGGTCACATTTACGTATGTCTGAGAGGCAGAAAAAATAATGGTGGCCCAAATGCAAACTCCTTTGAATGGAAACAGGAAGTCAGTAACTAAAAATAAAACAGATTGTAAACTCTTTGAGACCATGATATAGTTTTCATAGTTAGTTATTAAAAGATGTTCAAAATACTTCATTCTTTTACTGTCAAACTGCATGAAAAATACCAAATCCCTTGTGTTGGGAAGACTTCCTTTATTTTCAATCTTTGTTTGTTTCTTTTTATTTTTTCTTTCCCTGAAGCATTTCAGGTTTTATTGACGTGCAAAGGGAGGCCAAAAAAAAGTGAAGTTAAACTATATTGAAGTAGGGTATTAAACGCAGATATTTTAATACAGAGAGAAACATCATTAATTTACATTATGATTTTCTCTAATACAAAAGCTTAGAAAGTTTTATTTTAGACAAAAGCTGTACAGGCATTTCAAACTAAGACTGCTGACATTATCAATGTGGTTTCCATGGTTGTGAAGAGACGAGTAAATGATTTGAAGATCATTTTCAGACCTAGGAGAAGTATTTTGCAGGAATGTGATGGTAATGAAAAATCCGGTGCTACTTATATAAACTATCTATGCGATTTAGGTCAAAGATGAATAAGGCATCTCATATAAAAATTTCATTTAGGCTCAGAACTTAAAGGTTTAAAACTGACATTCCAAATAAAATGAAATCAAACAATGTGTGAATTAGAAATTATCATAGAAACCATCCACACAGACTCCTTTTGATATTAAAGTTGTGTGTTTACAATGGGATAAGCAAGGATAGAAATCATGACCCATTTTAATCAACAACTGTGAGGAACAAGAGAATTCAGAAATTGGAAACCTATCCAAATGGCAAGGCACCCTAATATAATTCAAATCTTAGCATTTTACCCAGAACCTACATAGGCTTGATTACTGGATTATAATTTTAAAACAG
The DNA here is from genome assembly GCF_000001405.40 of Homo sapiens. Lineage (NCBI taxonomy): Eukaryota > Metazoa > Chordata > Mammalia > Primates > Hominidae > Homo > Homo sapiens. The sequence continues at coordinate 173,858,428 of NC_000003.12, read as the reverse complement.
AAGGTAACTGTTTTTCAGACCTTGAAAAAAACTGTCTGAAATTAAACATCCTAGAAGAGAAAATGACAAATCAGTCTATCCTTCTGTTTTGTCTGGTGTATGGATTTAGGGAAAATATATGACTCAGTCCAAGGCAGAGGAATCTGACAGAACTCATTTTTCTTCACTCATGTATCTTTTAAAATCAAGCAAAATATTGCCCTCTGAGAATTCAAAATGGAAGAAAAGAGGCTGGAAATCTTTCCAGACTCACTGTGCATGTGAAGATGCTAACAAAGAAGTAATGGCAAAATAAGGTTCTTGAAATAGTGAGGTTCTTGAAATAGTTCTCTTCCTACGAAGAGAAATGGTTTTGTATAGGACAATACTGAAATTTAAGCATATTTTTAAATATATTCATTCTAGTAGCAATTTTTAGTAATTGTTCACTTAGTAATTTTTTAAGTGGCCTTGGGATGGGGAATAAAGGGATTCTGGAGCTCTTGGATAGTAAAATAAGGAAAGAGTAACACCCTGAAGATGCTCAATGTAGCCCAATGAAATAGTTCTCTTCCTACGAAGAGAAATGGTTTTGTATAGGACAATACTGAAATTTAAGCATATTTTTAAATATATTCATTCTAGTAGCAATTTTTAGTAATTGTTCACTTAGTAATTTTTTAAGTGGCCTTGGGATGGGGAATAAAGGGATTCTGGAGCTCTTGGATAGTAAAATAAGGAAAGAGTAACACCCTGAAGATGCTCAATGTAGCCCAATAAGTGGCACTGATTTTAGAGGCCACCTTCTTCTAGCCCTCTTTTCGCAATCCAGGAGGCAACATGACTTTCTGTGATTTTTTTTTGTATTAGTGGGTTGATTTTCAAAGTTTGTTCAATATTGTTATTATCAATAACAATATTGTCCATTGTGTTGGGTACAGAGGTGGGAGAAGCAGAAAAACAGTCAAACAGTTAAATAAATTGGAAAACGTATTGGGTTTTGAAAAAAGAAAGTGATAACACCTCAAAGGTAGACCTGGGAGGGAGTTTCAGGTTGAGAAGGCTCTGTACAAACCATGAAGCTGGGGATATTTACAGCATAGAGGGAATTTCAGGTAGTCTAGTCTTTCAGGGTTTGAACACAAGTGGTGTGCAAGTCCCAGCATGTCAGGGGTCAGTTATCAGTGGATTCAAATTCTATCAACAGTAACACTTGTGTCCAAATTATTGAATTACTAACCCTTACCTTCTATCTGCTTGACTTAAGGACATGCTACCCCAACCCCCACCTACTTCAAAGCCTTTGTCGGTTACTCCTTCATGTGTCCAGGTGGCATTCCTTTTGTGCTCAAGCGTGAGTATTGAATAAGATGAGCTACATAAGAAATTTTGTTTCTTAATTTTATTCATGCCTCTTTTTTTTTTTTTTATCTAACGCCTTTTGCAAATACCAAAGGTGCCTTTCCAGCTTCTTCAATTTCCTGGCATTCCAGGAGCCAGGGCACTGTTGGGTTCTGTATGGAAGAATGGTGATATTATTCCCTGCAATTTTACTTCCCTGTGAACCTGAATCCTAAAGTTTATTCTGTACTGAGTCTCATAAAACCTATTATAAAATTTACCTGTCAACTTCTGGCTTTATGATAATATTTTAAGCCTTGTGCTGTTCACTTTTCTCTCTAGTATTTTAGGCCTCTGTGTAAAACAGTTCTCATTTTCTTTAGAAATCTCCTTGGAATATTATCCATACATTTACATTTATGCACACAGACCCTAGGAAAGATCATCAACCTTTCCGTTTTCCCAGATTTGGTTTTGAATTTCAGCTTGGGCCACACTGTTACACTGCAACATATATTACCCCTGATGCTTTTGCTGGACGATAGCTCCTAATTAGGAAGGAAGTTCTTAATAAAGAACTTTTCAACCTCTGACAAACACAGTTACTAAATATGAAGTTTATGATCTATAGTCAGTTTTTACCTGGGAGAGACCTGCCTTATATTCTCAATTTGACTGTTTCCAAACTTGTGACTTACAGATTTTTAACATTCAGTTTATGCCCAGTTGCCAAATAGATGTAATACCACCTACAGCATAGGTTGTTTTAAGGATTAAATGAGATAATCTGAGCAAGGTGCACAGCATAGTAGTTAATATATAGTAAAACGAGCTACTACTATTTTATTAGCAATATTTCTATTACTACCACTGCAAAAGCCTGAACATGTTGCAACAACAGTCCCTAGAGGTGAAGTCTCTGCAGCATTCAGAAAGTGGCTTTGGTATTTATCCATGCTTAAAGAAGAAGCTGTACACTTGACGAAGTACCCCAAAAGGAATGCCTCAAGATCCTGATACACAGCTGAGTAAATTAAAATGTTGTTGCTAGAGGGTCCAGAAATAGTTCCTTTGCTTCTTGCTTTTAGGAGAGAAATAAGTCCTGAGGATGAGAATCCAGAAAGAGGGAAGATTCTAAACATACCATTCTTTCATCACAAAGCAGCTAGAGTGATGGGTAAACCTGAAACCAAGTGGTTGTTTAAAATTATGGTAGTGATGTGGTAGTGTATGATCCCCAACTTGCCACCTGGCCACCATAATATTATAAATTATAAAAGACTTGCAATATTTATTTATAGAGTTGAATTGTGATATCGCCTTGCCTCTACTGGAGGCAACTGGCAATACTCAGAATTGTTTAGAATTTCATGTCAAAATTAGTTACAGAACTATTTGAAATTCAAATCATGTATGTTGAATAATAGACGTTTGGTGGAACTGTTAGTATTGGCAACTTTTTGAACCGTTGTGGTCATTCTTTATTTTGTTTATGATATGTCTCTCAGTTTGTGACATTTAGCAAAGATTCCAAAGTGTGGCACATCTTGGAAGACTACAAGAATACATTATGTTGCCATAGAGGCATCTAAAATTAATGTTTCAAATATGTAGGGCTCGGTGCAATAAAACTTTTTTGCCAAGTACATCTCTTGTATTTAAAAAATCAAGACCATTTTGTTATTAGTTGATTTCTAGTTAATTGACCAAAATAGATATTTATAAGAGAATATTTAGAGTTGGTAATTTCTAAAAGTTAAAATATTTTAAAGAATATTTAACAACATATAAACATCTAGAAAAAAGCATGAGTGCAGAAAATATTTTCACTTTAATTGTAATTATCCTTTAAAAGATTTAAGTTCAGTCAGCAACTTGGGATTACATACAGATATGACTAAATTTTAAAATATAAATTCTTAATATCACCACTCTTATGAACACCATAATCAACTGTTAATGATAATGTTCTTAGAAGAATTTACCTACATTTTGTCAAACACTGTTAAAGCGTCTAAAGTGACAGACTATGGGACATTTTCTTTTATTCCTTCTTTCTAACAGTTAAAAATGTGGCATGGTACATTAATAATATAAAAGACCAGGAGAGACACACTGCTCTGTAAAAAATAATTCTTTGTGATTTTGAACAAAACATTTACTAGTTTTTGTTCTAATTTTTGTATCTTGTAGTATGATTTTTCAAAAAGCCTGCCAAGGACTGGCACTTTTTGTTCAACTCTTCTACCCGCTAGATGTAATGAGAGATGTAAGTTCACCCTGCTAAACATCACCTTGCACCATGGGAATAATGTCATTTTCCTTGTCTCCTTCTATTTCTATGCTACATGTTCTATGAGCTCAGTTCAGATGTCAATCCCCAATACTGTTTTCCCCAATAAATATGACCATTAATGGTAAAGCACTCCTTGAACTTCAATATTTATAAAAATCAGTCAGCAATTTCAAATTTACCATGCAACTTTTCTCTTTGGCTGCTATTGTAACCATACAAAAATCAACGCAAACATTGATTTTTTTTAAAAAAAGTTAAATAGGCTATTCATTATCTTGTAGATAAGAAGAGAAGTTAGTCATTCCTCCCCTGGTTATGCTGTAAACGATTATTATTGTAGACACAGCCACAGAAAGCTGAGAATAGATTCATACTTACATAACCCACCCTTTTTTCTTTATAATTTTTATATAGGCTTCAAAGGAAATGATTTTCCTGGGCAAAGTAAAAAAAAAATCAGACTTACAGTTGGCATCATTGTACTGTTTTCCTTTTAATACACTGAAATGGCAGAGTAGCAATAGGACAACAAATTTAGGTAGCAAATATGATTACTTTAATTAAAATGAGTTCCTAAGTGGCTATTTTAAAAAGCTATACTGAAGTACTCTGCAAAGGAAAATGGGTATTTGAATTATGGATAAAGTTTTGTTGTTGTTGCCATATTAAAAGTGTATCTTGCTTAAAAAAACTTAACATGAAATTCTATAAGCATAAAACTGATAAAATGAGGGATTGATGTTTGAATTTTAAGAGTTTAGTTACGATTTTTAAGATTTCTTAATGTTTGATCAGAGTGTTATATGTTAAAGGTATAGTATTTTTACATATAATGAACAAAAATATTTGGGGGAATATATCAATTGCATAAAACAAGACTGATCACTATCAAATGTATATAAATTTAATAAATAATTTATAAAATGAATCATATTAATTTTAATTTTAACTCAAAAAAGATACTGTTTTTATTACTGCTGACCATGAGAACCTCTCATCATTGACTTATCTTGGTATTTAAATCATGATATTCCTAAAATCATGAGCAAAATCTGCAGAAAATGTGAAGCTTATACATAGTCAATATTTTTAAATAAAGCAAACTTCTAAGATTGTGTTAGTTTTTCAAAAGACATATTACAAAGTCAAATACAGTAAGAAAAATGCACTTAGTAAGCACACATAAGAAATAGTATACCAGTTTAATTCAATCCATTTATGAATTTCAGCCACCCATAATACTACATTATAAATATACAATTTCCTTAGTGTTACCAGACACTTTGGGTACTTTGTAATGTATTTGTTACACTTATTTTTATATTGAGTTTAATGCTTTAAATTCATAAGTTCTTCATCTGAAAAGATGACTCAATTTCGGAGAAAGACAAATCTATTATTATAAAATGGAGCATTGAATAAAAATCAGTTCTCTGACTTTCAGATGCACTGAAGCTAGTTTATGATAAGTTCATACTAATTCTTCTCTTTAATTATGCCCCATAAGCATCAGCAATGGGAACATCACAAGTGCATGAAAAATAAAAGTATGTTTTCCATATGCTACAAGTAGTTTGCTACCTGCCAACCTTATAAAAGTAGCATTTGTCATTATCCTGTCTGTGCTGGCACCACTATGCTGACAAGATACACCTAAAACCTGAGAAGTCTAAAGAGGTGACTAATGAAGCAGGTCACAAGTGATTATGTTGATGTCTTAAAGACAGAGTAGTGTGCAAAGTGAAGGAGACGGGTATAAATGTGTAGAGAATTGGGTCCATTTCTTGTAAATCTGTGATTAGCAATCATATTCAAATAGCAATAACATAGGTGGATTTGAAGGCTACAAATAAACCCACTTGAGAGTACCTGGAAACATCTTTATCTACGCTCTATCAGTATCAGCCTGATGAGCTAAAAGCATGACTTCTTTCAAAGCAAAATGATACTGTATTTATGAACATCCCTTAGCAGATCTAGCTAGATTGTTATTGATCATTTTAAGAATATAGAAGATTTTTACAAATGTAAGCAAGAATATTAAAGCTCCACTAGAATATAGAAAATGTATAGAAAGAAAAGGAAATTTCCAATTTGCTTTTACAAAACCAACATGTCAGTGGTTTTAAAGCTTTATAATTGGTGAACAATATGTTATAAAATAATTTAACATTAATTGTGATACAACAAATATAAACGTATTACTAACAATTAGGGGTCAACAAGATATTTAATGAATAGTATGCCATGACCAAATAGGATTTGCCTCTGAAATACAAGATTAGTTCAATATTAGAAATTTTTATAATTCAACACAAGATGTGGACTTATTCTGAAACTGATGAAGCCTTAGATTCAGAATATTTTACTCCTATTGGGGCATTCCATGGCAGCTTTTATTTTCCAATCTAAATAACCACTTACTTTTTTTTTTTTTTTTTTTTTTTTTTTTTTTTTGAGACGGAGTCTCGCTCTGTTGCCCAGGCTGGAGTGCAGTGGCGCGATCTCGGCTCACTGCAAGCTCCGCCTCCCGGGTTCACGCCATTCTCCTGCCTCAGCCTCCCGAGTAGCTGGGACTACAGGCGCCCGCTACCACGCCCGGCTAATTTTTTGTATTTTTAGTAGAGACAGGGTTTCACCGTGTTAGCCAGGATGGTCTCGATCTCCTGACCTCGTGATCCGCCCGCCTCGGCCTCCCAAAGTGCTGGGATTACAGGCGTGAGCCACCGCGCCAACCACTTACTTTTAGTCTCAACTTTAGATTCATAATTTTATATTCTTTGCTTAAAGAGGTTCCTCAAATTGTATGTTTTAAGCCCCACATAAACAGGAAACACTCTGATTTTCCATACTACTAATGAAAAAGAAAAAAAAAACAAGTGACATCAAGACTGTATTTGACAACATTTTAAATGTTTTATAATAAGACTCTTAGAATATAAGAAATGAATTTATAGTTTCTTAACATTTAACATGAATATGTTATGACTTCGACTCAAACAGAAAAATTCTTCAAACCTATGAAAGCAGATGCAATAGAAGGGTGCTCCCTCTTTGGTTTAAATCCTAAGCCAGTATTACTAGATCAAAATTTTAATATATCCCCAGATATTTATCAAGCATCTTCTAGGTATCTGACCCAAGAAGGTCAAGGGGATAATATTATCAAAAGAAACCGGGGTCTGGTCCTCATAAGTTAACATAAATATAGAAAGAAGGGGATAACATTATTAATAGTTTCAACTGTCTTAGTTGTTTACCTGGAAAATTCAAGATTTTGAAAGTATAAGATCACTCTTTAAACTGTTTGGCTATGAATGTCTTCAGAAAAGTAAGCATTTGTAAAATATGAGTTAAAAATTGTGTCAAATGTTCCTCAAAAAAGTATCAAAATCAAGGAATAAACATAATCATAAATCAATATGACCTAGTTATGTATGCCTATTGAAATACACATCAAAGACTTAAACAATAAAAGAAACTTTATTCATGTAGATGAATGATTTATTATTGAAATAATTGTTTATCTTCATTAATTTAATTTATACTTTCATTACAGAAGAATCCTGTCATGATTCTTGGGAGGTTAGATTTGATGAAATGTTCTAAAATTTGTCAGAAAAATCAGCTTGTGCAAACTTCGAGGAAAATGGACAAAAAAAGTAATGGGCATGTGGACAGTGGTCTTGATCAATCGGATATAAAACCATATTATGAAACTAAATAAAACACGATGGTATAAAATACATAAAAGTTTGAAAGATAAGTAAGTCAGGTGTGTGGCTCATTTCTGTAATCCCAGCACTTTGGGAGGCTGAAGCAGGAGGATTGCTTGAGCTCAGGGGTTTGAGAACAGCCTGGGCAACATGGCAAGACTTCATCTCTACAGAAAGTAAAATTAAAAAAAAAAATTAGCCAGATGTGGTATCATGTCTGTGGTCCCAGCTACGCAGGAGGCTGAGGTGGGAGGATACTTGAGCCCTGGGAGGTTGAAGCTGCAGTGGATCATGATTGTGCCACTGCACTCTAGCCTGGGTGACAGAGTGAGAAAGTGTCTCAAAAAACAAAAACAACAACAAAACAAAATTGAAGGATATAGTTGGAAAAAATAATTTAGAAATAACCCAAGTAAAAATAAAAAATTAGTTAAATGTGGACTTCACAAAAACATTTAAAATCAGCAAGAAAAATTTTTGTTTCAACGAAAAGGATAGAGGTAATTCACTAATCACTTGGAATGAATGTCTCTCATTCTTTACACTAAATTGCAGATAGAGTAAAAATAAAATACTACCCTCCCCAAAAGAAACCCACAAGGCAAGTACTAGAAGAAGCTAAATGTAAACATGTTTCTAATTGTATGGTTAGGAAGATATAAGCATAACCCAGAAATCACAACACAGTGATTTTTAAGAAGAGAGAGAACTTGTGCCCCAGGGACCTTTCAGAATCACTATGGGTAGTTATTGTATGTTATTGAATGTCAGCATCAATACATATAGTCATTACCATAAAGAGATGTCCTGTTTTGTTAAATCCAACATCCGTATATACCCATAATCACACACATACATACACACATATATAGTAAGATATATATGAATAAATGGAAGTTTATGTAAAATTTTATGTCACTTAGTATGTATTAATGAAAGAATTGATGCTTGGAAGGATGTCCACCAAACTATTTCTGATGGCTGCCTATGAATGGTGAGACTTCTTGAGGATATTTCACACTCTTCTCTCTATATTTTTCTGTATTATTTGAATTTTCTACAGCAAATATTACTTTCATATGAAATCATGTGTATATATGTAATAAATATAATTAAAGAAAATACAATACAGAGAAAACATTACCTCAGATAAATATATTTTATTATAGTATATTACTGTATTACATTTGAGCTCACAGTGGTATCAATGAACTATGAATCACACTTATGAAAGAACACATTTATCTATTAAATGGTTAGATTTTTCATAGTCACAGTATCAGAGAATTGCATCGCAGGAGGAACATGAAGTCATCTGCTCTGTCATAATTTTATTTATGAAGAGCCTCAGATAGTTTAAATGAGTTATGTAAATTTATACGAGAGGCTAAAGCCACAACAGAGTTCCCTGTTCATCATAATACACTATGTTCCCACCACTACACAATAGTCCTTGACCAGGGACAAGTAGTTAGCATTGGCATAAGCAGTACTTTAAGATAGGATGATACTCATACCTAAATGATGCCTAACATTTTGCATACCGCTGATTTTGTATTAGTAAAATATAATACATTTTCAAACAAGTTTCTAGTAACGTGACCTCTGCTAATGTTTATATTCAGATGAAGGACACACTGTTACTCTGCAGTCTCTTGTTTTGCCTAACTTGTCCCATGATTTTTACATGACTGACAGACACACATGGAAGCCTGGTTTCTCAAAGAGTCAATATGGGATTAAATTTGTCAAACATTTTATCCCAGGATGTGTATAAAGTTCAGTAGAGACAGAAAGGTGACTAACCAATATGAATTAAAATTAGGTGCAAACCTATCTACTACTACTACTATATGGAGTAATACAGAGAGTAATTCAAAGAAAAAAAATACCGTCATTAATTTAAAAGAAAAGATATAACACTACCCCCTACGCAAAAGAATTTTTTTCTTTTTTCATTATATGGTAGTTATCGCAAAGCTTATACAATAGATCAAAAAATTATCTATAGTCCAAGGAAAATTGACAATGAGCTGTACATAAAACCATTGGCTATATCCTACATATCTGATGGATTTTAGAAGGTTATGGAGTCTCCAGTTGGTTTCTCAGCTCATATGCAACCCTTCACCCTCTACATACCTTATGTCTAGAAAATTGCTTTGCAACACCTTATGAGTTTTGTTTAAAAAGAAATCTATCGCAGGTAATTATAGTTTATTTTTAATGTTGGTATATCCTATTTAATTTTGTAATAGTCAGAAAATAAAATAGTTCACATCTCATTAAACTCAATAGGAGGTAAATCAATTCACATAAAGATTGAATAAAATATTCATCAAAAATAGAAGAAAAATTAGCTAGGAAAATCAACAAGCATTCCAAATTGGAAGGTAATTGTTCATACTTCAGTAAATGCAGGCCAACATTCCAAAAGGACTATTACTTACTTCAAATGTTCCCTCTCTTAGAAGTTCAGGGGAAAATGGCATTACATTGTTGTTATTATTTAATGCAAAAAGCAATGGGGAAGTAAGACAATTTAGCATTCAGAAAGATGACATATGCAGTAGAAAGAAAAAATAATATTGCTGTATATTATTACTCCTTATGAAATAAATAACTTGAAGATGTCTAAACGTTAACATTTATTTGAAGACCAGTTTGAAATGAGTGGAAAGGGGAGTCTGTTTATCTGAAGTGGGACTGAATCATATCTCTGCTCTCTTTAAGGTGCAACTTTTGGGAAAGTGATTTGACTTCTGTAAGGTTCACTGTCTGTCAGAGATTATAACACCTACCACATAAGTGTGAAATGAGGATTTGGGTTGTTAATGGCTACTATTGAGTTCATGCTTACTGTGTGCCAACTATTCCTCTAGGGTCTTTACCCTTGTGAGCTAACTAAATTGTCATACTACATTAGATACTGTAATTATCACTATTTTTCAGGAAAAGGAAGCAGGGGTTAAGTAACATGCTCCAAGTCTCACAGCTAGTAATTGGAGACTCTATAATCTGAACCCAGGTAATACAGCTGCAGAAATCATACCCTACCATTAACAAAATAGGTGGCAAGAGTAAATGCTCAGAAGAGGGAAAACGAATATATTTGTTTCTTACTGATCTCCATTCATTGGACTGTGAGGAAAAGGTGAAAGTAGATGAATTTCAAAATATAGTACATTCTATTTTAATTTAATTTAATTAATTTATTTATTTTTTGAAATGGAGTTTCACTCTGTCGCCCAGGCTAGAGTGCAGTGATGTGATCTTGGTTCACTGCAACCTCTGCCTCCCCGGTTCAAGTGATTCTCCCCACTCAGCTTCCTGAGTAGGTGGGACTACAGGCGCATGCCACCACACCTGGCTAATTTTTGTATTTTTAGTAGAGACAGGGTTTTGCCATGTTGGCCAGGCTGGTCTCAAACTCCTGCCCTCAGGTGATCTGCCTGCCTCAGCCTTCCAAAATAATAATACAATACATTTTAAAATATAATATATTTTTATCTTCTGATAATGAAAACAAATTTTTAAGTGTGTAAAATAATAGAATACAGCTTTTTAAAAACTTCTCATTGTAATAAGCCAGTCTTTAAAGCTACATTTTTAATATAGCTGGTAGCCATCATTGTTGGAAACATTTATCTGAAGAATTGAGCACTTGATCAAAATGTCTGGTTTCCCTTTGTGTCTAATTTGCATTTGGTAAATAATATAAAAAACCATATCATCTTTAAGATGTGAGAAAAATGCATTGAGAGATCTAAGTAATGTATAAACAATCTTTCTGACCAAAAAAATAGCAAAACAAAGCTATTCATCAGTTGTCATCTTAGAATACAATCCCAAAATATCTTTTAAACAAGCTTCTCATTGCAGTATTTTTTTAAGGCAAGAATATATTTAACTGTCTGGAAAGTTCATCATTTCAAACAGTGGCTCTTTAATCATTTAATCAGATAAAGGAATACATTTAGGAGAGGCATCTTTTATATACTTTTCAAGACAACCACCTTGGACTATTATTAAGCATCATGGGCAGTTTAACATTTTATTTTCTTGTGCATTCATAACACAATTAAAAAAAAGGTATTCACTAAAACAAGGCTTTAAAAATGTTTTAACTATTGATACATCAAGGAGATATTTACTACCATGATTCCTTGATTTATTTAGATATAAACACAATGCTTGTCCACTATTCACATGGCAATTAAAGGAAATACTTCCATTTAATTTAGTAACACATAGAGGGCTGAGTAATACTTTGGTGTGAATTCAGTGACACACAGGGAAGGCAGAGAAGCAGACACACTGGAGTGAATACTGTAAGCATGCATGCATAATTCATTTTACCCTTGAGCAAATGATTTAATCTTTCCATATCTCGATTTTCTCCTCAGTAGAGTAAAATGTCATTATCTGTCTCTTCCTAAAAGGACGACCTGCAGTTCAATTCAAGACATTTGTAGAAATGGGGGTGGGAAAGGGAGCAGATGGCACATCATGAAATCACATTCCCCATTTCTTCAGGTCAGAGTCCTAGATGTAGCATAATTAAGAAACATGCAGCTTATTTTGGTGGGATTTTAATCTAGGCTTAGGTCCATTCCATACTCCACACGTGTTCTCTCACCTCTCCCACTCTGAGTAATCTGAATGTCTACTGTTAACTTCCATTGTACCCCACATGGGAGTATGTCCCTCAGAAATGTCCCAGAAATACTAGGGATAGCTTACCATATACAAAAGCACTGAGCCCTGGGTCACCCATTATCTACTGAGACCTTGTAGGCCTGAGAATCTAACAGAATAGAAAGAGCCTTTTCTTTCCAATAAGTCTTCACTCAGTAAGACTGGATGGAATTTTAACTGGAGAATTTAGAAAAGATGGTTCATTCATTCATTTATATTAATATTTAAAATTAATCTACCATGTTTTAGGAATTATACTTGTACTGGGGACACAAGAAGCAAAGTGAAGCTCCTATTTATGAAGAAAATCACCATCCTAGCCAGGAGTGGTGGTACATGCCTATAATCTCAGCTGCTCAGAAGGCTGAGGCAGGAGGATTGCTTGAGTCCAGGAGCTGACCAGCCTGGGCAACATAGCAAGACCCCATCTTTAAAAACAAAAAGAATGGAAATTACCATCCTAGAGATGAGTAACACATAAATAAGTACAAAGGTGGTTATATGACTGAATACTATGATATCGAAAAAAATTTTAATTAAAAAACACTTAAGAAAAACTAAGAACTAAGTATTATTGAAAAAAATCTAAGAGTCAAGATAAAGGGAATCCAGCTCATTTCTTCTACCAATACCTTGCCTCAGTTTTTCACCTATAAATGAAGAAACTAGACAGATTTCTGTTTAAGAACCTACCAGCTTTAACATTTTATGTTTCCTATTGAGTTACTCCTGGAATAATTCGTCTATTTATCTATCTATCTATCTATCTATCTATCTATCTATCTATCTATCCATCCACCTACCTATCTGTCTATCCATCTACCCATCTACCTATCTATCTATCCATCTATCTTAAGTAAAAATTATTGAGTCCTAGAGAAATATCTGAAAATATTAAATTATTTCGCCACAACAGAGATTTCTCATTGCATTAAGATACTTCTGAGTGTGTTTTTCTGTTTGTTTATGTTGTGTCTTTGTTTTTGCTTCAACAGAGGATCATTCACTCAGATGCTCTATAATAGAAAGTAGATGGCATTTGGCTTACTGTCTCCCAGTACATACAAGCCATATATTGATGGTCCAATAAGACAGGCCCCAGTATGTATTAATTGTGTAATAAAACTCCAGGATTCGACTACTGAGTTAGACTCACCTTACACATTATGGAACTACCTCAAAAACATATTTGTTCCACTATAATTAGCTTTATGAGCTTGCTAATGTATTAGAATTTATTCAACAATATCAGCAGGAATGGTGGTAACACAGAACTAACAAGATGAAAAGTGAGATGCTATTTTATGAAAACCACTATCTTTTAAGGTCATTGATAAAACTTTTCACCTAATCCAGTGGTCTTCCTCCAAACCCATCAAACCAATTTCCTCCCTAGAGATACTGTCTTAAATGCATGGCATTTTATGAGTACAAAGAACTTCCACAGATCATAACATAATGTCTTCATTCACATGTCAGAATTTTCTTTCTATTATAATGGCTGGTTATTTTAAAATAGAAGACTATGAACCGCCTTAAATGTAGTGACAACATGTTTTCTTTCTAGTACACTGTGTAACTCACACTACAGGCTCAATAAAATTTGTCAAATGAATGAGAAAGTCAATGAATGATCATGCAGCAAAAGTCTAGAACTATGCTTACTTCGTTCAAGAAATGTCTACAGTGAAACAATCACAAACATTATTCATTGTCCCTTCCTTCCTTAAAATACTCACAGCCTAAATCAAGAACTCTAAATGCAGAGGAGATGAAACCAGATGAATTGTTTTTTCTGCCTCTGCTGTGAAGTTTGAGGAAAAGGTCTTCTGATTCCATGCTCAGGTACCTCAGCTTCTTCCTTGTGTTTCAGAAATGTGTTCTATTAATTATGCATTCCCTTATCAAACTCTCATTCTCAACTATTTTTGTTTTTATTTCAAAAATTTTCATAAAAATATGCAAGATCAATCCTACAGATAGACCTGACCATATAAACAAACCCACACATTCTACCAATAAATAAAAACAAAATAAGTAAGGCACTTTTTCTCAACTCTGTTTCTCCTCGAAACACCCCCTCTGTCTTACTCTACTACCAAACTTCTTGACAGAACAAACAACAAGGGCTGTGATATAGTTTGGCTGTGTCTCCACCCAAATTTCATCTTGAACTGTAACTCCCATAATCCCCATGTGGTGTGGGAGGGACCCCGTGGGAGGTTATTGAATTATGGGGGTGGGTTTTTCCTGTGCTGTTCTTGTGATAGTGAATGAGGCTCATGAGATCTCATGGTTTTAAAAACAGGAGTTTTCCTGCACAAGCTTATCTTCCTTGCCTGCTGTCATCCATGTAAGATGTGACTTATTTCTCCTTGCCTTCCACCATGATTGTGAGGCCTCCCCAGCCATGTGGAACTATGAGTCCTATTAAACCTTTTTCTTTTGTAAATTATCCAGTTTTGGGTATGTCTTTATCAGCAGCATGAAAATGGACTAATACAGTAATGTGATACTTGTAGAGTGGGGTGTTGCTGAGAAGATACCCAAAAATGGGGAAGTGACTTTGGAATTGGGTAATAGGCAGAGGTTGGAACAGTTTGGAGAGCTCAGAAGAAGACAGGAAAATGTGCAAAAGTTTGGAACTTCCTAGAGACTTGTTGAATGGCTTTGCCCACAATGCTGATAGTAATATGGTCAATAAAGTCCAGGCTGAGATGGTCTCAGATGGAAATGAGGAACTTGTTGCAACTGGAGCAAAGGTGACTCTTGTTATGTTTTAACAAAGAGGCTGGCAGCATTTTGCCCCTGTCCTACAGATTTGTGAAACTTTGAACTTGAGAGAGATGATTTAGGGTATCTGGCAGATGAAATTTCTAAGCACCAAAGCATTCAAGAGGTGACTTAGGTGCTATTAAAGGCATTCAGTTTTTTAAGGGAAGCAGAGCATAGAAGTTTGGAAAATTTGCAGCCTGACAATGCAATAGAAAAGAAAATCCCATTTTCTGAGGAGAAATTCATGCCTGCTGCAGAAATTTGCATAAGTAACCAGGAGCTGAATGCTAATCCCCAAGACAATAGGAAAAATGTCTTCGGGGCACGTCAGAGGTCTTCATGGCAGCCCCTCCCATCACAGGGCCGTAGGCCTAGGAGGAAAAAGTGGTTTTGTGTGCTGGGCCCAGGGTCCCTGTGCTGTGTGCAGCCTAAGGACTTGGTGCTCTGTGTGCCAACCACTCAAGCTGTGTCTGAAAGGGGCAAATGTGGAGTAGAGCTTGGGCCATGGCTTCAGAAAGTGCAAGCCTCAAGCCTTGGCAGCTTCAACATGGTGTTGAGCCTGTGAGTTCACAGAAGTCAAGATTTGGGGTTTGGGAACTTCCACCTAGATTTCAGAAGATGTATGGAAACGCCTGGATGCCCAGGCAAAAGTTTGCTGCAGGGGCACGGCTCTCATGGAGAACCTCTGCTAGGGCAGTGTGGAAGGGAAATGTGGGGTTGGAACCCCTACACAGAGTCCATCCTAGGGCACTGCCTAGTGGAGCTGTGAGAAGGCGGCCACCATCCTCCAGACTCCAGAATAGTAGATCCACTGACAGCTTGCACCATGCACCTGGAAAAGCCACAGACACTCAATGTCAGCCTGTGAAAGCAGCTGGAAGGCAGGCTGTACCCTGTAAAGTCACAGGGGCGGAGCTGCCCAAGACCATGGGAACCCACCTCTTGCATCAGCGTGACCTGGATGTGAGACCTGGAGTCAAAGGAGATCATTTTTGGAGCTTTAAGATTTGTCTGCCATGTTGGATTTCAGACTTGCATGAAGCCTGTAGTTCCTTTGTTTTGGCCAATTTCTCCACTTTGGAATGGCTGTATTTATCTAATGCCTGTACCCCCATTGTATCTAGGAAGTAACTAACTTGGTTTTGATTTTACAGGCTCATAGGCAGAAGGGACTTGCCTTGTCTGGGATGAGACTTTGGACTGTGGACTTCTGAGTTAATGGTGAAATGAATTAAGACATTGGGGGACTGTTGGGAAGGTTTTGAAATGGGAGGACGTGAGATTAGGCAGAGGCTAGGGGTGGAATGTTATGATTGTGTCTGTGTCCCCACCAAAATGTCATCTTGAATTGTAGCTCTCACACTTCCCACATGTCATGGGAGAAACCTGGTGGGAGGTGATTGAATTATGTGGGCTCGTCTTTTCTGCACTGTTCTTGTGAAAGTGAATGAGTCTCATGAAATCTGATAGTTTTAAAAATGGGAGTTCCCCTGCACTAGCTCTTCTTTTTGCCTGCTGCCATCCACGTAAGCTGTGACTTGCTCCTCCTTGCTTTCTGCTATGATTGTGAGGCCTCCCCAGCCATGTGGAACTGTGAGTCCAATTAAACCACTTTCCTTTGTAAATTCCCCAGTCTTGGGTATGTATTTATCAGCAGTGTGAAAATGGACTAATACAGGCTGCTTTTTTCCTCCCATTAAGCATATATTTCTTAACCTTTTGAGATACTGTCCCTACTATTCTATAAAAATGAGGTTCTGAACTGTCACCCATGACTGTCAAAATAACTAGCATTTTTCCATTGCCTCTCTAAGGAACTAACCACTCCTTTTCATCATATTTCATCCTTTGGCTCTCCTGTGCTATTTCTTATCACTCCAGTGCTTCTTAGGCTGATCCATTTTCTTTGCCATGACTCCTCTACTTCTACAGTTTTCTCAAAGTTTCTACCTTTATACATTTTGTTCTCCAGTCTTCCTTTTTAGCAATTTCATTTGCTACTGAGACTTCAGCTGTGCCCTCCCTCCATGCATGCCATCCGAATGTACCTCTCCAATCAATGGCTTCCTCCAGAACTTCACAACAGGATTTGTCCTTGCTCATGGAGGGAATATTATCACCTCACTATCTCACCACAGCCTTAAATCAACAAACACAAATAGCTGAATTCATCCTCTGTTCCCCCTTAACAACCTCCTCCTGTTCCACATATTTTATGAATGCCAAGACAGTCCTCTCAATTTTGAATTCTACTTCAGATGCAAGATTCAAGGCTTTTCAAAGATGCCTAATAGAGAAATAAATATATTCTCATTCAAGAAAAATGAGACGAAGTTTTACCAGATCATCTGTATTTGGGGAAAATGTATAAACTAGAAGTAACAATCCACTTGTAATATTGCTACAAATAGTTTTACAGACCACCATGAAATTGTCACATTTGACTAGTATTTGATTTGGGATATATATATATATAACTATAGATATAGATACAATGATAATTTATTTGGTAGAGTTTTAAAGTATTTCTAAGAAGTTTAGGATTACTTAGACACTGAGAAAAAGTGGGGAATAATCATTACAAAGTTAGGAGCTTCTATGGTCACAGTGTGAAATTGTCTATATGTTTGTAGTTGACATCTACAGTATTTACAGGGATTCTGGAAGAAATGAGGTTGTACAGGTAAGCTGAAGTTAAGTTGTGAGGATGTTAACGTGTGGGTTAGGGTATTTCTTATATTTAATTTCACCAGCAAATTAAGATTGGAAATCTAGTAAAAGCTTTTGAGGCAAAAAGTTGTAGCTGCACTGTGGTTAAGAAAATAGTGGTAGATAATAACTAGGTACATAATGATGGGAGACTGGAAAGAGGATACACAGCATCTGTGACTGCAATAAAAATGTGAGTATGAGAAGAGAGGAATATTTCATTGTTTGTGACAAAGACATTAAAGCATACCTAATGATTCGATGAAGGAAGGAGGAGTCAAAGATAAAAATATGTTGTTTGAAGCCTTAACCCAGGTTTTACTACCCTTACAACTTGACTTCAGCTTACCTGTACAACCTCATTTCTTCTAGCATCCTTGTTAAAATTACAGATGTCAACCCACTCTAAGAATTACAAACATACTGACAAATTCACACTGTGAGCATAGAAACTACTAACTTCACAGTGATTACTCTCCACTTTTACATGCTTTTAAGCAATTCTAAAGTTCTTGGAAATACTTGAAAACTCTATCAAATTAGTTATCTTTATATTTATATCACTAGCTACATCTATATAACCCAAATCAAATACCAAATATGATAATTTTATGGTAGTCCATAGAACTGCTTGTTGTAAGTTATTATTTCTATTTTATACATTCTCCCCAAATTCAGATGATCTGGGAAGACTTTGTCCCCTTTTTCTTGAATGATAGTATATTTATTTGTCAATTAAGGCAACTCTGGAGTCTTGAATTTAGCACCTGAGGTAGATGAAATCAGGACTCTGTCCAATAAAATGCAATAATGGCATTTAGAGTCACATATATTGCCATATGTGTTCCTTGAATATGTCGATGTTGCGATTTGTAAAATAGCACAGTGGTTAAGCTGGAATCTCTAGCTTAAGTTGTCTCTAGGTTTAAATGTCCACATCTACCACACTAGCCGCATGAATATTTCAAGTTACTTACATATTTCTGTGCCTCAGTTGCTTTATAAGTTGGGAAAATAAGAATAGGGCTTTTAGCTATATCTATAATACCACATTTCCTAATGCAATGCACTAATTTTTCCAGATGATTTGAATTTCCTACTCCTTAATTGCTGCTAATGTTTGAGTGCTTTAAGCATTATAGGCATAGCCCTTTAATGAAAGTTTAAAGTGCACACTAGCTTTAAAAACTTCTCGGCTGGGCGCAGCGGCTCACGCCTGTAATCCCAGCACTTTGGGAGGCAGAGGCAGGTGGATCACAAGGTCAAGAGATTGAGACCATCCTGGCCAACATGGTAAAACCCCATCTCTACTAAAAACACAAAAATTAGCCGGGCGTGATGGCGCATGCCTGTAGTCCCAGCTACTCGGGAGGCTGAGGCAGAAGAATCGCTTGAATCCGGGAGGCAGAGGTTGCAGTGAGCTGAGGTCACGCCACTGCACTCCAGCCTGGTGACAGAGCAAGACTTCGTCTCAAAAAAAAAAACAAAAAAACAAAACAAACAAAAAAACAAACAAAAAACTTCTCTGAGGATGTTCAGGATCTTATCTTGCTGAGAACATGGCCTAGTTCATGACTGTGTGAAAACTCATTGTTTAAGAATATGACAATTTTATAGGCACATAAACATTCTGTTTTCCAAATTTACTTCAAAATAAAAGAAAAAGTAGGAAAATGCTAGAGCAATGAATATTATGAGTATTGTCTTACATAAATTTAACAAATTAAGAAAAGGGTGATGGATTTTTGTTTACTATTCATATTAACCAAAGGTGAAGTTACCTGCTTGCTTGAATCCTAATCTGTAAAAAAAAAAAAAAAAAGTCATCCAATTCAAGAAGTTAAAAAAAAAGAATACTGTGAGGGTCAACATTTATCTGCAAAATTTGGTTCCTGATGATATAAAATTAAGACACGAAAAATGGCTTTCTGAATAAAAAATAATTTATACATTCCAGCATCTTGAACTGGATTAATGTATACCAAAAAAATACACTTCTATATCAGTAAGACTTTTCATGTGAAGCATCAGTCAAACGTAGACTGCTTGCTCATCATATTTTTATTCACACATTCTCAGGATCCAAACATAGAGACAATTTCACTCTATGAGTATAGAATCCGTTGCCTCAGCAATCATAAGTCCCATTTTTCTCTTTCTCTAAGCAATTCAGAAGTTCTTGGAAATATTCTGAAACTCTACCAAAATCATTACCCACTTTTTCTCACAAGTTTCATACAAAAGCAGCAGTGATTCATTCATTCATTCGACATTTTTTTTTTAAAGTCTCTCTTTTGACAGGCAGGGATTTAGAGGCTGGGAGTCCAGCATGGAAGCAGGCAGATAAATCCCCAGTTCTTATTAAGCGTATGTTCTAGGAGAATGAATTTAAGACTAGGGTTGGCAAACATTTTTACAGGTACACAAAATTACTAAACAAATTTTTTCTTGATAAAATGGTAACCTAAATCAGTAACTAAACAAACCATTATGTAGAGGTTCAATGTTAATTTCCTAGATAAATATTGCAATGAACCTGAAGCTGGTCAAACAAAAAGCAATACGAGTAAATGTAAATTATCAAAAATTTGGTTATCATATCTATTTTATAAGGCTATCCTCTTGGCCAAACTTGATGTTAAAAAAAGGATAAAATGTTCTTTTTATACAGTAGATTATAAAACCTTTTTTTTTTTAATTTTCCCTGGTCAGTGTAGAAAGTTGACCAGGTTACAATCAATTTAGTGTTTACACTAAACAAATGCTCAAGTTAATCAGACACTGTATAAGGAACAAACCTTGAGCTGGGAATCAAAAAAATCTCATTCTACACTCAATCCTGTCATCACGTAATATCTCTTACCTGTGAAACACTGTTTCCTATTCTACAAAATCAAAATTAGACTAATTAAATATTTTTCAGCTTTAAGTGTGCCATTTGTAAAACTTCAAACATACAAGTTTATATACCAATTTTTGAAGCTACAAAAAAATTTCAAATCAGTAATACTGATTCTCTAGAACTGCATACAGTCTCCACCTGTTCCCACCAGAACTGCATACAGTCCCACTTCCCTCCAACTGCACTGACATTCCCCATGGCCACATGCAAACATTTTGGCTAGTTATTCTTTTATATTCTCATGCTTTGCCATAGTTAAAAAGAAAAATAACTTAAATGTATATGTAAGTATGCTTGGAAAAATCCTCTGCAGTAGAAAGAATTAATTAGAAATTTAATATATGTATACAAATGTAGGCCATCTCGTACAGTGGAATTAGGATTGGAATGCTCAGTTCCCTGGTTTTATTTTTCCCTGCTAAGATTCAGAAACCAGAGAGTCTACTTTAGGTGACAGCCATTTCTTTTACTCAACATATTGTACATTAATGAATATCATTATGAAACAAAAGGCTTTTCAGAGTCTTCAGATACTTTTATAATAGACATGCTATTAAAATTCAGATTGCCTCATAAAGAACAAAGCCTTGTCTATGTTTACTGTCCCAAAGCATATTTTCCTTTATTCTATAATAATTATGATGAGTGCATTTAAATATAGATACACTTTTAAATTAATGAAAATGTTACTCTAAAGTATATGCCTGATTTTACTTAATTTTATATGTATTAAAAACTTTAAAAACATCTTTTGTCTTTATTAAAAAATAAAGTAGCTGTAGTCTGAGCCAGCAAGGAGATGAATTAAGAATGAAAATCGCATACTCTTAATTTCCTGTTTCTTCTCATTTTTATGTTTAGTTTGGGGAAAAAGAAGAAAATTGTTTCTTCAACCTACAATTTTACTATTATCAGTCCATCATGTAAATATGTAAAAGGGATCTGAAAGTTCCAAAACAGGTATTAACATCTATTATGTAAATATACTTAGATGATTTTCATAACACATATTATAGTGTTTTTCAAAGATGAATATCATGTTACCCAGTAGATCAATATCAAGCCTTTAGATCAATTTAGGAAGCAATTACATATTCAGCATCCCTTTACCCATGTGAGCATTATCATTTTGTTGATGGCCTTAGAAAAATCCAAACAAGAAATGCTCATTTTAATTTGAAGTTACGTGAAATGCCACACTCTTCTAACTTTTGATTCCACTGATAAGATTGTACCAGACTTTGTGAATATAGAAAGATTATGCCACATGGATGGTGATGGGCATCTGAAAAATATCCTTTCTCAGTAATGGGGGAGATGGAAGTTGAGTTTCAAAAATCAAGGAAGTTTTTCAGGAATCATAATACCACATTTAAGTGTGAAACTAACAACATCAACAAATTCATGTAGCCTGGAAGAAGCCGTTGAAGAAAATCTGACAAAACTATAATTTATTTTCCACAATTATATTGTTTTATTGGTGAGAGCATATTATGAGGATTTTATACATTTTTCTCTTAAAAGAAAAGTTACAAAATCCTCTGATTTGCATGTAAATTAAGGTCCATAAATCAATAAACTATTATTATTAGTAGTAGTATGATTATTACTACTATAGTATTAGTTGTAATAATTGCAACAGCACTTGTGATAATATGGTGCTAACCCCAATGAATAATTGTTTTATGAATAAAATCTTAAAACTCCAATATGTTTTATAACAATGTTATAATGAAAACAATGTTATAAGATACCTAAGTCATTATAGAATTATCACAATGCTTGATATTTGATATACTAGGCATCATAAAGTTAGGGCTGTAATCCAAAATATTCTAATGTCTTCATATTTCCTATAGTCATGACGGTATTGTTTTATGTTACAGATTCATCTTAACCATTTTGAAGTTATATTTTTAGCAGGCATGAAGTTACCTGGCTGCAAGTTCCAGTGCTGGGCATGCAATAACTATCAGTGGAGCTTTCCTTGCTAACATCACTGAGTCTCTGACATCCTACCTACAAAATGGATTTATTAATACTTTCCTTGTCAACCTTACAGTGCGGTTGTGAGGATCAAGGGAAATAGGAATTGTAAAAATAATTCACAAATGCTAATGTATATATAAAGATATTATTTTTCAAATTCCCTTATCTATTGATTTATGTCTATTCTGATTGTTCTAAATTTCTCATTCTCAAGATTCAACTGATGTTCGCCTCTTCTTTCTCTCTCAGAAGGAAACATCTAGTATTCTTGGATTAAGGAAACATTTATATTCTTTGATTGCAATTCATAACTTTAATTCAATATTTAAAACTTTGAGTTTTATATACCTGTTGTACCCAAATGTTATTTTAAATCTTCTTGGAGATAAACAAGGGCATAGATGAGAGAAAAAGTGTGTGTGTGTGTGTGTGTGTGTGTGTGTATGTGTTTGAACATATTATTATCCATATATATTACATATACTAACATGTATTGTTCAATATATATGCTTTATCTCTATTAAACATGAAATATTACTTTTCTTAGATGATTGATAATGAAATATGTATCCAAAGAAAACAATCCAGCCTTAAATTCTGTTGCAAATTTCAATGATCACACCAGGAAAATGCAAGGTTTTACCCTCTTATCAAGTGCAGAGTAAAATAAAAAGATCTTTTATTAAAAAGCCTTTCCTCTTGTTGTACTTGTCTATGCACTATCAATGCATAATTATTATTTCTTATATGATACAAGAGTGAAGCAACCACGATATATCAAAGTCCAGAAAACATTTTCAAGCAATGTTTAAAGCAAAATAATAAATTTCTGATAAACTATAATGCTCAGAGTCTACTGCAAAAATCACTACCAACTTCAAGTGAGATTGTGTCTGTACAAAGAGACAAAAGAAATAGGGGAAAACTCTACAAATTGTTATAAAATATTTTCTCCTGTGATACATTTAGAGGGATTATTAGTTATCAGAAAATTTGGGTAAGAATTCATTGCCAGAATTAGGCAGCACACATAAGTTCAGTGCCAACAGAGCAATGGCCTTTATTCTGGTTTGTTGCTGGCGTGATGAAAAGCGTAGAGATTACGCCTCTTCTTATGTGAAGTTCACAGGATTTCTCCTCTGTTATATCCCCTGTTGAGTTTCGTAAGTGCCCTTTTTCCCTTGATGAATGAGAGTGATTACATAGAGATAAATACAGTTTAGCATAGTGAGGGACAGCATGAGACTTAAATTTGTGTGGGCTTGAGTTTGATAATCTCCTCCTAACTCTGTGACCATATGTAAGTTGCTTAACTTTTCTGATGTTCAATTTCTTCACGTATTTGATTGCATGGTGTAAGAGTTAAATGAGATAGTATGTGTAAAGCTTGTAGCATAGTGTTTGGCAAAGATATAATGTACCCTAAGTGGTAAGCATTGTTATTATTATTATCATTAGAGAACTTAGAAGAATTTTAGGTCACTTGTAAATGGGAAAATTCACTTAACCAATAAGCTTTACTTGAATAAATGGAAAACACCTGTTTTCTAAAGAATAATTCAATGTTGTGAAAGATCAGTTCTTCCTAAATATTTAATGGAATTCCAATAAAATATAGTAAAATTTTAAAACTAGAGGAGCTGATTTTAAAATATATAAAGTAAAAATACAACGTGAAAAAGATCAAGAATTTTCCAAAAAATAAAGAGTAATAAAGAGCAGAGTTTAGCCATGCCCACCATCAAAATGTATTGTAATGCCTTATTAATTAAATAAGTTTGGTAGGAGCAAAGAATATACAGCTAATTTAAAAGATAGAACAGAATGGAATATAAGAGTGTGACTATAATATGAATGTGTAATATGAAAAGTTAACACTTAAAATTAGAAATAGATGGATTAATGAATGACATTGGGCCTACCAATTAAGAAAAACATGGTGTTGAGAGAAAAAGTTTGATTTTTTTCTTTCATGTACCAAAGTAAGTCTTATTTTCTACATACTAAAATAAATCCTAGACAATTTTAAGTTTGAGAAGTAAACCACAAAAAATAAGGGGATTATTTAAAAAAATCTGAGTGACTTGAAAACACCCAATAGTCTTGGTCTTTTGAAACAAGACACAGAATCTTGAAGCCATATAGGAAAAAAAATGTATATTTGACTATATAACAAATTTTAAACTCCTATAGGAGAAAACATGCCATGAAAAATTAAAAGATGGCCAGGTGCGGTGGCTCATGCCTGTAATCTCAGCACTTTGGGAGGCTGAGGCCCGGAAGTTTGAGAACAGCCTGGACAACATGGCAAAACTCCATCTCTACAAAAGATACAAAATTAGCAGGGTGTGGTGGTGCATGCCCGCAGACCCAGCCACTGGGGGGCTGAGGTGGGAGAGTCACTTGTGGCCTGGAAGTTGAGGCTGCAGTGAGCCGAGATTGTGCCACTGCACACCAGCCTGGACAAGAAAGTGGGAAATGATCTCAAAAAAATAAATAAATAAAAATAAAAGATAGAGGATAAACTATGACTACTTGCAGCATGCATAGACAAAGGACAAAAAAAACTAATTTTTTTTAGTACAGATTTAAAAAAATACCTAAAATATAATTTTAAAAACCAACAAAAGTATAAATAAGCAATCCATGGAAGGAAAAAAAGTATATTAAATTCCATATAGATTATTTTCCTCATAATTAAATAAATGCACATCAAATTGACATATATTTTAAACCAAACCAAATGGTGTAGTGCACATGGTTTGAAAATACACAGTAAAAGGGTTTTTGAAGTTACACACTCGCATATGTTATTGAGAGCAGGTAATTTGGTTCAATCTCTTGCAATGCACTTTGCCAATCTCTATGAAAATTTTAAATGCACATATACTGTAATCCAGTAATCCCACTTCTCAATTTTTTCTATATTCAGTAGTTTGTATAAAATGTAATGTGCAAGAAAGATTTTTATTGTATTGTAATAATATGTAATAGCCTAAATATTTATCACCTGTGAACACATATGGTTTCATCCACATATGCAATACTCTGCATCCCGTAGTGAAATAGAAAGTTTCTGGGAGTGCTGACCAGAAAAGATTGCCAATATACCTTTACCGAGAAAAATTAACAAGACTTATTTGTGTAAGAAATTTTTGGATAGAAATAAACAAGCAAACAATAATTGTTGCCACTAAAGAAGATCAAACCTAGGTTGAAGAGAAAATTGCTTTTCTTAATATCTCTTTTCTAGGCTTTATATATTTATTTATTTAATCATGTACATGTATTACTTTAAAAATAAAAACTAGTTAAGTATAACGATGTGTTTTTAACGTGAGATAGAAGTTAATTTTCATACTTTCCTAAGTTAACAAAATTTGACAACACAAGGAAATAGCTTTGATGAACCGTAGTGTTTTATATCTTGAATAGTCTTCTTGTTCTTTAAAGGAAGATAAGTATTTCATACATACCTTTTTGTTTTTAATGTTTACATAAACTTTTCTAGCAAACATCCTCCCCCAATTAAAGAGATTTCTCTTTGCAAGGGCAGCAGTATAAGACTTCGGATGGCTACAAATTGGCATGAAATTAAAAGAATATCAATCCTGTATTATCCAAAAACAATAAATTCAATAGTTAATATAAGGAAAGTTTTCCAGTGATAATAGAATAGTAGATACGCATTGGAAGAAACATGAGAAATTTTGTGATTCATTGGTCAGGAGAAATAATTTTCTTTTAAGAATGAAGTAAAGGCCAGGTGCAGTGGATCATGCCTGTAGTCCCAACATTTTGGGAGGTCAAGGTGGGAGAACTGCTTGAGCCCAGGAGTTCAAGACCAGACTGGGCAACACAGTGAGACCCTGTCTCTACAGTTTTTTTTTTTTTTTTAATTTAGCTGGGCTTGGAGGCGAGCAACTGTGGCCCAGCTACTTGAGAGGTTGAGGTGGAAAGATCGCGTAAGCCTGGGAGGTTGAGGCTGCAGTAAGCCATAATTGCACCATCACACAGCAGCCTGGGTAACAAAGTAAGACTATATGTCAAAAAGAAAAAGAAAAAGAAAGTAGAATATAGACTTAGCTGTATGAAAAATAATAATTATAAAGATAGCCTGTTTACTCAATCTCTAAAGTGAATAAAGAAAACAACGAAGAGAAAGAGAATCTAAATATTTCTCTGCAGATTATGTATGTGTCTCTACTGAATTATAATGAATGGTATATGACTGTAACATCCAGTTCTAAATCAAGCATTCTCACTTAAAAAGTTTTAAAAAATTGTGGGTATATTTTTAACTGATATAAATTGGGCCAGACAGCCATAAAATGCACGTGATTGTTATGAAAAAAACATCTTCCTGTTTTCATATAACAAATTTTTAAAGAAGTTTATGGCACTTTGTAGAAAGTACAAACATTGTACTTTTTTATTTGAAATTTAATCAAGATGTTTATACTATCTCAGAAAATATCAACATCCAATGGCAATGCCACTGGTGGTAACTGAGCCATCAGTACAATGCACCAGTGTTTGTCATCTTGCCACTGTAGTAGTTGTGTTCACAGTGGTTCTGTGTATATGGGCAGGCATTTGTCTACTTTATTATGCCTTGTAGCACCGTCCTCATCCAAAACTTGCACTTTGAAACACACATTTCTTTAAAAGTTATTTTCCTTTTATCTTCTCTTTTATTTTGCAGATAAGAGATGTGGTTGATATATACCTTTTTCAAATGTATGTGCAGGTAGGTAATATGATACTAAACTGAATTTTTTTTTTCAGGATAGCTATGAGGGATTAAATTTGGAAGCAACCTAAGTGTCCATCAACAGATGAATGGATAAAGAAAATGTGGTACATATACACAATGGAGTACCATTCAGCCATAAAATAGAATGACATCCTGTCATTTGCAACAACATGGATGGAATTGGAGACCATGATGTTAAGTGAAAATATTATTTTTAAAGGGGGATATTGGGTTGACCAAATTGAGAGCTATAACTAGATGAAATCTGAAGCGATCTCCCTATTTTTGAAGAAGGCTAGAAGTCAAGTGTATTCTTCATTGATGTTACTCTGTGTTAGTCTCCTTGAAAATCCTGAACTTCAATCTCATGTGGAACTAAGAGTAAATAAAAATCTATATTAGAAGTACAAGGTAAACATGGACTAGTTATTCACATGATTCCTCCAGAACATTTTCTGACTGACTAACCTTTCCGGCTAGTACATATGACAGTTAATTCATCATTAGTATTATTTATGGGTGCAATGTACGTAATATATGAATAACACTAGCTTATATTATTTTGAATTCTAGAAGATTTTTTATTTTTTCCTGAATTATAAAAATTCAAATGCCACAAGAGAGATTTTTTAAAAATATATTTATGAGTTTCATTTATTGTATGGATTGGATTTCCTCAATATTTCCTGACTATAAGGTGTCATATTTTAAAAAATAATAAAGCAACCATGTGTCCCAAATAGATGGATAATGCCAATCTATTTTGTTGGAAAGGACATAGAAATGAGATTCAGATTATAAAAGCTATACATTTTCAAAAGGCCCATTTCATAAATAACTTGCCTGTTGTGCACTGCAGTGGATGCTGTTAGGCATATCAAGCCACTAACCTATTGTTTATTATAGACCCATTTTATCATTTTGATGATACAGATTCAACTATGGCAATCTTCTTTCCTCTCTCTGCTTCACTGGCTACATGACTTCCCTTGGCTAAGACCGTATCGAAACATACACTTGAATGTCATAAGTTATGACAGCCTGGGGGTTGAATGGGAATACTATTAACTGACCTATGAAATTACAGAATTATAAATCTCGATGAATACATACTGGGATGTGTGCATAGATTGCTATATTAAAAAGATATCTCTTCACATGCTCAGATAAGTTCAACTAAACATAATTTAAATGGATGAAAACATATTGATAAATCAGTTGGACACAAAGACTTCTTTTTATTCTCTCCCTCCCCCCCCCACACTACCCACTGTAATTCTATAACCTACCCAAAGTCACCGGGCAAATATTATGACCACTCAACAGGGCACGTTTGGATCAATTAGCTATTTACTGTAGGTAAGAAGGAAACATCACAGATGATTACTCAAAACCTTTTAGACATGGCTATGCTCAAGGCCACATATTAAGATGGGCTGAATATCAACTTTTGGAAGGCAAGGGGGCAGAAGAATCAGCAAAAATGTGAATGAAAGGAATTTGAGAGAACAAATCAGGTAAATTCTACCAGAGCACAGATGTTGGTCAAATGGTACAAACTTTCAGTTATAAAATGAATTAAGTTCTTGGGATCTAATGTATAGTATAGTGACTATAATTAATAATACTGTATTGTTTACTTGAAATTTGATAAGAGCAGTTTCTTTAAGTGATCTTAACACACACACACACACAAACACACACACACACACACGCACACACTCCACACATGAAATTTTAATTATGAAAGGTGATAGATGAGTTAATTAATTTGACTATGGTAATCAGTACACAATGTATATGCATGTCAAATCATCACATTGTACACATTGTATAGAATTTTTATTTATCAATTAAATATTTTAAAGGAAAAAAATCAAATCTGAAAGTCATGCATATTTGGATTTTGGATTTTTCTCTCTAGCCTGACCTCTCCTCTAACCTCTAAACTTGTGTATCTAATTATCAAATAGATAACTCCAGTTTGATACTTAATAGGCATTTCAAATTTAATCTACCCTAACTGGATGCTGTCTTGCCAAAAAGTTGTTCCTCATGCCATCTTCTCCCGCTCAGAATATGAAAGCTCCCTCTTGCAGTGACTGAGAACATAAAACTACTTCTCACTGCTTCCACGCTCACCATCCTGGTCCAAGCCTCCATCATATTGTGCCTGGATTATTGCAGTAGCCTTCCATCTGGTCTCCCTGCTTGCATTCTTGCTCTTCTCCAAACTGTTCTCAATACAGAAAGCCAAGGGACTACTGCTAGGAAGTCACTGAGGTCATGGCATTATTGCTTAAAGTTCTTCAGTGCCTTTCCAAATTAATCCCCCCCAAAAAGCAACAAATTCCTCCCAATGCCATCTCTACAACATTTGCCATTACCCTACTCTCATGGTTTATCTGATCTCATTTACAGGCCAAGTTTCTGTTTCACAACCAACCTAGTTCCTATCTCTGTTTAATTTCTTTGCTCTTACTTTTCCCCCTGCCTGAAACACTTTTCCCTCAGATATCAACATGATATATTTTCTCACATCAATCACGTCTTTACTCAAAAGCCTTCTCTGGCTACCCTACTATAATTTACCACCACTTTTCCAAATTTCCCAGCCACCTTCCATGATTTATTTTTCTCCTCAGCATCTATCACTATCAAACATACTTTGTATTTTATTTACTTATTTATTACCTGCATCGTCTCACTGGAATATGAGGTAAAAAAGGTAAAAGAGATTGTATCTTGTGTTTGCTGCTCTGTGTCCAATACCTAGATCAGTATCTAGCATAGAAGGATATTCTGTGAATATCTGTTGGATGAACACAGAAAAACTCTTATATCCTGGGACAGCTCCCACTTATCTGCCTTTATCATTTGGAAGGGGACCCGTGTTCCTGGATATATACTTCCCAGTGTTTTAGACCTCCTAGTTTGTAACAATCCACAAAAATGTTTAAGTCATGAAAAAACATTAATGGATTCACAATATAGAAAGAAATCTGCATGGTCAAATTTGATAAATGTTTAAATCAAGTGTCCACATGATGTGACAGCAACTCAAATTATGCTATTATATACATATATTATCAAGTTTAAATCACAGGAATAAAATAAATAATTTTAGCAAACCCCAAATTATGAAAATTATAAAATATCCTTTAGTTTTCTTTAAGCCAGCAGAATATTAATATGGAGTAATGGTTAATTTCATGTGTCAATGTGACTGGGCTAAGGGATGCCCAGATAGCTGGTCAAACATTATTTCCAGGTGTTGTCTGTGAGGGTGTTTTTGGAAGAGATGAGCATTGAAATCAGTATACTGAGTAAGGAAGATCTGCCCTCACCAATGTGGGCAGGTGTCATCCAGTCCTTTGAGAGTTCAGATAGAGTAAAAAGGCAGAGAAAGGCTATTTGAGCAGGAACATCTATTTTCTGCTCTTGGACATCAGTGCTCTTAATTCTTGGCCGTAAGACTCACACTGAACTACATCATCAGCTTCTCTGTCTGGTTCTCCAGCTTGCAGATGGAAAATGGTGGGACTTCTCAGCCTCCATACTTGCATTAGCCAATTTCCATAATAAATGTTATTTATCTCATTCACACACACACACACACACACACACACACACACACATATCATAAATATATATGATCCCTCATTAAGATGAGGGTCTTAAGGTGTTGTCTCTGTTTTCCATGCTTCCAAGTTCTTGGCACAGTCAAATATATGCTGATCATTGCTTTCTTATTTTCAGCTGTGCTATTGATGTGCTGCTAAATATTTTCTGCATGTACTGACCCTCCACACTTCTTGGCCAACTGACTCATCCTCATTTAAAATCCAGCTCAGGCATCCTCTCTCCGAAGAGAACAGTTTTCTCTGATCTCCTGCCCAGCCTTAAGATAACAGAAGCAATTTTGTTCCCTTAAATATCGTATGTTTATTTATATCTCTTCACTAGAATCTTTACCTCAACCTACAGACTCTACATAATCTGGATTTTCCCTACTTCTTCAAATTCATCCCTTACCTCTCTGTTCCTGATATACTATGCTCCAGTGCCACTGGCCTGTCTTCTAAAGTCTAACTAATTACAAGAGAAGAAACTTGTTTTTTTCTGACCTTTACTCCTAGAACGTTCTGTCCCCAGATCAGATCTTGGAATGTATGGCTGCTCAGGTAGTTGCATTAGTGGTCCCATTTTAGAGCATTCTTTCCTAATCACCTAATCAGAGGTAGATTTTCCAGCTTCCTCTCTGGAGATCACAATGTTTTATTTTCTTCACAGTACATATTACTTGCTGATGAAATATGTTTCTGTTTTGTTTATTTGTTTCCTATATACCTCCTCCAACCCCCATCTAAAATATAATCACTGCAAACCAGAGACCTTTTTCTGCTAAGTCAAGCCCCCATTAAAAGACCTGGCACCTCATAGGCAATGAATAAACACTTGTTCAATAGATGGGAGAATGCATTTACCAGTATAATATAAACGTTTACACATCTTTTTTGAAAACTAATCAGTAAGCTCCTTCAGGTCAGAAGCACTGCATCTCACTCCTCTTTGTATCCCCAATATCTAGCCTATGATAAATTACCTAGTTGTTTTTCAACCGAATGAATCATCATTAACACCCTCGGCAGAAGCCCGTAGTTTCAGAACACTGCAAACCAGCATTTGAAGAAAAACTATTTATAAGGAACTTCAGGATAAATCTCTGAGAAATCAGACATGAAAATTTAAGTATTCTGCTTATGATCAAATGAGTAAGGAATCATGGCTGAGGCAGTAACGCTCATGACACGATCTATGTGTTTCCTTCTATTTCCCAGTCCTGTTGCAGTTAAGTGTAGCTGTATCTCTCATTCTAGCCAATGTTATGGGTTCCTTTGGGTTGAGGCAATGAAAGGGCAATGTGGAACCCTGTGACTACTCTTTCTCTACCTCAGGAAATGAGGAGGTCAGGTATTGAGATGGCAGAGATACAAGATTAAGATCAAGGCAGTCTGAGTTACAGAAATGTCACATGGAGGACAGTTGATCAAGAGTTTTCTATATTTCCAGAGGAAACTGAGTGTGCCAGAAGTAGTTTTTGTCATTTTAAGCCACTAATATTTTGAGTTTGCTATTCCTGCAGCAGAATGTTGCCTATCATGGCTGACAGAGAAACATCCTCCTACACATACAGACACACACACACAGCTAATGCACTTTTAGTTGTTAAAAAAAACTACATTTGTTAGTTTTTTGTGTTAGTATGTCTCATAGGTGCAGGTATAAACTAGAATATGAGCCACGATTTTAATTGAGTCTTGGGTGTAACCTTGCTTGTTTCCATCTGAGCCATGACTCAGAATGAACTCTACTTTGCTCTACCACAAGACTTATTTAAAAAAACCAAAATCACAGTTAAGGATTAGGCTATCTTAGTGATCTAGAGAGAACATATCTTGTAGCAAAAGATGCCTGATTTTTCACCTGAGAAAACTCCAGCATGTTAGGATCTGATATAAAAGATCAAAATGATGAATATAGTTATTTTAATTTTACCATTTCTTAGATCTAATCCTTTCAGATGTAATTCTCATTAGTGGAAAGCAGCTTATCAACTACCATGTAAATAAAGATCAGGTTAAATAGAGGTAAGCTTCCACTAATTTCGTTGGGAACTATGTGAGCTTTGGAGAACACAATGTAAGCATCCATTATTTTCTAATAATAATTATATACTGTGGGAAAAATAGAATAAAACGAAAAACCTTAACTAACAGAATACATCTTACTAATATTAATCACTACAAAGGCTGAGCAAAGGATATAAAAATCAAAATCAATGTTGAAATTGAACAAAATGGCATATTCTCTTATCATTTTTTCCACTAAGAATTATTAAATATGCAAAAAGGTATTTCCAATTGGTCATTATTGCCATGCCACTTGAAAATAAATGGTCCAACTTTAAATTTACTTTTAAAAATAAATGAAAATTAATCATGCTCTCAACATTTCAAAAATAATTTTTGCTCAAAAGCTTTCTCAATCCCTTTCAGCAGAGTGTCATAGCCAAAAATTTAAAAAAGCATAACCTGAATTCTTATAAAGTGAATGAAAATAAGAAATATTTTTAAAATAGAAATCTTAATTTCATTTTTGTCACTTGTTCTTTGGCTGGCACAGTTTTCTGTGATTTTCTCTTGGGCACAATTTGTGAAGGTCTAAGTGGCTATTTGGGCCCACTTTAGGGCTGCCAGATTGTTGGATATCATTTTTATATACTCACAAAACTGAAAGAACCTACATGTTTCTAATCTGCTTTAGGAAAATCATGGTGTTCAACGCTAGTCAATGAAAGATATTTCTAGTTACTTCCATTAGATATATTGAAATGGCTACATACGGTTAATAAGAGGAAAATCTTCAAACCATAAATCAGTACACAACGTCACTAAATCATATTCCTATAGATACGGAGCATTTTAACTTAGATTAGTAATATTCACAATGGTTAAGTGCTTAGTCAAGGGAGACACAGCACGATCATATGAGTGTTGGAGAAAAATAGCAAAACCTGTATTTATATGCATCTTTTATAAAAGAAAAAAGAAATCTAACTTTTAAAATATACATACCCTTTCCTGGTTATGTAAGTCAAACATGTCATATAAGTGCACATGTCAATACACACATGTCATACACAGCACATGCGGTCCCCTGAGGGCAGGGAGATGTCTAGCAGCCCCTTACACCTTTGTTTACTTTTGTTGTTTTAAAGCACATTGCTTTATTTAATTTTTTAAAAACAACAATAAACAAGGGCATAATTGATTACATGCACCTAGTTAAGTGAATTTAGTGTCTATGTTATTCAATTTTAATAAAACTAGCATTTGCATGGAGCAAGTGGTTCAAAGGATTTTTGCAAATAAACCACAGATTGAAGATTGTACAAGTACCAATGAGTCACATAAAATGGCAAAGCTGACATTTTTTTCCTTTTGGCTGTAAGAATGAGCTTTTAGCCAACCACATTACAAGGTAGAAACCATGACAATTTAATCCTATTTTACAAGTATTCAGCTCTCAGAATTATCCATAAGACTATTATGTGGATTTAAATATACTGTGATTAACAATGAACTGCTCCTTAAATGTGTTATTGTACTTTTGTGTCTTTGTGAATCATCTCTTTCAGCTGTAACAGCCATTAAAACCAAACATTAAACTGATCTTAGAAACACTCTTCCAAACCTCTGGAAAACAAAATGTAAAAGGAATATCTTAAAAATAACGAAGTGTTTTCCTAACACAGAGCATTAAAAAAGATTTGTTTTTTTTTTTTAAATTAACAAGAAAATAACATTATTTTAAAATACTCATTAATCTTCAAAATTTCTATTATTTTATAGCATACATAATATATTCATATCATGTACATGTATATAATTTATAAATACTTCCATGAATTGAGGGTTCTTGTTGCAAATATTTCTCCCAACAGGTGTGTATAATTAAAAACTTTATTTACAACAATGTAGAACTGTGTGTTGTCTGACCTGGTAACCAATAGCCACATGTGACTATTGAGTACTTGAAATGTGGCTCATGTTACTGTGTTACTGCATTTTTTTACTTTATTTAATTTTAGTTGATTTAATTTTTTTTAAATGAAGCAGCGCCAAACAGTGTTTTCTGTTATGCACAACTGTATTGTTTAGTGGGACTACTACATGTGCTGTTGAAGATTTAGCATGTGAATTGAGATGTTTTGTAAGTACAATATAAAGTACATAGCATATTTCAAAGAATAAAAAATTCAGAGTACCCTGGTAATAAATTTATGTTGACTTCATTTAGAAATGATAATATTTTGGATATATTAGTTTGAACGAAATAAAGATTTAAAACTAATTTTATCTATTTTTTCTTACTTTTCTCTAACATGGTTACTGTAAAATTTCAAATTATGTATGTGTATTGCAGTATATTTCTGTTAGACAGCACCGATCCAAAAGTAGTAGGTGGTGGATAGAGAGATTTATATAAGAAACATTTAAAAGAACAGACTCACAACTTATGACAGATTCAAGTTTAGACTAATAGACCAATTTTTAATCTATAGAAGTTGTATATATAGGTACACTTAAAAATTATATGCGAATATCTTTAATTGGGATTTGTTGATCTTGATGCAACTAGGAATTTCCACTGACATCTACTGTATGCCACTTGAGTCATATAGAACAGTCTTAGAGAATTAACTGACATGGTATTAAATTGAAGTTACTCAATTTTAATTCTATTTCCAAAAAATAGCAGGTTTTTAAAAACTATTATATAAAGACTGTAACAGAAGCATTGTACAAAAAAAGAAAAAAAGGGACAATATAGCAAGTAGATCTTTTTTAAGAGAATAAGAGAAAACAAAAATTTGGCTTTCTTAATTATATGGTATCATTTTAAAAAAGAAAAATAAGTCAATTATCTCTCCTTCTTAAAGATAGCTGATGAACTTGGCAAGCCACAGAGAAGCTCTTTTTTATTCAAACCCATTGATTCAGATTTCCTATATTAACGGATCAGAAAAGTGAAATATAGCTTGAGTAACAGTTAGCCAGAATGCTTGGGGATCAGAATTGTTTTAAATGTCAGATTTCTTTGGATTTTGGAATATTTGCATATACATAATAAGGATCTAATTCTAAAGACAAAATTTGTATCATATACACCTTATACACATAGCCAGAAGGTAATTTTAAACACTCAGATTTTCGAGCATTTCAGATATTAGATTTTTGGATTAGAAATGTTCAACCTATAATCAGTAGTTTTCTCATGCAAAACAATATTCAATTAGAACATTTACCTATGGAATACCCACATACACAGAAATCATTATTACTTATTAATCACCCCTGCTGGGTCTTTTGGCCATTGGAATCCCCGAGCAGTTCCACTTGGATGCTGACTCTGAATAGGTAGAGAAAAGCTAATGCATGGAGTAGATGGTTACAACTAAACAGAGTACATGGAAGTACGGATCGTAAATAAAATTAAACTACACAGTTTTGGCTTATTTCTATTTAAAAGCATTTTTATCATAGAATTCTGTTTTTGTTAACTGTCCCCAACATATAAAGTCCCACAGGAGAAATTTCTTTTGCAGAGCTTAGTGCCTAGAATAACTTTGATTTCTCTGAAGACTTGTCATGTTTCACAACCTTCTGATATTAAAAAATGAATAAAACCTGGCAGAGTTTCAATTCATCAACTTGGAAAATATTTTGAGAATTATTTGCCTTTTCAAGTCTTCTGTTTTCCCTAAACCTGATTTATTATGTATATCTCAACATAATGTTATTGTATATGCTCTCACAAATACTTTCTAGCACAAGGAAGGGTAAAAATAGGTAAATGAATTATTTATTTAATTACTTTCCTAAATAACAAGATTGTATGAATTATAGTAAAATATCGCTAAGGGACTATGTAGATTTTTCTCATATAGATGCAGATCAACTTGGAATCAGGGAAAAAGTTATATATGTCTGATCTGTGGTCTCTGTAAACATGTTCTTCCAAAAAATAAATCCAAATATGAATTGTAGACTATAAATTGCTTTAGTAAATAGTACAGATTGATACTAAAACAGAAGAGCCAAATATATTCACTAAAATCCCAATTTCTTGTTACTTAAAGCAGATAAAATTGTGGTATATTTTAAGGAAAAACACTATCTACTGAAGCAATTGTTTTATTTGTATTAAAAAAGAATAAAGAGTATTTCTTAAAGCTTATTTTCATACAAAGTCAAAAACATAAAGAATTCTAGCATAATTAAATAACATAGGAATAAACTCATCTCTTATTCCTGTCAGAAAATTGCTCCTAATTATGGTGATATTACCACAAAGAATGTTTTTAATAACTTACTTCTGTTTGAGCATGTTGCATATTCTCTGAGAGAACTGACTTCTCCAGTAAAGATGGCTTTTTTCAAAGCTCAGATGCAAGAAGCTAGCAAATACTAGAACAGAAATTAGTATTTCTCTTAGATATGTTTCATCTCAGGGATATGCCTCACCTCTTAAAAAGGTTTGTAAATGGTGAAATTACCAATACATAAATCAGTCGAGAAATGTCATTTGTTCCATATTTGGGGAAAAATTTTAGAATATAATTAAATCTATGGTCCTGACTACACTGTTATAAAAGATGAGTGGGTGTGAGGGTAATCAGGGATTGGTTTAAGATTGCACCCAAATCTCTATTTGTGATAATGGTTGTGCACCTGTAATTCAATTCAAGATAGATGAAGTATCAAAAGGCAAAGTTAAACTACAAACAATTTCCTTTTATTTCTTATCTTTACAAATGAACAACATTAAGCTGAGCCTCAAAAAGTTACAGGTTCCAAAGCCTATTATCTATATAAAGTGAATAGTTATCCTTCTGCAATATCGTATGTACAGCAGTCTTCCCTCACTCACAGTTTTACTCTCCGGTTACCTCTGGTCAACCATGGTCCGAAAATAGGTAAATATCTTACAGTAGAGTAGGATATTTTCAGACAAAGACTAGATTTACATAACTGTTATTTCAGTATATTGTTTTAATTGCTCTGTTTTATTATTATTTTTGTTAATAAAGTACTGTGCCTAATTTATAAATTAAACTTTATCATAGGTACATATGCATAGAGAAGTAGTTTACTTAAGGTTCTGTACTATCCACAGTTATAGAGAGTCACTGAGCGTTTTGAAACATATCCCTTGTGGATAAGGGGGGATTACTGCATTTTAATTCAAAAAGTAGCATTTCAACACTATTTTCATGTTTATCTAATGCTTATGAGCACCAACGCTTTCACTTACCTCATGCTGAGCAGGAACCAGAAGAATGCAAATAATATGGGAAATGTAGAAATAGCTATTTTCAATTTAAAATAAATTGCAGCTTTCATGCATTATAGTCTCAGAACAAGGAATACTTCTCTAGAAAATCCAGGAGACTTTCTTGCCACTGGTATTGAGGTAAAGGATTGCTACTCTTTCTCGTTTTTTTTTTTTTTTTTTTTTTTTCGAGACTGAATCTCGCTCTCTCTCCCAGGCTGGAGTGCAGTGGCGCCATCTCCGCTCACTGCAAGCTCCGCCTCCCGGGTTCGCGCCATTCTCCTGCCTCAGCCTACCGAGTAGCTGGGACTACAGGCGCAGCCACCACGCCCAGCTAATTTTTCAGTAGAGACGGGGTTTCACCGTGTTAGCCAGGATAAGGCCTCACCTCATGTATTTGGGACTTGAAAGGAAGCCTGTGCAAGCACATGGTTAATACAATTTATTACCCACATTCCATACCACCAGCCACTCTTTCTACCTGCTCTGTATTCCTAGAAATGCATATCCTGAGAAGGGCACACAGTGAATTCATTTCTATATTTATTGATGACTTTTGATTACGTATGCAGAGCAGTCTGTTGTCTTAATAAAATTGGAAAACCAGATATTTTTTAATTTGGGTGGTGAGTCATCTACCATATTAAGCAGTTAATATACATAACCATAACAAGTAGGATTGGTATTATGCATACCAAAGTAGAGACTAAGCTGCTTATGCCACGGAAGCAGAGAGAAGAGAGGGATGAATGAAGCCCAAAGAATTGAAGGGAGAAAGATAATAGAGCTACAACGATTGAGAAAGATGGGTATTTGTGGCAGGTCAGCTGTTGGAAAGGATCGTCCTAGGCAGTGAGGAGTCTAGCATGGCCTGCCTGAAAAGGCTTCCTCAGAAACCAATAGAAGGTAAAGTTTGACAAGAAGAAGAGCAAAGTAATTCAGCAGATCTGGAATGACAGGAAAACTGTGGAATGGATCCGAGAGTCAGTGAGAACCGTTTAGAGATGTGGAGCAGAGGAAAAGCTAAAGAAAACTGGTGCTCTTGGATTAAAGTAATTTGCCTGGTTGTGGTGTGGGATGCAATTGGCATATGAATTTAGGTCTAGAGGATGAGGGGTCAGCCAAAAACCCACTTGGTAACCCAAGGTGAGTAGGTAGTAGCAATGGGAATAGAAAGAAGAAAACTAACATAAGCTGATTTAAAAAATGAACTCTGCAAATTAAAACTAAAAAGACAAAGGAAAAGGAGCAGTATCCATATGTTTACAGAGTAAGTAGTTCAAGGAAAGACTTTAGAAATCCCTTTCTAAAGGATTTTAGAAAGAATAAACAAGATGTCTTGGCATATGAAATTGCACTATATTTTAAAGGCAAATCAGTAAAAGTGGGCAGAACATCAAAGATCATGACACCAGGTCATGGGAAAGTAAGGGAGTACTCCCTTAGTTCCTTACTGGAAAAAAAAAAAAAAAAGAACTATT
Organism: Homo sapiens; assembly: GCF_000001405.40. Lineage (NCBI taxonomy): Eukaryota > Metazoa > Chordata > Mammalia > Primates > Hominidae > Homo > Homo sapiens. The sequence goes on along the minus strand of NC_000003.12, from coordinate 173,818,887 downwards.
CAAAGGCAGAACAAAATTAAAAAGCAAAATCCAAGCCCTCATTGTCTTTTTGTAACAGAGAGAAAAAACTGACCCTGGCTGAAGAAAAGACCCATATCTTTGTTGTTAAAAAGTCAGTAATGCAGCTAATTTATTACACTTCATGACTTTTCTCAGAGTTATAGGCAGGTGAAGAAGAGAACGTTTTATTTTCTCTGCAAAGTTCCAAGGTTACCCGTCCATTCCACAGATCAAATATCTACCTAAGGGCTAGTCACTCTCCTGGGATATTTTCCCTGTGTATTTTCTATTTTACAAACCAGTTTTGCTCATTTAATTCAGATAGAGAACTTTGCCTGGTTGGTTGTGGGTGGTCTGTTTGTTTGTCTGGATTTTGCATTTTTCCACAGTTGCTTTTTTAAACGATTTGTTCTGCTTCTAATTATTTTACAGCTTTAAAATTATTTCAAAATATTTTATCTGTCTTACAAAATATTTAATTTTGTAAATGCATGCAGGAAAAACTCATAAAACTGTGCTGAAACCCTCAGTCTACATTTCAAAAAAATTCATTTTTGTAGCACATCGTTCTTTTGGAAATACAACTTATCAAAATTTGTATTAATGTTTTGTTTATTTGTTTAATGTCATTCAATGTTTTGTTCATTTGTTTAATGTCATTTTTTCTCACTCACTCTGAGGTCCAGAGAGGAAGGATTGAGGCTGACTTTTTTAACATTGTAAACACCAATAATTAGAAGGCTATAGTGGCTGCTTAATAAATATTTGTGGAATTAATGAAAGAATAAATGAATGAATGAGTTAAAAGGATGACTTCTGCTCTGAAAGAAAGCTAAATATATTTTTGTTTATTGTTTAGTTAGTTGTAGTCCTATCAATACCTGGAAATGGTTGTTGAATTCTAGTCCTAGAAGAATGCTTTAACTAGCAATGAGGGAAATTTTGATACTATGTTCTGTAGTCTTATTCCAAATCACTGATCTTAACAACTTGAGAAAATCACAAACCACATTTTCTCAAATTCCTCCCAGAATTTGCCCAAAGACTATTAAGACAATAATTAAAAATAATAAGATATCCTTTTTAGGACAACTCAAAACTTAAATGAAGCCATATTAATACCATAGAAACATTAAGAAATAAGGAGGCATCATGATTACATGATTACTATATTATAGATTACTATATTATAATCTCTCATATTTGCCAGTCTCTGAAATATAACTCATATTGATTCTCACTCCTTCAAAGCAGGCATTCAGAAGAACTCTTCACAATGCTGGTTTGATTGACTCCATTATCAAAATAAAGGAAGAAAAACTGCCAAAATCTGTGTTGCTCTTTGTGTAAAAAATAGATTCTTATACTTACCTGAGTGAGTCCAGCCTCAGCAGGTCCCTCAATCTTCTATGAGCAAAATATCTGCCTCATCCATTGACTACCAACCGTCTCACTTTAACGAGGTATTAGCCGTGCTTTTTGTATCCACAGCAGAATGTCAACTTTGATCAAGGTCTAGGCCTACCAAAACATTTTTTAAATGCAGATCTAATCATGTCACTTACCTGCTCAGTGTCTTATAACTGTTTCTGATTGTTCATAGAAATCCTAAATCTTTAACAAGGTGCTGCACAGCCTGCTGCCTATGTTTTTAACCTTATTTAACACTGAGCATTCCAGCTGAGTTTGCTGAGCTCTGTTAGCATGCAAAACCGTTTCCTTCCTCTGGTTTTCACCCAGACCCTCTTTTCTGCCCACAGCTCTGCCTTCTCCGCTTTATGACCACATCTGATCAACACCTATTGACCCTTGAGATCCAGTTTAAATTCATTAACAAATATTTTCTGATAAAATATCCTTTGCCAGAAACTATTTTGGGCTTTGTGGAGCTAGACAATAACAAAATGAACAATACCAATATAAACAGAAGATAATCAGGGATGATAACTGTAATGCAGTAATGCAGACAATTTTAAAAGGGAGATGGCACGAAGTGATGGCTCTTGTTAGATTGGATGAACATGGATGATCTCCCTGAGAAGATGACATTTAAACCAAATCAGAATGATAAAGAACTGGCCCCACAAAGATCTGGGGTAGAGGAAACACCAGGCATATAATGCCTAAAATGGGAGAAAGTTTGATGTCTATGAAGTATAAATGACCACTGGAACAGAGAGGAAGAGTGTTTTGAGATGAGCTAAGAAATGCAGGCCAGGACCACTTCATGAGGGCTTTTGCCAGACAAGGCAGGGATGAAGTTTGAATTTTATGCTACATGAATAATGGAAAGCCACTAGAGTGGGTTAAGCAGAGAAGTGAGCTGTTATAATGCAGGTTTTTAAAAGATAATTTCGCTGATTTAAATCTAGCGTTTTAGAAAACCTAGGAAAATAAAGAGTTTTTACTTGATCATCCAGATGGATAAGGCAATGACATCAGTACAGTGTTGCTTTAAGAGAGGTTAGAATCCTGGTTCCACCACTGAATGCTATTTAGCCTGTGTGACTGTAAATACATTAGTTAGCCTCTCTACTCACTTGTTTCTGCATTTATGAAATCTGGAAACTAACAATGCTACCTCATAGAGTTGTGAGAATGTAATAATGCAATCTATGTAAATTGCTTAAAACAAATTTTGGAATATAAGTCTTCAATGAATGTGGCCACCATTACTATTGCTCTTGTTGCAATGATTATTAGGTTATTATTGACTTCTACAACTAGGCTATAATCTTATAATAATTATAATTATAGTATTTGACAATTATAATTAGATATAGATTTAATTATAACTATTATTAAAAATTTAAATATATAATTACAGTATTTCATTACTGACTATATTATATTTATAATTTTGTAAATATATTTAATTAACTATTATAATTAATTATTATAATATAATTTAAGGATTTTCACAATATCCTTAATAACTAAAAGAATGACATAATAATATTATAACTTAGTTGTAGAAGTCAATAAGAAAAGGAGGCCTGAGAAATTCAACATATTTCAGCCATGTTAAGTTTAAGATATTCATTAAACATCTACATGGAAGGGTTGGTACACAGAAGTATATGAAAGGCTGGAGTTCTGAGGAAGGGTTAGTCTTGAAGACATGGTTTTGAAAAGTCACTTCCATAGAGATGGCATTTGGTAATGCACAGGGTTCTTTAAGGCGTATCATAGAGAGAGAAGGATAGAGAGCCAAGGATTATGCTTAATTGCACAACATTTAGAGGTCAGGGTAGGAGAGTAGGAGTCAGCAAAGGAGACTGAGACGAAGCAGTCAGGGAGGTAGGAGGAAAATCCTGGGTGATACCACGAAACAAGCAGGCCAAAAAAGGAATGGTTAACTGTGTCCTGTGCTAGGAAGTGATCATACAAGATAAAAACAGAGAAGTGACTAATGAAGTTGGCAATCTAGAGGTCTTTGGGAATCTTGACAAGGGTTTTCTCAGTAGAGTATAAGAAATGGGGCTGGGTGCGGTGGCTCATGCCTGTAATCCCAGCACTTTGGGAGGCTGAGGCCTGCAGATCACGAGGTCAGGAGATTGAGACCATCCTTGCTAACACGGTGAAGCCCCATCTCTACTAAAAATACAAAAAATTAGCCGGGTGTGGTGGCAGGCGCCTGTAGTACCTACTTGGGAGGCTGAGTCAGGAGAATTGCTTGAACCTGGGAGGCGGAGGTTGCAGTGAGCCACTGCACTCCAGCCTGGGTGACAGAGGGAGACTCCATCTTAAAAAAAAAAAAGAAAAAGGAAGGAATGAAGGAAGGCAGGAAGGAAGGAAGGAAAGAAGGAACGAAGGAAAGAAGGAAGGAGAGAAAGAAAAAGAAAGAAAGGGAAAAGAAAGGGAAAGGAAAGAAAAGAAAAGAGAAGAGAAAAGAAAAGAAAAGAAAAAAAGAAATGGAAACTTGAATGTTACCTCCTCAGGGAAACTGCTCTGTGTTTCTAAAATAAAGTAGCTCCCTTCTCATTGCACTATTTCTCTAGAATTTATATAGGTAATTGCTAAGAAAATTAACTTTGCATTCAATCGTTATCTATGTAAACTATATGATTTGTTTAATTATTTATTTTCTACCTTCCCTAAAGCTAACAATCTACTGATAGCAAGGTTCACATATATCTTATTTTTCACAATATACTTAATAGCTAAGAGAATGACATACATAATATTGCTCAATTTATAGAGAATAAGGGAATAAATGGCTGAACGAATACATGAATGAATTACCTAACACACACCATTTTACTTCTTTTAACTAACATCCACAATAATTGACACACTTACTTTCAGATTGTTTCTGTTTTGGGAATAAATAAATAGTTGCTTTTACTGCGGGCCACTTGAAACCATTTTGGAGGGAGTAAGGGAATAAAAATAATGAGCAGTCAACTTTGCAAAATATCATTACCTATCTAAAGTTGTCCCCTGCACCTGTCGCCACAGGACAAATAGTTTCTCTATTCCAGGAGCTCATTTTAGTACTCAATCTAAAATTGATTACCATCTAGCCCTTATTAAAACCCAGTTGACATAACATATTTGAGAGAAGAAATCTATGGATCAAATAAACCATCCATTGCTCTAAATTGTATTTTAGCTCTATCCTATTATAAGTGAAATCACCAAATATCTTACCCAGATTGCCTTTGGTTAGCTCTTTGCTAAAATGATATTATAGAAGTTATGAGCACTTATGAAGTTATGACACTATGGGGTGCCCCTGTGGGCGAGACACGCACCCTGGGTGAAAGCCACAGACCCCACGAACCCTGCGGGCCCAGCTCAGGGGCTGCTGGGAAGTCACGGTCGTCCGTGGGAGGACACAGGCCTAGCCCTCGGCCTCGCCGCTTTTGTTCCCCAGCTGCCTTTATTATGTCTTTGGTTTTTACAGAAGGTTACTATAAATAATCATATACTGAGAATATTTTTGCATCTTATAATGACACGAAGACTATCACACAATTCCTGTATTGTCACGTTTCAAATAGAAGAAATACAACCCATATGATAAATTCTTCTGTAGTACAATGTAAGAGAAACTATTATTTGCGTATTTTTTTCTGGTGAATATGTTTGTTTCCTTTTTGTGATTATGATAATTATGAAATTAAATCCATTATATTTTACTGTGCTTCTAGAAAACTAGGAAATGCATCTGTGTTCAACTGTTGTACATATTCATGACCTAACTTTCTGTATCCTTTTCTCTGTATTACTATTCAAATATGATTTTACCAATCTATTTATTTGTGTGCATTGTCACAAATTACTTCCACTTTTTCAAATTAGTATGAATAAATGAAAATAGAAATAAAGACTGTCTTTCTCCCTTTCCTTCAATTAATACCAAGGATACTCCACTCTTTGTGGCCTTCCTCCGGTACCACCATTTCCATGAAAACAGTCTGGACTCTATAGACACACTGACTCTTTTTCTTTCTACATCTCAAGAACGCATTTGGATGTGTTGTAGAATATTACAATCGCATAAAATTTAACATTTGTTTAAATATTACTCTTAAATATATGATCCCACTTGAAGTTTTTTGTTTATTTGTTTTGGAGTATGAGACTTTTGTTTTTTGGGGGTTCTTTGAAAGAGTCAGACAGAAACAAAAACAATTCAATAAACAGGAGTAACAATGACAAAACATTGTACCACTTGAGGAATTAATATGCTTTGCTCTTTAAATCATGATCAATGCACAGGCTTTAGCAAATTTCCTTGATCCTAGGCCAATCAGTTTCAAATATAAATATCAATTACTATATCCTTACTAATCCATCAGATATTCTACCTTTCCTTACTTTTCTCTCGTTCTGTTTTCCTTTTATATATCAAGTGAATCTATTCATATAGATCAATTAATAAATCAATATATTATAAATATAAAGTAGAATATCAATTATTATTCTCTACTGTTTTTCTCCTCAACTATAGTGAAAGCTCTTTTTTAAAGATAAAAACTATACTGTCCTCACTTTTATCCCTCAGAAAAGGTGTATAATGCTGAAAACAAGTGTTACTGATTTGATGACTGACCACACCAAAGTTTTATATATATATATATAAAAATACATATATATATACACACACATATATATATATACACGCACACACATATATAGTATGTGTGTGCGTGTATATACACACAACCTTTTTAAGACAAGATCTCACTCTGTCACCCAGGCTGGAGTGCAGTTGTAGGATCACAGACGCAACTGATCCTTCCGCCTCAGCCTCCTGGGTAGCCCGGAATACAAGCATGTGCCACCACACCTGGCTAATTTTTTGAAAATTTTTTGTAGAGACACAATCTCACCATTTTGCCCAGACTTGTCTTGAACTCCTGGGCTCAAGTGATCCTATTGCCTCAGCCTCCCAAAGTGCTGAGATTACAGGCATGCACCACCACGCCTGGCCTAAAGTTATACTTATTGTTGCCATTTATCTAATAATACTTGAAGCATTATTATGGCATAGATAGTCTAATTTTAAGAATCAAAAAATTTCATTAACCATATCTAATAGAATAAAAATAAATTAAGGTGTTCATTAAATGTATATGCAGTGAAGTTAACAAAAGCTTGTTTTAAACAATTTAGCCCCACATAGAATTATAAAGTAAGCTAAATCTAATTGTTTAAATATAAGTAGGTGAGCTAGCACTTTAAATTATTTTTTTCCATGGACGGGTGGTGTAAATATTCAATTACCAAGTAAAATATTTAATTAGATCCTTTTCCAAAAATGTGCCAAATGTCCAGATAGATATCAGTACTTCTAAAATATTTAAACTTTTTTTCTAAAATAAATCACATGTGCTAGAATTATGAATTGCATAATTGCCTCCAAGATATTTATGTCAAGATAAAGGTAACTGATTAAATTTCCACCAGATTAAAATCTCGTTTGCCCAAGTAAGATCCTCACAGGGGTATTAAAATTTTTCTTTTACTCCAAAAGTAATTTAAAGATTTATTCTGAATTTAAATAAGTGGTTGGAACATTTTAATGATAAATTACTTAACATGTTTTTCATGTTTGACATTTGTCAATATCACTTAAATAATTTCTATTTTAAAAAATGTTTTGTGGACATCTCATCTAATAGTGACTTATTTTATATTCTCTTTCAATTCTTATCTTATATATTCTATAATTCTTGTCCATAAGAACATGTTTACCCTAGTTACAATCAGAACATTTAAGTTTGATTATTTCCCCCCTTTAAGAACACATCAAGTATTTATCCCTGCATTTCTTTTCTCTTCTTTTCTTCCTTTTTTTTTTTTTTTTTTTGAGACGGAGTTCACTCTTGTCACCCAGGCTAGAGTGTAATGGCGCAATCTCAGCTCACTGCAACCTCTGCCTCCCAGGTTCAAGTGATGCTTCTCCTGCCTCAGGCTCCCGAGTAGCTGTGATTACAGGCACCCACCACCACGCCAAGCTGATTTTTGCATTTTTACTAGAGACAGGGTTTCACCATGTTGGCCAGGCTGGTCTTGAACTCCTGGCCTCAGGCCATCCACCCACCTTGGCCTCCCAAGGTGCTGGGATTACAGGTGTGAGCCATCACACCTGGCCATTTCTCCCTACATTTCTAAGATGATTATAAACCATACAATAGAATGTTTAAAAAATACCCTACTAACAATAATTTTAAACATATATAAGGACTATGTAACAATATATCAAATAATAGATGCTGAAGAAAGCAAATATGGAAAGTTTATGTCAAAACTGGCTGAGGACAAAGAATGTGTAAAGTCAAAAGTGAAAGAAAAGTTAAATATTTAGTGTATAAGAAGTGTGAAACTAAATGGCAGGAGGTCGCCAGGAGCTCTAACATGAAACTGGGGAGTGAGGTTAGTAGGCAGAGTCCTGCATTCCCTTCCCTCTTTGTCAATCTTATTGGCAGTTTTTCCTATCACTTCCAATAGCATTTCCAGGGTGGGGGAAAATCATACACCACACAGTAAGAGTGATATTCTGTGTTACCACTGGAAAGGAAACCACTAAAGGGTGTCGGTAGAAGAACTAATTCTGACCTGTTACTAGCTTCTTCTGAGGAATGGTAGAGGTATTTTTTTCTTCTATTCTATTCCTACTTTGTAATAAACAAATTTTTTTTAACATGAGATCTTTAAACTGAAAAATTGGCAGCTAGATAGCTGTACGAATTTTCTAATTAAAACATTATCACATCTCTATTCATCACTAAAATCAAAGAGCAAAAAACAAAACTTGTAAGATTCCCCACCACCTCCACATGGCAAGTTCAAATCAACACAGATTGCACTACCTGTTCCAGACATCCTGATTGTTCCAACCAGTCGCCTCAAATCAATGATCTTGTAATTACCCAGTTTGTCCATTGGACCCCCAAATCTATTTCTTTCACACCAAAATACCCCAGTGAAAACACAGCTCAGGATTTCCTCGGATGTGGGATCATATCTTATTTCCTACTTAATCACTCAAGTGCAAATTAGACAGCCATAGTCTTGGATCCCACACCCAAGAAACCTTGGCTTACCTTTTTACTGTTAGACAAACTATTCACAACATCAATCTCAAAAGTCTACAGTCTTTATTGTTGCAGTTCTGTCCGATGAGCTGTTGATCTTGCTGTGGTGCGGCACTCATGCAAAGTATGCTGAAACAAATGTTCTGATAATTTCTTTTTTATGAATTAATTTATTTAAATACATTTTCACAATACCCAACACATATTTTTGGAAAAAAGTGACCAGAATACCTCTGTTCGAGAACCAATGTCTTAAAGTCTACCTAAACAATGTTTCACAGAGTTTATGTTTTGTCACGTTGAGAGGAGGCCTATCAAGGACAGCCTTTGGCTTGTTATCAGTGTATAATGTGTTTAAGAGAAATAAAGGAGAGGAGACAACTAAATGTTATATTCTAGGGTACAGTAGAGCCAGAACAAATATTTAACACTGGGAAATCATACTTTGATAATATCAATACTGTCTGCTCTCTGCTACTATCTAAACCAAGTGATTGACTGAGTGCTTTATATTTTAGCGAGTTAATCCATTGCCTTGCAATCCAATCCTCACAGTGCGGCATTTAAAATGGGGTATGGGCATGAATATAGGATTAAAATCAGGTCAAAGTCAAGTCCTCATCAGTTCTGAACACATAAAAAGAAAAAGAATGGGTAAAGTTTTTGTTAACATAACAACAAAGTTTATGTTATGAAATCTTGCTTTATATAAACAGAACCAATAACAGAAAGAGGCAAAAAAACTTGTGGCCAAAGCATTTCTTAAATAAAATAGATAAATATGAATAACTGGATGTTCAAGTCCTTAAAAACACTGTTACCATAATTTAGCATTTCAATTTAAAGTTTCATCTGGCAAACTGGCCACTGCTCAGGATTTTCAACTTAAAAATTAGAAAAATATAAGAATAATAATCAGCAAAAACAACTGAGCTCTCAACAATACTACCATTAAGATTCAATGCATGAAAATATTAAAAACCCTCCTTCCAATGAAAATGTTCCATAGGAAACAAATGACAACATTAAGATTTAAGAATTCAAGGTTTAAGATTCAAGAATTATTATGAGCAATTATTTATATGTCTTAAATACACAGAGTTTTCACTGGTGGAAAGACACTCATCCCAGCCCACAGAAATCATATGAATGTTTGAAGCAATGGATGATTAGACACTATGGAGGAACTCATGTGTATTCGATCAGTGCTACAGAATATTTTATACCTACACTTACGCAGTGCATCTATGGTCATTCACCACACTCCAAATTTCAAAAAAGCAAACTAGAAAATGACTGAGACTTAACCTTCACATTGGTAAAATGTCTCCTTCCCCCAGACTATAAACTTGATTCACAAAAATTATTCTACCTTTTAAAATATTTTGTGATAAGCATAAACACAGAATTATGATTACATAGGAGTTACAATAACACTGAAGGGGAAAAATTCTGATTCTCAACGTGGATAAAAGATATGATACTACCAAGGAAGGAATATAATACAAATTCCTTTTTCAGAATCTTTTAGATAATAGAATGAAAGAGTGAGGCGCTTCTTTGTGTATAAACAAAATTATAATTTACGCTTCTTCAAGTCTATAGTATGGGATAAGACTTGGAGGACAATTAAGATTAAAAAGTTAAGTATTTTGTGGATGCATTGTGCTCTTTTAGCAAATTCTGTTAATTAAATACATCACAGATAAAGATGTTTTACTAAATCATACAGTAATTTTACTCCTCAAATTGTGGTAATACTATAACAAACAAATATATGCTAGAATAGCAAGTTTATCTTTTAAAAACTGGTTATTGTATAAGATAACATGCCTATCTCAGAATACCTAAGTTATTTTATAAGTAATATGTCTCTATACTTTTTATCAAAGCTAAAAATCTCCACTTTGTATTTATCATTCTTTTGGCAAGAGTATACATCATTGAACTGAATTCTTTGTTACTTTATAAAATCAATGCATGTTTTTTCAAATTAAATAATTCAATCAGAATACATTCAGAAAAATATTACTAATTATTATGGAACCAAAATAACAACAACAAACCAAAGAAACCTCCATCACAATGGCAAACAATCATTCCCAAAAGCGAGTCCATATACATACTCCAGAAGAGAATGTAAACTTAGTCTTAGCTCACGCCAAACCTCAGGGAAACTTAGAGTATTGTAAACAGAAAAGCAGAAGAAGGAAATATTTGTTCAAAGATGTACTCTTCTTCAATAAGGCCCTGCCATTTTGTCTTTCATAGTTTATAAACCAGGAAGTACATTCCATGACAATGTGAATAATTTCATCACCTTTTAGTTTCACATCTTAAAACCAACCTATAGAATTCATTGAAACTATAAAAAATTTGGGCTCGAGAATGTCAACACGCATAAAAAAATGGGTGAAACAAAGCAAAGCAGAACAAAACAAGTCAAAACAAAACCATCACATACTTCATGGATTCATGGTGAAAACAAAAGAGAGACTCTTCTTACCGAGTACTCCAAGTCGATAGTTGACTGTGATGACGATCACATTGCCATAACTTGCCAAGACACTTCCATCATATAAATTTCCAGTACCTTCCATATATGAGCCACCATGGATATACACCATCACTGGTTTGGGACCCCCACTGTCCCGAATATCTGGAAAACAAATGGTTGGCAATCGTTCTTATCCTCAAAAATAACACACAATGAAGCAGAGAATACATTTTCCATCTTAGTGAAAAGAGGGCATAATTTCAATATAGTTCTTAAACTGCTGTTTTTATTAAAGTGTTTCTTAAGCAACTCATATGAATAGCTATTGTGGAAATAGCAATAGGCATCCATTGTTTTCTATCAAAATTTTGTTTACAAGTTGCAAACTGACTTATAAAACTTAGACAAATTAAAATTAGATGTGAATTTTAGTGCATTTTGATTAATTCCTCAAGTGACAGTAAACGCAAAAGAAACAGAATGGCAATGATTCTTAGGACTACTTTTTAAAAATATGATAGACTTCACATGACATTATGAGCCATAAACTAAAGACAATGGTATTATTGCTGTTGTGAACAAAAGAATCTGTTTAACCTTTCTTATGTACTGTAAAACTTTGTGTCAAATGCAACATGATTACATCAACTCATTTATGCTCCAATTTGTGAACATAATTACAGTATTGTGTTATGCAAGATGTTTCAGTTTACTACCTAAGTAATGTCAGATGAATGTTTAGGCACGAAAGTCATGTACATCTGTGCTCCTCTTGTTGCATTTAGGGAAATGTCATTAGAATGATATTTTTTAGGAAATTCAGGACATCCACTATATCCAGCTCTCCTTACCCTTTGGAAGAAGAGAACAGACAAATATTTTTTCACTTTCTTTGTGTGGCTAATATACTCTTCTTCTTCACGCTTTGGCTCTATGTTTTATCATGTAGACATGGGATGGGATAGAGCTAAGTTCAAGTGTAAAGTGTCAAGATTTAGGGTTCAAGTGATTTCTACAGCTCTGAATTTTATTAAATATATTTGCTCTTCTCATACTTTTCCTGAATTCTGTAATTTTCAACAAGGATCTAGAAATAATATATAAATAAACATAACATAATTTTAATCAGTATGAAAAATGCACTGATTTCTGTAGATAAGCCTAACTGTGTATATCAGCAAACATAGTTCTATCTACGTATTATATAGATTGAAATATTTGAACTACTATATGTATGCATATATATGGCTCTGAATATATACATAAAGAAAACATTACTATTATGTAATAGCCCATGATCTCTTATACCCACAATTGAAACAAAATTACATCAAATGTATTATCTTTTTTTATGCCAATATTAAAACGTATAATTTAATAGTATGTTTTTGTTCCTTTGCTTTCAAAATTTTTTATCACTTTTAACTCTCCAACATCCTTATAATCGAGGTGCCAGTTTTCAGAATGGACTAACAGAATACAAATTTATTGAAAGAACTAGTGATTACTTAGAGATTGCTTTGCATTTTTTGTAAAAAAATAGAATGTGTAATGTAAATGCCTTGATTTCTCTAGCGTAATAATAAAGTGATATCTTCAAATGAAGAATCATTTTAGGTCAAGGATTGCAGCTCAGCTTGTTTGCCCAGATTTTCGAGTTGGGGAAATGGCTCATTGCAGAACTTAACAAACTTTTTTAAAAGACTATTTAAATTTGACTTAATACCAGTGTATAAAGTTACTAGTACCCCTCTAATTCCCCAAAGGTATATTTGAGAATAATATCTTGTTTTTAAGTAGTGAGGGAAGGATACTTTGACATAGGAACCATTCACTAAACACAGACACATTTAAGAGGAAAATCTGAATTTATTTTCTCCTTGAAACCTTGGGAGAAAAAAATAGTATTCATTCATTTATAAAGATCTGGGGGCTTGTGGAGATGTTAGACTTACACAGAGAAAGCAATCCTTTTGAGATTGTTAAACTGTGCACCTTAAATGCCTGTTTGCTACATACAGTTTCAGCTTCTTATTTTTCTAGTGTGGCTGGCACTGAAAAAGCAATAATAAATTATTAAACTGAAATCATTAACTGACTGTTCACAGCAGACACTGTACTCGGCTAATTGTATGCTTGGAGGTAGCACAGAGGGAGGCTGTTTCAGAATTCTTCTTTAATTAAAATTACATAGAATTACAAAGCACCAACTGTGAACAGTAATGAAATCTTGGTAGAACCATTCTGTTCACCTGGAAAACAATACAACAATACAGGCACACATTGAGAAGACCTGCCACGTTTTATATTTAATAACAGAATTAAGTGGACATTGTCAGAAAACACTGAAAATATGACAATAGATTCTAGGAGCTATTTTGAGTGGTATCTCTTTATTTTTCTTTGAAAATTAGACTTAAAAGGATTACTGATAGTCTGGGTTAATCTTAATTTTTAATTTGCCTTTTCAAACTTTTCAAATTTCAGCCTTGCCTAATAACTTAAGATATTGAGCAGTTCTTTTCCATAAAGTTCTCTAGTATTCTTATGCTGTGTTCTGAAAAATATTTTTCATTTTAAGTAACCCTGAGATTTAGGTTATAAAAAGTATTATTAGGCTGGTGCAAAAGTAATTATGATACTTACTAAAACAGGTAAAATTCTTGGACATAACAAACCTTAATATTGTTAACAAAGTTTGAGAAACTGTAGAAACTTTGGATATTTTCTGTTACAGGAAAAAAATGGAAGCCTTTAATAGTGCATTGTCAGAGTGGTCCACCTTAGGCTTTATTTTAATTTAATTTTTATTTTTGAGACTGAGTTTCACTCTCGTCACCCAGGCTGGAGTGCAGTGGCGTGATCTCAACTCATTGCAACCTCCACCTCCAGTGTTCAAGCTATTCTCCTGTCTCAGCCTCCCGAGTAGTTGGGATTACAGGCGCCTACTACCATGTCTGGCTAATTTTGCATTTTTAGTGGAGATGGGGTTTCACTATGTTGGCCAGACTGGTCTTGAACTCCTGACCTCAGGTGATCTGCCCTCCTCGGCCTCCCAAAGTGCTGGGATTACAGGTGTGAGCCACCATGCCTGGCCAGGCTTTACTTTGTATAATGTTTTATTACAAATTTCTATCTTAGGCTTAACTTTTATGCTTAGTTTATAGGGTTTTTTTTTTTTTTTGATGTAAATAGCAATCTAAAGGCTCTCAATTACAACTATTTATTTGTTTTTAGAAAGAACCAGACTCTTTATAAATAAAACTAATATATCAGATAGCCTACCATTGAATACCATCTGCTAATTCCATCATTTTAATAATAATGTTGAAGGGGGCATTTATCTTCTGTGCAAATATATCAAATGCAGCTTATTAATTTATAATTAATTTTTTAGAGCCAAGTTGTCTCTTTAAACCTTTACATATTTAACCACCTATAAATATAGTGGAATTTGTGAACTATGAATTTTCACTTAAGATTTTTTACTTTGCCTAAACAGCATCTACTGACTTTACTAAAATCACAAGAACACACTCAGAAATTTTAAAATACTAACTCAGTTCCAGTAAAAGTACAAATGTTTGTCAGGCATGTTTATAATTTCCATTATTTGCAATGGTTTTAAGCCTTACTAAACACAAGCATTTAAATCAAGTTCTTCAAGTTAAAAAAAAAAATTGGAGTCTGAGTAAACACCTTGATTTAAAATTTTAGTACCTATTTTATCTTTCTTATAGACCAAAATTTTAAGCCAATGTAGCAAGTGTCAATAGATCTAGAGCAGTTAATGGGGATTTATTTGTACCTGACAACCAGAGTTTGAAATTACAACTTCCATTAATGATCTTAGTGAATAATTATTAGTGATATAATCATTAAATATGTTTACTGATTTTTTTTGTCTTAAAGGACTCATGAAGTATTTAATTGCCCATATTTTAGAGTTTTTAGAATTAACAGTTTTAAAATTGTGAAGTATTGCCTCAATTAAATCTTTCTCTATTATAAAAAAACACATTTCAAGGCAGACTTTTGTGCCTCCAGTCATTTTTATGAACCTCAAGTTATCATTCAGAACCACTGAATGAACATAGAAGTGTTGGCTGAATTTCTGCTTGTTAAACTGGACATAACAGAATTAAACACACCTTTTTAGCTTAAAAATATTCAAAATCTACAAAAAATTGTCTTGAACTATATAGTATATAAAATTGCATTTAATTTTTTTTGTTTGACAGAATCTCATTCTGCGGCCCAGGCTGGGGTGCAGTGGTGCAATCTGGGCTCATTGCAATCTCCACCTCCCAGATTTAAGCAATTCTCATGCCTCAGCCTCCGGAGTACCTGAGATTATAGGTGCTCGCCACCATGCTGGGCTCATTTTTTTATTTTTAGTTTCACCACGTTGGACAGTCTTGTCTCCTACTCCTGATTTCAAGTGATCTGCCCACCTCGGCCTCCCAGAGTGCTGGGATTACAGGGTGTGGAGCCACCACACCCAGGGTAAATATTGAAATGTTAATATGAAGGCATTATTAGCACCATTAAAATTTTTAAAAATACTTCTTAAATTTTTAAAATACTTCTTAAATTTTTAAAATAAGTTGGTAGAAATCTGGGATGTTACTTTGAACCATTTTTGTCACTTCAGATTAGTCTTGTTTTTAACTATGGAATTGTCTTAAAGATATACAATTCTGCCAGGCCTGGTGGCTCACGCCTGTAACCCCAGCACTGTGGGAGGCTGAGGCAGGTGGATCACCTGAAGTCAGGAGTTCGAGACCAGCCTGGCCAACATGATGAACCATGTCTCTACTAAAAGCAAAAAATTAGCTGGGCATGGTGGCAGGCGCCTATAATCCCAGCTACTTGGGAGGCTGTGGCAGGAGAATTGCTTGCTTGAACACGAGGGCGGAGGTTGCAGTGAGCCAAGATCACGCCACTGCCCTCCAGTCTCCATGACAAAAGGAAATTCTGTCAAAAAAAAAAAAAAAGATATACATTCTTTTGTATATCTTTTTGTATACCCAGGAATATGGCCAGTGGCCTTGCAATTCAGTGGCTGAGACTGGGACCTGAAATGAAGCATAGGTGGAGGGGAACTGGGTGGGGAATTTCACATAAGTGATCTGATGACCTGACTTCTGACTGATGTAAATGAAGTTACTTATCAAGTCCTTCATATTTGTTGCCTTATGTCCAGTGATGTCGAGTCAACATTTGGAACAAATTCAATATTGATCACAATTTTTATTCACAGTCACATCTACAAAATAATGATAAAAAGAATTGAGTTAAAAATGCTCTGAAATTTCTATAAAAGGTTTCTTTTCCCCTGTAGGATATCTGAATTCATCTTTCTTGTATTCAAAACAATTATCTGAAACAACACAGAGGAAGAGACCGAACTGGAATTGACTGTTTTGACATTCTACGCTTTTGAGTATTTAAAAATATTTATTGATTCAATAACTCTTGTGACTGAATGGCTTAGTACTTAACCTGAATACTACCTGACATTTTAATAGGGTTTTAGGATATTTTAAATGGCTATTTAAAAATGTTAAATGTGCTTCAAAACATGTCTATAAAATAGATTCAGGTTTACATGGCCTAGCTATGATCGCTCAGACTTACCTACTCTAAATAGGTAAATGCCTTACTTGAAGCTGTTTTAACAAAAGGAAAAAAAAAATCACATTAAATAAGCAATCAAAATATTTTTAAAATAGGAAAATAATGTATTTTAACCCTTTGCCTAAATGGGGAAAATTTGGCCTTTACAAAGATACACATGAAGAAGTCCTGTATGCTTTCAGTATTATTTAGATAACAAATTCTAGGAGTTAAGGATTTTCAAGGGGTTCAAAAAGTCCCAAAGCCTGAAAGTGGAAGTAGTCTTCTTATAGTTTTGGAAACAGTAATTAATGTTCTACAATGTCACAAAATATCCTGAATGTTTGAATGCATCAAATTTCAAATAGTGTTTAAAATATCAGAATTTGCATCTTGATAGTATAAGTTTATTTTTAGCTATTTAACATTCAGAATAACTCTTGGACAGCGATAATGATTTGTTTCAAATATTAATGACTGCTTTGTGTTTAATCTTTAATCCACTGCTGGTGTTCGTGGTAAATAAATATTTAATCAAATGTCATACATTTTATTTAATCAAAATAATTCTTAAGTGTTTCAAAAATATTAACACCAAATATAATTTTTAAGTTCTCAATACTCCACCTCTGTAATTTAATTATCTGTTGTGAAGGAGTTTATTAAATGTATATATGTCAATGCAAATAAGGCAAATATTTTAGTAAAAATTTATTTACCCATAGTTCCCTTGTAACTCATGGAACAAAACTTTTGCTGTCCTTGTTGTAGATTATTTTATTTTGGAAAACTTTTCTAACCACATTATTATTTTCGTTATGAGATTTAATTTCTAGATTTCTGGCACTTACTCTGAAACCTGGGATTACAAAACATAACAAAATGAACAAACAAAAAGCATAAACTTTAATCCTGATTGGAACCAAAAAAGATGAGCTCACTTTAACACCATGTAAAGGTACAGTGAAATCAGAAATGTCAAGTCAATCTAGGTAGTGAGTTCATAGGTTTACAGAGTAAATCAGAATTGTATGTCAAATGAAAGTTGTAAGGAGAAACAATTTGGATATTAATGAAGTAGAAAATATTCTATTGCTTATAGTTGCAATGTTTGAAAATCAGAATATTTTATTTGACAATCTGGAAATCATGTCTCCTTGAAATTAAGAATATTCATTGAATCTTGTCTAAGAAAATAGCT
The DNA here is from genome assembly GCF_000001405.40 of Homo sapiens. Taxonomy (NCBI): domain Eukaryota; kingdom Metazoa; phylum Chordata; class Mammalia; order Primates; family Hominidae; genus Homo; species Homo sapiens. The sequence goes on along the minus strand of NC_000003.12, from coordinate 173,801,021 downwards.
ACAGACTCTATCAAAAGTACTACAGGAGTCCAGAATACTTAAATGGTTGTACAATGTTTACTACAGTTTTCTAAATAGTTGTAATGCCTTTTCTTATGTATACAATTTAATTGCATTTATGTGACATTTAAGCAAATAAACAGAAAACAGTATTTTTTACATTAAAATATATTGCTCAAGAAACACTTTATATTAGCTTTCAGCTTGTCCTTCATTTTATTGGGTGTGTGTGTTTTTTTAAAACAAATGTCGAATGTAAAAATGAAGCACATTTTAATATTCGGGAAAATATTTACATAGATTAGAAAACATGCAAAATGGGCACAGAGAGACTACAAGGGAGAGATTGTTAGTTCAAAGAAGGTGGACAAAATTCAGTCAAAATGTGGGATGAAACATATCAAAAGTCAGTTCAAGAAAACAAAAAAAAAATGCCCCTCTTTTTAAAACATTTTAATGGTTGGCATCAAAATGTAAAACTTAATATTAATTTTTTAAAAAAATTAATACTCTATATTTGTATGTAACAACAAGCAAGAAGACAAAACACATCAAAAACAGGAATTAAAAACAACTCTTCAAAAAAAGACAAGAAGTAAAAAAATAGAAAGGGGTGGAAAAAGTGATTGAGGCCCTTGTCATGCAAATAGATTTGGTGAAAAAAAATACCTTCATCTTCAGCACCGTCATTATCACCTAAATCATCTGTCTGTTTCTTTGTAAGGGGACCTAGGATTGAGAACGGAGAAATGGAGGAAAAAAAAAAAAGACAATTCAAGAATAAACAAGACTGAGGGGAAAAAATAAATATAAATACTAAAATTCTCAAGGATATTTCCAAAAAGAGTGGGGAAGTGGTCACATCATAATTGACTACCTATTTTTGTTTAAGAAAAAAAAACCCTTTCCCAAAAATATCTCATAGAAGATTTGGGTTGTAAATATATCCAGCATAAAAAATACATTATGGCTTGAAAATCAAGTCATGAGCAAAGACTTTTAAAAAAAAAAAAAAAAATACCCATTGCATACAAAAAAGTAAACAGTTTTATTAGCTGAAAGAACTTAATTTATTCAGTGTCTTTTCTAATTTAAATTGGTGGCAACATTAAAAAAGTAGGTCAAATTCATTCTTTAATTTGAGACAATATAATAACCTTAGAGAAGACAGAGATATGAATATCTTAAGTTGCTCTTTTTCTATTTTCTTCTTTTTTTTAAGAACATTAACATTTGGTTTTCACATATTTTTAATCCATACATTTTTCAAAACTGTGACTTTTTAAAATTACTTGTCATTACACAAATATTTCCCCATGTGTTTTCATTTAAATATTACTTGTGGATTTAAGACATTTGCATCCTGCACAAATGTATCACTAAATAGTCTCATCACTCAGCAGAGCAAAAGTTCGATCAGTAGAAGTCAGTGTTTAGCTATTAAGGTAGTTACCGAGTCAGGGCTTATATTTCATAATCAATTTAGTAATATAATGGAATTATGCCTTAGTGCAGTTTCATGCTCAGTATAGTTATTTATAATAGGATCATGTTTGAGGAGAATAATTGTATTAAAACACTGTGAATGCTTAATAAGTGTTTTATTATACTTAACAATGCTAATTTGCAAGAATAAAGGAGCACACCAAAGGGGACGTCAAAGGGCATATGAAAGTAATTTTAAGTGTCACATAATTGACATACTCAGCACATAAAAAAGCAAGTGAAGTCTCACATTCTTTTTTTGTTTCCACAACCATTTAATTTGCATGACATTTAATAATCCTCATGCAAAAAGCAATCATTACAAACACACGACACTCAAGTTAAAAGACAGCCAATCACATAGCAGTAAGCAAGAGAATTTTGTCATGCATAAAATAACAGTCAAAGAAAAGGGAGGGAAAAAGAGACTGAAAGTCATGTACTGATTTCAATAATATAAATAGTAAAGAAGCAGGCATTAAGTCTAAGCACACTTCATAGGGAAAGATTGTTAAACATTTTTAGCAAAATTTCTAAGTCTTTTCCGAGATTACTATTCATTATATTTATAATTCCAAACTAAATTTACTATTATAACTCTCAAAGAATGAAAAACACAATCCCAGAAAACAGAGGGGGAAAAATAAGATATAATACAGTTATGTTTCATCAGCTCAGGGAGACAGCCTTGAAAAACAGTAATAACTTGTCAAAGATCAGAAGATTGGAAAGGCAGAAATGGATGAAGTAATTGAAGTAACCCATTGACTACCTCAATTGAAAGGTCACGGTTTCAAGGTCATTTCAAACACAGACAGGGAAACTATAAACAATAAATTAAGTGATAGACTTTTATAATCACACCTGCAAGCAATTATTCCATTAACAGAAAACATAGATAAAGCAATAATTTATATTAATTGACACTCAGTTGCAAGTTCACAGAAATGTACATTTATTTAACATGACCCTGTTTAAATGCAAAAGGCATGCTTAGGATTATTTGACATTCATGCAACAACATAGCTACATTTCTGAAAGCTATACATATTTTTTCATTTAAATTTTAAAATTGCTGAATCAGAATATTATATTTAAAATATTTCCAATTTCAAAGCATCCCTCAAAATATTAGACTTCAAAAATTATATTTTCAAGCTTTTAATTTTTCTGTAATTTCTTAAAGACTGCAAAAAAATATACATTTCTATTTTCTAGGCTGCTATGTAGAAATTATGGTTTTATTCACTGGTTAGCAACACAATTTAAATGCAGTGGCATTTATTGCTGCCAAAACCACTATCTACTTTCCAATTTTAGTTAAATTACTTAATTTGCTTAATTCTTGGCTATATTAAGAAATCATTAATGTGAGCTCAAATTTTTTTTCCTGAATCATTAGTTTGCTAATATTTGGAGGCACGTGTAAAATCTATCACAATTAAATCACTGTCTTCATTTTGTTCGGGGCTCTATAAGAGCTCTCTCTTGAATTAGTCAGATGGAATTGTCTTTCTTTCCCCTTCTAGGGTACCCAAGTCAATTTACATGATTTCTATGAGGAATCATTCAGCTTATATAGCCACTGAGCCAGTGCTTTCTATATACTTTACATGTATTTAGAGCTGGCTAGCTCTTGGGCCTACATGAGTTGCAACAGTAAGAGAATTGTTGTCAAAACATCATCGCCCACTTCTTTGCATGTGGCACATGGCTCTCAGTTGCTAGTTGAGGGCATATGTAGAGAAGTCATGGACAGTATATATACAGAGAGTTTTTCCATGGATGCATGGTTGATGGATCAGTTTTTTTGCTTGTTTGTTTCTTGTTTTTTTTTGTTGTTGTTGTTGTTGTTTTATTTTTTGTTTTTTGCTACATTAGTTATTTTTACCTTCCTTACTTAGGAAACTGTGTTTCTCTTACCTGATGTGAGATAATAATTGCATGCATGCATTGTATAGGACATCTTTTATTGTAATAAATCTGAAGAATTAGAAGCAAATACAAATATTGCTTCAGCATCATGGGGATATGATTATCCTGGAGGAGGATTAAGTCCAGTTATCCCAATACACTTCATTTATTGATACTAAATAAAACGTTATTATTAGATGACAGTAAGTTTTTTCCCATAGTACGAATTACAGCAGTATTTTAGTGATTTCAGTATATCTGGGTGTTCTTAACATCAAGAATTTTTTACATATCTGATTTTTGAAGGTTCCCTAGGAAGAAGAGGGTTGGTAACAGTTTTGGGCAAAACTGATTATAAGAAGAAAGAACACAGATTTCCTTTATCTCTACGCCTAAAGGCACTGAGAATAAATATCTACAGAGTTCAGGGCTGCAAACTGAGAAACTCCACACTGGTTTCTCTGAGGAAGCCTCAGTGGAGTAAACATATGCTTCTGGATTACCGCAGCAGATCCCTACATGATCTCAAGATTCCCTCTTCCCCTGCTGGAAACAAAACACCACCTCTGCCTAGAGCTCCCTTCTTTGCTAGGGCATCCAGCTCTCTGGCTCACTTTCCCTTTGTTCTAAACTGTTAGAACTGATGTAATCACTCATGTTAAAACATTTTAAACGGAAAGAAAATATTGTAAAAGGTAATTGGCATTAATTTTTTATGAAAAGTAGACAGTCACATTTTAGACACTCTATTCCTGTAAATTGAGCAACATCATTTCCTCAAAGGGTAACACATTTATCCTTCAAATAGAAATAACAGTTATTAACAACATTCTAACCACAGCTTATGCTTCTTTTAAACAACAAATACTGCATTTTCAATACAAGCAGTTTAAATGGATATCTCAAAGCACCAAAATATAAAGCAAATGAGACCACTAAAACCAGTGTGTAGAAGTGATTAATTCTACCTTGAAACTCTATTGGGTCTGTCCTCCCTGAGGAACACACACATAACTCTCATTAGAGTTAATAGGAGAGTAGACCTCCTGTCATTTTGAAAGGGAGTGAGAGTAATTACTATACTTTATATCTCCTATGGGCAATAAATAAATTCAGTGGTGAAACAACAGGACTAAGCAAGGTAAAGGGAACTCCTAACATGAACTTTGAACTCATTTAATTCCAAAATAGTTTCTTTTCGATTAACATGAGCATAATTCAAAGTATGGGTTCTGGTAAAGGACGTGCGATGCATTCTTACATTTCAGAATCCGACCAGAGCCTTTTATTTTTTAAAAAGGGAGTAAAAATATCAGCGTTTCTCTGTAGTTAACAGGAGAATAATTATGAGCTCTGAAATAATTACTATCCACCCATATTAATGCTGCTTTTTATCATTCCCTTTGATGAAGGGCTAATATACTTTGGGTCTCAAATACATTAGAACTGATTATAAATTCCTTCATTATGGGTTCAATTCAGCAGAAATTATCCATACTTTGTGTCACACATATCTGCAAAAGGCAAGTAGGTTGAGGGTATTATTAGCTCCCGACTTAGAAAAGCTGGCCATTAGAAATGCGTCCTTCTCAAGGGAAGAAGCCTCTGAATTTTTTAGGATTATTTAGAGCTTCTGGCTCCAGTGGTCCCACCATGATAGATGGAAAGCCCTGGCTATTGACCTTGTTTTTTTCCCCTGTCCTCTTGACCCAGCAGTCTTTGAAGTAAACTGATTGTAAAGCATCCCTAAGGCCATTTTTACAAAATGAGAGAATTTAAGATATTGCCATTGTTGTTCTGGAGCAATTGGAAGCAGGCTAAATGTTCTCAAGGATGTATTCTCTTGGGGTAAAATTTAGTTTATAAAACTTGAATCAAGGATATGAAAAAATATGTGTATTCCGGAGAACAATGCCAGAATTCAATGCATTTTAAGTAACGACAGGATTATGTTACTATATTTGACTTTTTCAACCTGACAAACATTAAAACACAATGGTTTTAAGAAACTAGATATTATGACAGTTGTCATTGCAAAGTTATTGAATTTTACCCATTGAAATTTAGTTAATTTTATATAACTAAAATGAATACATAACTTTTGAGAATACAGAAATCAGTAAAAGTGACTGATTTGGAATCATTCTCGCTAATTTGATATTACTATATTTATTCAACAAAAAGTTATCACACTTTTAAAACTATTGATTATATGACCAGATATAAAGAAAGCATAGCTGAAAAATAATTTTCTTTCTGGAAAATGTTTCAGTTAAAGGGGAATTACATTTTTGAGAATGTCATACGTTTGTATTATGCTAAACTAAAAATCTAATGCAAGCCACTCCAATGAGATATTGGAAGTGAATTTTGGAACACTTGATTATTTAAAAAAAGAATCCATATCAGTGCAAATCTTGGTGGTGGTGCTCTGTCATTCATGACAATGAGTGTCATTTAGGTGAGCTGCCTGTTTAGGCTAATGGCTCCTATGTACACATGTTTTGGAAGGAAACAATTTCCAAGGGTCTGAAAGCAACAGACATACCCTATGTTTAGTTTTGTGTTGGAAGAAGACACATAAACACAAAATATATTCCTTCAGACAGTTTTTCAGAGGTAAGAGCACAACTTGAAACACACACACAAAAAAAGGAGAATCTTATGTTAAAGTCAGGAAAGGGGAAAAGAGAATTTTTCTCTGCTCTAGTACACTGAGAAGAGCTCATTTGTATTTATTTAAAAAATAGTTTTTCACCATAAATTACCTTGATTACATAACACTTTGATGTCAAAAGCAATTCCATCTAGAATAAAAAAATGATAGCATCTGGGGAAGAAAGAATTTAAGTAGATAAAAAGTAAATTAAATAGACTAACCCCTAACCTGAGCATCAGCAAATTTGCAAAGCTCATTATTCTTTAACACTATATTTGTTTGATTTTTATTACATGCAGATACAGTATTTCTACAGCCTGAAGAATCTCAAACTGATGTTCCTTTTATTCTGGAGAAATGCTTCTGTATACTCTATAAACCCTTTCACACTTTGTGAAGACACACTCTCCATTGCCCTGACTTTCCAAGTATTATCCAAAGTTGCACCTAGAGCAGGAGTCTGGTGAGAACACAAGTGCCACTAGATGTCTAGAGCTATTTCAATGAAGATGGGATTGGGATGGCATCAATAATCCAACCTCCCTGCCATGGTTGCAATATTCTGTCATCCAGCTGTTTAACAAATATATGGTACATTAGGCATGAAGGATACATGGAGGAACAAAACAGGCAAGACAACTACACTCATGAAAATTAGATCTCAGCAAAGAGACATGAAGCAAATATACATACACATACACTTATAAATTGTGATAAGTGTCAAGGAAAAAGTCTTGGTGCTATAAGATGTTATACAAGGTGACCTGGCTGAGTCTGGGAAGTCTTCAGTGACTAGGTGTAATGTGGCCTGAGGGCTGAAAGATGAGTAAACACCAGGCAGGCAAAGGGCTGGGTATGAGGAGGTAGGGTGGAAAGAAGATTTCGGGGAAAGAAAATAGCACATAGAAAGGCCCCAAAAGAGAGGAAGCCTGGAGGTCAGTGTGGCTGGCATACAAGGAGTAGAAAAGAGAGTCGTGGGTGATGAGGACAAAGAGCCAGACAAGAATCAACTGGAACACACAGCCCCTTCAGCTGAAGGATTTTTGTCTTAATCTTAAAAGCAATGGAAGCCATTTACAGGGTTTAAGCACACACTGATAAACTCTGCCCTATCTGAGTCTTAAACACAAGAATCAAAAAGAGGCAAAATCATTCTCAGAAATATGACAGGGAATATTTTATATAGAAGCCTGCATTATGCTCTCATCAGACAAGAATTGCTTTATGGAAGTGAAATTAGATGATGAAAAAGGAGCCTCTGAGGTCTTATTCCATTTGTGTTTGCAAGTAAAATTAATGTCACCAAAAAGTAAAATTCAAGACTGTAGCACTTCTGAAATTTTATAAATATTTCTAAAGTTTTGATTAAATATGTATTTAAAGTTAAATTCACTTTGCCTGAGAATTAACATATTTTAATTGATCTTATATTCATAAAGATACAATATTCTGCAACAATTTCTACTTGGATGTCTCACCAACATCTCAGTACAACAGGGATGACCATCATCTCCACCTTCAAAGCCCATTTTCCCTCCAGCATAGGTCTTGCTTTCAGAGGTATAACCCCCTCTGTCTCTAAACTCTAAATCTAGAAATAATATTTAACTATTCCCTCTTCCTTCCTTTGCTCTCATCATATTTCACCAGATTTCCCAGGGAAATCTCATTCCTGTCATTAAATACTCTCTACTGTTAGCCTAGTCAGTGGCTACCATTACCACGATTGAATTATTGTAGAAAGCTCTTGGTTGCTTCTACCATCATGCAGACTCCAGACTCTCTCCCAATCCATTTTGTATTCAATGGGTTTTTTGAAGTTGTAGTTATTAATAGTGGCAAACCCAAAGAGAAAAAAGATTTAATCATTGTAAATTAACATCAGCTAAAATGTGCACACATTCAACTCCTTCTGAGACTAAAATTGCAAGCACTCTAAGAGAACTAACAGGAACTTAAAAACCTAAAGGCTTACTTAGACATAGTGAATCTTGTACTGTGAGTTTTAAAATAGCTAAAACAAGACAGATGAAAACTAAATATGGTTTAACACTAGTTTTGATGTTTTCGAAATTCATGAGCAAAAATAAGATATTTTCTATTCCAAATGGAAGCTAGTCATTTAAAATACATTTTTAAAAACGCAGTGCAGATTAATGTAATTTAAACATGACTTTCATTGTTCCACTACTCTCCTTAAAAGTCTTTACTATTTCCTTATTCCTATTGTCATATACTAAATGCTCAAATCCAGCCCATAAGACCCTCTTACTATCTGCACATTTTATCTCTTAAGTTCCATTGCTTTCCAAAATATGTCTTTTTTTTATTGTGAGTCTTGTGCCGTTGAACAAAACAGTGACTTCATCCTTAGACCTTGTGTATTTTATTCCATATGTTTGATTCCTTAAAGTTCTTATTATAATCAACTCACCTCAGAGAGGAGGAAAGGTGTTAGTGCAAACATGGAGAGTCTCCTCTACAATAATGTGTAAGAGTATTTCACATTGAAAAGAAAGGAGTATTACTTTGTATTTTGGCCCAAAATGCTGTCTTCAGGATATGAATGAGAGAGATAGTTCTCTACACACCAGCAAGACCTGACTATAAAAATACCTTAACTTTTTGGCATTATTAAATTTTATCTTCATAAGTGAGATAAAAAGATTGAAGCAGTCATTATGAAGATCCTGTTTTCTGAGTGGGTCTCACTGGAAACAAGCCAGTGAAGGATGAGCTCTCTGACAGTGTCTATCCCCCTGAAATGACTTCTTAACAGTTTCTGGTCTCACACATGCCTCTCCTTGCTAAACATCTTTGATTCTCAATGAAGCACAATTTCATTGTTTTCATACTTTCTGTGCTATTCCACATGAGTTGATCCTCTTTTACCATGCAGGCTGGAGTATTTCGGGGACACAATTCTCTGCCCCTTTCTCTCTCTGCCTCTGTCTATCTTGCCTGATGCAATAAATGTTAAGCATATACTACATACTACAGAAACACTTGGAATCCAGTGGTCATGTGCCCAGATTCATAGGACGCTAGAGCTAGAAATGACCCTACTGAGTGACTATCGAACTCCTCATTTCACAGGTGAAGAAACAAAAATAGAGTGTTTAACAGATTTTGCCTAGGACTCACAGCTAGTCAGAAGCAGAACTAGGTCTAGATCTCAGTTTTCCTCTCACCCAGTCTGGTTAGCTCCTATACAATAAGTCACATAGCAATAAAGACAAGCAGAGAAAAGGAAAAATTGGGTGTGGGTGTAGCATAGACCTGTTTTAAGCAAACCATAAATCAATTGTTTTTTTAATAATCATATTACAACTGGAAAGCCGTTAGCACTACCCCAAGCAACACTTCATCTAGATGCAATTGAAATTTAAATTAAAATAAAGAAAAATATTTATTGAAGTGCCTTTAAAAGAAAAAAAAAAAAACAGAAGAAACTTAAAAACAAGCCAATGGATTTGGAAGGACAAAAGATCCTAGAGTTCAAACTAAATAAGTAATATCAGTTAAATTGCATAACTTCTCAGTAGTGGATATCATTAAATTGGGTGGTGTGCGGAATAAATACTTAAAGCTTGGAAAAATTAAATAATTAACCAGATGTAAAGTAAGGACAAGAGTAGCTAGGGCTAATGGATAGTCATATAGGCCAATGAGAGAGTGAAATGCTTGTACAGGTTGGTGAATAACGATTACCCAGAACTTCCAGAGTCCTTCTACTCAAGCGTCCAAGTTGCTTTGGCTGGGCCAATTTCCCAGGATACCCTTACTGTAGCATGATTAAGAAACTAAAGAGTTAATGTTTAGCATCAGTGGGGCTACCACACCCAGTCACAGTACTCTATGCAGATACCGTTTTTAACGACTGTAGACAACTTATATGTTTGTTATCACCTCTGAATTATTCTCAAAGATATTTCCAAATCTAGAAGTGTAAGACTCTAAAAGGTATTTCCTAAATTATACATTAATACTAATTGATAATTTGTCTGTGTCATAAAGGGCTTAGAGACAGATATATACAGGTTTGGATTTTGGGCTCTTTCATATGCTAGCTGTGTAACCTTTGACATGTTTTCTAATCTCACAGCATCTCAGGAGACAATGCCATACTCTTCTAAAAATATTGTGATAATAATTAAAAGTGCCTCCTACAGGGATTAGCATAGAGAAGTTTAGTTAAATATTTGTTTTGCCCTTCACCTCTCTTCTATCCATTAACTCAAACTAAATCCTTAATACACAAACACACACACACACACAACCATACTCACACATGTACCTTCTAGTATGATATGCACTTTAAAAAGAAGAATTTTAGAATTAGGTTGTCCCCACTCAATTACCTGCCAGCTATATGACCTTGGTAGCTTTCTTATCCTCTCTATTATTAGTTTCTTTAAACGTAAATCAGAATAATACTTGCATAATAAAATTTTCGTAACAATTCAATATTCTAAACGTGAAATACCTAGTATAATGCCTGATCTATAAAGAGAATACAGTGAGAGTAATGATAATTATCACTGAATTGTGGGTGGTTGAGAAAGAATCTAGGGCTTAGAAAGATGATAAATTTGTCCAATATCCTCTATCTAATAAATGGGAAGCCAGGATATGGACGCAGCTCTGTATTATTCTGGAATTCACACCATTCACACTATTCTGTGCAACTACTTTAGGGAGAATAATAGAATGGTAGTTAAAATCCAAGAGGAGTGCTTCACTGGGATACATACATACACACACACACATATGTATATATATACACACACACATATATACACACATATATATATTTGAAACTACCTAACCACTCAGGGTAAATCTGTTGCTCTTTTATTACATGGCATAAGGTACCATGATGAAGAAAAAAATAAAAGAAACAATTATAAATGTAGTTGGAAGGTAGAGAGCAAGATGTGCCTCCTATGGTATGAGGAAAGAAAGGCATGGTTATGACAACAAAGGATTAAAAAAAGACAAGGGTAGGGACTGTGCTCTGCAGAAGGAATGAAGCTCACAGGTGCCTTGTCCTCAATAGAGATGCTGAGAAATCAGAACTAGATTAGCTGCATGGAGGTGAGGCAGTTGGGAAAAATATAGAAAATGTGTTCTATTCAAATATGAAAGTTTGAATTTGAACTTTAGTTTATTGCTTAATCCAAGGAAGGATGGGCGGAGTGTGGAACACCGTACATTATGCCCAGATTGTGAAGCTGTGAGTCAGTTGCTCCCACAGTACACAGAGGCCTCACCAGCATGAGAGGGCTCATCCCTGAATTACAGGTGCTAAATTCTGTAGTCAAAGAGCCCAAGTTATTAACAGAAGCCTTGGGTTCTAGTTTGAACTCTGCCTCTTACATTTTAGGTGATAATCTATATGACATTGTTCAAGACATTTTCTATCTCTGAGCCTTCATTTCTTTGGCTGTGAAAAGGAAGGGACAATGTGTTCTATCCACCTTGGGAGATTGTGGTAGGATCAAATATGATGGTGTTTGTGAAAGCTCTGCAAAGGCTTTTCACGTGTAATGTGGAAGTTTAATGTAATAGGCATTAAGTGAGCTGGAAGTAGTGGGGACTACTAAAGAAAAGAAGCCTGGTTACAACACAAAGGACTGGCTGTATTTGTATTATTTTCAGGAAAAAAGTGCATGCACACTTCACGCTTCTTTTTAATTAAAACTAACTTTCTTTCCTTCCTTCCTTCCTTCTTTCTTTCTCTCTCTCTCTCTTTCTTTTTTTTTTGGATGGACTCTCACTCTGTCATCCAGGCTAGAGTGCAGTGGCGCGATCTCAGCTCACTGCAACCTCTGCTTCCCAGGTTCAAGTGATTCTCCTTCCTCAGCCTCCTGAGTAGCTGGGACTACAGGTGCACACCACCATTCCTGGCTAATTTTCTGTACTTTTTTAGTAGAGACAGAGTTTCACCATATTGGCCAGGTTGGTCTGGAACTCCTGACCTCGTGATCTGCCTACCTCAGCCTCCCAAAGTGCTGGGATTACAGGCGTGAGCCATCATGCCCGGCCAACATCCTTTCTTTCTTACTGGCTATGAAGAACACAGGTTCTGGAATCAGGTCTTTTTTTTTTTTTTTTTTTTTTTTTTTTTAAATGAGGTCTTGCTGTGTAACCCAGGCTGGATTATGGTAGTGGCTATTCACAGGTGTGATCATGGCACACTACAGCCTCCAACTCCTGGGCTCAAGTGATCCTCCTGCCTCAGCCTCTCCAGCAGCTGGAACTACAAGCTCAAGCCACTGCATCCAGCAGGAGTAAGATTTCTTGATTTTGTTTCCTGACTCCACCACTCTACCTGCTGTTAGACTTTTGGTCAGTTACTTAACAACTCTAGCTCTTGATTTTTTTTCATTAGTTAATTGGGAATAGAAATAATTTATACCAATTTCATAGGATCATTTATGAAATTAAAGGCAGTAATATATGTATAGCTCTTAGAATAGAGTCTGGTATATGTTGAGGACACAATAAATATTAAAAATTTTTGCTATCACACAGTAAATTAAAAACTAAAAAAATAGGTTAATTGACAGTGGAACAGTTGCAGTAGAAAATCAATTGATATTTTATGTTGCATTTTAAAAAGTGAGGGTTCTAAATGTATTTAATAAATTTTTTATCCATTTACTATTTAATATTTAGTCACTATATATTTGAAATTGATTACCAGCAAGTAAAGATAAAAATAAACTTTTTCTTTTTTTTTTTTTTTTTTTTTGCAAAATGTCAAGTCTGGGTTTATAGCATTAGAAAAAAAATACAGAAAATTTAAAGGTAAAATGTCACAGAACTCTTTATTTCCATTGTAATAATACTCATTAAGGAGAAAATGGGCAGGTTTGGGACAAAGCTGTATTTCTAAAATTTTATCCAGTTAAAAAGCCAATATTTTTTATGGAAAATAAGAAAGAGATTCTGGATGAAGTTATATTTTTCAATTATTTGACTATTAAAATATTTTTACTCATTTTATTACTCACCAGCTTCAATGTTCTAGCTCTATTTTCATAATCTGTGATCACGTTTAAAAGGCATTTATGTTCACCAACACTGCAAGAAGCAATTGCTTGAGCATAATTTGATTTACAATGCACCTTTGCTGTGGTCAGCTCAAAAACATCGGAAACATGGTCACTGAAAGCCTACCTTCTATCTTGTGTACTAATTGTGTTTGGGAAACCCATGAGCAAATTAAGGTATTTGATCTTCAAAATGTAAACATGCCATCTTAAAAGAGGCTTATTTAAGTATCTAATGGTTGCTGGATTACAAGAATCAATATGGGATAAGAGGCCTCATGCTTTATGGATTTTTCCTTCCTTATATTTTCATTCTTCCCTTTAAGCTATTAAAATGTCTCAAATCAAGCTACTTTTTGTAAGAGTCCAGAATAATAACATTTATCAAAGATACCATATTTAATACTAATATTAACTATTGGAAGCCAAGATTGCCTTTGAAGAAAAATATCTTTACCAATATAAATGCATTTCCATTTAGTCTCCAGTGTTTCTACAAAAAAGTGTATTTTTAAGAATATGTGGAAATCACATTTGATTTTGTGAAATATTTCACATTTAGATAAACAGCCATGTCCTGAATATCACAGACTTTTTATTTTAGTATAGAAAGATAGAAACAGCTGTATTAAAATTTAAAGCAATAAAAATATACAGTTGACTTTAGGCAAGAGATGTTTTTAAAAATTTGCACATGAATTAATGCTTGTAAATTTTAAATACACTAAGAGAAGCTGCAATTTTGAGTACTCGATGGTGAATTACTTGGGTAAACAAGTCTTATAAGGGAATAATCACTCCAATATCTTTCTTCTTTTTTTTTTTTTTGAGACGGAGTTTTGCTCTTGTTTCCCAGACTGGAGGGCAATGGCGTGATGTCGGCTCACTGCAACCTCCGCCCCACGGGTTCAAGTGATTCTCCTGCCTCAGCCTCCCAAGTAGCTGGGATTACAGGTGCCTGCCACCACACCCTGCTACTTTTTTGTATTTTTAGTAGAGACGAGGTTTCACTATGTTGGCCAGGTGGTCTCTAACTCCAGATCTCAGGTGATCCACCCTCCTCGGCCTCCCAAAATGCTGGGATTATAGGCGTGAGCCACCATGCCCTGCCCCATATCTGTTTTCTAAGTTACCATTCCTATATATATTTCCTTTGAATATGAATGTATCTGTATTTACTTAGTATTAAAATTCATTTTTTCTGATACAGGTTAAGAAATAGTATCCTATGTTTTAGTTACAAATAATTAGGCCAGAATGATTCATATACTATTAAGCACGGCAGTAGTGTTTGATTTATAAATATAAATACTACACATATTTATGTATATGGGTTTTGTGTGTGTGTGTGTGTATTACACACATATGATACATGGGTTCACTTCTCCTTTGCGAGTCACCTAAAGATAACTTTCCATTGAGAAAGAATGATTTTCAATACTATTTTGTTGAAATGAAGTAGAAATTTGTTTCTGTTGGCAGCTTAATTATTCTGGATATTTCTTGTTAATCAGAAGAGCAGGGAGAAAACATATGAGAACAAGATCACAGAAAGATCAAAATGGTTTGGTACTTAAAAAAAAGAAGGAAAGAAAACTGAACACATAGGGATATTCAGGGCAATTTCAATGTACAAAACTCACAGCCATAATACTTACCCTCATGGCCCTCCCTCTGCATTGGAACATACCTTTCAGATTTAATCCCTGTATAAAAATCAATAAAATTCTGTTCTCTAGAAAGTGCTTCTCCAACATGAATGTGCATAAAAAAAATACCTAGGGAGCTTATTAAAAATGACATTTACTAACCCTCTTATCCTCTGAGGTTGGTCAGGGTAGAGCCTAGAATTCAGCAATTTAATGTTGAATGAGGTCTATGTACCACATTTTAAGGAAAACTTGAAGTCCAGACCCTTTTTCTATTTGTAGGATTTTGACCCTTTCCTCTTCTACCTCTCACTGGGGAGTAAAATGAAAAGTTGTACATATATGTATAAAATTTATCACATTGTGTACATGCTTAGCTATGAGGCACAACAGATGGAAATGTTTGATACTATAAGCTCAACTCAAATGTTAATTTCTCTTTGAGAAGACAATGCCGGGAAGAAACAGTACGGTCTACTCCCAAACAAAGCTTTATTTTGTAAGAATACTGTAAATAGATGAGAGATTATACATACACTCTTATAGATAAACACATTTATATTTTACATATATATATATATAAACTCAACTATGCATATGTATATACCTCTGTATGCCATTAAAATATCTATGTACTTAGAAATTTAGTCAATAAATAATCTCTATCTCAAAATATTTTGTACCATGTTGGTTTAAAATTTATCTAGTACTGACAATATTCTAGATTCTTTGAGGTCCACATATTACCAAAAAATGCCCACCCTACTATCTTGTACAATGTTATATCAGACTTTAGTAAAACTAAGGCTGGGAGAAGAAAATCATTTTTAGATAAAACAACGAACCCAACCTGCAGTGATTTATAACATATTTTTAAGAAAATTAAGGAATGTATTGTAAGGAAGATGTGGAAATTATCAAGATATATTGATGGGGAATAAATGCTAAAGAGTAAGAGAAATGTGCTCACTAGAACATAATGAAATAAACAGAAGTAGAAAAATACAGTAAGAATGAGGCACCATGATCCAAGGGTGATGGCGCCATCTGTGGCCTGGGAAACAAGGAATTCTTGGCCCCCTGCCGAGTGCAGAAGCCAGGGAAGTGGGGCGGCTTTTGAACTATTATTATAGCCAGAAATAAAGTCTGATTCTTCTTGTTGTCAGACTATGGGTATCTATGTCTGTCTTGTTATGTGTGTGTATGTCTATGTTTGTGTGCATAAATGTCATTTCTGCCTCTGTCTATATATTTGTTTTGTGTTAATGTGTGTATTCTTTTGTCTAGTTTAACATGTTTCATTCTTCCCATGTGGAGATTCATATCATTCACTTTGTTTTCTGTGTATATGTCTGTGTATGTATGATACTCTGCCTAATTTTGTCTTGCTGATGCTTATTTGCGTGACTTGCTATGCCTTGTTTATCTCTCTGGC
Organism: Homo sapiens; assembly: GCF_000001405.40. Lineage (NCBI taxonomy): Eukaryota > Metazoa > Chordata > Mammalia > Primates > Hominidae > Homo > Homo sapiens. Next base: position 173,784,821 of record NC_000003.12, on the reverse strand, counting down.
CAGATGTGTGCTTCTAAAATGTTTTCTATCTGTTGTATATATTTACAAATCTTCATTTATGAGTCTCTCTTCTTCAGAATGTCTTTGACACCATGTGATCCCTCTGTGTGCCTGTGTTCCTTTCTGATCATATTACAAAGTCTATAGTGGCTGTCTCTGACTTTGGGTTTCTGAAGGTGTCTTTCTCTCTGTCTCTCTCTCCTCTCTCTGTTTCTCACTCTATTTCTCTGTCTTTCTCTCTGTCTGCCTTTCTGTCTCTGTCTCTGCCTCTCGCTCTCTGCCTCTAGGTACGGTCTGTGTGTGTGCATCTTTCTTTCTCCTATTTATATAAGAATCATGGGGTAGGTATCTCAGTGTGGCCACTTCCCTCTGTATGTCCCTGTTGAGCATGCCTGTGGGAGAGGAGGTAGATAAAAGAAGCTCCCATGATCTATATCCTCTCTCAGACCCAGTCTGTCAATGAAAATACTCCAGGAAATTACCTAGTCCTTTGTGGCTTCCAGACAGAATACAACTACCATTTTCCATGGAGAGATGTTAATATTCACCTTCCTTACTTTTCAACATATTCTGTTGAAACTCAAGTTTTACACCTAGAATATCTATTCTATAATCTAAAAGTCTCTAAGGCTTATTTCCTCAAGTGAAAATGTAGACAAAAGCAACTTATTGTCAACTGGTGTGAAAATTATAGATGTAAAGTTCTGAGTACATTACCTGGCACATAATCAGTGCTCCATACATTTTATGACTCCTATCAGTGCATATTTATTAGTGCTAAAATTTTATTGAAAAGTTAAATTCCTCTAGGGAAACCTGCTACATAATCAAATATTTTACACAGATTATTTTAAGCAAAGTTTCTACCTTTAAGAAACATTACCAGAATATTATAAAACAGATCTCTTCAAAAAAACATTGTAACATGCCTGTAATCCTAGCACTTTGGGAGGCTGAGGTGGGCAGATCAGTTGAGGTCAGGAGTTCGAGACCAGCCTGGCCAAGATGGTGAAACTCTGTCTCTACTAAAAATACAAAAATTAGCCTGGCATGGTCATGGATGCCTGTAATCTCAACAACTCAGGAGGCTGAGGCTGGAGAATCGCTGAATCCCATGAGGCAGAGATTGCCGTGAGCCAAAATCGTGCCACTGCACTCCAGCCTAGGCGACAGAGCAAGATTCCGTCTCAAAAAACAAAAAAACAAATGAATGAAAAACATTATGACAAGTTTTTTGGATGTAAAATATACTAGAACATGTTTCCATACTTTCAGTGAGTGGCCTATGGCGCTAATCCAATAACTCTGGATTATGCACAATCTTAGATCAATTAAAATATAGCTCAGAATGACATCTAGGGCATGAGATAATCAGCTGCAACCTTCTTATCTGGAGCAGGTGAGGACACTGAGGCCAGGGAGAGTGAAAGTCTCAGTAACTTGTTCCAAGTTACAGGCAACAGTAGCGTATCTGCTACAAAAACCTCATGCTCCTCAGGTTTATAGCCAATGTTTTCACAGCATTTTGCTGCCTCAACTATGGATTTTTGAATGTTTTTCTCAAATGTAATGGTCTCTTTTTAATATGTAATTCATTCACAAAGTTGAGAAATCCAAACAATAAAAACCAAAGTACAGTAAAAAATCATGCTTCTCCCTCATCCACCCTTAGCTTCCCTGTTCCTACCTCTCATCCCCAATCCTATGGTAACCACTCTTTGTTTTCGTGTGTATCCTTTCCACATTCTTTATGTAAAATGAAGGAAATTATTTCTGTAGACATTAGCAATTATAAATTATACATATATATTTATTCCCTCTCTTTCTTAAAAGACAGCTTTCTATATTTGCTGTTTTGCACATTACTTTTTTTAACTCAACAATATATTCAGGAGATCTCTTTGTATTAGTACATGTATTAGTATATATATTTTTATACCTGCTGAGTGATTTCAGATTTCTTTCAAAGAAACTGAATTAGCTGTAAATACTTAAAGCTGGGAGCGGGGGGTAGGGGAATGAAGGGCATTATAAGCAAGGTGATAAGACATGAGGACATAGTTTGAAAAATTCTCATACCATTTTAAAATCATGGGTGGTAAGAACAATGCAAAAAGAAAAAAAAAAAAAGGTAAGCTTTGAGTACACAATAAAATTTGCCTGGCCACACATGTTCCCTTTCCTGCTCTCCTGGGGGCTGCCCGAGGCATGGAGTGAATAGATAAAATACCTACAGTTATTTTACTATTTTCTCCCAAGAGCAAAAGTCCATAAACTACAAACATTCATAAAATGGAGCTTTTATTGAGGAACTGAACTTTTTGAAAATAAGCAGTGCTCAAAACTAGCATACTATCAGTTCACCAAAACATACACACATACATGCACATGCTTGTTTATTTCTTATAACATTTCTATAGTTTTATGGTAAAAGTATCTTGAGAGGTTTTTTTTCTGTTTTACTATATTTACATTACCCGCGCCTTTAATGCATTCAATTAATTTGCTGATCTATGTTGCTTGCAGGAATTAACATCTGAGTGCCTATGTGCCTGTCAGGAATGTTGTGAGGTGTTGTATGTATTATGTACTTTCCCTGCTTAGCTCTTTCAACACCCTGTCTTTCCCAAATTGACCATAGCAACATGGTTAGATTTCGTGTCTAATTTGCCCTATTCCTCCCTATCCCCAATATACCCTAGACAAAGAAAACTAAAAAAAAAGACACTTCCAAAGCTCTTCCAACAGTAGGATTGCTTTGGTGAGACCCACAGGGACACTTTCAATAAAAGTAACTAAAAAAGCAAGGAGAAATAAATTGATCTACTCTATCTTGCCTGTTCTTCAGTGGGATCTCAACCTTCCCTTAAATCTTAAATCAAATAAAGCTTAATGAAAAAATTACTTTAAGGTTTTCCGTGACTGAGGCATATAACATTGTCCAGTTTGAGCTAATAGTTTATGACTCTACCAAGAGTACCAGTGCCTAATATACTTTGTTTAAAAAATATTTCATCTTTTTCAAAACACATCAACATATATTGCTTCAGTGGATTCTTCTGACCACCTCGTATGCCAAGGGCTAATGTGCCTTTTTAAAAAACATATTTGTCCTACAAATCCAATTACTGAGACACGGGGAGTTAACCCCTCCTGTCTGAAGTGATATCACTAACTAGTGGGGGTAACTCCAGTGTCCATGTCTCTATTCAATACGTTTCAAGGAGATCAACCAAACCTATCCTCAGATCTTAAATTGAACAACTGACTTTGACAACAATGTATCCATTAAGTCAAAAATGGGTACGATAAAAGCCAAAATGCTAACTACAATGCCCATCAAAGATAATCCATAACAGTGAACAAATTCAATTTTTTTATATTTACTAAAATGAATTAGGTAGATGCATATGTTCTGATACTTAGTTGTCTAAGACATAGGATTAAGAGAAAAAGGCAAATTACAGAACAATCTGAAAAGTATCATCCTATTTGCACAGAAAAAAGTATTAGCCATATTCTGTTTAAATATACACAGATATTTCCTGGAAGGATATCCAATAAACTATTTTAAATGCTTTTTCTCTAGGGTATGAGTACAGTATGTGACATGGAGAAATGGGTTGGATTTTTACTTTTTCACTTACATGCTCTTCAATATTTACTTTTTTTTTTTTGAGACGGAGTCTCGCTCTGTAGCCCAGGCTGGAGTGCAGTGGCGCGATCTTGGCTCACGGCAAGCTCCACCCTCCTGGGTTCACGCCATTCTCCTGCCTCAGCCTCCCGAGTAGCTGGGACTACAGGCGCCCGCCACCACGCCTGGCTAATTTTTTTTGTATTTTTTACTAGAGACGGGGTTTCACCGTGTTAGGCATGATGGTCTCGATCTCCTGACCTCGTGATCCGCCCGCCTCGGCCTCCCAAAGTGCTGGGATTACAGGCATGAACCACTGTGCCCGGCCAATATTTACGTTTTCAAAAACCATGAACATATATTATTTTCATCATTAAAATATGTGATCAGAATTTTTAACTTGCTGTTTAACATATAATAAATCAAGTAAATACTCTGGGCACACCTTTAAATGTCTGCTTCTCTCAGATTACTGCTTGCTCTACAAACAACTTTATTTGTGCACACATCTCTACTGACTTTTAGAATAAATATTTAATTTCTCTAGTTATAATACTCTACTGGAATAAATGAATTGGAGTTTTACCTCATCAATAAAGTAACTGCTCAGAATAACATTATGGTTGGATTAGCAAAATGCATGTTATTGTCTTGGTTGCTAGTACATGTGGCATTGAAGGTATAGATGGTCAATTTAAGTGTGTGCATGAAACATTATTTGAAACTTTAAAGTCTTCCAGTTATTTGCACTTGTCATAGCAATTATTTCAGCCAATAAACTATTGAGTCTTATTTGAGATTCATACTTTGAACATAACGAACATTTTTAACACATTTATGACCCCACTGAGCGTATACATGTACACTGACCATATGCAGATACATGTATGCATGTATTTATATATCATACAGAGAGAAACATATGCATCATCATTAAATATATGAACCAAGTGACAGCAGTAGCAACTGTAGATTAATACAATCTTTAATTCACATTATTATGTATGGAAGTGAGAAGCATTGCAGCATGAATTAAGGATAAAGTGTCAACTGTAAGTTTAAATATGGACGTTTCAAAGAACAAATTATATATTCCATGGGCAGCCATCTAGAAAATGTATAGCTTTTTATGCATGCAATTTGGAAATTTTATTCATGTATTTTAATTCTCTGACTCACAGACCTTGTAGGTAAATGGATAACATTTTCTGGCAAAGACAACTGACAAAATTGGAAAAAAGGGATAAAGGAAGTTGTAAAATGAAGAGTCAATTTATGAACATTTTACATAATCTTGCAAAAATAGCAGTTGATGAGGGGAAACTAGTAAAACATTTTTTATTATTTTACACCATATTCTGCCACTCATCTTTAAGGCCTGTTACCCAGTGCATGGGACTTATACTGTCAGATTTGTAGCTGACAACTCTCCTCAAAATCCACTTATCTGAAACACAGTTTGATTTTCTCATTTTTTGGTAATATCTAGGTTTAGCCTATGTTCCATAGTAGTTAGTTCAAACCATATTAACACTAGGTCTCTGTCCCACTGCTTTCAGTTGATTTGATGCTTGTCCAATTTCTCCAACAGACTTTAAATATCCAAAGAAAAAGACCATGCCAACTTTATCTTTATATCTGAGGTTGTGGCCCAGGATTTGATGTATTACAGGACTCCGTAAAATTTTGTTAAATAAATAAGGGAGAGTAAAAACCATTAAGAAAAATGACTTGAATAAAAAAGTAACCCTCCACTTAATCTCCATATTTTCTAATGATTCAGCCAAATATTTTCCACTCATATATTCACAGTTATCATCTGATATAAAAATAATTGATATTCAAAATGTTGGTCCTGAGGGATTTAAGACATCTAAGAGGAAAATAAATATAAAACAAAAAATGCAGTCTATGTTCAATACTGTGTGCCAAGAAAAATCAAATATTATTTCCTAGAAATATTATTTGAAAGTGTTAAAATAAAATTTTGAGCTAATATCTAGTTAATCAGATATCCAATCTCAAGTTTGTTTAGCTTATCAAAATACCATTTTTTCTGCAAAGCAACTATTTATTTCTACAGATTTGTATATAAAATACATTAAGCACAATGAACTCTAACTTTAGGAATGTTCTTATTCTTTAAAGTATTTCATATTTTAATGAATAAAATATTAAATATGGTTCTGTATCACTTATCTTGTTTATTATACCAGGAATACACTAGATATCTCAATTAAATTGAATAACTTTGTATTTACATTTGCTCTGTAAGAAAAATTTTACCACTGTAAGTTAGTTAAATGATATCACAACCTTTTGTCATATCAATTAATTACTCATATTATTTTTTACAATATGTAATCCAGAATTCTATATTTGTTTCTATATTTGAAGAAGATGAAATGATTTAATTTACTTACTGAAAAAAAATCAACTGTCAGTTAAAAATAAATTTTCATGCATTTTTGGAGCATTAACTTTATTGTTAAGAAAGAAAAGACTGAGAGCCAAAATCCATTCAATAGCTACATTTTGCTTTCATAAAAATTATGAAGGTTTAATATCATCTTTGTGTAACAATTTTAAAGCAGAAAAACAAAAAGAAGCAGATATTAGTATATAATAATGGCAAAAATTCATTTTTAAGAGCAATATGCAAAATTCTTCATATATTTTTAGGGAAAATCTGGCAAGTTTATTGGTTTTCCTCTACCCTTATCTTGTGCCAGCAAGAGCCATCTGTAACAAGATGGAAACATTGGCACATGCAAAAAATTCATTTCTATTTCCTAAAACCATCGCCTAATAAATTCTGCTGTAAATTATTCGAGACTCTAGTCTTTTCCTTTAAAAAAATTAACAATGGTAGAAATACTGAGGTACTTCATTTGGTTAATTTATAAATTTCAACTAAAAAAGAGGTCTCCAAAGCCAGAAAAGATAAAGTAGCTGCCATGAACAAGACATTCATATTTGTCAATGTAAGTATATAATTATACACAATGAAAAACAGGTTTTTTTTAAAAAAACAGACACTAAAGAAATTGTGTGTTATCTTAAATTGTACCTTAACAACCTCAGTCAATTTGTCAGGAATGACCTTGCAGGTACCAAGGATGAACTTTAACACTTCAAGTGAAAAGTGAATTTGATGAGTGCTTCATTGGGTTATAGTACTTAAGGAATATACTACAACAAAAGTGAATCACATTTATATAGTGAAGTATTGATTGTTTAATACAATGATTATTATCATTATCAGTTATAAACATGCTAGATTTTTTAATGAATGGAATAGATACTTGGGAAATTTGTATGAGCCTTTTCAGACCAGCATGGAGTTTGGAAAAGAATAGAAAACTTTTCAAAAGCAGTCATTTCCTGAAATTGACATTTCAAGGATATATCTGCACTCCCATGTTTATTCTAGCACTATTCACAACAAGCAAGATATGAAATCAACCTAAGTGACCACCAAGGGATGAATGGATTTCTAAAAATGGGATGGATAGATAGATAGATAGATAGATAGATAGATAGATAGATAGATAGACAGACAGACAGACAGACAGACAGAATACATTCTGGTCTTCTATTGCACAGTAGGTTGACTATTGTTAATAATAATGTATTGCATATTTCAAAATAGCTAAAAGGTTTTTGAATGTTCTCACTACAAGGAAATAAAAAATATTTGAGGTGATGGATATGCCAATTATCCTGATTTGATCATTACATAATGTATAAATGTATTGAAACATCACCCTGTAGAGGTATACAGTTACTATATATCAATTAAAAACAAGATAAAACAAACAAAAAAGTAGTCATTTCAATGTTCACTTACAGAACCTACTACTTATTCACAATGAGTCACTCACCAAATCCATATGGTTGCTACTTTGGGCATTCAAAATACTGTTTCATGATTGTAATATAAACTAGTAAAGCTAACACTTACCCATTATATTCCAGGCACTGAGAGAACAACCTTACATAAATGGCCTCATTTATTCTTTTCAAACGCCTATTAGGTAGGTACTGTTATTATCCTTATTTTATAGATGAGGTGACCGAAACTTCTAGAAAGATGAAATAACTTGCGTAAGCCAAGGAGTGAAAAATTTGAATTTAAAGCAGTTATTATAGAGCTTGAGATTTTAATCACTCTTACTGCTTTCCCAAGTTATATAGTTATTCCATTTTGTCTGTGTGGTATACACAGTCTGATCGTTGTCTTGTATGGTTAGATTATGATGATAATGAGATCAGGGTCACAGGTTTGATATGTGTGTTCAGTTGACTTTTTCCTATGAAAGATCATTCCACTGCTACTTGAACATGCTTTTCCAATTTTACAATAAGGATTATTTTTTAGTCAGTCATAACAGAGGATCAGAGAGGTATCTCCATCTAGTTTAACCAAATCTGTCACCTAATGTGGTAAGGTCAACCACATTACTTTTATATACGGAGGAAAATAAACATATAATAGCCAAGTCATTCATGTCACTTCCATACCTGCCCAATTTACATCAGGAAGTAGTCAGGTATGAGGAAATTAAAGATATGGAAATGTGACATGCAAAGGCAATTCTAAGGGACAGGTAATTAAATCGAGTTTCCCACACATATTCCTGAAGTAATCAGAGCTGTACTAGGTTGTCAACACCACAACAAGTTGACACTTAACATCAATGCCCGCTGATTTTATTTATTAATGGTAGGGAAACTAAATCTTAATCAGGTAACTGATAATGTTAAATAATTAAAATGAGAGAGGAACAAAGCTGCAACAATAATTTTAAACAAGCCATGGTTCATTTAACCTATCTCACCCAACTCTTCATAGAATCCAGATTAATTAGATTCCATTTATTTTCATATTTTTAGAGAGCTTAGGGGCTCTCTAAGGCCAGTTGGACACAGTTTGCAGATGATAGGTGGTACTAAAACATTACAATTTCTAATAAAGTTTTTTTGTTCATTACCCCGATATTTGGAGAAAGTTGACTTATTTAGAATTGCACCCATTTGAGACTGATAGCCAGGAAAAGAAAACTTTAGTTAAGAAAAATACTAGTCGGGCATTTTTGCCTGGAAGGTTTAGTAAAAAGATGAAGGAAAGAGAATCTATAGCAATAAACAGTTTGCACAGATAAGCTAATGTTGATAGTAGAAAGTGTGTATAATATACAGTAAAGAACTCCAGTAGAAAATCTGGAATAGACAAAAGTCTATGTTTTCATATCTGGACTGTCTATAATGATTGTCCCTTTTTAGCCTCAGTGCTGTGTAGTTGTATCACACAATTGTTCTCTTTTTCTGTATCCTTCACTTTATTCTGTAACAATGTAATGGGGATATATTTTTATAATGACCTAAGTTAACAAAGTGTCACTCTAGTTGTGTTTTTCCCACTTTGTATTTATTAATGCATTATTGTTTTTAAACTACTTCCATGTCCATTCTTCCATTTAATTAACCTAAAAGCACATGCTTTCAAAAAGTTAACATTGCCTATCTGTGATTACACAACTAATAAATGATAATCGCAAAATGGAAAGCCAATGTGGCATCAGTAATGAGACAACAGTAACTAATGTTTATTGGGAATCAGGTATTGTGAAAGGAGCTTTACATATGTTATATAACAAATTTGAAGAATCTCATGCAGGAGGCATGATCCCAATCGTATGGTGGGAAAAAAAAAAGCATCAGAAAGGTTAATACTTTACCCCAGATAACAGAGTAACATGTCAAGGGTTCAAATTCAGGTCTGTTCAACTCCAAAGACCAAAGCCTTAAGGGAGAATGGCACATTCCCACCAAAAGATCAAAGAGCACACAGGAAGATGCATATATTTTAAAACACGTAAGAGTAATGAAAAAACATAAAGTCATAAAATAATTTAAATTTTATAATCTGAATATATAATAACGGATTGCATTTAAAAAATTAAGTTCTTGCAATTTTACCTTTTAATTATTAGACATTTAGTGCAGATTTAGTAAATCCAGTATTTCTTATAAATACTCAGAAAACAGAAGCATATTTGATTGTACTAATTTGCATTTTGATGAGAAAGAAACTAGAAATTTAAGAAATAAAAAACTATTTTATTGACTATAATTGCATAAGCTTGGTGCACTTATAAAGGCTTTAAAGAATATTTTCAATACTTGAAGAAGATTCAATTATAATGTATCAAATCTGAAACCTTTTCAAAACTAGTAGACACTGCATTAAAACTATAGGTAAAAGATTTTATCGGGTTTAAATGTGTTGTAAGAAGGAAAACACTCTATGTTAAACTGACAGAATACAAGCCATATCTAGAATGTGCGTGCGAGGGGGCTGGGGGAGGCTGTATTAGAGGTGCAAATCCTCTCACTCCCCAAATATCTTGAAATTTCAAGAAAAAAATGCAAATGAGAGTACCAATGTACTCAGAAACAACAAAGAATGTTGGGAAGACAGAGAGCAAGTGATCTTAAATTGAACAAAGAAATCTTTAACAAAAATGCTCACAGAAAATTAACACAAAAGGTAGATTCAACACCAAGAAAAGACCAGGCCCATAAACAGCCCATTCTAGAAGTGGAAGTGAGTCCAGAGAGCCCACAGCACAGCTATTTGGAGTATGATAGCAGGGAGTGGTTGTGGAATCCTCTGCATATTCTCCAATTCACTTCTTGGCCAGACCAATAACAGGAGTCACTGTCTCTCAAAAAGACATTGAATACAGGAGTTTGTGTGGAAAAGATAGGATGACTGGGTATCCAAAAACTCAGAGAAATATTAGTGAGTGTCCAGAGCCAGAAGATCAACTATTGAAGCATTTTATCTAGCAGGATGCCCTTCTCTTCCCCCACTTACATTTTACATAAGTTCTTTCCATCTCTACTACCAAGAACCTGTATGAGCCACTGACATTTCTTGCTCTGGCTCTCTCAGTAGCCTGATAACTAAGAGGACTATATATCAAAGGCTTGCCTGTGACCACTTCAGTTTACACATATGAAGTCATAAGCATTTCTGCTTAAACTCCTCTGATTTCTTTCAATTGCTTTATAAATAAAAAAACAGACTCCACTGTGGCCCATATGCCCTGCTATTTGAATGCATCGGCCTTCCTGGCTGTCTTCTGGCAACACTGTCCTTTCTGTTTCTTAGACACGCACACATATTACCACCTTATGACTTCGGGTGTGCTACTTTGTCTGATTGGGATGTTCTCTTTCCTGCTCCTCACATGATTAACTCCATTTTAAAGTACAGCTTAAACTCCATCCCTTTAGAGAAGCTTTTTCTCCTCCAACATCTAATTTCATACCTCAGTCACTCTGTCACATTACCATGTTTTGTTTACTTCATAGCATTTATTAACTTCTGAAATAACTATTTTTATTTATATATACAGTTATATGTGTGATTTTTAAATTTATGAACCTACCCACCTCCTCCCACTACTGTGTGAGAAGGGAGACCTTTTGTTCCTACCATTATATCTCCAGCATTGAAAAGAATTTCTAGCACAAATAGGTACTTAATTTAATTATTATTCAATAAAAATCATATTGATTAACAACAGTTATCTGCCCAAAATATATAACAAACATCATATTCAATGATAACATATTACAAACAGGTAAGTTAAAATCAATAATGGCACTATACTTTTTTAAAACGACATATGAATAACAACATTTTGTGTCTCAAAGCCAAGAACAAACCAATTCCAAGGTGAAACTGCTAGGTCATTGGTGTAAATCTTGCAAAGATGACCAATAAGCTGCCTGTGAACTTAGTCCAATGCTCATGATATGAAAATAAAAGATTAATAAAAAAATGTTTTTTGGGGAGGATTTCTTTGTAGAAAGCTGTATGTTGAAGCACATTCCTTCCCCTCCCCACAGAGGGAGGGAGATAAATGCTTCACCTCACTTCCAGTCTGGTATGAGAAGCTTTAAGGAGTTAGCTTGGATAGCTTGATATGTGTGACTTGAAGCTCTTTGAGCACAGTGGGGAAAAGGCAGACAAATGTTGACTGAAGTGGGTTATGGCAGTGGGGCTGGGTGTTGTCTTGAAACAAATAATGGCACTTTCACTGATTGATAGAGAACCAAAAGTGAATATGTCTGGAAAGATGGATATGGAATTCATAGTAGGAATGTTGATCTGGAATAATTTGAAAAGAAAATCTAACCCAAGCAGACTTCTGCCAGGGGAAGATTGCTTTTGCAAAAAGAGTTTGGGGTGATGCCTTTGGATGCAAAAGCGAGGTGGAATTATAGCCTGCTGGCTGAAGGAGAGGAAGCTGCAATTAGGAGGAGGAGTCTGGCAGCCTAGGAAAGAACAAAATAATACACTCAGTGAATACAGAAAAAGGATGGGTGTCACTGAGGAGCAGGAATGTGAAGAGAAGAAGACCACCACATCCCATTCTCCGGTCCAGGCTTCTGCCTAATCATTAACAAGTTGAAGGAGAAGAAAAGCTTAACTTTAAACAAAATGTGGGGCATATCAAGTTTTTGTTGCTGATGTTTTTATTGTTATCTAAGTGGGACGGAATCTCACTCCTGTTGCCCAGGCTGGAGTGCAATGGTGTGATCTTGGCTCCCTGCAACCTCCGTCTCCCAGGTTCAAGTAATTCTCCTGCCTCAGCCTCCCAAGTACCTGGGATTATGGGTGCCTGACACCATGCCTGGCTAATTTTTGTATTTTTAGTAGAGGTGGGGTTTCACCATGTTGGCCAGGATGGTGTCAAACTTCTGACCTCAGGTGATCCTCCTGCCTCAGCCTCCCGAAGTGCTGGGATTGCAGGAGTGAGCCACCATGCCCGGCTTCATATTTCATTTTTAAACTGAGTAGCTTCTAAAACTTCATGACTGAATATGAGAAAATGTGAACAAATTTGATTTTAACTTCATTATAATAAAAACTGCTCTTTCAAATAAAAAAAGAAACCTACCATACACTATTAAAGGTAAGAATAAATTAGTCAAATCTTTGATTAACATCCACAAAAGGGAAAGTAAAAATGAGCCAATAATCTTTTAAATCTTTTTACTTTCCTCTTTAAATAATTGAAAAACACATGTGACTAATAAAAATATGCCCTGGGTTTTGTTCCGTCTCTGGTCAGTAGCAATGATCAGTACATTCATCAAAGAGAATTATATAATTTTAAAAAATAAGGTCACACTTTTCTGTTTTTTGGTTAAATTCAAAGTTGACAAAGACAAGTTAACCACAACATATTAAAGTTAGAATTCTCAGCTATCTTAGGATCTATAGATGCATGTATATGTATATTTTTATAATTATAATTATATTTTAATTTGTTTCTACATTTTCTGCCCGAAAGGCTCCCACACTACAATACGGTATGGACAAAATAAGTTTGATATATATAAAAAGTTTTTATTAAAAGTTGGCATAAACTTACTAATCAACAAGTCTAATGTTGTTACCATTACATGTTTTAATAATATTGAGTTCTTGGAGGTCATTCTTGGTAATTTGTCAAATTCTAGAGACCTCTAATTTTCTGCGTTTACTAGCCATTATTTTAAAAATATGGTGGTAACATACAAACCTCATACAATTCAAGGTGTTAGTTATTTTCCTGAGTACTTGTTCACTCAAGAAGTATTTATTTTGCCCCTCAATTAAAAATAAGTGAGTTTATCTTGCTATTCAGTCAATAAAATTACTTCCTCTAAATTTTTCTTGAATTATAACATTCCTCAATGTGCTCAAATACCCTAATCATCACATCTGCTTATAGGTTTGATTTTAAATGATGGCATAAGATTGCAAAATTCAGATGAGTCACAAAAATAATACAGTTCCTTATTTTCTATTCAGTTTAGTTTGATTCTACAGATGTTATTTGAAAGAACCTACTATGCACAAAAATTGTGCTAACCATTCCCCATGTGCTCACAGATGTTATCATATAATGGGAAGACGGACATGCAGCCAATTTTTAAATCAGGGTGATTAAAATAAATGATTTAGAAGTAATAGAAGCAAAATACTATGGGAAGAAAGAGAAAGAGAAAATGAGACTTCTCTGTGAGGTCTCAGTGAAGACTTCTTTGTGGAAGTGCATTTGAGATGAACTTTGAAAAACAATAGGGATTTTGAGAGGTGAAAGGTGAAAGAACGCTGCCAGCTGAGGAAACAGAGTGAGCACAGGATTTCTGCTTTATAAGCTGAATAAGCCCTGGGTTCAGTTTTGAAAGGCTATGTTATTGGCAGTATGCTTTTTGATTCACAAGCTCTCCTATAAAGGTTGAAAGCCTCTTCATGGCAAAATAGCAGGATTTTTTTTTTCATTCTATTGAGTGCGAATTATATGTTAATTGAATCACATGCAGTATCTTATTCAATCCCCTTCAAGCCTTTTTTGGGATGCACACTGCCATTTTCATTTCACAGATGAGGAAACTGAGACTTTGAAAGGTCGATACATTGATCTGAAATTGTATTTTCTGTAAATGAAGGACCAGAGCTGTGAATCAATTGTTTCTCACTCCAAAATCTATTCTTTTTATCATTACACCATACACTCCTTCAAAGGAATTAGGAATCCATGAGGAGCAGCACTGAACTAAAATTTTAGATATATTCCAGTAAATATTTATTTAAGATTCTACCAGGAGAGAAGCAAAATATCAGGGGGTAGCAACAAAGTAATTAAGTATCCATATGACTCTTTAACTTATAAAACTTTTAAAATCTATTAATTTTTTAAAATGCCAAGGGCAGAAATTATGATGTATCATTTGTACTCTCCTCTTTAGATCAACCAACGTTATCTGTGCAGGTAACCTTGGGAAAATCAACTCACCTCTGTAGCCCAAGTTCTGTAAATGTTTTACATGTCTAATTATCCTATTATAGGTCATTTTTTCTAACTAGACTGTGAAGGCCTGAGGAGCAGCCAGCTGACTCATTTTTATTCCAGCACCAGGCATTTTTCTGGCATTTTCCACCACAGAATAAATGAATAAGCAAAAGTTTCCTTATTTGTAAAGAGTTGCTCTAGATCTCTGAGGTTCCTAATGGCTTGAGAATTATCTTTATTAAGATAGGACATTTTCCAGAGCTCTAGGAAGAGGACCGTTTCCAAACTTTGCTGTATCCTTGGAATATAACAGAAGCTTAGGGGCCTCCATTAATTGCCTTGAGCTTTGAAAGTTATGGATTCTGTATGCAGAAATCATAAAGCAGGGACACCTGATATTTTTCTACTGTCCTGTAGGGGAAATGCTACCTTTTAGATATTTCCAGAGGGATAAGGTAAGGGAAGAATGTAGCAGAAGCTAAGGGACACTAAACTCTTTTTTAGATAGCTCAAATAAATTATAACCAGTAAGACCCTCCCTGTTCATTTATTCACTGGCATATGAATTCAGAAAGTTGTTAAGTAGATGCACTCAACCTTATACTCTTCTGTGTTTCCAATCAGTGCCTCTATCTGCAGCCCACATTCCATCTCCAATCCTGCCCTCTGTAATTTGTGCCAGGCCTTGGATGAATTGGCATAAATAAAAAGGTTCTTGAGACATAGACACACCTTTCAAAGAGATAAGCACCTAGAAGGGCAGACAGTTTCATGCATAGCATGTATTATTACCCCAGGCACATGCATGAGTTGTCAGGGGACCACATGCTGAAAAGTTCGAAAGATTCCTGAGGTAAATCGGCTATGAGAAAGAGTGTGACTGGCAGGAAACACATGGCCCTCATATGTGTGTTTGGGGGAATGTTGGGAGATGAAGTGTAGAACAGAAGGCCAAGTAGTTTACAGTCATTTGAGCATAGAAGTCACACAATGGTGGAAGATGAGGGATGGACTGTCCTTGTAAACCATGTTAATTAGCTTGGTCTTTCTCCTGGAAGAAACAGTGAACCACTGAAAAATTTTTGGCAGAGGAGTTTCATGGTAAATATGATATTCTGACAGCTGTGGAAAAGATGAGTGTAAGGGGTAGGAGGTGATGTTCACTATTAATGCCTCCAAAACTATGCCTCTTAATTTGGACTTTCTGGGCCCTGAAGATTCTTGAACAAAGTAATGGAGACCAATCTAGGTCGGTTAAAATGTTAATTTGAGGCTGGGCCTGTAATCCCAGTAGTTTGGGAGGCTGATAGGGTGGATCGCTTGAGTCCAGGATTTCAACACCAGCCTGGGCAACATGGCGAAACCCTGCCTCTATAAAAACAATTGCTGGGTGTGGTGGTACGTGCCTGTAGTCCCAGCTACTTGGGAGGCTGGGGTGGAATGATAGCTTGACTTGAGCCTGGGAGGCAGAGGTTGCTGTGAGTCAAGATCACACCACTGCACTCCAGCCTGGGCGACAGAGCAAGACCCTGTCTCAGCAACAACAACAAAATGTTAGTTTGGTTTTGGGGCTGTTTTACTTTTGATAATAATTTAGTTGTAACGTTAGGAACTTCACACTTATTTTTGATTGGTTATTATATGCGTTTGAAGAGTGAAAGAAAATTAATTAAAACATAAATGGAGTTTGATAGAAAGGTTATTTTTTAACACAAGTTCCAAGGGGGAAAATTTTAAAAGATGGCCTCAGGAAATATTTGGCATATGTGATACATAAGGTGTAAACTAATGAATGGTGACCATTTCAAGAGTTTGGGCATTTATGAAAGGGGTGTGCTTGAGAAGAAAAATCTCAAGATCCTAAGAGGCAAATCTACACTGGATTATTTACTGTGATTGGGGAGAGGGCTATTGATTTATTAATAAGCTACTGAGTGTATGAACTGTCTCACCAAGTTTTCTCTCAGCTCCTGTGGTACCATCTCAAGCAACTGACAACTGAGGAGTAAGTCCATTCTGATTGGAGAAGAAGAGCTTCATGAAGATTGTCTCTGAACTCACATAGTAGGAATTAGGTATTCTCTAAAATTCAATGAATTACTTTTCTTTCAACATTAACAGTAACTTTTTCCCCCCAAACTCAGGTATTCGGAAATGAAATTATTTTATAATATATATTGGTTACCTAATTTCCATTTTCTAACTTGGATAAATTATCTAAGTATTTCATGAACACATACATATTTGAGAGACAATTTCAGGTAGAAAAAAATAGAAATCAATATGAGAAGCTTGTTTCTTATTAACAACTTACTTAATGTTAAAATAAAATGAAAAATTTAAATTAAATTGATTTTTATATGTTCAAAGGAAATTGTTAAAAATTATAATTCAAATTACAAAAATGTAATTATTCAAAGGCAGAGATTAAAATGACTTGTGCAATTGCATCAAAATACGAATTTTCTTTTAATTGTTGAATTTTGACAAATGATTTGTCTAGACGCATTTCAAGACCTTAAACTATAATTTATGTTGAAGAAAATTATAAAACTTAAATATATAGAATTAGGATAAAAATAAATGTGTGTTTTACTAAGATTTCTTCAAATTGAATGGGTCATTGTTTACTCTATGTTCCCTGTACTTATACAGTAAACAATGAACATATTTATTAAACAAATTGCACTATTCAATGAATTGGCTGGACAATTTAAACCAAAGAATACATTTGTCGTGAAAAGGTCTTAAAAAGTCAGTATCTTAAACTTTCTGGATAATTCTCTGTTATTACGATCATTTAGTATTTATTATTTTCTAATATTTATTATTATTATTACTGTCTGGTGAAAATGCCTATTCCCCTTATAAATATCTTTGTACTTTCCAAGAGTTTGGCCAATATCCTCTACATATAATAAAATATTTTTAATGCTAAGTACAAACCAACTATCAGTATGGTTTGTCCATCACTCATCTACCTAACATAGGTCAGACACCAATTTTGTGTCAAATACGTGTTAGATTCTTCTTGTTGGAAGAAGAAATGAATATAATTTGGTCATCAAGTATAAGAAATCCCTTCAGACTTAAAGCATTGTTTTCAGTACCAATTTTACATTTCTGTTTCTCTGTCTATTAGAAAATACTCATTATTGAAGAAAAACACGCCAGTCCCTTCTTTTGTTTTTCCAGATTATTAATTTATATCCGCATTATAATTACACATTAAACATTTACAGCTACTTATAGCTGAAGCTTTAAAATACCCTCTCAGGATACATTGTAATTACTATTTATGTTATCATTACTGAACTAGAGAATGGCAAATCAGTGAAGGAGATAATTTTAGGAAGAAATACAGCAGATCGGTTTTAATCAAATTTTCAAAATCATTTATCTAGATAAAAATTTTGTAATAATCATTTTGCATATTAGCTCATGTTATTTAATGATACTCTGTATAAGATGACAGCCATAAAATTCTTTTTATTCCAATCTGGCTTTGATTTAAAAACGTATTCTTATAAAAACGAAAAAGGCAAAACAAGTTTCCCTTCTTTCTTTCAATATTCATTGAGAACAGTTCTCCTAACTTTACAAATTGTGAAATTTCAGAATCAGTACTATTCTAACAATTAGGATAATTCAATGCGGAGGTCCTGCTGCTCCTCTAATGGTATGACTTAACCTCGTCCTGTTTCCAATCTTATAAAATAGAGAAATAACATAATAGGGACATTTTGGGATTATGAAGAATGTACGTAAGATGACAAGCACATACCTAATATAGTCAGGGTTCAATAAGTAGAAAATACCACTATCCTACTACTACTAGTATAACAATTAATATTGCTGCTACTACTACTACTAATAGGAGAACATGGAGGAGGGAAAATAGGAAAGAATGAGAAAAAGTATGAGGAAAAGAAGATGAGGCTGGGTGCAGTGGCTCACACCTGTAATCCCAGCACTTTGGGAGGCGTAGGTGGGCAGATCACTTGAGGCCAGGTGTTCGAGACCAGCCTGGCCAATATGGCGAAACCCCGTCTCTACTAAAAATACAAAAATTAGCTGGGCATGGTGGTGGGTGTCTGTAATCCCACCTACTCGGGAGGCTGAGGCAGGAGAATTGCTTGAACCTGGGAGGCAGAGGTTGCAGTGAGCCGAGATGGCGCCATTGGACTCCAGCCTGAGTAACAGAGCAAGACTCTGTCTCAGAAAAAAAAAAAAAAAAGACAAAACATAATAAGGAAGATTCTAGGTGTTTTCGTGCATCTGTGCATGCATCCATATAATAATATGTGTACAGTAATCTAGAAAATAGAAGAGTTTCTCCTCCATCAAGTTTTACTATGCCACTATAACCATGAGCATGACCTACATTCAAAGGATATAAGGGATAGAGGAGATGGTAGGGAATGAGGGAAGAAGTGGTAAATGACAGAAAGAGATGATGAAATATCATCTTGAAGCAGATGAGTATGTATGAGAACAAAATGAGCAGAATGGAAATGGCAGTCATTCTGTTTTTCTTTCCTTTTGAAGCCTGCAATAAAAGTGTGAGAAACAATTTCCTTTGGTATTCTTACCGTATAATATAAGCTTGAGGCTCTGCATGGTGGCAATGGTCATTCCAAAATCCCAGAAATTGAAGTAAACTGGACTAAGTTTATAGAGAGAGATTGGAACAATAACAATGGGATGTATGGCTTTAAGAGAGTGTATAACATTCTGTAGGGGAAGATGCCATACCTCCCAAGGCACTGTCTCAGGTTACTGAGGAAGCTGTTACTGAGAAAAGAGGAAAAATTGAAATTTCAAAACAGAAAGACAAGGGAGTCCAGTTATTTTTTTCTCCTTCTTGTCCTAATGGCAGATTTCCTCTTGGTTTTTTATTTTGCATATCCTTTTACCATTTCTCCAGATAAAGTATCATTGGTTTCTCTCAATGTGCTTAGGCCACAGTGCAGAAACAGTTCTTGTCTATCTGGTCAATTACCTTTTATTATCAACCCAATGAAATTTTCATTCTATATTGTTTTAGATTCTGGCAACACATTGTTCTATATATTTTTCTTCAGTGAGTTAAAGTTTTTATACCACACCAGCTTTCTCGCTTTTGTTCTTTTTAGTCCTCATGAACCAGAAATACTTCTGTGAGCAAGAAGGAATTATATCTCTGAATAAAAAACCTCCTCCATACAAATGTATGTGTGCATACATACACACACACACACACACACACACACACACACACACACACACACACATGCACCCACAGCAATTAGCAATTTCTGGCACATTTCTTCACTTCTCCATCTTTTCAAAGCCTATCTAAAGATGGACATAAAAATATTTTCTTTCTAATAAGTTAGAAATGGAAATTATCCAACAAGAAATATCAGATGGCACCCTTGCAGCATTATAAAAATAATACAAATGTCTGATGGGTACACTGACAAAGTAATAAGTCATTTATTCTAGAAAAATGATACTAATATGATTTTTTATAAATATATTTTTGATAGGCTGGAGAGCTCTATATTTATGTTTCTTAATTCCTATTCAGAAAATTGTGTTTTTGAGTAGAAAAAGAACTAGAAATCCTTTCATTCTACTACCCATTTAATGAGTGAATCCTTCAACAAATTCTTACCAGGTAGTTATGCAGATTATGCTAATTGTGACTAATGGAAATTTGGCATTAAAACTTTTGTGGTAGCCCAATCTGTTATTGGCATCTGACAATGCCATCTGAAAAATAAGCTGAGATATACTTCTCAGAGTCTTCTTAACTCCTTCGGAACACAGGAGCAAATATACCTCTTCCACATGGCAGACCTTCAGATAAGTGAAGGCAACCATTCTGTTCTTTTTGATTCTGCTTCTATCTTGCTTAATGAACAAGTGAACCTTACAGGAAGCAGTGATTCAGTCACACCCCTCTGAACATAGCGTTAGTCTGTCCATGGCCCTTCATGGTGAAACCTAAGGTAGATCTGATCAGACAGAGTATACTTATCACCTACTTTCTGCACATTAGGCTTCCAGGTCAGTTAAGATGCCATTAGTTTTCCTGGAGACCACATTCCAGTTTTGACCTATTTTAAAAAACCTTCTCTACTGCAGTCTAGTCTTTCCCATCCTGAGCTCCTGTTGAACTTCTCTCCATCATGAAGTGTACAGAGCTTTTGTTGTTTGTTTGACATTCATTGGTGAGAATATGAAAATGTCACAGGCAACTTCAAAGAGTGATCATGCCCAGAGAAAACAAGGTTTAAAAAACCATAAATGAATAGTATGTTACAACTTCTTCAATGCAATGCTTCAGATATTTGTTAGCTTACTGAGCACAGTACAGATTTTATGGAAAATGTTTGAATATAAAATGATCTTTTATTTCACAGGAAACTGAATGAGTATGCTTGATGTGTGAAAGGGTAAGTGGGTTGTGAGGTTGCTTCTTTCATTAACATTCCTCATATTGTTTCCTCACTTTGAAAATGCTTTTTTCTTCTTTTTCTTACTTTTTTTTCCTCCTCTTTATCCCTCTTGCTTCCATTTTTTGTGTTCCCTTTTCAATATTTTTCTTCCTCATACCTCCCCTTTTTCTTATAGCTCTAGGTAGTAGAAAACAGGAGTTTGCTGGAGAGTTGAAGGCATAGGACAGTTCTAGATTCAGCTAATGAATCTCAAACTCTGTTAGTTATACCATATATACAAATTAAATGAGAAGCTTTGTGTATCAAAACAAAGTTTCACAGGTCTAGGAAACATTAAAAATGAATGAGAAATAAAGTAAAATCATAAATGTCTTATCAAACCAAAATTATATTTGTAATACAAAAAGTAAACCCAAATCATGAATTTCTGCTGTGCTTTCCATTTTATTCAACAGGGCATGAAATTACATGTCTTTTTTCTCACAACCCCTTACATTTTGTCTAGCACAGAGTAGATATGTAAATAAATATTTGTTAAATGAAGAAATAAATTCAATTAGACAAGAGAATATGTATTTATAGATTCTAGTGGGGGTTAGGACAAAAAAAGGGGTCAGGTACTTCCTTTACATCATGTGCTGGAATAATGATGTTCATTAAATAAATCACAGTTAATCATCTCTGTCCTTGGCAGTATATGAGCTACTGACAAATTTTCTGACCTAATGAATTTAACAGACTGCAAGAAGATAAAGAATGAAGTAAGCTCCCAAAGCTTTGTCCATTTCTCCAAATATTTAATTATCAGTAGTTGTAACAAGAAAAAGGGTGCAGTCTGTAGGAACATGAAATCATATGCCTCATGACTGTCAAAGATTCTGTGTGTGTGTGTGTGTGTGTGTGTGTGTGTGTGTATCAGAGACAAATTTACACAATCCCATTGCCTGGAGAATTCCACAACACTTATTGAAATTGATGCCCTAAAGTATCATACGATTAGCATTTGGAACTTCTGTTTTAATGAGTTTAACCCTTTCTCCCTCTTCCTCCTTTTATATTTCCTAATCTGCTCCAATCTCACCCAAAACTTTATCCTAATCTTGGCAGAATCAGCGTCGATGACTAAGCAGTCACTTTCCATGTCTAAGTTACTCTCTTATAGTGAGCTAAGCACTTAAAGAGAAACATTAACTTTCAGGCCGCTTGGGTACTATTCAGAGTAATGGTTTATAACAGTTAATAATGTATACCATAACTAGAGAATGCCTTAGGTAGGCTCATTGTGTAGTAAACATAATAAAACAGTCTCTTTTTAGTATCAGTTGGAAGTACATTATTTCCCCCACCATTAAGACATAAGAAAGTAAAGAAAAAAATCACATCATTTGCATGTTTTCTATAGCTATAGTATATTTCATCTCATCTAGATTTTAATCACTCAAATATTTTGTTCTCCATTTCTTTTAATTTATTATCATTTTAAAGGTACAGATATGTGTTTGCATCGTCACTTTTATAGCAGATCCCAAGTTTAGCAACCTAGTGTTATAGTAAACTGCTTTTCCTTTCATTAAAAAACAACAAAAAAGTACTTCATTATTGGAGAAGGCAAGTCACACTCAGTGTGTTTGCATATCGGAGAACATGAGTCCCTGGAATCTATCATCAACACTGTCCTTCTGTTATTTGTTTCCTTTCTTATTAAGAGAGTCTCTTCTCTTCCTCTGCTCTCTAAGCTCAGAACCATCCAAGCTACCTTTGGCTTATTCCTGTCCTGGAAGAACTAAATGAAATAATCAGTTTGAGGCAGAATAATGCCTTAATATTGCTGAATAGTACTAAAATTACCAGTAGGCTATAAGAAGACTCTTGCCCCTGAAACATTCTGTAACCCTTCAACTGCTTTCTTGGATTATTTCTTTGCTTTGTCTCTCTGAGAACTAGAATTCTGTCGGTTCATTCCCAAAATGTAACTGAAGCCTCACAGACTGACGATCCTTAGCTCCATTTTATTAGATTTGCCTTGATATTCACTGATTTTTCCCTGGTAAAAAGTCTGCATTATCTGTCTCAATTGATAAGTTTAAATCAGAGAACAAAGGCTACAAGAACAAAAAGAGCATCCAACGCATATAATGGTGGCTAAGGTCTTATTTCCTCATTTTACTGATATTTGAAGCTACCAGACTAGAAGAAATATTTCTGTAGGAAATGCAGGTTATTAAAGAAGTCTATTAAAATGGAGGGCCCCCTGATCTCAGAAATATTATGGTCTATTTAATAAGAAATCTCATAAAATCTGCCCAAAATGAACTAAATAATCATATTTAAAAGGTAGTGATGCTCTATATATCATGCTAATCTACCCGCCTCATCAGAATCTTTCAGTTTTTACCTCAGTTGAACTGTATTTTGGAATCACACTTGATTGTGGACACTGGCTCCCCTACCTCTTACCCATCGACTCCATGTCCATCTGTCATAGCCACTAAACGCAGCTTATCTAATCAACCTTTCTTCTGAGTTTGGGACCCCTGCCAACCTCCAGGGAGACAGCTTCTTTCTTTAATAGAAGAGAAAATAAGACGTCACTCCAGTGGGCTTTGAGCTCTCTACTAGAACAAGCAAATTAGGTTGTTTCTGACACAAGAACTGCATCTCAGTGTTCTTTAGCATTATATGGTAATATAAGTATTGAAAGTCATTGCACACTAACTTATATTCAGTCTATATGTTGAGTACAAAGACATTATAGCAAAAAGGGCAAGACTGAGTCGGCCGTCAACATTTCTCATTGTACTACACAATACAGCTGGAAATGAAGCAGAATTTCCTGTTTTATTTTACCCAGAGGCTACCACAATCAGTTTCTCTAAAAATTGTTATAGGCCCAGAGTTAAAACTGCATGATTGTAGGTAGCTCTAGGTAAACATCTGCTAATTGCTCTATTGTGCTGACTTAACTGGGATGATTTTTGTGATACTAACATATTAATGAGCTAGAAATTTTAGTTGCTGTGTCATATTAATGAGTTAGACATTTTAGTTGCTTTTATTGTACTACAGCAAAATCTACATCTCAAAACCTGTGACTGAGGGCAGAATATGAATAAGCTGTCTTTTATATGCTTTTCTCTCATTTGGTTTAATATTATCAAAGTTTCCTGGCTCTTGCAGATCTATAAATTTATCTATATCATTCATGGCTTTAATTAGAAAGAGGTACTAAATAAAACTAAATTAGACTGAGCTACTTACTAAATGTTCATATAGTACAATAAACTATGCATAAAAGGGTAATCTGGATTTATGTACTAATGAATAGCACATTGAGAGATTACATAAATATAATTTTTTGGTTTAACTTCATTCACTGTCGCAAGAACTTCTAAAGTAAAACAAGAATAAAAACTTCTCACGTCTTGAACAGAATCACCTTCACTTCAGGTTTCTAAAATTGTATGAAACTATTATGATTCTCATAATATTTATTTAATTATTAGTATATTTACTTAGTGAATAATTATATTCATGTATTCAATAACCATGTCATAAATTTCTAAATTGCTCAAGAAACTGTGAAGCATACAAAGACAAATTCAATGCGGATTCTTCTTTCAGAGATTATACAGTGAAATTCAGTAGGCATATAGATAAAAGCAACTATAATTTGAGATAGGATGTGCTCAAAGTAAAAATAAAGTTCTATGGGACCCCAGAGCAAGACGACAGAATTTCCAACTAGTGAAAGAGGTGATTTTATAGGAATGCAAAAATTTAAAGCCACTTGCAGAGAAGCACACATGGTTCAGAAATAGAGCACAGTATATTTTGGAATGTAAGGATCACTAAGGAGGTATTTCAATTCGTTTGAAAAGGATGGTCTAATTTAGTAAGTGAATGTTACAACTAACTACCCACTAAAAGAAAACACATTAGATCCTTGTGTCACCCAATTCCAGTTGATTAAAGATGTAATTATAAAACAATAAAGCCCTTAGAGGACAATTTGGGAGATAAATAACAATAGAAATAATTTAAAAATAAAAATAATGCAGATAATAAAAATATTTTGTATTATATACAAAAGATTTAAAAATTGATAAGAATGCTGACATCCTAGTAGAAAACTGGGCCAAAGAAAAACAATATACGAGCTATTCTACAAATAAAAATGGCAATAGTTACATGGAAGTATGATGAACAACCCCAGAGTGTAAGGGAAATATAAATGAAAGTAATCACGCAATAGGGCTTTTTGCCTCAGTAGATGGCTACGTGGCCAATAGCATTGCAATGCCTAATATTCTCCATGTAATAGAGTACTCTCATACATTGCTCAAAGAAATAGCTGTCACAGATTTTTAAGAAAGCAATGTGAAAACGTGTTCAAATTAAAAACATACATAGCAGTGACTCCACTCCCATAGAGATTAAATCACTGCTATGTACAAAGACGTTAATTGATGAACCATGTTGGTGGTGAAACTACATAAGAAAAAGGTGAATGTTTCTTAATAGGAAAATGGTTGAATAAATTATGGTTTATCTTTGCTAATATTATAAAATTATTTAAAAATGCATTTAATATCTATCAGCTGATGTGCAGGGATTTCCATGATGAGTTGTTAATTAGTGAAAGGAAGATGCATAGAAAAATAGATAAAATATTTTATTTTTAAACCAAAGACATGAAAATTGGGTGTGTGTGTGTATTTAATTACATGAAAGAATAAGGAAAAATTCATGTTAGGAAGTTAAAATTGAGATTCTAGGGTACATGTGAGAAAGAAGGTGGTGAGAAAGGGGGAAGAAAATGTGGGATGTAGAAGAAAAATAATGCTTACTATGTATAGGCTGAACGTCATGCAAGTACCTAAGTGCAAAATTAAGAATTTATCAATAAAGGCAATAAAATTAGGAGATACCCATGCACCAACAAGGCTCCCAGTGTGAGATCCACAGGAGAGAATCTACAGCTCTTTCTAAAGCAATCCTTTAGCCACACTGATTAAGGGTTATTTCCAGTTCCCTAGGAAGGAAAAATTGAGAACTGATATCAGAACCTACACTGCGTTCATTTATTTAGCTTCATGTAATTGGGTATAGTAACTGCTTAGCTATTTTTTTAAGTTTTAATGTAAAAATTGAGAATCACTTAAAGAATTGCTACAAATATACATGGAGGGGGGCATTTTTGGCGATGTAAAGTTTATTTTGGTTGAAGAATAAGGATATGTTACAAAAGTCAGAGCAAGACATGTCTGGAAAGATTCATTTGGAGCTAATTATGGGAAACACTGGCTGGGTAAGCAGCTTGGATTTTCTCTTGTAAGCTATAAAGTACTGTAGATAATATATTAGCAGGAAAGCTACAAGATCAGATGGATTGGGATCTGGGAGTTAAAAGCAGTAAAAAGAGAATTTAAATTCTAATCACATTCTGTTTTATTGACATGGTCAGAAATTTTCAAGAAAATTTTTAAAAAATACATAACATTAGAGATTCAAATATATAAATTTCCATATGTCCATTGTCTCAGTTTGCTAGGGCTCTCATAACAAAATACCATAGGCTTGGTAGCTTAAACAACAGAAATTTATTTCTCACAGTTCTGGAGGCTGGGAAATCCAAGATCAAGACAAAAGCTGATTCCATATCTGATGAGGGCTCTCCTCCTGCCTTGCAGACAGGCATCTTCTTCCTGTGTCCTCACATAGCCTTTGCTCATTACATGCACATGGAGAGAAGGAGTTTTCTCTCTGTTTCTTCCTCTTCTTATAAGGCCAGCAATAGTTTCAGATAAGGACCCTACTCTTACGACCTCATACAATCTTAACTGCCTTCTAAAAGTCCTGTCTCTGAATACAGACACCTTGAGGCTTAGAGCTTCAACATATCTGAATTTGGGGAGGGGACACAATTCAGCCCATAGCATCCATCTTCCCATGTTAGATAAATATTAAAATTTGGGCACTGTTATATCATGTATTTTATTACTTCGTTTGAAATAATGTATTTTAAAACGAGTTTCAGACATCGTATTATAAACTTCAGTATGTAATTTTGAAGTACGTGGGCTTTTATTTACATAATCACTTGGCCATTTGCACACCTAAAGAAAGTAAGGATAATTCCTTCATATAATCTAACAATCAGACTATTTTAAAATTTCTCTGATTTTCTCCAAAGTGCCATTTTTTTTCTGCTGCTTTGTTTGAATCAGGACATAAACGATATCTGCACATTGCCATTGGTTGTTATGTATCAAGTTTTTAAAATTATAACCCTCTTTTCCCATCCACCTTCTTTGGCTATAATTGCCTTAATTAAGAAACTGAGTCAGATTGTTTCTATAATGTTCTACATTTTAAAGGTATGTGGTTTTTTTACATAGTTTAATTAAACCATAGTAAATGGTTTAATTTAATTTACTCCACCATCACCTATGTTTCTTGTAAACTATCAATTAGCTCTAAAGGCATGATTAGATTCAGGTACAACTTTTAATTTTTTTTACAAGAATATTTCTTAATATTTCTGTGTAATTCATCTTCCAACATATCAGGATAGGATCAGTATGTCACATAATGCTGAGTTTCCTGCTTTAAGTGATTCTGAGATTAGACAATGGATCAAGATGGTGATATCTGATTTCCCATTAACCTTTCATCCAATGGTTTCATTCATCAGTGATTTTATCTGTTATAGGTGGTATCACTAGATATTGCAAAAATGTCCATTTTTCTTAGTTGCAGCATCTTCCACAATTTACACACAGAATTCTTTTACAACGAAGATATTGGTTTCATCACCTCTAGATAATTATTTTCTTCTAATTGACAATGTTTAGAAAATGGAGTCAGTGTCCTAGTTGCCACCGAAGCATTGGTATTTGTTGTTTGGCTTTTGTTTTGGCTTTCTCTGTCTTAGTATCATTATAGACTCTTTGATTTTTATTATTTGAAGTGTTTGTATAAACATCAGTCAATTTTCTTTTTAACACACAAAAAAGCACTAGTCAAAGGGATCTTCATGTAAATTTGTTTTTTTTTCTACCGTAGGTTTTTGTTTTATATAGATTTCTATGTGTTTCTGGGTTTTTTTTTTTTACATTTATCCATTAGTCTTTGTATCTTCTTTGTTTTCTGAACAAAATAAATGTCCCTGAATCATTTTGTGCATTTCTTGACACAGATCTGTAATCAGCCATTTTTGTAAGAAGTTCTGTTTCCTATTAATGGGAAATGGTATTTAGAGACGCAATTTTTATGCTCACTGCTTCTGCTTTGTCACTATTTCTAAGCCTTTTTTAGTACACACAGCTGGAATATATACATTTACACACACACATATTGCATATATATATCTACACACATGTACTGAAGAATTCATGATTATATTTATAATTTTGCAGCTCTCTACCCTGAAAAGGTTTAATTTTTTTATACTTCCATATTCTTTCTCTTACACTAATTATTTTGATTCATATCAACATTAACTAATGAATCCATGACTTGTTTTTCTCTTCAAAGTTAAGATACATATGTATTTGAAGAGAAAAATAAAATAAATTTATATTGATGTTTACTATTAAAATTTAACTTTTAAAAATTTATACTTTGATTTTTATGTTTTTATCATTTTTCTCTTATACTAAAATTCATGGGTCTTACCACATAAAAGTAATTGCTTATTTGCTTTATCTTATTGGATACAAAAAAAATGTGTAAATGTGATTGTGTAAAATCCCAAAACATTAATGTAGATATCATTAACAACGGAATTACTGAATGAAATTTAAGACTTCTCTGTAGCTCTATTTGTTGAAGATATTTTTGAATAAAAGGAGTATAATTAAAAATAAAAATACCATATATAATGCAAAATGCCTTCATTTGTAATATAACCTATTTTACCAATGATACAATTGATCTTCCAGTTGAATCAATATATAACATCATTAGTTATAGAAGCAGCATTTTAATTAAAGTATAAGTCAGTAGAAATATGTAAGGAAAACTGTTAATGCACTTAAATTTGCTAAACACCCCAAAAATGTTTGCTGGGCACAGTTGACTATGCCTTTGATATCAGGGTTCTTGAGTGTGCTAGAGGAACACAAAATGTGTCAACTTTACATTGCGCTTTATGTTTGCATTCTTGATTTGGGTCTCCCTCCTTAATTATTAATTAGTCTTGCCATTTTCATTTACCTACTCAGACTGGGACAATGTGTTTGAGGAATGAACTCCAACCTTGCCACTCATCTGTCTTTATGTGCCTGCTTCTGTCTCCAAAGGCAGCCCTAGTGTCAGTGTGGTATTTCCCATCCCAGCATCTATAAGTCACATGGGCCTGCCTTGAAAATTGCTCCCAAAGAACCTACAACATGTCAAATGTCAAGTGAAATAGGCAATTATTTTAAATTATATTTCTTTCCTTTAAAAAATATAGATATTGCAAACTGATGTCTCAGCAGTATTTTGTAAGTTTTAGCACCATATCTTTCTGTAAACTCATTAATAAGAAAGATCATATTCAATCATAAGAATGATGCAATAATAATTTGTTTCCTGACCTTAGATTTGGCATTAAATAATGCAATAGATACATCAATATTATACCAATATAACATCAGAATATTGGTAAACCTTGATAATACACATAGTACAGTTTTGCTCTAATTTTTGTAAAAAAATGGAATATGTATATTGCAAATATTAACTGAACAAAATTGCCAAACAGTACCCAAAATTTTTCCTGATTTTTAAAGCTTTTCTAAGAAAAATATTGTCAGGGAATGTTTCAAATGATGTTCTCTCTTACACAATTATCTTCTCTTAAACAATTAAGCACTACCTTGATCTGATAGTTTTATCTTTCAGAAACAGATTTCAAGTCCTATCTTTAACCTTTAGATGGCATTTCATGGTAAACTCTGTGATGAGTGATTGAAGGTGACAAATACTGGAATTGTTGTATAAATTAAATAAAGTGTAATGAATGGAGTGTTGACATAAAAAGTGGTAAAAAAATAGTGACTTTCTGGACATGTAAATGCATGATATGAAAGCAAAGAATGAAGAAGAAGGAAAACATTAGTGTAGGTACAGATCTTTAAGAAGATTCAGTACTATCTTAGGTTAAAACTTGGACAATGTATTTGAATATTTATTTTTCTGCATTAGTCGGATTTGTGACAGAACTCTTATTCATTTTCCTACCAATGTATTCATTCATTCATCAAATATTTATGGAGTGTCTACTATATGTTAAGTACTATTCTAAGCCCAGGGGATACAGCACAAATAGCCAAAAATCCTTACACTAATAGAACTATTAGTAGAGATATTGATAATACACTAAGTAAATAAGTAAATTAAGTAATATTTTAGATGGTAATAAATACTACAGAAAAAATATGAAACAGAGAAAGAAGAATGAGGAGTATTGGGTGAAATGGGCATTGCAATTTCATGTAGTACAGTTAGAGAAGGCTTTACCAATATGAGGACATTTTAAGGAACACTTGAAGTCCAGGCACAGTGGCTCATCTCTGTAATCCCAG
The DNA here is from genome assembly GCF_000001405.40 of Homo sapiens. Taxonomy (NCBI): domain Eukaryota; kingdom Metazoa; phylum Chordata; class Mammalia; order Primates; family Hominidae; genus Homo; species Homo sapiens. The sequence goes on along the minus strand of NC_000003.12, from coordinate 173,754,307 downwards.
CACTTTGGAAGCCCAAGGCGGGTAGATTGCTTGAGTTCAGAAGACCAACCTGGACAAAATGGTGAAACCCCATCTCTACAAAAAACTACAAAAGTTAGCCAGGCATGGTGGCCTGTACCTGCAGTTCCAGCTACTTAGGAAGCTGAGGTGCGAGGATCGCCTGAGCCTGAGAGGCAGAGGTTACAAAGAGCTGTGATCATGCCACTGCACTACCCCGCTCTGGGTGACAGAGTGAGACCCTGTCTCAACAACAACAACAAAAAAAAAAACAAAAAAAAAAAAAGAAAAGAAAGAAATAAAGAAAAAAAAAGTACTTGAAGAAACTGAGTAGATATTATATTATATTATATTATATTATATTATTATTATATTATATTATGTAGATACTGGGGGAAGAGCATTTTTGGCAGAGAAAACAGCAATTAAAGATTCTGAGGGTAGAGGGTGACTTCTTTGAGGTAGAATGAGAAGACAGTGACTAATGTGGCTGAAGAAGAGAGAGAATAGAACATAGATGACTCAAAGAAGCAACAGGGGCTAGACTTTTTGAGGCATGGTAGGCCACTGTGTAGACTTTGGCTGTTATTCTGGATGAACACAGAGTGACTGGAAGATCTTAAGGCAAGAGATAATATGATATGACTTACTAATGTTTGAATATAATCACTCTGGATATTGAAGTGATAATAGCCCTAGAGGTACAAGAATAGAAAGAGAAAAAAGTTTGGGTTGTTGCTTTCATCCAGGCGAGACATAACAGTGGTTTCATCCAGGGTGGATTTAGTAGGAAGACAGCCTATTCCAGATATATTTTGAAGGTATAGCCAACATAACTTGCTGGCAAATTAGATATGGTGTATGAGAGGAAGATGAAAATCATGGATGATTTCAAGTGTTTTGGCCCGAGCCACTGGAAGTTTGGAGTTGCTTTAACCAAGACAGGGAAGACCATGAAACAAATATAGAAGAAAGAAGAGTTTGGGTATGTTGAGTTTGAGATGACTATTGGATATCCAAGTAGAGTTGGAGAATAGATAGTGAAATATTCAGATCTTAATTGAGGGAGATGCCTGCAGCAGAGATCTAAATTTAAGCATTATAAATTCATAGACAGTATTTAAAGCCAGGAGTCTGGATGAAATGAATAAGGCAATGAGTGTAGTTTTAAAGACAAATAAAAGGATTGAGACCTGTAGCATGTTCACATGCTGACGAAAACAACTGAGTAGACAGTGAAAAGTGGATGGTACTGAAAAGACGGGTGGGTAGAATGTTTTTGAACAATGTCCATGAGTTGGCAAAAGAGGATGGTATCTAATATACAAGTCAAGGGTTTGGCCTTTCTTGGAGTATAAGGGAAGGGATGGGGTAGATGGTAGGTATCGGAGGAGAGTGGACATTCCCTATAATTGCTTCTATGTTTTCACTGAATTGGGAAGCAAAGTAAACAGCTGAGGTTGAGGACTGGGGAAGAACTGTTGAAGATTTGAGAGGGAGAAGTAGACTGGGAAGTAGAAGGAGAATGGACAGGTGAACAGTAGCAGAATCACTGGGCAGTCTGAAAACCACTTAAGTTGAGAGTATATTTAAAGTGGTGACCCATTCAATGTGGTTTAGTTTTCCTGCCATGTTTAGTGTAGTAAGTGGAGAAGGAGACAATCAAGTTCCAGAAAGAGAGAGGAGTAAGGGAATTAAGTCCAGCTATAGGTAAGAAAATAACAAAGATGGACTTTAAGCTTTTTAAACAAAGGAAAGAAGTATTAATGCTATGATAAATAAGGAAGAGTTGGTTGATTCAACAACTACAGTGCTGGGTTGGATTGAAGAATATGTTAGGTTTGGAGCATTGAGGGTGAGCTGGGAAAAAAGCAGCTGGTGGTTAGAGAGGGGAATCCTTGACAGCAAGATCAGGGAGGGATCTCTGCTTATGACGAGGTGTAAGGTATGCCAGTGGGTGTAAACAACTGATATAGGGCAGAGGGCAAAAAGAAAGAAGGTATGTTCAGGAGGTTAATATCTGGCATATTAAACACTGGGTACATTCTGCATATTGTAAGAAGTCAAGAATACAAATCTATATTTTTAAGATACCAGTAAGGATTTGTTATTTGCCCTTCAGAAGTCTGGCAGAAGAGGTATTTGGCATTACAATAATCCTGGAAATAACTTACATTTGTGAACACAATTTTGAGAATCAGAAAAATACAAATACAGGGCATATGTCCATAGGCCTTTATCAGCAGCCTGGTAAAGAGTTCACAATTCTGCCATGTTTCTCAGAGGCCTCTTCCTTAAGCTGTGCTAAACCACTCATGTTAAGATTGTGTTTTAACAAGCACAGGCCTCAGAGTCAGAAAAAGATTCAAATCACAGCTCTGTGATTTTCTAGATGTGTCAATTGAGTCAAGCTAATTAACTCCTTAATCCTTAGCTTCCTATCTGTAAAATAGGAAAAGTAAACTTAACTTGAGGGATGATTGTGGGAATAGCATAAGATAATATAGGTACAGCTCTTAGCATAGTGTCTGGAGTAGTGCTTAGTAGCTATTACTATATTTTATTCCCAAGCCCCCTTAAACCTTCACATTCTATGGTTTTGCTGTGCTGTTATTCTGTTTTAAGGATATTCTCATCTTTCCTTGTACACAACAAAATTGTTGATTTGCTTATCTAGACTGTTCATCCTTGCTTGGAAATCTCTGTCTTACTCTGTCTGTCTGATTATTAGCATAACAAGGCCTCACTTCCAAAGGTAACTTACTTAAGGCCTGTTTGAGTGAGTTGGGTAAATAGATCCACCACACTTATATTTAGGGAGAAATAATAGCTATACTCACATGTTTTTACTTTTACAACACATGGCAAATAAAAATGGATTGAAGTAAAACTAGTTTGTTAAGTTTGAGAAAATTAATCAATGTTAGATTAAATCAACAAGTTACGGCTATATATCTTTATATATTAAATAATTGATAAACATACTATATGTTTCTATGATCCTCCATGGCAAGGAACAGGTGGAAATGAAGAATTCTTAGGATATTTGAAACTGGATTATATCAGTTATTTTCTTTTCAAAAAAAGCAAATAGTGTATCTATGCACAAACATTATCTTAACTAGTATAGTCCTATTATAGATGTGCGCCTACTCAGGTGACCCTGGAATCATAATTCAAAACTTGAAGCTATACTTCTATAGTTTGTGACTGGAATCCACAGTTTCAAAAAACACATTTGTCACATGGCTAAACACCTGACCTTTTATTTGTTTTTTGAAATGTGTTCCTATTATACCCTGCAGAAATAGGGTAATAGTTTAATGTGAGTTTTTAAATTTTTTGGATACAACTACCTTACTTAGCTCTTCTAAAGCACTGTTCTTTCTACCAGCAGTTAAGTTGTGCTGAAATGTTCTAATGATCCCAGGGTCAAGTGCATTACAAAGAACTTTTTCGGCTTTGAATTTTCTTCCACACATCATAACAGAGCTGGAGTTTAGACCTTAATGTACACTGCAGGAAGACAAGCATTTGCATAAAAGGATTATTCATCATCTAAAGAATTAATGACAGAGAAGTTGATTTATCTGCCTTTCTATCAAAAGAAACCTCTACTAACCACTATTTCTGCAGTGTACAACAATAATTAGTGTGCATAATGATTACTTTGAGGCACAGAAATGCATTCTGAATTCTCAATAGACATAAAATTATTTTGATACATATCCACTACTACTTGTACCTGTGTTCAAGTTCTTAGAAAATTGGCAAATCCATTCAATCTGTAAGCTAATGTTTTGTTACATTTTGTTAAATACCAAATAGAATACTCTGACAATGCAAAGGAAATGAGTTTTCTATCTTAGCTCAGTAACCTCCAATTTGCAAAGGTGATGTAATTCAGTGACATACTCTCACCAGAAACTTCATTATCTGACTTTAAAACAAACACAGGAATCATAAGGGTATGGTGTAAGCCATGAGGAAAGTGTTGCTATGGTAATAAATTATCACTAACACGAAGTAAAATACAGTCACATAGCCTGGACAACATGAAAAAGGCTTCAGTAGAAAGTCCAAAATAATGAGCAGGGCTATAAGGGATAGGAGAGGGTAGATCTGCCTATATGAAGGAGATAAGGAGCTGAGGAAGATTGCTTTGGTACAGGGCGAATCAGGGCAGGACAGCATCCACCAGGGAAGGAAGCCTATGATGGGATAACAGAATTAACTCCGTTTAGGTCTGCAAATTTCCAGCTGGACAAATTTCTGACCAGAAGAGGAAAAGCACAGAGGCATGAATAGGGGACAAACTTCATCACACTTTTACTTAGTTTGGGAACTGTTTACCTTCACGTGAGAGTGAATAAGTGAAAAGTATCCAATAATTACCAGGAACGTTAACTGCCCAAATTAATGTGCTTTAGGAAGACTGGAATGTAATATAGTCACCCTGTTACAAAGGGAGTTATTCCCAGAAAATCAGGTAATGGAAGAGCACTTCATTCTGCTTTCAATTAATATGTATTAGTCATCACTAAAGAGTGACAGTAATGTTTAATAGGTTATAATAATTTTTGTTAGAAGAGAAATATTTTACAATGTGTATGTGTATATGTTAATATTATTTTTTTTTTGGTTAGAAGCACTATTTAAGGAAATGATTTCTACATGTGGAATAAAGATCTCTGATATTGTTTCAAACTGGAAAGCTGACCTTTTATTTTGGAAGGGGAGTCTTTCTAGTTAATTAAATTAACAGTTACGGTTTGATTGATTGGCATTCAAGCCATTTGTCTAGATTGATTAAATTTGTCAGCAAAGTGCCAAATGCTCACATCATGTAACCAAACAAAAAATGCTTATTATATTTAGAAGAGTATCTTCAAGATTATTTCGCTAGAACAATCTTCTCATTTTATAAATGAGGAAACTGAGGCCTAGAAAGACAAACTGATCTGCCTGGGGCCAATAGGGCTCCTGACACCTGTTCAGTCCTTTGACTGAACTATTTGATCATAAAAAATGACTTTGGAAATCTAGCAGGCCATAAATCATCTTGTTATTTTAAACTGTGGCTTTATGCTAAGTTTCCTTTCTAAGTTATAGCAAAAAGGTCTTTAGGCTAAAAAACAAAAAGCGTGAGTGAGATAAACATTTTTTCAAGATAGTTTGTACACTTAATCAAATTATAGGGTTCTCTGCCTTATATTTTCACTGTATTCACCGATAAATGATGGCATCAAGCATACAGAAAATGCAAATGAGACATAAGCATGCATTTGAACAGATCTGCTTTTTTTCCTTCATAATGAATTCAGTCATGCTATGTGCATATAATGACGCACCTACTTTGAAATCATAAGACCACTAACAACCTGAATTCTCTATATCCAGGGGTAGTATCAAGGTGTAGCCACCTTATTATTTCAATCAGTTTCACCTTGCTGCAACCCAAACTTCTTCAAATAAATAAGCAACCTTACTCAAACAGTAGGCTTGATCTACAAATGTAGCTTTCAGATAAACTACTGAGATGCAAATCTTCCAAACTGATAGATAAGAAGATATCTACATAGCTGAATACTCCAGATGAAAAGTCAAAAGACCAAGACCAAAGACAAGCAGTTTTCAGTAACTTACAGGTGATGTTATGGAGAAACCTTTTGTTTGTTTGTTTATATTACATCTGGATGTTGTGATAACATGTAAATTAGGCAGTCACCATGAGGCCAATTTCTTGCATTCATCCTTTTTCATCCTCCCTTATTTAGATACTGAATGGCAAACAATGTATGTTTATACAGAGATTTTAAAATCCAACCAGTTTCTTCTTACACACATTGTGGACAGCTCTAGGGAAGACCTTTCCCATTACAACATTTTCTTCCCAGAAGCTGTCATCAGAAGTCTAGTTGTTCTGCACATACCCAGTAGATAGTATTTCTCCATTGCAACTTCCTCTGCCCCTATGTGTTCAGATGTAATGTTCTGCCTGTACAAACAAGGAAGTCAGCAGCAAGAGTAAATCTAAGGGATCAACTGTTATCTATCTTCCACACTTGAAATTTTCTTTTACCTGCTTCCTTCTTGATAAAATCTTTCTTGAGTCTTACAACAAAAGTAAAACAATGCAGTTATTTCTGGATAAGTACTACATCAACAAATAATATTTACTAGATTTTACGCTCCTAAATATATGTTTTCAGGCCAGGTGTGGTGGCTCATGCCTATAGTCCCAGCACTTTGGGAGGTAGAGATGGGCAGATCACTTAAGGTCAGGAATTTGAGACCAGCCTGGTCAACATGGTAAAACCCTATCTCAACCAAAAATATGGTGGTGGGGCACCCCCATAATCCCAGCTACTCAAGAGGCTGAGGCATGAGAATTGCTTAAACCCAGGTGGTGGAGGTTCCAGTGAGCTGAGATCATGCCACTGCACTCCAAACTCGGTGACAGAGTAAGACCCTGTCTCAAAAAAAAAAAAAAAAAAAAAAAAAAAAAAGAACAAGAAGAAGAAGAAAGAAAATTTTGTTTTAAAACTCTAACATCATAGTCCAATGGCTGCATATACCCTAGTCCCTAAATGAACAAGACTTTCAATTGCTTTGGAACAAAGAGTATATCATTCCTTTTTGAATACTCAATCTTAGTCATCAGGTAAAAAGGAAATATGTGTCACTAAGTGAAAAGTGCATAAAAAGTATCTCTTAAAGAATGTGGAAAAGATTGCGAAGAAAAAATATACCCTTGAGATTCGAACAGGACTTTTGCTTGCCAATCAACAATGCAGGGACAAACCATCCTAAGAAAGATGGATTCACTTATGCAGACGTTAACCAAATACTTTTTGATATTCTAAATATGTGCCAGGCTCTGTTTTATGTACTAAATATATTATATATATATTTAAATATATATATCTTTAAGTATATATATATCTTTAAGTATATATATTAAAATACATATTATAAAATGTATATAAGTATATATAAATATATACATACATAAGATATATTTAAATATATATACTTAAAGATATATATATTTAAATATATATACTTAAAGATATATATATTTAAATATATATACTTAAAGATATATATATTATATATATATTGTTTTGAGACGCTGTCTCAAAAACAGACACACATATATACATATACATATATATACACACACACGTATACACGTGGTATACACACGTGTGTGTTTGTGTGTGTGTGTGTGTGTGTGTGTGTGTGTGTATATATAATTTTTTCTTTTTGAGGCAGGGTCTTGCTCTGGAGACCCTAGGCTGGAGTGCAACAGCCTCAAACTCTTGGGTTCAAGCTATTCTCCTGCCTCAGCCTCCCTAGTAGCTGGGACTACAGATGCAAGGTGCAAGACACCATGCCCAACTAATTTTTTATGTATATATACTTTTAGTAGGGAGAAGATCTTGTTATGTTACCTAAGCTGGTCTTGAACTCCTGGCCTCAAGTGATCCTCTTGCCTCAGCCTCCCAAAGTGCTGAGATTAGCACCCCCAGCCTAAAGGTGTTATATTGAATAAAAAGATGATTCCTGTTTCATGGAGATTACTTATCTTCTGGTGACAAGGACAGATCTTGAACAAATAATTACATAAATAACTATATTTTTATATCTGTGACTGTAGAGGACATGTCAGAATGTTCTATAATAGCATGTGACAAATCAGACTTAATCTAGTGTAGACAGTCAAGAATGGTTTTCGTGAAGGGCTTTAAGACTCAGACTCGAATTCTGACTCATTAGAGGAAACAGCAAGGAAGTCCTGATACAAGCTAGAGACCGGGACAAGGCTTGAATGACTGGAGGTCAGTAAGTGGAGGAGAGAGGATTAGGAGATGAGTCAGGAGTGTTAGGAAGCAAAGGGCCAAGTGTAAAAGGTCATATAGAGTCTAGCTAAGCATTTTAAACTTTATCTTGAGAATAAGAACAGAAAATGAAATATTTTAATGGGGATACCCATAAAATGAGATAAATTTTTTTAACTTTTTTTTGCTTGTTTGTTTTTGTTTTGAGATAGGGTCTCACTAGGTTGCTCAGGCTGATCTTGAACTCCAAGGCTCAAGGGCTCCTCCCACCTTAGCCTGCCAAATAACTGGTATTACAGGTGCATGCCACCAAGCGCAGCCTAAGATTAATAGGTGGGTATAAACTGTTCATTCCTTTCTGCTGCCTAGGAACCAGGAAAACAAGCTGTCAATCCTGAGAGAGAAAATCCTTATAATTACCTTTATAATCTACTGTCCAGTACAATGCCTCACTTAGAGAGGGCATTCAGTGAACACTAAGGTAGTTTTGAGTAAGTCCAGTGTCCTGATTGCAAACCAGTTACACACTTGGATAAGTGATTGCAATGATGTAAGCCTCAGTTTCCCTATCTGTGAAGTGAATGTTTCTAACTTATGGTTATCTGAAATTCCTTTTGAACTAATAGTCCATGATTCAAATTATCCTTTGTCAAAATAAAGACAAAGAAATCAGACCGCTTCTTTCTGGAGTATCTGTTCCCTGGAACTAGGTAACTGGGCCACCAATAGCCATGGCATATTGCATCCAAACACCTAGCCTGATGCTTGGAGATTTCCCTAAACACCTGCAGTGTGATCTAGGGCAAGCCATATAATCTCATCTATAAAATGTTAGGTGTGGGGCTGATGATCATCAATTAAAATTCCTTTCAGTCTCAAACAATGTATACTACCTTCCTCCCTATTCTCATTACTGATACTACACGGGTGTTTGTAAGTTTGCTTGAACTTTTGTCTGTTTAAAATAAATAAATAACCAACTCTTTCTCGTAAAAAAAAGCTTTAGATGTACTTAGGTAAAAAATATAAGCTAATTAATTTATTTAATTAAATTAGTAAATTGCTTAATGCTGATGCAATTAGCATAAACTAGGATCTCCAAGGATCTACTACTTTAAAAAAATGATGTCTGGTAACATTTTGGGGGTGAGTTCATGGAGATAAGAAAGGAAAAGAATGTTCTTTCAGTGGATGGGGAAGGCTGTCATCTGCTCTCCGTTTCCCTTTTTTCTTCATTCAATCTGTAATGAGGACATTAGTCACAAGCAAGGCATCTCTGAGCACAGAAAATATGGCAAGAGCTGACATCAAGTCACTAAGTTCTATAGACACTTCACAATAGATGATGAAAACAACTGCCATTGTGCTTGTTTGCCACGGTCTGCTCCATACAGAAGGCTCATCAGTTCTGGTTAGGGATGAGCCATTAAGAATGTGCATCATGGATCCAACAGTACCTCTTAGTTTCAGTTAAGTGCAAGGAAAGATAGGCGGTCTATTAACAATGTTGGGAACAACTGAAGTTGACAGTGCGGACAAAGAGTGATCAGTGTGATTCTGCTGTTGGTATACACGGTAGCAGAATAAGATATATCAGATCCATCCCAGCAGAGCAACAAAGATGTCAAAAAAAAAATAAATAAATAACAGCTTTTTTAGTACCACTGCCAATCAGTGGCCTCCACAAGAAACCAAAGGTGAGATCATAGGGAAAGGGAGAAGGAAAGATAAGGATGTGATACATAGCAAAATTTAATGATTTACAAAATTTTTGGCAGGTTTTACTTCTCTGAACAATTAAAGGAAGCTTAGTGTTCACACAATCATGCTTTCTAACGGTGGTGGTAGTGAAGATATTGCCTATTTAACTCCTACTTATCTCTCGGATCTCAGCTACGTTGTTACCTTTTCACAGAAGTCTTTCCAGATCTTTGTGACAGGTTCAAATCCTTCTAAAATATGCTGTTCTCTGTCCCTCCTTTCTGCAGCACCTGCTCCAGTCAGAGTGTCTCACTATTTTCTTGATTGTTTCTTTATCATAGTTTTCCTCACTAGGAAATATGCTCCCAGTGAGCAGAGAGTGCATCTGCTTTTACTTATCATTGCCTCCTTAAATTAAGCATAGTGTCTGGGCATTCAATAAATGTTGTGTAAAGGAAGAGGAAGAAAAGGAAGGGAAGAAAAACACTTTTTGAACACCTATTGAGTAGCATCCATTGTTCTGATGTGTTATATATTTCTCATGACAACCCTTCAAGTTGAATCTTCTTATTCCCATTCTATTGAATTTCAGAGAATAAAATTAATGGTTTTAGGTTTCATAACTAAAGTGGATAAAGCACAGATATAAATGTTGATTAGTTTGGCCCCAATCCATGCAATTTTTACCTTCCCTTACTATATCATGTTATATCTTTATGTAACAGAAATTTGTCTGAATTTCTAACTAGTTATTTTGAATTTATAATGAGTTATTTGTCTGAATTTATAAAGTCATTTTAAATTTAAAAAGTTGTGATATGTAGTGTTCAGAAATTGGAGTATTGACAACTGCCTCCTCTGACATGTTTTACTGTATAAAACATTAAACTTAGAATAAATGAAATCCAAGTGTCTGTCTCTGAACATTGAACTCTGCAGGCAGTTAAAGCAATTATATGGACTGAAGTTAACCCTGAGGGAGAGATGGGGAACCCCATCCAGAGTTCCAGAGTCAGTTGAACAATCCCCACTCCCTCCCCAACGAACTGTCCAATGAAAGGCCAGTAGCTTGCTGCTACTGTTATTTCATCCCTGTAACCTCAGCAAGGATGAAACATTTTCCACTTAGACATAGAAAACAGAATGTTAGCAATACCATTTTCAAAGGCTGAAGAAAAAGAGGAAATTCTAAAAAGAAAATGTCCTGTTTTTCTTTTCTTCTCAAATTCTATGTGAAAGAGGCAAAAATGTGAGCAAATGCTGTGATATATTAGATAGTAGAAAGCACTAACAGTGACACTGAAGTAGTATGAATAATAAGTAGCAGCTGTTCAAAGAAGAAAATATAATATAATATAATAGAGTAAATGGTGTATTTGTCCCTTGAGCTGCTGGTGCTTAGTCACTACGAAATCATTCTCACAGAAAACATAATTTAGACTACACTCTAGGACAAGCTACTCAGAATTCCGTACATGTTACAACTTGTTAGATGCTTGCATGATTTTAAATATTAAAGCCATTATCAAACATTAATGATAAAAATAAATCAAATTTAGAACGTAGAACTTAACTGTTACCATCTATTGCTGAAGTGTGAGTTTATTATGAGTCTTTAAGGGTCAACAGTAGAAAACTTCCATCAAGAGAAAGGTCTCAATAGCTGTTCCATGCAAGTTTTGGTAGCCTCAGCATATTGAGGAAAGCGAATAATTGCCTACACTGGCCTTCTGTAGCAATGCAGTTGTTATTAAGACATAGGTCTAGCCAGGCAATCTCTATATTGAAGATTATGGGTGTATGTATTTAAATACAAGTACATGCAAATAATTTTATAGACATAATACAAACAACCCCCTCAAATCTGGAGGAATAACTTAGACAAAATAGCATGAAAGAAATGTATTTTCTGCTTTTCTTAGGGATAAACAATGGAAACACATCCCTAAAACATCAACTAATATGAAAAAACCAGGGCCACTTTCATGGAAAACAAATTACAACTTTTGCTCCCTTGCAAAAATGTCTAGCACAAATCGAAAGTAAAAAAGAAATGTAGACTGAACTCTCAGGGGAAATTTGTTGCATCAAAATGTCATATAAAAATGAAATACTTGTTTTCTTAAATGACCAAAAACATGTTATGAAGGAAAATATAAAGGCTTAGAATATAGCTATAATATATCTAGGCATAAGAAAGAAATTAAAGAAATCTCTTAATCTTTCTGACACTCAGCTTCTTCATCTATGACATGGGAATATACAAGCTACCTAAAAAGATCATAATAAAGGTTGAGACATTGCATATAAAATGTATAGAATATAGTAGAAGCTTGAAAAAATTTCACTTTTTTTCATTAAGGAAAACAAAGTATTTTAGAACAGGTGTTAATTACATTTAATCAATTGGGGCAAACAGAAAATTTACATATTTATTACCTAGTACAGCGACATCAGCCCTAATATTAAAAGAGAATCTGAGTTCTCCTAATCACATCCCTCTCTCTTCTTCCCCAGTGTCCTTCTTGATAATTCCATGAGTTTTAGTTTCAAAATAAAACTGCCTGCAGCCTTGTAAAGGGAAAATAGATATACTATACATTCTTAAGAAATTGTAGTATAGTTATCCTTGGAGAGAAGGAGAAGAATGGATTCCTGGAAAAGCAGAGGGAAGGAAGAAACAAATCTTATTTCAGAAAAAAATAGAGAACATCACAGAATGAACTGACATTTCTGCAACTTAGTTGATGTAAAAATTAGAGTGAGACTGGTTTTGCTTATTCACCAGAGGGCCTAGAGGGGGTGGGAAGGCCAGCTTCCAACAAAGGAGCGTACATTACGGGGACGCAGTGTATGAACACATTCTGTTTCCTCAGGGACAGAAGTTTTCTTCGTTTTCTCAGTCTTTGTAACTTGTACTTCCTTAGCTGGATCATGATTATGTTTCCATGAGTCAGAAAGCTGATATAGCATGGTTGAGCACAGTGGCTCACGCCTGTAATCCCAGCACTTTGGGAGGCCAAGGAGGTTGGATCACCTGAGGTCAGGAGATCGAGATCAGCCTAGCCAACATGGTGAAACCCCATCTCTATTAGAAATACAAAAATTAGGTGGGTGTGATGGTGCACGCCTGTAATCCCAGCTACTTGGAAGGCTGAGGCAGGAGAGTCACTCGAACCTAGGAGGTGGAGGTTGCAGTGAGCCAAGATCGCGCCACTGCACTCCAACCTGAGTGACATAGTGAGACTCTGTCTCAAAAACAAAAACAAAAACAAACCCAGAAAGCTGATATAGAAGACCTCAAGTTAGTAGGAAGATGCTAAGGAGCCCATGTATGCCACTTCAAAGACTATCAGTTCCCTGGAACATCAGTGTGTCCCTTTTACCTGGCACATAGTAGGTATATAAGAAATATTTCCTGGGCGTTAAGTCTATAATATCAATTTTTCTATGATGGCCCTGGGCTAGAAATTATATGTTAACTCAAGAAATGGCTCTTGATTGTCTGCTCTGTGCCAGATGCCATGCTAGGCAACAGAATAAAATTGATACCACTTAATGGAATCCAAGCAGCAAGTTAATGGATTATTACTGCACTGATTCTAACAATATTTAAGATGTAATACTTATGTACTGGTAACTATCTTCTTTAGGTTCTATTAGTTTATAAAATGTTGACTAAATCAAACTTCCATGTATTTAGGCATTCTGATAACTAATTGTATACCTATATGCTAAGAGTTTTCATAAACGCTTAATTTTGTATGCTAATAATACTTTGCGTGTTTTATAAAGTCAAAGCTGTTTTTTCTGTAGGCTTTGAAATTGTCACAGAAGATAGTCTGACTCCTTGATTTCACATCTCATCTACTTTCATTTGGTCCTTCTTTGTCAGTGCTAGCAAGCCCTTACCTTCTCCACCTTACGCATGGCTTTTCTAGTTTTCGAGAACAATTTATCCTTTCCTTTTATTTTTCAATTCCAAAATCTTTCATCATCCAAGAATTAAACACATGATTGCTTCCTTGCCTATAAACTATGGTGTGAGCAAAAACAAGCACATTTTCCTTTTAGATGTCATTGCCTGTCACCATAACTTTTCTTTTGCATATTCTCAACTTTCTAAACCTCGCTGTAATTTTTTTTACTCCTTTCTTCAAATTTTTCTTTCTGTTTGTCTATAATTATTTTCTTCTCTTTCTAATCAGTACTTCTTTGGAACAGGGGTATGGGAGGGCATGAGGGAGAACTTTGGCCAAGATATGGGTTTTATATTGGCAGGTCTGGACTTGATCAAAAGAGCCTTATTTTTTCTGTGCAAAATACTATCCTACAATGTGCTATGTGCAAAATATGGTCCATTCTTTTACTGTTTAATTTGCTTAAACAGGTGATGAATGTAGGAATCCAGTGTTAAATAACAGAGAATTCATAATTTTTCTATTATCCCTAATGTATGATTTGACTTAATATAGCACAAAATCACTGAGTTCCTTCTAACTAACTGTCTCGTTCCATATATACCAGTAATTTCCATTGGTTAGCTCATATGGCAGACTCCAGGGATAAGTACTGTGTGCTAATTTACTGTCCTTTATGTTTTATGTTCTTATTGCAATGAGTTGGACCCATCTGGAAGGATTATCTATTTTTGAATCTTAATAGTCTCTTCTGAGGCTACACAACCAAAATTTAAACTAAGGTTTGTTTCCTCTCCCCTATACTCTTTCTTTTTTAAATAAATAACCTAAATTAGGGAAAATGGGAAAACAGTTACAATGATCTCATCCCCAATATAGTTTAAACTGTCTGTTAGGAAATGAATCAGTAGTGCAGCAATCTGTTAAGCTTTTTCCAGTCCATCAACTCAGAATGAAAGAATTCCACCCAGAAATTAGGAATTTCCATGGGCATTATCTTGCCATGCAAAGTAGAAGCGCATTTACAACCTTTGTTTTGTTAACAAATGGTTTATTTACTGAGGATGGTTAACTGAAACTCTAGAGTACTAGGAAGAACGTCAGCCTTATTTTAAATAAGGCACGAAAATATTTTGACCAGACATTTATATTTTGCCATTTTCCAAATAGAGTCATTTTTTTTCCTCTGCCCTTGCCATGATGTGACATTTAATTATGGATTCTCTAGAAACCTTTCCCTGAGGTCTTTTACATCAGAAGTACCTTTTCCAGGAGGACTCTAGTGGAGTTTTTCATTATGACAGCAGCTCCCTATGGCTTAGCTTGCTATTAAATCCTGAATTAATATAAGCAAACCCCTTCCGTTGACAAGATAAGCAATGTTTCCTTTTGTTTTCCAGAAGAGGATCTACTAGGTTAGTTGTCACAGCCTGGACCTTTCATTGGTAGCCTTTTGTTCGGGTTAAAATATTTACAGATACATGTGCTTTTCATCTAACAGATTTTACAAGCTAGTATTACAGTATATTCTCAATCAAAATATTGTGGAGGTTCTGCAATGCCTACCAAGTAAATGCTAAACCCCTTAAGCTGGCTTTTCTGGCCCCCACAATGTGGTCTCCTTTATTCGAGCGGAATATTTGACCACTTTCCTTCACACGTCCCATTCTCTAGCTAAACTGAACTGTTTGATGTTCCATGAGTACGACTCATGAGTTCCTGCTTGGGGAGCTTTTGTTTGTGCCATCTTGAATATTCTCACCAATGCCCCTCTCTTCCAATACAGCCTGATGAAATCCTAGACAACTCAAGGTTTATGTCATACTTCTTGAACAGCCTCCTCCATGAATAGTCTTTTTCTTTCTCCATGGATAAAACCTTCTCCTTTTAATCTGCAAGGGGGTTTCACTGTACATCTTTTATGTCACTTATCTTAAGCTACCTCAAATTATAGTTTTCCATGTTCTAATATCAAATGTTTTTGCCTCTTGCAGTTGAATGTTAAGATGGCAGTACTCTCCAAATTGATCTACAGATTCAACACATTTTAATCAAAATTCCAGATACTCTCTTTGCATAAATTGACAATCTGATCCTAAAATTCATATGGACATTCAAGGGACCCAAAATTGCCAAAACGATCTCAAAAATAAACAGAGTTGGAGGAATTACAATTTCCCATTTCAAAACTTACCCCAAAGTTACAGTAATCATGATTGTGTGGTATTGGAAGAAGGGTAGACATATAAATCAATGGAATAGAATCAAGAAACTAGAAATACCTTTTCACATTTATAGTAAATGATTTTTGTCAAGGGTTCCAAGAAAATGCATTGGGGAAAGAATAGTTGTTTAACAAATGGTCCTGAGTCAACTGGATATCAACATGTAAAAAAATGAATTTGGACTCCTTCCTCACACCATGCACAAAATTAACTCCAAATAGATTATGAACCTAAATGAGAAGACAAAACATATAAAATTCTTAGAAGAAAACATAGTAAAATTTCACAACCTTGGTCTAGACAACGCATTTTTAAACATGACACCAAAAGCACAAATAACAAGAAAAAAATGATAAACTGGACTTCATAAAAATTTAAAAATTTTGTATTACAATGATTACAACAAAGAAAATGAAAAGACTACACATAAAATGAAAGAAAATATTTGCAAATCATGTATCTCATAAAAGACTTGTGTCTAGAATACATAAAGTTTTCTTACAATTCAATAATAAAAATTTAAAAAAAAATTTTAAATGGGCAAAGAATCCAAATAGGCTTTGCTCCAAAGAAGATATAGAAATGGCCAACAAGCACACAAAAGATTCTCAACATCATTAGCCTTCAGGGAAATACAAATCAAAACCCAATGAGATATGATTTCACATTCATTAAGTGCCCATAATAAAACAGACAGATAAGCAAGTGTTGGTGAGGATGCAGAGAAGTTGGAATCCTCATACACTGCTGGTGAGAATGTAAAATGATGCATCCACTTTGGAAAATAGTCTGTTGGTACCTCAAAGTGTTAAATATTGGGTTATCATATGGTGCAGCACTTTTACTTCTAAGTAGACAATCTGAGAGAAATAAAAACATGTCCATGCAAATTCTTGTACATGAATGTTCGTAGGAGCATGAGTTATACTAACCAAAAAGTAGAAAAAACTCAAAGTCCATCAGCTGACACTGATAAATACAATGTAGTATATCCCTACAATGTAATATTATTGTGCAATAAAAAGGAATTATGTACTGATACATGCTATGATGTGAGTTAATCTTAAAAACATTACACTAACACAATAAGCCAAAAGGTTGCATATCATATGATTCTGTTTACAAGAAAAGTCTTGAAGAGGCAATCTATAGAGACACAGATTAATGGTTGTCTAGAGGTGAGGGGTTGAGAGGAAATGGGTAGTGACTGCTTATAGGTATGGGGTTTCATTTAGGAGTAATGAAAATTGTGGTGATGGTTTCAAAATGTATTGTGGTGATGGTTGCACAACTCTGTGAATATAGTTAAAACCACTGAATCATACACCTTAAATAGGTGGATTGTCTGGTAAGCAAATTAAATCTCAATAAAACTTTTTTTTTTTTCTTAGTGAGGAGGCTTTATATTAGCAATCATACAGGAAGTTGTCTTTCGTTGTCTAGTGTGGAAACTCAAGTGACACATGTTCACTCTATTTCTCTAGGTAGTTAAGACCTAAATTACAAATAAACTACCAGTGGATTTTTGCTTTTGCATTTATCATGTGATCTACTAAATAAAATGGGTTCTGTTTAGTAATATTACTATAATTAGAAAGATTCTTTGTAAAAATTATCAGCCATTTTAGAGTAGGTAAAATGAAATAATAAGTAGAACATCTCTGATTTACTGCCACCATTAAAATCTCAGCTACATTTTGAAACTATCTGCACCAATATTGCTCATAATTAAACAGAGGTATTATGCAAATGTATATAGTTTTAATTTATCAATAATGATCAATTTTGGCCAACATTAGTGGGTAGGTATATGAAAAATATAAATATATATTTCTACTTTGAAGTCATAATCATATTGTAAGTGAATTGGGTTTAGATTTTAAGGTTATTTTACACTTTAATGGTTTACTAGCACCTTTAATATTTTGTAGGTACTTGAATTTCCAAGACAAAATTATTTTTTTTTTATCTGCAATGGCTCTTTTCTCATACTGCAACCCTCTCCAAGCCTCCCTTCTAAAAAGATGGAGGACTTCATCAGAAGTCACAAAGGAACAATTTTTGTTCAGAAATAAAAAACAAGTCAGAAGGCTGAATCTCATCTTACAACTATGTTCTGGTCCCCTTCTATGTTTATATTTCCCCTCCATTTTTTTTGATATTGGTTCTGCATAGCCATCTGTAAAGCATATTCCCCTGGACTTCATGCTTCCCAGAACATTACACACAAACTGTGCATATGTTTTTCCTAAACTTAGTGATCACATTTGTAGGACTGGTGGAAGGAGAGTGGGGGACGGGAAAAATTTCCTCCTTTCTTACGCACAGAAATCAATCAGCAATTTCACTTCTGTGAGTAAGAAGTGGAGAAAGGAAGAAAGGAGAAAGAAAAGAAGGTAGGTAGAAAGCATTCTCACTTCTATATACTGTATTAAGTAGCCAACATAAAGCTAGAAACGAATCAAGCTGAATTCATTTTTACTCTATTCTCACAATGCTGTTATCTTGTCTCTAACCTAGGGCATCCACTTCCTTCAGTCTGTGCCTACCTCCCAAACATGAAGTCTTCCAACTTTTCTGTGCTTCCATCTGCTTGGTGTCTGCCTGAGAAAGAGGTTTCTAAGAGCTACTCCAAAAACCAAAATCACCCTCAAGGAAAGCATGAAGATACAAAGATAAAATATATATTTTTATAACATGTTTGAATGACTCACAACACAAAAAAGCATTTCAAAATGCCACCTGTAATTGGAAAAATAATATTTATATGCAAAAGGTATTTTAAAAAAATTATGTGAATGTCACCAGTCCCTTGTGCAATATGAGTCAACTTTGGCCCTAAGAGTGACAAGTCTAACCAAATTGTCAATCTTTAATGTTATTTCAAGACCCTAGGCAGAAAATTATTACACAGCCTCCTGTGAAAAAGGAATAACAAAAATAGCAAAAGCAAATTTCATCCCCAAAGGGACTCTGCTCCTCTCCAAACTTATCTCTATGCAGATTTGAGACAGAAGAGTTGGCCTGGTATGCAAGAAATCAGCCAGCTGACAACAGCTTTCTATGTTGCAGAAGAATGAGAAGTTAAATGTATTTCATGAACCAGTAAGAAATTTTAGTCTTATAAACTTGTAAGAAGGGTCTTTTTCCTAATCCTTTGAGTTTGATTTGCAGCAGTCTGAAATGTGAGAAAGAATTGCTTCATTAGTATTTTACATTGCTCTTCTCTTCTCTATAAATTCAAGTGGCCAAAGATGTACTGGGAAAAAATAAAAGTGTTTCAGTAGTTCCATGTGCAAGGGAGAAAAGGAATGAAAATAAACTCCCACGTATTAAAACAACAAAATATTCACTTTTTGGACTAAATATTGCTAGAACTTTGCATTTTGGTTGTTACTTTTTAAAACAGTAGTTGGAATTTGAGTGAATCATCTTACTTTTTGTATCTTATGCCCATACATAGTTACAGGAACCTGGAAACTGGAATATTACTATGGACATGCAAATTAATAGAGCTCATAAGGGCAACTGAAGTTCATTCCCTTCTTCAGAGTCCTAGTGGACCCTTATTTGCATAGCTGGATTTATAACTGACAAATACTGCATTAAGTTTAATTCTTAAAGGAAAAAGAAAAACCTTTGCAGAGAAGAATGTTGTGCCACATTAGTCATAAAGATGGAGACCTGTACATAATCTAAGAAAAGATCCATTATTCCATGCTCTTTATTCTGCCGTTGCTAATACCAATTGTCCTGATCACTTTGAGTCAGAGTTCAGAAAAAAGCAATTGCAATAATTTGTTGAAGATATTAACTTTGTCAGGGAAAATTCCTACTGAGGAAAAATAGAAGAAAAAGAGTTTCTTAAGGGGAAAAATGTGATTTATTCAGATTGCTTGTTACTAGTGAATTAATAAGGCCAGGTGCAGTGACTCATGCCCATAATCCTAGCACTTTGGAAGGCAGAAGCAGGAGGATTTGCTTGAGGCCAGGAGTTCAAGACTAGCCTAGACAACATAGTGAAACCTCATCTCTACAAAAAATAAAAAATAAAAAATTAGGTGGCTGTGGTGGCACACTCCTGTAGTCCCAGCCACTTGAGAGACTGAGGCAGGAGAACGACTTGAGCCCAGGGGTTTGAGGCTACAATGAGCTATGATTGAGCCACTGCACTTCAGCCTGGGCCACAGGGTGAAACCCTGTTTCTAAAAAAAAAAAAAAAAAAAAAAAAAAAAAAAATAGAATTATCCACAGAATCTAATTATCTGATATAATTCTCAATAGACTGAAAACACAACATGCATGTCACTTTAGGAATATACAGTGTTTATTATCTTGAACTAAAATGTCAGAAATGTGATCAGCCAAATAAATTAGGCTCTAAGGCCTTAACATGATCATAATTCTAAAGCCATCAATATTATAAAACCAAATGTTATTAACAAAACCAATAAAGGAATTTCCTAAAATGAAAAAATGTAATTATAAGATGCTTTCTGATTATTTCTGCAGGAATAGCAGACATCCAGGACTTTCATTAGCTTTAGTATTTAATAATTAAAATATAACCGCAAAGTCTACTTGATGTGCTCACAGAAAGAAGTAACACTAGATAACCGGTAATATTATATCTTTTGTCATTTGATATGTCAAATGACATAAAACCTAGTCATTTAGGTTTTATGCTCATTCACTAGATTTAGTACATCTAAACTGAAAATGCACTATCCATCAAACAATGTTTTTATTTTCTTGTTGAATTTGGTGGTATGGACAATGCTTTTTTGCAGGAATTTTTACACAAACAGTGTTCCTCCCCCGTGACAAATGTCAAAGGCCATAATTTTATTACCTTTGGGACCATATGCATTTTTGAAGACTGAATAAATTAGTCACTATTAAGAGAGCTGCATTCTAATACACAGCAAAAATGGTTTATATACAGAAGAGTGAACTTGAAAAGTGGTGTCATAAACATGCACCAAGATTTCAAGGTGAAGTTAGGAACCTCCTTGAATCTTACCCAGGAGAAAAAGTGGTACACTTGCAGGCAATATGCCTGAAGCTCTCCTGGAACAGTATCTTCCACTTTCACCACCCAGGCCCTCTGTTGTGGAGAAAAGAGTGTATCCTTCCTCCCTGACAGTACAGCTGCTGAAAGCTACTGCAGAAAAGGGAACAATGATTAGAGAAAAGGGAAAGGGAAAGAGAGAAGGAATGAAAAGGCATTAAGCTTATCAATTCCAGTGATAATTCAGAAGCTCTAAATGAGATTTTCCTTCTAAAATGTAATTACCCCTATAAAATAGAAAATAAGAACAACCATTCCTGAAAGTTTTGCAAGATTTTCAAAAAAATATCTATTCTAAATGCATTTATAACTCAAGCACCACCTGCTGGTTCAAATTGGATCTTCCCACTCACTCAACAACTCCAATCAGCCAAGAAGACAATTCAAGTTTTCATAGGAATGAAGCAAGAAGACTACTGATTTTTAAAACCAGATTTAAGTTGTTTTGCTAAAATGTATAACCAGCTTTATATTTCCATCTCGTATTTAAACCAAAAACATTAAAAATGTACTGTTATAAAAATTGAAAGATAATTTTTGATATAAAAGGTATAATCTGTACATACCATATTTGTATATATTTCTGTGGTTCATCACCAATACTCTCATTAACTACTGTTACAAACATTATCTTGCTAATGTTTATTTTTATTATCATAATAATTTTATAATACATGAAACTTTCAAATATCTTAATAAAAATAAACTGATATGTTTTACCACACAGACTAAATAAACATCTACTAATAAAAGTCACTATCAAATGAAGAGGCTTGTAGAAATGACTCACTGTAATTTAGCTAGTTACCTTTTCCAGTTCTTCAACAATGAAAATTTAATTCTTTGAGAATGTGTCTTAGAATTAGGTCACTGAATCAATTTTGCATTTGTTTAAAAAACCGTCACTTTTTGCCTCTTTCACAGAAAAACTAACCTAAACTAAAATAAAAATAACTATTTTCACTGTAACTACTGAAATATACAGCTGGTTATCTCATGAATGAAACTGCAACTACCCACCCCGAACCCAGCCGCAAAGTGTCCCTGTTACATAAATGTTTCTAATGTATTAAAAGCAGCTATGTGCAGCACTTACAGACACGGCCTCAAAGCCTAACTAGTAGCAGCATCTTAGGGCTACATTAACTGTGTATCCTAGGCAACCAAGTCATGGCTAAAGCATCACAGTGTTTGTTTAAAACGTGATGTGGAAAGCAATCAGAGGAGCTTCAATTCCAGGGAAATTCCTTTTCAATGTAAGCCTCACACTGTATCAGAGTGGTGCTGTTTGCACCATTATAATTAAGAATGTGTCACCATATTCATTATTTTCAAGGTTTTGTAACTCAGCTGTAAAAAATTAGTCATAGTAATTAAAAGATGGAAAACATCTAGTTATGCTAAGATGTCCTACTGGGGCATTTAAGGTCCTAGTGAAGGGGGTTTAAGCAATTTAAATGAGAGATAATATTTTATCTTAACTACCTTAAAATACTATCCTAACCACTGGTATATTAGAGGTATGTTTGAAAATAATTGTAAACAACAATTTAGTTTGTACTTTTCTTAATAAAAATATACATCATCTATTTTAACACCATAATGATTATGATTTTATTCCTCAGTGAGTTTATCTTTTCATTACTCTGTTAGCAAAGAGCAGTATTGTTCTTTACAAAAAATGTCTTTTTAATTTTTTGACCACTTCCTGAACTCAGTCATAATACAAGAACCTAAATCCATCTCATTTTGCACATCTCCTTTATATATTTATATTTCTATGTAAATTATAGGTACAGAATATTGTTCTAGGTGAATTATTTTTTAAACAGAATTTGTATTTTTCTTTTTTTGGTTTCCTTATGCAATAATGAAAAATGTTTCTCATGCTGTTTTTCAGATTGAAGAAGGAACCTGAATTTTTTAAAACAAAAGGAAGCAGTAATTGTGGTAGAGAAGAAAGGATAACTAACCTTTACTGAGAGCCTGCTGTAATAGCTACACAATACTATTTATCACATATTTATTTCATCTCATCCTCTCAATAGTTCTGCAGAAAAGGTAGTATTTCCCATTTCATAATGAGGAAACTCACAATATTAGTGGGACCTGGATCCAAAGTCCTAATATTTTATACGATTTGTGCATTTCCAAAATAAAAACTTGAAATTGAATACAGTCCATCTTATATTTAAATGATTTTACAAAATATTAGAAACAAAATTATAAAGTAACTCCATCTTTCTTTCCATTCTTCAGATTTTATTGCTATGTTTCATGGTCATGTTTAATTAACAAATGTATACAACTTATCAGAACTCAAGAATAAAATGAAACTAAGGGTTTCAAAAACCTATTTCCTTTAAAAATCTGGTAATAACACAACTTACATTATGCATAAAATAGTACTAAATTTTTCCCTAGAAAAAGAGAAATTGTCATCTAAGACTCTATGTGAATGATATCGGAATGAAAACAGTCACAGATTATACGGTAAAATTATTCTGCAGAGCCGCTCCAAGAGACAGAATAGCCCCTTGGTGATGGCCAAGGGATTTCTCAAGGCACATATCATGGCCTCTTTGAAGCCTTGCCCAGATTGATACGTTTGCTTTCTCTTTAAAATTCTGAAGTTAGAAAATATTATTTCCTCAATTATTTTCAAAGAGAATATATCAGAGATTTTATTATCTTCTACAGGTGCTCAAATCTGATGTTCCGTAAGTAAGCTTTAAACATTTTGTTCTATTTAAAAGAAAGACCTTTTAATAAATAACTATATTTTGTTTTTATATTGGAATAGTTGAGAAAACAATTTGCCTATTTCCTCATTTTTTTATTTGCAGCGTGTGAGGAAAAAAAGATATGAATTACTTAATACTCTCATTTCATATGGAAAAGACAAGGCAAACAATCAAGGCATTAGATAAGTGCTGTCCAGTACAGTGACCACTAGCTACTTGAAGCAGCTATTGAGCAACCTGAAATGTGGTTAGTCTGAAATGAGTGTAAAATACCACTGAAATTTCAATGCTTAGAATGAAAAAGGTGTAAAAATCTCATTTTCACAATGATCGCTTGTTGAAATGATAATATTTTGGAAATAAAATATGGCCATTTACCTATTTTACCTATTTCTTTTCTTTTAGTGTGGCTACTAAAAAATTTTAAAATTACATATGTGGTGCAAATTTGTAGCTTTCATTCTATTTTTGCGGGGGGGGGGGAGCGGTGGGGCAGTAGTGTGTTAGACCTCAAAACATGAGGCATGAAAGTTTAGATCTGAAATCACTGATATTATCTACAAGATATTTCCTACTACAATTTTGTTTTACTCTTTCTCTTGTATCCTGGTATTTCCAATATAATTGATAAATTTATATATAATCATGTATATTGATATATAATAATATATAAGCATATATGCACTGAACTCCTTCCAATGTTATATTTTCAATATCTAAAATAATACCTGGTCAATAGTAGGCACTCAATAAATAGTTTTTTTTTCTGTATTTCGAATTAATGCATTTTTCTAGCACCAAACACAAGTCAGAGATAGAGGGCAAAAAGAGGAAATTCTGCCTCACTGACCTATTCAGAAACTTTAAGTCCCATAGGTGAAATATCTGAAACAAATAGATATGCAAATGTAAAATGGAATTTTTGAAGCATTTGACAGAATATGGAAATTGGTAATCAGTAAAAATTTTCTATGATTGGATTACAGAACCACCAATGTATGGGTCCCACCACATACACATTTATATTGTGAGTGACCTGGACATTTGACAATGCATTCACCTTTAATATATACAACTATAACAATAAAGCTATTTTTAAGCTTTTATCAATGCTGTCAATATTTCTCCGTAAAAATTAAACTTAGCAATGTTATTCTTTTACAAGCAGCAGAAATTCCACGTTGCAGATTTGCATTCCATCAAAGGCATTATAATAAATTAAGAAGAATCATTAGAAAAGCTTACAATTTTGCATATTGCTTCACCAAGACTTCAAATCTGTGTAAGTGTGTGTATTTTAAACCATCCACGCAACTTATGTCCCTGGGTAAAATAATTTTAGAGATTACAAAAATCTTTAGATACCAAAGCCTAAAGAATTAGGATAGATGGAAACAAAATGAAGTTATTGTAATGCCCAAAGACTCAGAGGCTCACAGAAGACCAAGGAGTCTAAACATAGGAACAAGAAGTATTATCTGGGTTAGGAATCCTTGATCCATTGATGAATCTGAACTCAACAAAAAGTGTTTTGTTTTGTTTTTCGAGAATTTTAAAGCTGAAAATACATTTTCTGGGAATTGCTCAGCAGTGGATGGAATGACTGAGAGATAACTTGCTTGGTGGCTCTTAAGTCCAACTGATATTTTAAGAATCCTGGTTTCAAAAATTACTACCAGTATGACCTGGGTTTATAAAACCCCTCAAAGTCTTAGTGTTTTCATTTTAAAAGTATATGACAATCATCTCAGCAAAATAAGATTCCATCAGGTAATCTGAATAAAGTATTCAGTACAATGTCTAGCACATACTGATGGTTCAATGTTTATTATTTGCTGTAGTTCAGATATGTTATTAATTTCCTAGGGCTACAGGAACAAATTACCACAAACTCGGTGGCTTAAAATGAGAGAAATTTATCCTCTCACAGTTCTGGATGCTTGAAGTCTGAAATCAACCTGCCAGCAGGGCCATACTCCCTCTGAAGACTCTAGGGAAAAAAATCCTTCTTTGCGTCTTCCTAGCTTCTGGGGGCTTCCAGCAATCCTTAGCATTGCTTGACTTATAGCTGCCTCATTTAAATGTCTGCTTCTGTTTTTCACATGTTGTTCTTCCCTATACGTATGCATCCATCTGGTTCACCTCTACTCTTACAAAGATACCAGTCTTTGGATTTAGGGCCCACTCTAATCAAGCATGACTCATCTGAACTAAGTACATCTTAAAAGACCCAATTTTCAAATAAGGTCACATTTTGAGGTGTGGGGTTGACATGAATTGTTGGAGGGGGGGCACTATTCAACCCACTATAGATATTTAGCCCATTCTAAAGCTCACGTGGCTTTAACCAAAACAAGGGAAAGGTCAGAACACAATGGAGTATAAAGGAGGTAGTCACCTCTGTTATATATTGTCCTCCCATACATACATGCAAAGTCCACCTAGACTGGTAGTGTGAACACATTATTTTTCCATATGCCAAAATTTGCCTGTAAGATATCTTCTACCAGTTTGTTTTTATGTTTCTTAGGACTTTCATAGTCTTGCCACGTCTTATTCATTTGTCACTTACATCTTGTCACTAAGTCTAGTCATTTTTCTCTACTACACATCTCTCACATCCATTCTTCTCTCTCACTTCGAATTCTACCCAACCTTAGTGCCTCACACTAACATGAGTATAACCACCTTCAAACTAACCCTTGCCTCTAGACTTTCCCACCATAGGGCAAACTGCTGAGAGATTAATTCCCTATATTTTTTTCATATCAGTTCATATTCCCCAAGCCATCAATGATTCACCATTTATTTAGAGTAGAATCTACGTTCTTCAGATCAGCTGCATAGACTTTTATGATCTGATCCATTCACTTACCCCCAAATACTTCCTTCTGCAACTCAGTGGGAAACACCATCTCCAGTAATCCTGGTTTATTGTCTCCATTGCCTTCCTGTACTTCTTTTTGATTGCAAGAGGAAATTCCTTCTTAGCAGCATCAAAAAATACAGAGAATAATTCTGCCTTCATTTCAAAAGTCACTTTAAACCGAAATTCTGAGCTATAAAGGATTTGTAAAGGAGCCAGAATGTTTCCTTCCATGAATAAAGGATAAAGAATTTGTATATATATATACTTGTGGACTGGGACCCTACAGCCCTTGCAAGGTGTGTGGGTTGGGCAAGAGCTGAAAGGTTAAAAATTGGCTTTTGCTAGAGTGAATTCCAACCAAAAGAATGTTCATTTGGAAATGCCCAGCAAATGGTGAGAGCCAAGTCTAGGTTTTGTGTCAGTATTATTTCCAGGAGATAGTTTAAGGTGCTAGAAGGGCATACAACTCTAGCACGTCAGTGGCAGGCATAATGAAAGATATTTGCAAGAATCTATTATTTTACAAGAGTAGCATTGAAAGATGTGCTTTATAAATATTTTTCTACTTTTTAATAATTGAAAACTAGATATTGGTCTCCAAAGGAAAATATGTTTCTCTCCTGGGAAGTCAGCTCTGTATGTTAGGTAAGATTTCTGGGAACGGTCATTTAAGCTTGCCACTTACTAATTAACTGATCCCATGAAATACTTAAACCCTACTAGGATTTGCTATGCCCCAGTAAATCTGTTTCCCCCTCTGATGTTTCACTGTTGCTTTTTCCTCCCAACAGTGGCTATGAAACTTCTGTTGATAGAGGGACTATCCAAATCAAGCAAATCCCTGACTCTCTTCTCAATTGATAGACGCTGCCTTATGTTTAAAAGTTTTTCTTTTTCTTTCTTTCTCTCTCCTTTTCTGTTCCTGCTTTGATTAAACAAACACCAGAGAAGTTCTTGATTATTTTTTCTTCTTCTTCTTCTTCTTTTTTTTTTTTTGGTAAGGAAATGGAAAGTGAATCGCAAGTTGCTTCTGAGGCAAAGAACATAACTTTTATTATCTCTACTCCCTGTTACTACTGACTGTTATTAATTTTAAACTTTTGTTGCATTTTTCAGGTAATAAAAAAGCAATAAAGTAGTCCTTTAATACAAACTGTACAACACTTGTTGTCTGTTTTAAAAATCAAACACACTTTATAAAGAAAGGTAAAACTATTTATGGCTCCCTTGATGAACAAAAGTAGATATAAACCAAATGAAGAAAAACATGTGTTATTCCTTCAATAAATATTTGAAAGCTTGCTGTTGACAAGGTTTAGAGAAAGGTGACAGGCCACAAGCCATTTATAACATTGCTTTGTCCTTCTAGACAGCTGGTGAAAAGTTGGAGAACCAGAGCATAATAATAATAAAGGGTATTGTCATGTTTTATAACACTTTATAGCTCAAAATTTGATTTTTCATAAAATATTTTATACCATTTTCTTGAGAATCCTGTGAGAAAAGATGATGGAAAGATACTGGTACAGCCATTTTAAAGATGGGAAAACTGAGGTAATGATAGATTAATTACCTTGCCGTATTCCCATGATAAAACAGAAAGTATTAAGAATAGTGCTCATGTCTTCTTACCCCTGTTCTATGATTTCTTATTTCATAACCAAGATGAAGACCAAAATTTTACTCCTTCCTACAAGTTCCAGGAAGAATACCTTGGATAAGAAGGAGACAAGCAGAAGAACATGCCCTAAGATGACCCCCAGTAAGTAAGGTCCTTATGGAATCCTTTCCTTCTGAGTAGGGGCATAACAAATGACTCACTTCCAACAGAGTAAGGAAAAGGCGACTTTACTCCCTTGATTAAGTTATGTTCTATGACAAAGGTGGTGGGTTGTCATCCCTATTATAATTTATGTTACATAAGACTCCAGCTGGGCATACTGGAGCTTAAGAGATTCTTCTGCTGTCCTTGAAGAAGTAGGTGAGCATGCACTGAACTGCCTATAGAGAGGGTCACATGGCAAGGAACAGCGGCAGCATCTAGGAGGTAAGAGTGACTTCCAGCCAACAGCCAGTAAGACAGTGGAGAACTCAACTCTAAAACTATAAGGAGATGAATGCTGCCAACAACCTGAGGCAGTTTGAAGTGGATCTTTCCCCCGTCAAGCCTCTGATGAGTCTGCAGCCCTTGCCAACATCTGGTGGAATCCTGAGAAAGAGAACCCAGCTAAACTATACCCAGAGCTCTGACTCACAGAAACTGACATAATAAATGTATGTGGTTTTAAGAAGCCACGCTTGTAGTGATTAGCTATACAGCATAGAAAACTAATGCAATACCTGTTTCTTTTTCTGTATGCTGTAGTGTGAGCCCTCTAACTATGAAGTTGATAAAAACAAATCAGTAATATTTTGGGGGGAAGGGATCCCCCTTTAATAATACAAACTAACATTTGTTGAGCATTTAATATGTGCTAGGCATTGCTGCAGATCTTTGGACATACTGCATGAAGCAGGGCTCAGTTCTTGGAACTAATCTCTTCCCTATTCTCATTCCCATTCTGGTTTAGTGTTTTTTAATCTTAGGAACATGTAGTAACTTTTGGCTTTTGAACAGAGAAAAGATGAGACAAGAAAAACAGAATGTATCATACCTATAAAATAAAGTTACATTAAATAATACATATTTTTTCCAGTGTATGTTTGTATGCTACCTAGTGATATGGTGATATAAAATATTATTTTTTTCTTTTTTTATTATTATACTTTAAGTTCTAGGGTACATGTGCACAATGTACAGGTTTGTTACATATGTATCCATGTGCCGTGTTGGTGTGCTGCACCCATTAACTGGTCATTTACATTCATTAGGTATATCTCCTAATGCTATCCCTCCCCCACCCCACAATAGGCCCCTGGATGTGATGTTCCCCTTCCTGTTTCCAAGTGTTCTCATTGTTCAATTCCCACCTATGAGTGAGAACATGCAGTGTTTGGTTTTCTGTCCTTGCGATAGTTTGCTGAGAATGATGGTTTCAGCTTCGTCCATGTCCCTACAAAGGACATGAACTCATGCATTTTTATGGCTGCATAGTATTCCATGGTGTATATGTGCCACATTTTCTTAATCCAGTCTATCATTGATGGACATTTGGGTTGGTTCCAAGTCTTTGCTGTTATGAATAGTGCCGCAATAAACATATGTGTGCATGTGTCTTTATAGTAGCATGATTTATAATCCTTTGGGTATATGCCCAATAATGGGATGGCTGGGTCAAATGGTATTTCTAGCTCTAGATCCTTGAGGAATCACCACACTGTCTTCCACAATGGTTGAACTAGTTATTTTAAGTGCAAATAGTAGCCGGGCATGGTGGCTCATGCCTGAATCCCAGCGCTTTTGGACGCTGAGGTGGGCAGATCACCTATGGTCAGGAGTTCCAGACCAGCCTGCGTAACATGGTGAAACCTCGTCTCTACTACAAATATGGAAATTAGCTGGGCATGGTGGTGCATGCCTGTAATCTCAGCTACTCAGGAGGCTGAGGCAGGAGAATCACTTGAACCCAGGAGGCGGTGGTTGCAGTGAGCTAAGATTGCGCCACTGTACTCCAGTCTGGGCAACAGAGCGAGACTCCGTCTCAAAAAAAGTGTGAATAGTAGTGAAAAATGGAGAAACACAATTGTAGGTGATGTCATCCTGTTTCATAATATTAAACAGCATCTATACAGGGAAGGAGTTATTTTAAGTTAAAGTTTTATCTCCAGATTCTACTTCTGTGAACTTTAGACTCATTTTCTAGTCACCTACTCCACATTTCCACTTGAATGTCGAATAGTGAAGTTCACATGTATCATGTCCAATAGCAGACTCCTGACCCCCATGGATCCCTACCCATCTGTGCGCAGTCTTCCCAATCTCAAGCTAAAAACTTGAGAGTTATTCTGACTTCTTTCTCCTATCCCTTTCATCCAATTATCAATAATCTTGTCATTTCTATCTTCAAAAGACATCAGAATCTGACCATTTCATGACACCTCTTAAGATACTGTTCTGAGCCAAACCACTACCATCTATCTGAATCATCATTAATCAAATAAATCTCCTGGGCAGCTCTCTGCTTGCACCTTTGTGCATTTCAGTCAGTCTATTCTTTTCATGGCAGTAAAAGTAATTCTTTAAGTAAATCATGACTTCTTCTCTCAACACCCTTCTCTGACTTTCTATCTCATTTACATTCCACATTTAGATGACTATAATACACACTTATTTTTATATAGAAAATTAAAAAGTGTCTTATATTCACCGTGAACCAGGTGGCAGTTATAACATAGTGATCATTGCTTGTATATGAACAAACTTGGTCATCACTTCAGTTGAATTATAGGCACTATTGGGACTACACATTTGAATTTAATATCTTCAGTAAGTTTCCACTATGATTCAACATTGAAATGAGAAGTTATTGTGTATGTAAAAAGAAACAGAGGCAGACCAGCATAGCATATAAAAGAATTTTTGTCTAAATAAGACTAAATAAACTTTTTAGATAAATACAAAATAAAAATCTATGTGATTAGAAAGTATTGTGCCATCATTTTCAGGGCAGTTTTTGTTCCTTAGTTACACATAAAATAATGATGAAGCTAACAATGAAAAATGTTTTAAATTTGATAACATGCAGTAAAAGCCAATCCTTATAATGTTCCACAGGGCCCATATATTCTCTTGCCCTCTTGACATCTTTCTAAATTTATTTCTGAAAATTCTCCCCTTTGCTCACATAGCTCTAGCCGCAATGGCCTTCAAGTATCGCTTTGAAAATGCCATGAACCCTTGTGTCACACAGCCTTTGCCTCTGCAGTTCATTCTATGTGATATGTCCCCGTCCCCTTGTAGCTTCAGGACTTATCTCACTTACCTCATTCAGGTCTCTGTTTAACCGTCATTTTATCAAGGAGATCTTCTCTGCCTATCTT
The DNA here is from genome assembly GCF_000001405.40 of Homo sapiens. Taxonomy (NCBI): domain Eukaryota; kingdom Metazoa; phylum Chordata; class Mammalia; order Primates; family Hominidae; genus Homo; species Homo sapiens. The sequence continues at coordinate 173,722,956 of NC_000003.12, read as the reverse complement.
ATTAAAATATTCTTGCCCATCTCAAATTAATTTTTCCACGTTTTATATTTTTATTTTTCTTTCATTTATTGTCTTTCTGTCTTTCATTGAAATGCATCATAGTGCCTGGCACATAGTAGATGCTCTTAAAATTTTGATGAATAAGTAAATGAATAAATGGATCTTCACAACAACCTTATGATATTAACATTATCATTAATGATGGTAATATTATCATTGCCATTAAACATTGATGAAAAATGTGAGGAAAAGGGAGATTAAGTAATTTTGTCATGGTCATGCAGGTATTATGTGTGACAGACTCTGGATTTGATGTGGCTGCAGTGCCTGCACAATGAACCTTCCCTTATTGTTTCTCATGTCTTAATAGATGAGTGCAGATTTGAAGTCACTTATGAAGATAAAGAAAAAAAAGTTGGCCAGCTGCGGTGGCTCACACCTGTAATCCCAGTACTCTGGGAAGCCAAGGCGGGCACATCACGAGGTGAGGAGTTCGAGACCAGCTGGCCAACATGGTGAAACCCTGTCTCTACCAAAAATACAAAAATTAGTCGGGCGTGGTGGCAGGTGCTTGTAATCCCAGCTACTCTGGAGACTGAGAAGGAGAATCGCTTGAGCCTGGGAGGCAGAGGTTGCAGTGAGCCAAGATCACGCCATTGCACTCCAGCCTGAGCAACAGAGCAAGACTCTGTTAAAAAAAAAAAAAAAAAAAAAAGAAGAAGAAGAAAAGAAAAGAAAAATATGTGATACAAGTTAATGACTTACACAAGGCTACTGAAGAACTTGTTACTGAGACAGCAAAGGCTATCAACCCATTGTGTGGACACCAACTTTGGAGCTCTTTTACAATCAATTCTGTTATTTTACTAATTCCTCAGAGGTGTCATCATGTAAGGTGTTTCTCCATTCTAAGGCACTTACAATTTTGTAGCAGACACATGAAATAGAGAAGTACTTGAAAACCCTTATAATTGAATACGTAACTCCGTTCCACTGGGGTCCCTTTTTTTTTTTACGAGCAGATATTCATGTTGCCCATCATGTCACACCAACTTCCTTCTCAGCATCAAAGCATACTTGGTTCTTTTTCCTGGCCAAATGGGGGCCACTTTCCCAATTCATTAAAATGATTAAATGGTTCTGCATAGTGAAGAATAAGTCATGTGCTAGTGGCTGTACTATGCGGCAAAGATGGTAAAAATTATTTTATAGCTTTCTAAGCAGCAATAAACAAAATTTCTTTCTTTTAAAACTCCCTACTATCTCCAGTCCTTCTTTAACAATCTCCATAAATAATTACATAAAATGTGTATAGTGTATTTTGTCTTTGAAAAACCCAATGGGTTGTTGTAAAATAAAGTGATAATTCATAAATACCTAGTACAGAGTAAGCACTCTGAAGACATTATTATAATTAGTGTTACTATTATTATAAATGATCGTATGTTTACATTTTACCTTAGAGTGTGGTGACCAAACCTGAGAAATTTGAAAGCAAAAAGCAAAGAAGTGCTATGTGCAACAAAATCTATAGCGTTTACTTGTTTACTTAGAAAATACACTTAAATGAGCCTTAGTCAATATACCAAAAAACATTCAGATTGGCCTGGCTATCTTTTTGCATATTAGAAATTACAAGTGATGCCAAATTTTGTGATGTACTTTTTGATTGGACACAAGGTCACCTCGGTGAGGACAGTCAACACCAAGCTCATTTTCACCTGGTGACTGGAGCCATAATGTAAAATGTTAAATTGCTATCATTTTTCTTTCTCCTAAGTAACTTGTAAACATAATAATGGCTTCATTGTTGAGGCTTGCAGCTTCTTTCAAAAGGAAAATAATTTTTAAAACAGGCTAGGATCATAGCGTTGTGTGCATATGAGCACTCAAAACGCAGTCTTTAAATAATAAAAAGCAGAGCCTTCATTTGTGCTGATCTTTCTGCCTAAAAGCTTCTACCTGACTTTTTGCCTGATCAGCTACCTCTTATTCATTCTTCAAGACCACGGTAGTCTTCCTCTCCATACTCTTTACTTCTCCTCATCATAGCTCTACGTAGATACCTTAAAAATTAATTTTACAAATAAGTTTATCCTTAAAAATTATCAGCAGACACGCAAGTGCAGGTATCACGTTCTTGTTTCATTACTTCATCCCCAGATCTTTGCACTATGCCTTCATAGGCATCCAATAATATTGGTCTAAAGAATATATTAAACTCTCATTTACTTCTGCTAGTAGGGAGATTCAAATGGAGAGTTAAGATCTGGAATATATAAAATGTATTCACATAGCAATACAAATAAAATGTTTAGTTTTGTTGTGTTTTCTCCTCAGTGGAATTCACTTACTAATAAGGTATGGTATAATGAAAGATATGTTGTTTCTAGAGCTGAAACAGAATTGAAATATCCACTCCCACCTTCTCATTTAATATATTTTGTCCTTCCTAAGCAAATAATGTGTGATATACTGGAAGTTGCTCTGCCTAGAATTCTCTATAAGGTTCTATTGGTTAAACTTTGTTTTCATGTCACACAGTATCAATAACCATTTATAATACAGGACAAAAAATAACTGACCTTCCGGTCACTTGAATAAGGGAAAAATGAAACTTATTTTTAAACAAGTTTCAAACAACTAAGTTATCACAGACAATTCTCACCCCGCCGGCACCCCCCGCCTCAAAATATTTAAAATTTGGGACTCTCTCAAGAGTGTTTATTTTAAAAATAAAGATTTTGTTTACCACATTCAGGCATCCTGATTTAGCAGGCCTGGATCGTGACTCAGAAATCAGCATTTTTTAAAAAATTCTTTTTCTTTTTTTTATTTTTTTAGAGACACAGTCTCTCTCTGTCGCCTAGGCTGGAATGCAGTGGCATGATCATAGCTCACTGCAGCCTTAAACTCCTGCATTCAAGTGATCCTCCCACCTCAACATTCAAAGTAGCTGGGACTATAGACGTGTGCCACCATGCCTGACTAATTTTTAAATTTTTGTAGAGACGAGGTCCCACTGTGTTGTCCAGGCTGGTCTGAAACTCCTGGCCTCAAGCAATCCTTCCACCTCTGGCTCCCCAAGTACTGGGATTACAGGCGTGAGCCACTGTGTCTGGCCCAGAAATCAGCACTTTTAGGCACACCTCAAAATCTACAGCCAGTTTGAGAACACCCTATCCTAGACTGTAGAAAGAAAAATATGTATACTATACACATAAACACTTTGACATTTTCAGGATTCCTTAATAACTTCTGTCTCCAGCATAGTGTCAGTATTTTCTGAGAAAAGTTCAAACATCAACTATACGAGGTTTTTTGTGGGACACTGACAAAATATCTACCAATAGATTTCCCAAATCTTTTTAACAGTGCCCTTAATTCCACTATGCAACACGACGCCTTCTCCCAGTAGGCTCTAATTGTGATGTAAGTCCCCTTGGAAGCAGTTACACTATAAGCCATTAAAGAGATTTCTTCATTCCTTTACACAGATTAGTTTGTGCGTAACTAAATGATGTCTGAGGACCAGATACTGGGACGGTCACTTTTGTTTAAAAAAAATTGACAAAAGGAAGGTCTAGAGCTTAGGGCAGGAAAGAAGGTACTCACAAAAAGGAGTTTAAGGAAAATAAGTATCAGACTATGCACATTTACTGACTAAGGAAACTAAGTCCAGGAAAGACAAAAAGAGAGGAAAATCAGAGATCAAAATAAATTTTTGCCATTTTTCAGTTACCTAGAGCAAGTCTTACTAACACTAACTGATTGATCCATCCATCCATTCATTTATATTCATAGAATCAATAACATATCTAACAAGTGGCAAGGGACTGGGCCTGGAATAGTGCTTTGCTTTGAGGAAACAATGGATCAATATGGCTGAACAACATGAATGGTGCCTGTCCTCAGAAAGCCTCCATGTCAGTCTGATTTACTTTGGGGGCAAGGAAAATGGCAGTGGTATGAAAAGTGGATTTCATTATGTTAGTTCCTTTCAACTATAGCTCAGCAATATAAGAAACTATTTTATTTAGTGATTCAAGAAAATTTTTCACATTCAGTTCACCAATCATAAAACCTACACATTATTGTTTAAAAACAGGAAAGTTTCTGGTATGTTTATAAACATTTTTGGTAATTATTTTTAAATGTTCTTTAAAAAGTTATTACATGTTACCACTTATTTTGAAACAATTTGCATCAGATAAAGCCATATATTGAATAGGATCACACAAGTAGATGATGCATCTATTGGCCTAACTCAGGATATTCATAACCAGAATTTGTCATATGACACTTAAGAATCATAATCTGTTGCATTTTTTAGTCAGTCATAGATTTTTACAGTTGAGTGAAACTTTTCAAAATTTATAGTGTGCCTACCTACCTTCTAAGGATTATAATTTGTGGCTGTGAGCAGTGTTTTACAAACTGAAACTCATTTATGGATTATAAAATCGATTTACTAATTTGTGACTGGCATTTTTTTCAGCAACATGGATGGAACTGGAGGTCATTATGTTAAGTGAAATAAGCCAGAAACAAAAAGAAAAATGTTGTATGTTCTCACTCATATTTGGGAACTAAAAAGATTGATATTTCATGGAGGTAGGGAGTAGAATGATGGTTACCAGAAGGGTAGGTTGGGGGCAGTGGATGAAGAAAGGTTGGTTAATGGGTACAAACATATAGTTAGAGAGAAGAAGGAAGTTCTAGTGTTTGATAACACAATAGAGTCATTATAGTTAACAATAATTTATTGTATATTTCAAAATAGCTAGAAGAGAAGAGGCAAAATGTTCCCAACACAAGGAAATAACAAACGTTTGAGGTGATGGATATACGAAATACCCTAATTTGATCGCTACACATAGTATTTAAGTATCAGAATATGACATGTGCCCCGTATATATGTATAGTTGTTTAATGTCAATAAAAAACACTAAAAAATATGTAGAGTGAAGTTCTAACATTCTCAAATGTTTGAAAATGTTCTAATTTGTAACACTCTTACCCTTGTACCTACATCACTAATAAGCACCCTTACCCTTGTACCTACATCATGCACATTTTATTTTCATTTTATTTTTAATTTTTGGGGGTACATAGTAGGTTTATATATTTATGGGGTACGTGAGATATTTTGATATCTTTAATTGTCTCCTGAGGGCCAGAGTTTATAAACCACTTCTTAAACCACTTTGTGGCTCCTGATGCTTGCAGGACTCACATAACTGTAAATTGCCACATACAGATTGAAAGCATTACTCACTCTTATCTTGCTAGCATCTAAGATTATATATATTCCATACACAGTAGATATTCAATAAATTGTCATCAATTATAATAAAAAAGAAAATACAATTCATTGCCTGTACTGAGGTTATCATTTTGTGAAATTTTTGCTCTACTTTTAACCTACAAGCACAGGTAACATAGGTTATTAGCCATGGATCATGGCTAAAACAGTTTGACTCCCATTGCTGAAGAACTGTTACAATCAAGCTGGATCAACACCTTTAGTTTCCAACCTTTTATGCACTCCCAATATTAACTGGTTTGATATACATTTCTTTTGTAAAAAATGGACATGCACCAAGTCAATGTACCTTCCTGAAGAGATCTTAACAGCTTAAAAATAAAAACTAACATTTTTTCAAAAAATTTTCAATCATATTAAAATCTGGCAACAGAATAAATAAAACACAACCATTTTAGAACAGATCACATCAACTTTTACTAAAGACAAAAAAGTTCACTCTCAAAGTCCACTGACTCTAAGGATTGCTATGGCATCACCATACCAAATTGGCTGAAGCTTCTTTTATTAGATGTTTCCTTAATCAACTTCTCATGACAATGCAGTGCAAGGATGGGCTTAAAAGTGGCTAAAAGCCATCTTCTAAAGCTAGAGTCACTTAATAAAAAGTAACTTGTAATGACTGCTGGAGAGGAAATCAAATGCTAGAAATGAATTCAGGTGCTAGGATCAAAGCTATAGTTTCATTGATTAATGTGTCAGGATAAACGGTATGAGGCAGACCCCCCACCCCTTCAGTGCATTCAACGTGTTTCAGTTGCTACGATATCTTCATCAAGATACACGACAAATATTCACCTTGGAACAATAGGCAATAAATGAATATCAAGAAGGGAAAAATCCTAATTAAAAGGCCAACATATCAAATAATAATCTAAGCTACATTATGCAGCTTTCTCTTTTAGACTTAAGGATACATTTGGCTCCCAGCAACACTAAAACTCATTATAATCATCATTAAAATAACACTTTTCTCAAGTCAGCAGGAGTTGGGTGTCTCGCTGAAGCTGTGCATTCAGCCCCCGGGAAGAAGTAGTATCAGGCAGTGCATCAACTGACCCCTCAGGATAAACCTGAATGGGCTCTGATGAGCTCCAAAGGGGTGCAATCCGAAGGTCTTTTTGAGGTGAAGACCCTGCTGCCTCTTGCTTCCTGTATATTAGCAGCACTTAGTCTGCTATAAAAGGGACTGAAGTTTAAGAGAGTTACATTCTTAAAGATTATATACATGGTGTTTCAAATTGAAATTCTAACACAATGTATAGGTGGTATATTTTATGTGTATATATACACACACACAAACACTACCCTATTGACAAGCACTCATTTGTCTAAGTAAAATGAATATATCTACAAAATCTGTGACCCATCTTTCCAAAAATAGAGAAATAGTTTAAATTCACAGATTAGAAATGCTTGTAAAGATTAATTCCTTCAAATCGCTTTCCTGAACGTGCAAATTCACTGTCTCTACCAGCTCTTACATACAGCCAGCTTTGACAGGAAAGCAATAAAGTGGCAGATTTGCTCAATTTTATTTCGTGAAATAATTCAAAGTTTTTTGTATGAATGGTAGAATTGTCTTATGAATATTTCTGGTTATTGTAAGCATATTTATGTATTAGGTATTTTTAATATCATCCAAATAATTTAAAATACAACTCTTCTATCTTATTTAAATATTTTTGTTCAGCAAGAATTGAAATACATTAATCAAAATCTAAATAATGAAATTTTTTTTTTCAAAACTCTGAAATCCTGTTTTCATAATGTTGTGACACAAAAAACAGTATAAACAGGACAAGGATTTTATTTTTAAATTTAAACTATCAACTAAAGCAGTTTGTGACTGTTTATACTTGCCAACTAATGAACTATCTGCGAAACCAGACAGGATGCTATCTGGAAAATAGCTTAAAAATTGATGCTATTTATTTAAGTAAATTAATTTTCCCAGCATTGTGATATCAGCTAGCATAATAAGTTCTATACACCATTCAATGGACAGAAAATGAAGAGAAAATAAAAGAAAAACGTGTTTGTAATAAAAGGGATACAGAACCTTCCTCCTGATACATAGAAATAGCTCACTAGTCCCTTTTCGCTACCTTGATTCTGTAATAGTGCAAAACAAGAATCCTAAACATTAAAGCTCTTAATAAGAGAGAAGAATCACGCCAAGAAAATCACCCATCACTTATGGAACAAGGAAAAAAGAAGTGGCATATTTATGTTGCTTACTATTCTCTTACTATTGAAGCCACAGACTTAACAATGCATTTCAAGTGGAAATATTCCACATGATAATTGTAGAATTGGACATGAAAGTGTTTAAAGGCCATGGAACATGAGTAACATATATTCTTACTGGACAAAAACAAGGCACAGTGTTCAGATCTTTACTCAGGAAAACAAGTGAAAAGACTATGAAATAATCATTTAAGCCAAGACCTGTAATCCCATTTTAAGAAGTGAAAAAACATTGTCTTACTGATTCCACCAAAATACAATAGAGTCCATCCACTTCTCTCTCTCCCCCACCTTTCATGCCTTTTTTGAGGGGCTACAACCACTTTCTAACAATTTCAGTACGTACCTCCAAAGCGGTTGCCTTCCTGGAAACTTTGCCTCCTTCCATCTGCTCTTTATGTTATATCAAAAGGCAGAGAAGAGAACTCTTCTAAAGATCTAAGCTCTTGTGTTTATTCTCCTGCGATTACTCTGAAGAATCCCTGAAAGTCTAACCTCCCTAACACTCAGGACAAAACCCTTCTCATTTTACCCTGCTCATTTACCTCCTTTTCTTCTACCAGTTGCTTCAGTCTCTTCATCTGACCCATACATTTTTCTCCTGTAATACTATAGAGTACTTGAATTTTCCCAAAACATTCTGGGCACCTGCAGTTCCCTCAAGCTTTGATGTACTCTTCCCCACTCCCTTTTCAAGTTAAATCTCATTCTCCTAGGATCCAGTTTAGAGATCACTTGCTCCAGAAAGGCATAGTTCATTCTCTAAAATAAATGGGTTCCCCTTAACTTGCTGCTCTAGCAGCAACCTGTATGTACCTCTAGCAGCTTCAGGACAATTTTCAAGCTGTATCATAAGAGCCTGTTCACTCTTTAGGTCTTCTTCAATTGACTTCTGATCTGCATGAGACCAAGAACAGTGCCTTTTTCATCACCATTTCTCCTAGCCTAAGAATTAATCCAATATAATAATAGTTACACTTAAGGAAGGCAAATATGGTGTCAAGCACAGTTCTAAGCCCTTTATCTGCATTACCCAATTAACCCTCCAAAGACTTTTGCAGTAGACATAGTAGTGGCCCCAACTTTAGATGAGAAAATCAAGAAGCAGAGAGGTTAACCAGAATCGTAGCTACCAATGATGGAAATACATTTTGAACACCAAATGTATTTCAGAGCCCATTTCCAATTCCAAGACTTTCTCAGCTGAGGTGACAATATAACAACAATAAAAAATAAATGTTTTCAAAAGACGCTGTTATATACCATCATGACAACCAATTTAATGTTATAATTTAAACCTCAAATTCTAGTTGCAAATGTATTTCTATTACACTTTGCATTCAAACATTTATTTTTCCTCTTTCTTAATCTACTTTTCCCTTCATCTTTCTCCTTTTTCTTAGTATCCTTGAGCTATCTCTACTTTGTTAGGATGTAACCAGCCATAAAAAGCATAACTCTTTAGCAATAAAGCCATATATCACTTTAAATATCTTCCAGGCATAACAATGCACCCTACAATATAGGGTACATATGTGATTTGTTTTATAGAAAGTAAGCTAAGGAATGTAATCATACATGTAACAGCTATGCTTATAATTAACCTTTGTTGAGTACAGATGGGTATAAGGCTGTATTCTAAACATTTTGCATATCTTAGCCTACTTAATTCCCACAAGGACCCTGTACTATCATTAATTTCAACTTAAAAATGAAGAATATACAAAGTTTAAATAATTGTCCAAAGTCAATCATATAGTAAACAGTGAAATAAGCTAGAAAATATCTGTACAGAACATAGGCTTATTATAATTTAAAAAATGAAAATAATTTACATATATATTTTCAAAAGAATAGCAATTATCAGTGGCCTAAGCACCAAATTTGAGAACATAAAGCTAGTGTTTGGTGCCATTCTTCTCCTTCTCTTAACTCTTCTATTCTTACATCACACTAACTCATCAGCACTTTGCTCCCAAAGATAAAGAAAAAAATGAAGATAATTTAAAAGACAAAAGAACGAGTTATGAAGCCATGTATCTTTGTAATTTGTAAACCCAAATAATACAAATATTTCATTGCATAAAGAAAACACTGAAAAACTACTCATTTGTTTTTAGTTTTTGCTCACTTGGGACCTAACTCCTTTTCTTTATTCTTACTTCACATTATCACAGTCAAGTTGACCAATGATGCCGTGAGAGCCATTTTTTGGAAAACAATTTCAGCTTCCATCTGAGTAAATACAAAGAGAGGATATTTTTATGTCTGCCCAGAATTATAAAAATGCAACCTTGTTTAAAGTAATAGTTTATTTGAAATCATGAGTTAACTGTATTGCTTGATGAATATAATCTCTTAGAATGTCTATTTGTCCCTTTGTCTTTAAGTATATCATTGTTTCCGACCTTGCTGCTACTACACATATCTCTCATTGTCTCTTCCTCCATGCCTACCTTTCTCCTTATTAATTTTTTCTTGCTCTTTTATATTTTTCTGTACCCCAACCAACCTGTTCTGAAGTTTTACAATTAATTTGTTATCTAGCAGACTGTATATTTTTTTATCTTTAAAAAATCAAATTTTAACGCCTCAAGTTTCAAGAAAAAAACACAACTAGTTGCACTTATATATAAGGATTTTGTTTAATCTTCATTTGTAGAATTGTTGGTTTTCAATAACTAATAATAGAAATGATAATGACAGGAATAATGTCTCCTAGGCACTACTTGTTCTGGGCACTTCCCGTGTATTAACTCATTTAATATTAATGAGGCCCCTAGAAATTAAATTCTACTATTATCCTCATTTTACAGTAAGAAACATAAGCTTCAAAAAGGTAGAATAACTTGTTAGGGAGCACACAGGTAGTCAGTGGCAGAGCCAGAATCTGAGTCCAGGCAGCCTTGACTAGATCCTAAATCTTAACCACTGAGCTAAATATCTAGACAAGCTTAGTAGTTAAGAATCTTGAGTATAATTAGCTTAACCATAGCTAACAAAGACTGGCTACCTTAGGGTTGGAAGTTAAACAGACATGGATTTAAATCCCCTTTCTATTACTTCATAGCTATATGCTCTTAAGCAAGCATATTACCTTCCCAAAGTTTTGGTATCCTTATCTGGAAATCCAAGTACAATACTTACCTCACTGAGTTAGTGTAATAATTACATGAACTAACTAAAAGCAAAACAAAAAAACTGCAGAATAAAAACACTCAACACAGTGGTTAGCACATATTACATACCCCATACATTATTATGAAGCAGTCATAGAAGTATGTCCATGAATTTCCTGATCTGTATTTAGTTTGCTTTTTAAAGCTTCCTGAAAACAGAAACCCAATACTCTGTAGATTTTAACAAACATCAGGTTCAAAAGTAAAATTACAAGTATTGCTCTATGCCCTCAGTTTCCTATTGCTCATTGTGACCCACTTAGTGATCAGCCTTGGCCTCTGCCACTCCAGACTTGGAACACTACTGTCCGTACTCTGGGAAAGCGTAAAGAGCTGTTGCTGAGTGTGTCGGGAGGCATCCAGACAGCCTTGTTGCCAGTCAGGTTCTGGTCTCTAACCTTACCTCCTTCAGTAACTGGGCTGCTATTTCATGATGACTCATTATCACCATAGTAGATCGATTCCAGTAACAAGCATAAGCAGCCAATATGCTCAGTGCATATCTTACCTCATAAGAACAGGTAAGAGATAAGAATGATGATAAGGTTCCCGGGCAAAAGAAGTCCTTTCAGCTTCTATTTTTCTTTTAACCCCTTGGCTGACTGGAGCCAAGCAATATGAAACTAATGAGCTTTGATGCTTTTATGCATTAGCAAAACAACAAAAAATGAGTGTTTTCAAAAGACACTGTTATAAACCATCATTAAAACCAATTTAATATTATAATTTAAACCCTAAATCCTAGTTGGATTTAAGGAAACAAGTTTGCAACAGGTGGTAGCTTTAATAGTCTGTGTTTCATTGGTGACTTCTGTTTCTTCATGTTTTGACTTGGTTTATTGTCCTACTTCTCCCTGAACTGAAAACAACTTACACACTGATTTTTCTCTCACTCTCACCAGAAACAAATTACCAAGCCCACTGTTGGTTTTTAGCCATAAAGCATCTAAAGTGAGATATCTGTGAAATATTATTGTGAATTGTTTAAACCCAAAAGATGACCAAAATGAGGTTAACAAAACTATGTACCCATCACAAAATTAATACTATTTTTCTCCTAGGAATTTTGCATCTCTTGATTTTATGTCTTTTCTGTTTGCACAATTTAGAATATGACCAATTATGGATCTTCTTGCCTGTGTAGACTAATATTGAATAATAAATAAATATGTGTAATAAACAAGAATCTGAGTTCTAGAGTCTCAAACTCATAGACAGACACTCAAATCTTGCCAATGAGAGTATTTAGTTTCACTGGAATAATGCTTTAAAATTGTTCTAACTGGAATACCTTTAAGAGAAGCATGCACTCCCAGGTCACCACAGAAATCTGTTTTCTTATGGACTGTTTCCCTTCTTTCTTACCCAGTTTACTCTCGCATGGTACTTGACTGGGTCTTCTTATGCTTTGAGACTCCTCAGCCTGAATTAGATACCTCCAAAAGTATGCATTGCCTCCAAAGTGTGCCAGGTAAAAAGGAACTTTATTGTTAAAAGATTCTCAGTTAATGAAAAATTTCCCGATGCAATTAAAAATTTAATTATTAAGGTTTCATTAATTTAACAAAACCCATGCTATCAAAGACATTGCACTCGTGTGCTGTGGGGCATTCAGTGGTTGTTGCAGGCATAGACTTACCAAGTATTCATAAACCAAGTCCTAGGAAATTAAATTACTTCTAAACAATATGACTTGCTTTTAGTACGTAACAATAGAAAATAATTCAGAAACGTTGCATTTAAAACTTATTTTAGATATTTAAATGCTGAAAAATTAGACTATGCAAGACAGTCAAGTTATAAAGAAATGCATAAATCCTGGGAAATCTATGTAAAGATTTTTTTTTAAATGTGAGTGGAAATACAGCTTACAATAGAATACTAAATGAAATGTTAAACACGGCAGTAGTGAATTTCCGGAATCTAAAATGTCCCATAGAATTAAGGAAGGACAAACTGAATACCTTACTGGTCCTTTTCCATTGTATATAAGTCTAATATCATCTACTGTATCTTTTGGTATGCTTATTTTAATTTTCTTACAGTATCTGAATATATAAATATTCACTCATTGAATTTTTGAAAAATCCATAAGTAATTGTGTCTACTGAATCTCAAACTTAATTAAAGATATGTCCATCACCATTTTGTCATATATGAAAGTACAACTAATATTAGATGAACAGTAGGTTTTAATTTTCAATATATGGGTATTGCATTAGTATTTATACCTTTAAAGACTATTTTATAGCCTTAATTTAACAAATATTACAAAAGTACTGAAAAGCATACACCAAGTTTTTAAAATGTAGCTGTAACCTGCACTCCACCCTTAAGGAAACTGTATGAACAATTTGGCGCATATGGTTCTTGATTTTTTTTTTTTTTTTTTTTTTTTGAGATAGAGTTTCGCTCTCGTTGCCCAGGCTGTAATTCAATGGTACAATCTCGGCTCACTGCAACCTCCGCCTCCCAGATTCAAGTGATTCTCCTGCCTCAGCCTCTCGAGTAGCTGGGATTACAGGCACTCACCACCATGCCCGGCTAATTTTTTGTATTTTTAGTAGGGATGGGGTTTCATCATTTTGGACAGGCTGGTCTCGAACTCCTGACCTCAAGTGATCCACCTGTCTCAACCTCCCCAAGTGCTGGGATTACAGGCGTGAGCCACTGTGCCCGGCTGGTTCTTGATGTTTCTTATGCTTTCCTAGATACATACATGTGTATACTGTACAAGATTAATCATTAGTTTTGATCAACAAATATTCTGGTTCTATCTCCCTCTAGAACACAGGATCGTTTTGACTGTTTTTTGTCAATGAGTTATGGTCAGAGGAGCAAGTATTTCTTCTGGACTGAGCACATAATGGGTAATGCAAGATTTGCCATTGTTCTCTTTTCCCTCTTTACTACAACTTCTAAGAACAAAAGGGTGACTGCTAGGTCTGGCTGAACTCCAGTGTTAGAAGGACCATGTTGCAGAACAGAGCCCTGGGCTGACTCATGATAGATACAGCGCAAATGAGAAATAAACCTCGGTATTTTTAAATCACTAAATTAGTGTGATTGCTGCCATAACAAAACCTAGACTTTCCTGACTAACACAGACACTCATGGCTATACTTACGTCTGTGTCTAAATTATTTGGTATGCTTTGTGTCTTTCACATACATAACCTACATTTCTCAATAACTAAATTCCCTATAAATATGTCAAGAAGGAAATAATACCACAACACACGGAAATAACGTTTTGAGAACCTCACTTTTAAAACAAAATTAATATACCGAATAACGCATTGGTTTAAAATACAGCTTTACTTTTTCCTAAAGCATATATAATTGAAAATCAATGTATTAAACTTATTAGTATCACTGATATATTTCAGCCATTATTTAATTGACATCTCTGAAATATCATCAAATGCTTAATGTATGATCATTACCACCCCTACATCTAGGCAAGGTGGGCCCCTGGGTCCTGTACGTCAGAAAGCCTCACTATAGCTCTCTGCCATCCTGTATTTCTCCTCAGGGGACAAGGATTCTAGGGGGCCCAGTGGATGTGTTCACCCGCAGTTTACAATACCTTTTCTAGGCTATTCCTTACGTATCAAAAACTCTGAGATATCTTGCCCTAATGGTCCTGAGTCCAGTCCAAAGTCTATGCAGGCCTCTCTCCTGGTCTTTTCCTCTGAAAGTCAAATGCATTACTAGTGTGCGTCCCTAGACCAGCAGGTTGGCTCAGACACAGACTTTTGGGGCTGAGAGGTGGTGATGACAGGGCTTAGAAGTATGACTACCTAGAGGTGGAGCACAGGATTCCCCGTGGTGCAGCACTGAGCTGGGGATGAAAAGGAAACTGATCAGGCAACAAGGGAGGGGCCTTCTGCTCTTCAGCCAAGGTCGGATGCAGGAGTCCAAGGGTCAGAGGATTCCAAATTCAAACCTGGGCTTCTGGGTCATTATAAAAGTATATTTATTTATCAAGGTAGAAGGACATATTTGGCAGTTTGTAGCTATTTTATAATTTTTATATTGGCCCATGCCCCACAAAACGTTAGGGGCAGGACTATATATGATTAGAACTCTTGGCCTCAATGCAAAACTGTGATGATCAAAATATAATTTTTATATAATTGCTAATATAAATTCAATCTGACTGTAAGGAGCTTTACCTGTCACTGTTAATTAAAATTGTGCTTTGTCACCTGTGGTGATACATTTATGATAGTAAAAGGCATTAATTTTTGAACCAATAACAAATTACAAAATTTAATTGCAAGGGCTGTTTTATTTCTAAGGATAGGTAGCAAAATTGCCTTAATATTCAACAATGGTGAGGTAATTTTTGAGTGCTACCATATCCCTATCTCACAGTCCATTGGGATTAATATTGGCAGCAGGCAAGCTATAATTTTTCAGTTTCTTAATTAGATTTAGCCATTAATTTAACCATTCTATCATACAGGAAAGAGAGTGCAACCCCATTTGTGAGCTTATTTTTCTTTCTGTTTTCACTAAATAATTTCTGATGGATGCATATGGTCACAAAATTTACATCTGGAATCCTGTCATCCATCCGATTACTTAAGATTCATATCATTGGGTACACGTTGGGAGACAGAGACTCAGTCTTCTTATTTACTTTCTACCGAGGTAAGAATTCAGAAATCTTATTTGTAATAATATATAATTATTATATTTATGTTTATATAACATTTGCAAAGCACTGTCAAGCCAGTATCTTGTTTATTCTTCATTACTACTTGCGATACACTTACTACTTTTGAAGTATATTGTTATTCCCTTAGTTTCACAGATGAATTAAACTGAGGTTCACAGAAGATGAGGAACATCTTTAAAGCCACACAGAAATTAAGTGGCAAATTCTCTGACTGCATGTCTCATATTCTTTTCCAAAACACTGCATTTCTCAAAATTACTCCTTTTGTGGCAGACAACAATGGAAATCCATATGTACACAACACTGGCTTAGTACCTACACCAAATCAACATATATTGGCAAATCATGAAGTATCTGTGGATTTAAAAAATAGGTCAGACGTGGTTCCTGCAACCAAGGACCTTATCTATGAATCCTGAAGCTGACATACGCCTAAGTCAAATTAAAGACAGAGCAGGATAAATGTTATAGGAGTGTATAAGGCACCATATAAGTTCTATAAAGGAATATGAGATTTCTGACAGGAGCAATAAAAAATGGCTGTGACTTGGTAGGGAGAGTGAAATCAGAGCTCAGCTTCTCAGGATGAATAAAGTTGAATATCGAAAAATAAAATTTTCTAGGTTGATGAAACAGCATAAACAACAACTTGCTTTTGGGAAAAGATGTGTGTGTGTGCGTGCGTGCACGCGTGGGCGTGTGTGTGCGTATGTGTGTCTTTGTCCAAATCTATATCTATGTGTATAACCATGTCTGTAACCATATTGATAACTATATCTATATGATCTATATTCATATCTGTAGATCGATATCTGTACGTAAATACCCTATGCTATAGGCTTGGTAATGCCTGCTCAGTCTGATGGCTGAAAAGACCACCAACCTGTTAATAACCAAAGGGTGCAGATTTTAAAATCAATTAGAGTTTTATACTTAGAGAAACACAGAACATAAAAGATGGTTAAGGACAATGCTACTGTGGGATGTGGAAACCAAAATTTTCATGAAGTATAAAATATCTACCTAAGCACCTTTAAGCCAGCAAATCTAGTTCTAGGAACCCATACTAATGAGATAATTGAACAAGTACGCAAAGACATATGAGTAAGAATATTTGTTATGATAGTGTTTATACTAAAATAATTTGAAAAGTCTAAATCTTAATCATGCATAATTATTTTTAAAATTACATCTATTTCTAAAAAGTGGTAGCTTTAAATGTGTAAATAAGTCCTCCCCATATTGTTAAGTGAAGAGGGGAATGATAGAACAGTAAATACAGCATGTCTCCATTTAAATAGATAAAATATACTTACATGAGCATGAAAAGTATGGAAAGGTATATACCAAATCATAAACAATTTTGTCTCTATAAATAGGTCTACAAGGAACTCTCATGCTCTATTTAACACTAACACTATTGACTTATTGCAAGGAGCACGAAAATTATTTCTCTTTTACTTATTTAAAGTTTAATCATTTGAAGTTTAATTATTATTTAGTTGTCATAAACTCATAACACACAATTCTTCCCAAACCCCACTAAATTTAAGGGGAAAATTATTCAAATACTCTCAACCTTATTTAGAATTTTTTCCTGGTTTGTATTTGATCTTTCAAAGACCACAAGAAGAGTTATTGCTACAACTGACTGTCACAAGGTCTACATACTTTGAATATAAAAAATAAAAATTGTGACCAAAATGTTCAAAGCAGCATAAGCAAATGTAAAGGATCAGGCTCTCCACATATTAGGAAGAAAAAAAAAAGGATGGGTAGGCTAGGCTTTCTCCATGACGACCGAATAAGTATTCCATTCATTTTTATGACAAAAAAGTTAAATTATTTAAAACAAAACTTTCGACCTGCTAAGGTTATTCTTAGATTTTCTATTTTCCTCATCTCTTTTCCATAAAAAGGAATAGTCCCTCAAATAATCTT